>NC_000019.10:49740874-50365874 GCF_000001405.40 Homo sapiens | reverse complement strand
GAGACCCCACCACCACTGCCACCCAAGTAGGGAGTGAGGAGCACCAGGAGCACAGGATGCTACTTCTGCCAACCCTACAAAAATACTCTGCACAAATCTTCAAAAAACATCCTTGTCCCACTGCGTCACCTGCGGACAGATTTCATGTCCTGGTCTCCTTCTAAACCTGGAGGTGGGGCATGAACAGGGTGGAGTCACAGGGGAAAGAAAATGAGGCCCCAGGACACCTGGGTTCACACCCAGGTCCCCAGCGATGTCTCCACCACCGCTGCTGCAACCCCTGCTGCTGCTGCTGCCTCTGCTGAATGTGGAGCCTTCCGGGGCCACACTGATCCGGTATGGTGACCCCATCTACCACCCCAACCTTAGGAGGGATTTTCTGCCTCTTGCCCTTTAAGTCTAGGACTCCCAGTTCAGTGATCCCCAAACTTGGCACCCAGGATCCCTAGAGCTTCTTTCTCAGCTTTCCAGATCTCTAAACCAGGCTGTCACCCCTAAGGGCTCCACTCTGACATCTCTTAAGACCAGATTTCTTTTTTTTGAGATGGAGTCTCACTCTGTTGCCCAGGCTGGAGTGCAATGGCATGATCTCAGCTCACTGAAACCTCTGCCTCCTGGGTTCAAGCGATTCTCCTGCCTCAGCTTCCCAAGTAGCTGGGATTACAGGCTCGCGCCACCATGCTCAGCTAATTTTTGTATTTTTAGTAGAGACGGGGTTTCACCATGTTGGCCAGGCTGGTCTGGAACCCCTGACCTCGTGATCCGCTCACCTCGGCCTCCCAAAGTGCTGGGATTACAGGCGTGAGCCACCGCGCCTGGCTGACCAGAGCCCTTTTATTATTATTATTATTATTATTATTATTTATTATTATTATTATTATTTGAGACAGAGTCTTGCTCTGTTACCCAGGCTGGAGTGCAGTGGGGCGATCTCAGCTCACTGCAACCTCTGCCTCCCGGGTTCAAGTGATTCTCCTGCCTCAGCCTCCCAAGTAGCTGGGACTACAGGCACATGCCACCACGCCCGGCTAATTTTTGTATTTTTAGTAGAGATGGGGTTTCGCCATGTTTGCCAGGCTGTCTTGAACTCCTGACCTCAAGTGATCTTTCCGCCTCAGCCTCCAAAAGTGCTGTGGTTACAGCTGTGAGCCCCCGCGTCCGGTCCCAGAGCCCTTTTAAGTCCCAGATCTTACAACACTGAGACTCTAGATTGAGGACCCCTCCCCCTCCTCTCAGGACTTTTTTTTTTTTTTTTTTTTTGAGACTGAGTCTCACTCTGTTGCCCAGGCTGGAGTGCAGTGGCGCAATCTTGGCTCACTGCAAGCTCTGTCCCCCGGGTTCACATCATTCTCCTGCCTCAGCCTCCCAAGCAGCTGGGACTACAGGCACCCGCCACCACGCCCGGCTAATTTTTTGTATTTTTAGTAGAGATGGGGTTTCACAGTGTTAGCCAGGATGGTCTCGATCTCCTGACCTCGTGATCCACCCACCTCAGCCTCGCAAAGTGCTGGGATTACAGGCGTAAGCCACCGCGCCTGGCCTTTTTTTTTTTTTTTTTTTGAGACGGAGTCTTGCCCTGTCGCCCAGGCTGGAGTGCAATGGCGCGATCTCAGCTCACTGCAACCTCCACCTCCCAGGCTGACACCATTCTCCTGCCTCTGAAAGTGCTGGGATTACAGGCGTGAGTCACCATGCCCGGCTAATTTTTTTTGTATCTTTAGTAGAGATGAGGTTTCACCATGTTGGCCAAGCTGGTCTTGAACTCCTGACTTCGTGATCTGCCTGCCTCAGCCTCCCAAAGTGCTGGGATTACAGGCGTGAGCCACTGCGCCTGGCCAGGACATGTTTTTGAGAGGTCTCTGCAGACCCTACTATGAGCTCTGATGATTAGGTACTGTGGTTTCCAGACCTGTGACACACTCCTCCCATCTTCGAGCCCCAGATATGTGACATTTAAACTGAGACTCCCCCACATCACGCCCATCAAACTGGCCTGAAGAAGTCATGTTTTTGGCCAGAGACATGGCTCACACCTGTAACCCAGCACTTTGGAAGTCCAAGGTGGGAAGCTTGTTTGAGGCCAAGAGTTTTGAGACCAGCCTGGGCAACATGGCCAGACTCCACCTCTACAAAAAATACAAAAATTAGCTCAGTGTGGTGGTGCACACCCATGGTCCCAGCTAGTTCAGGAGGGTGAGGAAGGAGGATTGCTTGAGCCCAGTAGTTCGAGGGGGCAGTGGGCTATGATCCTGCTACTGCACTCCAGGCTGGGCAACAGGGTGACACCTTGTCTAAAAAAAAAATTAATAAATAAAATAAAATAAAATAAAAAGCCAGG
Organism: Homo sapiens; assembly: GCF_000001405.40. Lineage (NCBI taxonomy): Eukaryota > Metazoa > Chordata > Mammalia > Primates > Hominidae > Homo > Homo sapiens. The sequence goes on along the minus strand of NC_000019.10, from coordinate 50,363,536 downwards.
TGTGGTGGTGTGCCCATAGTCTCAGCTACTCCAGAGGCTGAGGTGGGAGAATCACTTGAGCCCTGGAGATCAAGGCTGCAGTGAGCCCTGACTGCACTACTGCACTCCAGCCTGGGTGACAGAGGGAGACCCTGTTTCAAATAAAAAGTTTAAAAGAAGAAAAAGAAATCCAATCTTGGGGACCCTATGCAAGAAGTCTTCCCACTACCTTACCTCTGATGTCCCCTCCCCGCCCCCATCTCTCTTTTTCTCCTCTCTTGTCTTCATTCCCTGGAACTCTTGGTAGGGGGAGGGGTGTACACTTCCAGGAAGAGTTTTCCCCACTTCACATTCTCGTGCCTCTCAAAGACTGACTCATGGGGGGTGACGGGAAAGGTGTGAGTGATGTGACAAGTGCTTCAAGGAGTGACTAAAGGCAGGAACGAAGATATTACCGCACATGGTGCTTGTTAACCTGCTTTTTGAACCTAATGTCTCATGGCCATTTTCTAAGTCAATGCAAAGAAAATGAGTCTCCAAATGTTGTATCAACAGCATCGTCATGACCTGGGAACTTGTTAGAAATCCAAATTCTCGGCTCCATCCTAGACCTACTTAATTAGCAACTAAGATACCTGAATTGTAATTGGCCCTCTAAGTCAAGGGTTGCAAACACTCAGCTTAAGGGCCAAATCCTGTTTGCCTCCTGCTTTTGCAAATACAGTTTAAAGGAACCCGGACAGGGCATAGTGGCTCTCCTCTGTAATCCCAGCACTTTAGGAGGCTGAGGCCAGGAGTTTGAGATCAGCACGGGCAACACAGCAAGACAATTAAGATTTGACGCTTACATTTTTCTCCTCAAGGGTGGGGAAAATAGTCCCTAACCTCACGAACTGAAGCATGCAGGGGCCACCACCCAAGGGCTTTTGCAAAGGTTAGGTTTTCTGTTAGGGTCTTGGGAAATCTTTAAGAATGTCAATTCCTTGGGAATAGCTTATTTTAAGGGATTTGGACATGGAAAGGTCTGTTTGGGATGGTTTGCTCTTGTAAAGTCTTTGGGGATATTTGTCATCATGGCATCTTTGATGGGCTTTTCTGGAGGTTGTTATTGCAGGGTTTCTGGTACTGACTACTATTGTAGTGCCTTGGAGATGTTGAATTTGTCATCATATCCTATTTGGGTAAGTCTATTTAGAGGTTCTCCAAGAAGGGCAGCTTCCTGTCAATATCCTCTTTCCCTACAGCATCCCTCTTCATCGAGTCCAACCTGGACGCAGGATCCTGAACCTACTGAGGGGATGGAGAGAACCAGCAGAGCTCCCCAAGTTGGGGGCCCCATCCCCTGGGGACAAGCCCATCTTCGTACCTCTCTCGAACTACAGGGATGTGAGTCACAGCCCCACACAGCCCTCACCCCTGCGCCCTTGAGCCAAACTCTTCGTTTACTCTCCTCTTTTGCTATCAGGTGCAGTATTTTGGGGAAATTGGGCTGGGAACGCCTCCACAAAACTTCACTGTTGCCTTTGACACTGGCTCCTCCAATCTCTGGGTCCCGTCCAGGAGATGCCACTTCTTCAGTGTGCCCTGCTGTGAGCTTCTATGTGGGAGAATAAGGCTGAATGGGGGTGAAGGGAGGAGGCGGGGCTGGACCTCAGCTTCTCAGAGGCTTTTGAGGAACTGTTCTTTTATCATGCCCTCACAGGTCAGAAAGTCAAAGGGGCAGTAGGCACTGGGGAGATTCCCTCCCCCATGACACCTTTCTGACCTCTAACCTAGGGTTACACCACCGATTTGATCCCAAAGCCTCTAGCTCCTTCCAGGCCAATGGGACCAAGTTTGCCATTCAATATGGAACTGGGCGGGTAGATGGAATCCTGAGCGAGGACAAGCTGACTGTGAGTGGCCTTTGACTCTCAGAAGTCTTGAGCCTGGGAGAACCCCATTGTCTAAGATCATCTGGCTTAGGAAGAGGCTCGAGGAGGAGCTTCCCAAGCCAATGGATGGGGCTTTTCAAGTGGGGAGGAGGGCCTGCCTTTCAGAGTGAAGGGATGGTGCGTCACAAGGAGGGGGAGGGGCTTCCTGGGTGAAGAGGTGGGGCTTCTCAAGCAGGGGGGAGGAGCTTCCAAGGTTAAGAGGTGGGGCTTCTCAAGCAGGGAGGAGGAGCTTCCTGGGTGAAGAGGTGGGGCTTCTCAAGCAGGGGAGGAGCTTCCTGGGTGAAGAGGTGGGGCTTCTCAAGGAGAAGAAAGGGGTTCCTGGGTGAAGGGGTGGGGCTTCTCAAGAGGCATAGTTTCCTAGGAAGTTGGGGCTTGCATCCAGAAGTCCCCAGACCTAGGATTCATGCCTTGGTTTGGGAGACCTCAGGACATGTGGTTATTGTCCTCCCAAAAGTAACTGGTCACATCTCAATCTACCCCTAGATTGGTGGAATCAAGGGTGCATCAGTGATTTTCGGGGAGGCTCTCTGGGAGCCCAGCCTGGTCTTCGCTTTTGCCCATTTTGATGGGATATTGGGCCTCGGTTTTCCCATTCTGTCTGTGGAAGGAGTTCGGCCCCCGATGGATGTACTGGTGGAGCAGGGGCTATTGGATAAGCCTGTCTTCTCCTTTTACCTCAACAGGTACTGGGAAGTGTGCACCTATCTATGAGTCCTATCCCCAAGAAGGAAGAGAGTCTTCCTTCAGGAAGTCACTGACCCAATGCAGGAATTCTCATTCTCAGAGTCACCCACTTACACTGTCCATTCAGGAAGTCAGCCATTCAATACAAGAAGTTGCATCCTCCATGCAGGAAGTCACCTGCCCTATAAAGAAACACCTCAACCCTATTCGAAGTCCCAGAGCTTAAATGACAACTTAAGACATACTAAGGAAACCCACCATCAGTTCAGAATGCTCCATGTTTCAAAATCAAACTAGGAAATTCCATGCCCCACCCAACAAAATACTCAGGAGCTTTCTCTTCCTCACAAAGAATGCTCAAATCCCATTTGAGAACACTGACCAGAAGTCAGGAATTGCCCGATTTAATCCAGGAAGTCCCACTCACCTGCTAGGAAGTTCAGTATTATGCTCAGAAGTCCCACCCAACATCCAAGAAGTTTCCAAGAAGTCTCCACTTTCCCTCCCAGAGGCCTGTCACACACAGTCAGAAAATCCTATGCCCACTCAGTTACCCTGACATCCAACCCACTCTAGCAGTTCTACCAACCACCTAGCAGATCCTGCTCTCCTCCACCTTCCAGGAAGTCTCCATCCCTGTTCCCATCGCTCTCAGCCAACTCAGGAAGTCTAACACCTCTCTAGATATCACAACAGGCAATTCAGAAATTCTCTTCTCCTACTCAGGAAGCCACCCCACCCCTGCACAAGTCACACCTTCAAGAGCCAATTCCAAGACACCACTGCTCTACTTGGTTACTATGATATTCAGCTCAGGAAATTCCCCAAAACTCTACCTTCCACAGCCAAATGAAGTCTCGTCTTCACTTCAGGAAGTTCTAGCTTCCACCAAGAAAAGCATCATGCTTTTCTTGCCCGGCTTCCAGTCCCAACATCTAGGCCCTTCCTGCATCCCATTACCCCGTAGGAACTCCAGAAACAACCCAGTTGGTGGGAAGTGCCATTCCTGGCAATACCTAGGGCTGAGGGAGGGCCAGTGACACTGACATCTACACTCTCTACACTCTGCCCCTGCAGGGACCCTGAAGAGCCTGATGGAGGAGAGCTGGTCCTGGGGGGCTCGGACCCGGCACACTACATCCCACCCCTCACCTTCGTGCCAGTCACGGTCCCTGCCTACTGGCAGATCCACATGGAGCGGTGAGGGACTTGGTCTCCTGGCTCTGGAGCTGGAGGCTGGGGGCCTGGACTCCTAGGACCCTGCCTCTGATGACTGCCTCCTTCCCCCTCAGTGTGAAGGTGGGCCCAGGGCTGACTCTCTGTGCCAAGGGCTGTGCTGCCATCCTGGATACGGGCACGTCCCTCATCACAGGACCCACTGAGGAGATCCGGGCCCTGCATGCAGCCATTGGGGGAATCCCCTTGCTGGCTGGGGAGGTGAGGTCCCAGTCTGGTGGGTACGGGCTGGGAAGGCTGATGGCAGTTTGACAGTGAACATCAAAGGGCCTGAGGGTGGGAGGCAAGTATTTAAGGGGCTTTCCAGGGCAGCAGGCACTGGACTTCGTGACAGATAGTCTGGAGGGTGGTGGAGGAATTGAGGACACTTTCCACGTGTCTACACTGCGACTCTGCGGATGGTGGCCGGGTGGAGGGAGACGATCATGCAGGTTTGCTTGGGACTGCGTAAGTCTAGGCGGCAGGGCCTCTGCACACAGGACGCTGAGTACCCAGGTGCTCAATAGGGAAATTACCCTATGGCACTGGGGAGCCACGGAAGGGACTGAACAGAGCAGGAATCTCTCATCTTCACTAGTTCCTCTTCTCCCCCAGTACATCATCCTGTGCTCGGAAATCCCAAAGCTCCCCGCAGTCTCCTTCCTTCTTGGGGGGGTCTGGTTTAACCTCACGGCCCATGATTACGTCATCCAGGTAGGTGGCCATCACCATGACGCCATAGTGACGTCATATGACGGTTTGAGAGGGTAGAGCTGAGAGACGTCACTAGGAAGGGAAGGGGCCACAGAAACATTTCTTTTCCCTGTGATGGCAGTTTGTTGGCGAACATCAAAGAACCCGAGGGTGGGGGGGATGGACGGGCTCCCAGGCAAATGGCCGTCCTTGTGGCCGCGACACCCAGTTGTCGTCTTGTTGCCTTGCAGACTACTCGAAATGGCGTCCGCCTCTGCTTGTCCGGTTTCCAGGCCCTGGATGTCCCTCCGCCTGCAGGGCCCTTCTGGATCCTCGGTGACGTCTTCTTGGGGACGTATGTGGCCGTCTTCGACCGCGGGGACATGAAGAGCAGCGCCCGGGTGGGCCTGGCGCGCGCTCGCACTCGCGGAGCGGACCTCGGATGGGGAGAGACTGCGCAGGCGCAGTTCCCCGGGTGACGCCCAAGTGAAGCGCATGCGCAGCGGGTGGTCGCGGAGGTCCTGCTACCCAGTAAAAATCCACTATTTCCATTGAGCGAACCTGCCTGGGTTGCTTCTTTTCAGAGCGTACTTTTTAACGAGAAAGCTTTGTGACCGGGCGCGGTGTCTCACGCCCGTAATCCCAGAACTTTGGGAGGTCGAGGCGGGTGGATCACCTGAGGTCAGGAGTTCGAGACCAACCTGGCCAACATGGTGAAACCCCGTCTCTACTAAAAATACAAAAAAAATTATCCGGGAGTGGTGGCGCATGCCTGTAATCCCAGCTACTCGGGAGGCTGAGGCAGGCGAATGGCTTGAACTTGGGAGGCCGAGGTTGCAGTGAGCCAAGACCGCACCATTGCACTCCAGCCTGGGCAACAACGAAACTCCATCTCAAAAATAATAATAGAAAACTTTGTGCCTGTACCCATGGAGTTGAGGAAGAGGGAGGCGAAGGGTATCACCCCTTTTCTCCAGGACGCACCCTGGTGAGGGGTTTTGTAATACGAGTCCCATGAAGCCCCTCGCCTACGCTACCTTCCGTCAAAAGCTCCCGGCGCCGTGGAGCATCACGGTCGTTGTAATCCACGCCGTGGTCACGCCCTGACGGGGGCGGGCGCAGCCACAACATGGGTGGGAGGCGACAGGTTGCGACGGCAGCGACAGGTGGCAGTGGGGGTTGGCCGTAATTGGTAAGGGTTTACCAGTTCCTGTTCAAGGGGGCAAGGATACCATTCCCCCGGATCTCATCTCCTGTTTCTCCTCTCTCCCTCCGGATTCCTAGACCCCTGGGGAGCTCGAGGCCCCCGGGTTCGGGGAGCGGTGCTGCCCCACCCGCGGAGGTGACGTCACTCTCCCCTCCTCAGCCTCTTGCTACCCAGAACTAAATGATTCGACAAAACGACCGGTCGAAAAATCTGGCAATCCTTTAATCGCATCCCGAGGCTTCTGGAAGAATTGTGTTGAGCGATTCTGGGGACCCCGAAAAGAGTCAGGCCTGAGCCCCATCTCGAGAGTGTGCTGCTCTGATGGTGGAGGCCGACCTGATCACAAACCGCTAAACTACTAAACACGGGGAGATTCAGGTCCCAGTAAGCTCGGGCAGGAGAGTCAGGGAGGAAGCCTCTGTTCTGCTCCTTTTCCCGTGGGATGCAGAGAGCGAGCAAGTCGGCATTCCAGGCCGGTGGGAACCGCTAGGGCGGAAGCAGGGAAGCTAGAAAGAGCCTGGTGTTCCAGGGGTCCAGCTCTAGAAACGGGTGGCGGCTGGGAAAACAGGCCCACACCTCCACCTTGTGGCCAATTGGGAATTTGCAGGCACGGCCTCTCAGAAACTACTTAAGGGCGCTTTGGGTGAAGTTGGATGGGGTGCTGCAGACGGAAAGCATGAGGGGCGAGTTGAAAGGGCCCAGATCGAGTGCTCTGACTGAGAAAACAAAGCGGGGGTGGTGGTGGTGGTGGTGAGAGTTATCATAGAGACACTGTCCACTGTTTCAGAAAAATTCCCCAGAGCAAGGAGTGCACAAAGTGGATCTTTACTATTATTATTATTATTATTTTATTATTGTTATTATTATTGAGACAGGGACTCACTCTGTCGCCCAAGCTGGAGTGCAGTGGCGCGGTAATGGCTCACTGTAGCCTCGAACTCCCCGGAGAAAGCGATCCTCCTGCCTCAGCCTCACGTGTAGCCGGGACCACAGGCGTGGGCCACCATGCTTGACTAATTTTTAAATATTTTGTGGAGATTTTTTTTTTTTGAGAGGGAGTTTTGCTCTTGTTGCCCAGGCTGGAGTGCAGTGGCACCATCTTGGCTCACTGCAACCTCTGCCTCCTGGGTTCCAGCGATTCTCCTGCCTCAACCTCCCGAGTAGCTGGGATTACAGGCATGTGCCACCACGCCCGGCTAATTTTTGTATTTTTAGTAGGGACGGGGTTTCTCTATGTTGGTCAGGCCAGTCTTGAACTCCAGACCTCAGGTGGTCCGCCCGCCTTGGCCTCCCAAAGTGCTGGGATTACAGGTGTGAGCCACCACGCCCGGTGGAGACGGGGTTTTGCCATGTTGCCTTGGTCATTATTTATTATTCACTATGTGCCAGGCTCTGTCCTAGGTGCTGGGGACACAGTGGAGAATTAAACAGATGAAGATCTTTGCCCTCATAGGAATTAAACTCGAATGGGGAAATAGGCATTAAGATAGGAAGCAAATTACCAACACTGTGGGCTGAAGAGTGGCCCCCAAAATATATTCACACCTCAATCCCTGGGGTTGTGAATACTACCTTATATGAGGAAAGGGATTTAGCAGATGTAATCAAATGAAGGAGTTTGAGAACAGAGATTATCCTGGGTCATCCAGGTGGACCCTAAATGTCATCACAAGGGTCCTTATAAGAGGGAGGCAGAGGGAGATTGATTCAGAAGTTCATGTGAAGACGGAAGCAAGATGCCAGGATGCTGGCTTTGAAGAAGGGAGAAGGGGCTCCTGCAGAGCTCCTCTAGAAGCTGGGGAAGGCAAGGACGTGGATTCTGCTCTAGAGCCTCCAGAGGGGACACAGCACTGCAAACATGGCAGTTTCAGCACTGAAATCATTTCGGGCTTCTGATTTCCATAATTGTAGGACAGTGAATGTGTGATTGAGTGATTGACTTTGTTGCCCAGGCTGGAGTGCAGTGGCACAATCATGGCTCACTACAGCCTCCACCTCCCAGGCTCAAGCGATCCTCCTGCCTCAGCCTCCCAGGTAACTGGGACCACAGGCATGCACCACTACGCCCAGATAATTTAATTGTTTTTTTTTCCTAGAGACAGAGTCTCCCTTTGTTGCCCAGGCTGGTCTCCAACTCCTGGGCTCAAGCAGTCCTCCTGCCTCAGCCTCCTGAAATGCTGGGGTTACAGGCATGAGGCACCCACCTGGCCTTTTCTTTATAAATTACCCAGCCTCAGGTATTCCTTTATTGCAATGCAAAATGGACTAATACAGATGATATGGAACAGATGCACAGAAAATATCTATAAGGACTGTGATGGTTCATACTGTCAACTTGATTGGATTGAAGGATACAAAGTATTGATCCTGGGTGTCATGAGGGTGTTGCCAAAAGAGATTAACATTTGAGGAGGGGAACATCGCACACTGGGGCCTGTTGAGGGCTGGGGGACAAAGGGGGAGGGGAGCATTAGGACAAATACCTAATGCATGTGGGGGTTAAAACCTAGATGACGGGTTGATAGGTGCAGCAAACCACCATGGCACACGTTTACCCATGTAATAAACCTGCATGTTCTGCACATGTATCCCAGAACTTAAAGTAAAATAAAATAAAATAAAACAAACAAACAAACAAAAAAACATTTGAGTCAGTGGGCTGGAAAAGGCAGACCCACCCTTAATCTGGACGGGCACAATCTAATCAGCTGCCATTGTGGCTAGAATATAAGCAGGCAGAAAAATGTGAAAAGAGAGACTGGCCTAGCCTCCCAGCCTCCGTCTTTCTCCCGTGCTGGATGCTTCCTGCCCTCGAACATCGGACTCCAAGTTCTTCAGTTCTGGAACTCGGACTGGCTCTCCTTGCTCCGCAATGTGCAGACGGCCTATTGTGGGACCCTTGTGATTGTGTGAGTTAATACTTAATAAACTCCCATATATATATACGGCCTTGGGAGGCCGAGGTGGGCAGGTCACGAGGTCAGGAGTTCGAGGCCAGCCTGGACAACATGATGAAACCCCATCTCTACTAAAAATACAAAAATTAGCTGGGTGTTGTGGCAGACACCCGTAATCCCAGCTACTCGGGAGACTGAGGCAGGAGAATTGCTTGAACCTGGGAGGCAGAGGTTGCAGTGAGCCAAGATCATGCCATTGCACTCCAGCCTGGGCAACAAGAGCAAAACTCCATCTCAAAAAAAAAAAAAAAAAAAAAAGGACGGGGAGCAATCTATGTAGAGAATCAGTTCTGGAAGTAGCGTTACATTTGTATTCTGAAACACTAAGTAGCTGTTTAAAACCTGTTTAAAAGAATGGGTATGTGAAGTATATGCACTGAAGAATACTGTTGTCTGCAACTTATTTTGAAATCAAGAAAATGAGATGGGCTGAGGAATGAATACAGCAAGGTTTCTCAACCTTGACACTATTGACATTTGGGAACCAGATTATTAGTTTATTTTCTGCTCCATCACCCAGGCTGGAGTGCAGTAGCACAATCACTGCTAACTGCATCTGCAAGCTGCTGGGCTCAAGCAATCCTCCCACCTCAGCCTACAGAGCAGCTGGGACCACAGGTACATGGCACCATGCCTGGCTAAGTTTTACTTTTTTTTTTTTTTGAGACGGAGTTTCACTCTTGTTGCCCAGGCCGGAGTGCAATGGTGCGATCTCGGCTCACTTCAACCTCTGCCTCCTAGGTTCAAGTGATTCTCCTGCCTCAGCCTCCCGAGTAGCTGGGACTACAGGCATGTGTCACCATGCCCGGCTAATTTTGTATTTTTAGTATAGATGGGGTTTCTCCATGTTGGTCAGGCTGGTCTCGAACTCTCGACCTCAGGTGATCTGCCCGCCTCAGCCTCTCAAAGTGCTGGGATTACAGGCATGAGCCACCACGCCTGGCGTTTGTTTTGTTTTTTTTGAGACGGAGTCTCGCTCTGTTGCTCAGGCTGGAGTGCAGTGGCATGATCTCTGCTCACTGCAACCTCTGCCTCTGCAAGCATTTCTCCTGCGTCAGCCTCCCAAGCAGCTGGGATTACAGGCGCACACCATCACGCCCAGCTAATTTTTGTATTTTTGTAGAGATGGGGTTTCACCATGTTGGACAGGCTGGTCTTGAACTCCTGACCTCAAGCGATCTGCCCGCCTCAGCCTCCGAAAGTGCTGGGATTACAGGCCTGAGCCACCACGCCTGGCCTCAGACTCATGTGTTTTACTGTAGATAAGTTATGTCAATTTTTTTCTGAAGTCCAGGGAATATGGTTAAGTTAAAAACAATCACTTGCAGATCAATAATTACAGCAGCTTTTATTTACTAAAACAAACAAGCAAATACCAAAAACAAAAAACAAAAAAAAATGTGCATGCTGATATTGACATGCAAATCTATCCTAGAAAGCCAAAGAGCTTGAATAGGGTTTCTCAGACATCTTTGTGGCTCCATGATCAGTGAAAATTTTTTATTGTATTTTATTGTATTTATTTATTTATTTATTTATTTATTTATTTATTTATTTATTTTGAGACAGAGTCTCACACTGTCGCCCGGACTGGAGTGCAGTCGCGAGATCTCGGCTCACTGCAACTTCCTCCTCCCGGGTTCACGCAATTCTCCTGCCTCATCCTCCTGAGTAGCTGGGATTACAGGTGCCCGCTACCACACCTGGGTAATTTTTTGTATTTTTAGTAGAGATGGGGTTTCACTAAGTTGGCCAGGCTGGTCTTGAACTCCTGATCTCATGATCCGCCTGCCTTGGCCTCCCAAAGTGCTGGGATTACAGGTGTGAGCCACTGCGCCCAGCCGATCAGTGAATTTGTTTAAAAATGCAGATTCTTGGGTCTCATCCTAGGCCTCCCAAACTAGAATAGCTGAGGGTGGTGCCCAGGAATCTGCATTTTAACTAGATTTCTTATGCTTGTTAAAAATTGAGAAGCTTAATCTGGGAGAAGAGGGACTGGCGAACAGAGAGACAGTGCAAATTATTTTTATACATTTTAGAGATGATGGGGCTATGGGTGATTTTTATTTGTGTGTGTGTATGTCTGTTTCAGTATTTTCCAAATAAAACAGTAAGAGAATGTCTAGAGAGGGGCTGGAGCAAGATGGCCAAATATAAGTTTCCACCAATCATTTCATCTTCAGGAATACCGCATTTAACAACAATCTACAGGAAAAAAGCACCTTCATACGAACTAAAAATCAGGTAAGCATTTACAATACCTGGTTTTAACTTCATATTGCTGAAGGACACACTGAAGAGGGTAGGAGGACAGTCTTTAGTTGCCAATTCCCGCCATCCTCCATCCCTGGCAGTAGCTGCATGGCACAGAGAGAAGCTGTGTGTTTGGGAGAGAGAGAGTGCAGTGATTTTGAGACTTTGCATTGAACTCAGTGCTGCCCTGTCACAGTGGAAAGCAAAACTGCCCTGAACTCAGCAGACTGTCTGCTCCTGGAGTGAGCATTTTAGACCAGCCCAAGCCAGAGGAGAATCGCCCATCCCAACAGTCGGAATGTGAGGTTTGGCAAGCCACACCACTGTTGGCTAAAGTGCTCTGGGGTCCTAAATAAAGTTGAAAGGCAGTCTAGGTCATGAGGACTGCAACTCCTAGGCAAGTCCTGGTGCTGAGCTGGACTCAAAGCCATTGGATTTGGGGGGCACATGACCTACTAAGACACCAACCTCAGCAGCTAAGGGGCCACTTGTGCCACTCCTTTCCCAAATCCAGGTAGCATACCTTGTGGCTCCAAAAAGGACCCCTTTTCTTCTGTTTAAGGAGAGGAGAGGAAAGTAAAGGGGACTTTGTCTTGCATCTTGGATACCAGCTCAGACACAGTAGGATGGGACACGAGTCAGAGTCATGAGCCTCCCATTCCAGGACTTAGCTTCCAGATGACATTTCTAGACACACCTTGGGCGAGAAGGGAACCAGCTACCCTGAAGGGAAGGATCCAGTCCTGGCAGGCTCTATCACCTGCTGACTCAAGAGCCGTTGGGCCCTGAATAACAAGCAGTGATGCCAGGTACTACATGCTATTGGCCTTCGGTGAGACTCTGAGACATGCTGTCTTCAGGTGAGACCCACCACATTCCCAGCTATGGTGGCTACAGTGAGGGACTCTTTCTGCTTGAGAAACGCAGAGGGAAAAGTAAAAGGAACTTTGTCTTTCAGCTCAGGTACCAGCTCAGACACAGTGGAGGAGAAGTGGGATCTTGGAATCCCTGATGCCAGATCTTGGCTCTAGGATGGCATTTCTGGAAATTCCCTGGGCCAGAGGGGAGCCCACTGCCCTGAGGGGTGAGTCCTAGGCCTGGCAGCATTCACTAGAAGCTGACTGAAGACTCCTCGGGCCTTGAGTGAACTTTGGCAGAAGCCTGGCAGTACTCCCCTTGAGCCTATGGTTGTGGTAACCATGGGGTGAGGCACCTCTGCCTGTGGCAAAGGGAGGGAAGAGTGGGAAAGACAGTGTCTTGTGATTTTTTTTTTTTTTTTTTGAGACAGAGTTTCGCTCTTCTTGCCCAGGCTGTAGTGCAATGGTGCGATCTTGGCTCACCACAACTTCTGCCTCCCAAGTTCAAGCAGTTCTCCTGAGTAGCTGGGATTACAGGCATGCACCACCATGCCCAGCTAATATTGTATTTTTAGTAGAGACGGAGTTTCACCATGTTGGACAGGCTGGTCTCAAACCCTTGACCTCAGGTGATCCACTCGCCTCAGTCTCCCAAAGTGCTGGGATTACAGGGATGCGCCACCACACCCGGCTGAGCGTCTTGTGATTTGAGAGCCAGTTCAGCCACAGTAGAACAAGACACCAGGTAGATTTCTAAGGTTTTTGACTCCAGTCCCTGGCTTACTGACTGCATTTCTGGACCCACCCAGAGCTTTGGGAAACTTGCTGCCCTGACGAAAAGGATATAAGCCTGGCTGCATTTGGAACCTGCTGGTTTTAGAGCCCTAGGGCCTTAAGCAAATATAGCCAGCAGCCAGGTAGCGGTTATAGTGGGCTTTGGTCGAGACCCAGTGCAGTCCCAGTGCTACTGGCCACAGTGGTGCTTGTGTCACCCTATCCCCACCTCCAGGTGGCTCAGCTCCCTTTGTTTGGGAGAAAGTAAAAGAAGAGAACAAGAGCCTCTGCCTGGTAATCCAGATAATTCTTCTGGATGTTATCCAAGACCACTAAGGCAGTACCTCTATGAGTCTGCAAGAACCGTAGCAGACCGGGTGTGGTGGCTCACGCCTGTAATCCCAACACTCTGGGAGGCTGAGGTGAATGGATCACTTGAGGCCCAGAGTTTGAGACCAGCCTGGCCAACATGATGAAACCTAGTCTCTGCTAAAATCACAAAGATTAGCCAGGCGTGGTGGCACACAGCTGTAATCCCAGCTGCTTGGGAGGCTGAGGCATGAGAATCGCTTGAACCTGAGAGGCAGAGGTTGCCGTGAGCTGAGATCATGACACTGCACTCCAGCCTGGGTGACAGAGTGAGACTCTGTCTCAAAAAAACAAAACAAACAAAAACCACAGCATTAATAGGCTTGGGAGGCCCCCTGATACAGATATGGCTTAGATCACAATCCTCAAGTCCTTTTGAATACCTGGAAAGCCTTCCCAAGAAGGACAGGTACAAACAAGTCTACATGCTGCCTGCCGACCTCAGAGTTCTGGGAAGGTGGAGCGAATGAGTCGGACTATCAAAAATAGTTTAAGGAAAGTATGTCAAGAGACAAGATTAAAATGGATACAGGCCCTTCCTATGGTATTGTTTAAAACAGGTGCACCCCCTCTAAGAAAACAGGACACTCCCCTTATGAAATATTATATCATAGGCCTCCTCCTATGCCGCGAGGGCTTCTGGGTACTCCCCAAGAGTTGGGTGAAATTGAATTGCAGCGACAGCTACAGGCCTTGGGGAAAATTACCGAGACAATCTCAACTTGGGTAAATGAGGTGCCCGGTCAGCTTATTCTCCCCAGTTCACCCTTTTTCTCCAGGTGACCGCGTGTGGATCAAGGACTGGAACGTAGCTCCCTTAGGGCCATAGTGGAAGGGACCCCAGACCGTTATCCTGACCACTCCCACGGCTGTGAAGGTAGAAGGAATTCCGGCCGGGATTCACCACAGCTGCGGAAAGCCTGCAGCCACTGGAACCTGGGAGGCCAAACCAGGCCTAGACAATCCCTGCAAAGTAACCCTGAGGAGGACGACAAGCCCTGCTCCAGTCACACCCGGAAGCTGACTGGCCTATTCGCGGCCGAAGCATGAGGAAAATCGTCGTGGGACTTACTTTCCTTATAACACGGACTTGTGTGGTAAAAGCTTCCACTGCTTCTTCCCACACAGAGGACTGCTTTCAGTGCATACCTCAGGTCACTGAGGTAGGACAACAAGTTAAGACAATCTTTTTGTTCTATAGTTATTATGAAGGCCTAGGAATTCCAAAAGGAACATGTTTGTATAATAACACTCAGTACAAAGTCTGTGATCCAGGAAGTGACCAGCCCGATGTGTGCTATGACCCCTCTGAACCTCCCATTTCCACAGTTTTTGAAATAAGATTAAGGACTGAACACTGGCAGGGACTCATAAATGATACAAGTAAAGTATTAGCCAGAACAGAAGAAAAAGGGGTGCCCAAATGCATAATCTTAAGATTTGACGCTGTGCTGTCATTAATAGCAATAAGTTAGGAGCAGGATGTGGCTCTTTTAATTAGGAAAAAACTACATGACCGAAAATAAGTACATCTGTCATGAATCAGGATTGTGTGGAAAAGAATGTGGGTACTGGTCTTGTGTCATTTAGGCTACTTGGGAAAAAAAAAATGAAAAAGATCCTGTTTTGCTCCAAAAAGGGAAAGGAAGCCTGTCCTGCATGAGTGGAAGCTGCAACCCTTTAAAATTAGTAATCACAAGCCCCTCAGACCCAAAATAGAAAAAAGGAAAATACTTATCTCTAGGCATTGATGGAAAAAGACTAGACCCTAGGGTAAACATTTTAATAAAAGGAGAGGTTCGAACATGCTCTCCAGAGCCAGTATTTCACACTTTCTATGATGAACAAAATGTGCCAGTGCCTGAAATTCCAGGAAAAACTAGACATTTGTTTTTGCAGTTAGCCGAGCATGTAGCCCAGTCTCTAAAAGTCACTTCGTGTTTTGTTTGTGGAGCAACTGTAACAGGAGATCAGTGGCCATGGGAAGCCCGAGAATGAGTTCCTACAGACCCAGTTCCTGATGAATTCTCGGCCCAAAAGAACCACCCTGACAATTTCTGGGTTCTAAAAGCCTCAATTATTGGACAATGTTGCATAGCTAGAGAAGGAAAAGAATTCACTCATCCTGTAGGACAGGTTAGTTGTCTTGGACAAAAACTGTATAATGGTACCACAAAAACAGTTACATGGTGGAGTTCCAATTACACGGAAAAAAATCCATTCCGTAAATTTCCAAAATTGCAGACTGTTTAGGCCCACCCAGAATTCCACTGGGACTGGACTGCCCCTACTGGGTTATACTGGATATGTGGACATAGAGCTTATGCTAAGCTATCTGATCAGTAGACAGGTAGCTGTGTAATTGGCACTATTAAACCATCTTTCTTCCTGCTGCCCATAAAAACAACAAACTCTTAGGATTCCCTGTCTATGCTTCCCGTGAAAAACGAAGCATAGCCATAGGTAACTGGAAAGATGATGATGGCCCCCTGAAAGAATTATACAATACTATGGGCCCGCCACTTGGGCATAAGATGGCTCATAGGGATATTGGACCCCCATCTACATGCTCAACTGAATCATACAGTTGCAAGCTGTTTTAGAAATTATTACTAATTAAACTGGTCAAGCCTTGACTGTTCTTGCCCGGCAAGAGACTCAGATGAGGAATGCTATCTACCAAAATAGACTAGCTCTCGACTACTTGCTAGCAGCTGAAGGAGGAGTTTGTGGAAAATTTAACCTTACTAATTGCTGTCTCCACATAGATGATCAAGGGCAAGTAGTTGAAGACATAGTTAAAGATATAACAAAACTGGCACATGTACAGTGCGAGTGTGGCACGGATTTGATCCTGAGGCCATGTTTGGAAATTGGTTCCCAGCAATAGGAGGGCTTAAAACTCTTATAATAGGAGTTATAATAGTAATAGGAATCCGCTTACTACTCCCTTGTTTGCTACCTATACTTCTTCAAATGATAAAAAGCTTCATCACTACCTTAGTTCACCAGAATGCTTCAGCACGAGTATATTATTTGAATCACTATCAATCTATTGCACAGGAAGACATAAGTAGTAAAAATGAAAGTGAGAACTTCCACTAATACCATGAGTGAGAGTCTCAAAGCGGGGAAATGAGAGAAGAGAGAAAGAGACCCCCCCATATTGTTCTATATTGTTTCATACTCAGTACCTGTTTTAAGAAGAAACAAGGAAGCGAAACCAAAGGCAGGCAGCCCGGCGCCATGCACCAGACCCAAAACCAGACCCAAAACCAGGCCTGGGCCTGCCTGACCTTAGCCTGATAGTTAAAATTCAACCCATGACCTAGCAACCGATTATCCATAAATTCCAGACATTGTATGGAAAGACATTGTGAAACTTCTCGTTCTGTTCTGCTTTGCTCTGATTACTGGTGCATGCAGCCCCTGTCACATACCCCCTAGATTGCTCAATCAATCACGGTCCTTTCATGTAAAATCTTTAGTGTTGTGAACCCTTAAAAGCGACAGAAATTGTGCACTCAACAAGCTTGAATTTTAAGATGCTAGTCTGCTGATGCTTCCAGCTGATTAAAAGCTACTTCCTTCACTATCTCGGTGTCTGTGGGGTTTTCTCCACAGCTTGTCCTGCTACACTAGAATAGCATATCCAGTGAAAATATTCTTCAAGCATGAAGGAGAAATAAAGACTCTCCCAGAACAAACAAAGCTGAGGAATTTCATCAACACCGGATCTGTCCTACAAGAAATGCTAAAGGGAGTACTTCAGTCAGAAAGAAAAGCATGTTAATGAGTGATAAAAAATCATCTGGGCCAGACGCGGTGGCTCACGTGTGTAATCCCAGCACTTTGGAAGGCAGAGACATGTGGATCACGAGGTCAGGAGATCGAGACCATCCTGGCTAACACGGTGAAACCCCGTCTCTACTAAAAATACAAAAAAATTAGCCGGATGTGGTGGTGGGTGCCTGTAGTCCCAGCTACTCGGGAGGCTGAGGCAGGAAAATGGCATGAACCCGGGAGGTGGAGCTTGCAGTGAGCTGAGATCGCACCACTGCACTCCAGCCTGGGTGACAGAGCAAGACTCCGTCTCAAAAAAAAAAAAAAAAATCATCTGAAGGTACAAAACTCACTGCTAATAGTAAGCACACAGAAAAACATGGTGTATTGTAACAGTATAACTATGGTGTGTGAACAACTCTTAAGTAGAAAAACTAAAGGATGAACCAATCAAAAATAATAACTACAACAACGCTTCAAGACATAGACAGTACAATAAGATATAAATACAAACAACAAAAAGTTAAAAAGTTGGGGACAAAGTGAAGGTGTAGAGTTTTTACTAATTTTCTTATTGTTTGTTGGTTTGTTGGTTTGTTTATGCAAACAGTGTTAAGTTTATGTTGTCAGCTTAAAATAATGGGTTATAAGATAGTATTTATGGCAGGGCACAGTGGCTTACGCCTGTAACCCCAGCACTTTGGGAGGCCAAGGCAGGCGGATCATGAGGTCAGGAGATCGAGGCCATCCTGGCTAACACGGTGAAACCTCGTCTCTACTAAATATACAAAAAAAAAAAAAAAAAAATAGCCAGGTGTGGTGGCAGGCACCTGTAGTCCCAGCTACCCTGGAGGCTGAGGCAGGAGAATGGCGTCAACCCAGGAGGCAGAGCTTGCAGTGAGCCGAGATCGAGCCACTGCACTCCAGCTTGGGTAACAGAGCGAGATTCCATCTCAAAAAAAAAAAAAAAAAAAGACAATATTTGCAAGCCTCATGGTAACCTCAAATCAAAAAACATACAACAGATACAAAAAAAAAAGCAAAAAATTAAATCATATGACCAAGGAAAATTATCTTCTCTAAAAGGAAAACAGAGGCCAGGTGTGGTGGCTCACATGTGTAATCCCAGCACTCTGGGAGGCTGAGGCGGGTGGATCACCTGAAGTCAGGAGTTTGAGATCAGTATGGCCAACATCATGAAACCAAATCTCTATTAAAAATACATAAATTAGCCAGGTGCAGTGGCACGCGCCTGTAGTCCCAGCTACTCGGGAGGCTGAGGCGAGAATCGCTTGAATCCAGGAGGCAGAGGTTGCAGTGAGCCGAGATTGCACCACGGCACTCCAGCCTGGGCGACAATGAGATTCTGTCTCAAAAATAAATGAATAAATAAATAAATAAATAACATGAAAGAAGGACAGAAAGAAGAGAATACTACAAAACAACCAGAAAACAAGTAACAAAATGTCAGGAGGACGTCCTTATCAAGAACAACATTGAATGTAAATGGACTAAACTCTCGAATAAAAAGATATAGAACGGATGAATGGATGAAAAAGAAGACCCAATGTTTTGTTGCTTACAAGAAACATACTTCACCTACAAATAAGAGTCTGGGTCCTCAGACGCAGGCAGTCCCACTTCATATGGGAGGGCAGGCTTATAATCAGTTCCTCTCTCCCTTCCCCAGGCCCTTCACAGACACCTGCTGGTCCCTCCCACTTGGCCAAGGAAACACTGTGGTTAATGAGTCTCAGAAAAGTGATGTGAAAGTGAGAAGTAAAAGTGACAGAGGCTAAAGGATGGGGGGTGGGAGGCAGTCCCAGCAGAGGACACCCCACGACCACCACCCCCCAAGTAGGGAATGAGGAGCACTAAGGACACAGGATACAACTTTTGTTGACACTACACAAATACTCTGCACAAATCTTCAAAAACATCCTTGTCCCCCTGTGTCACCTGCTGAGAGACCTCGTGTTCTGGTCACCTCCTAAACCGGGAGGTGGGGCATAAACAGGGTGGAGTCACAGGGGAAAGAAAACTAGGAAGCCTGGGTTCACACCCGGCTCCCCAGCAATGTCTCCACCACTGCTGCTGCTACCCTTGCTGCTGCTGCTGCCTCTGCTGAATGTGGAGCCTGCTGGGGCCACACTGATCCGGTATGGTGACCCCATTTGCCACCCCCAAACCTGGGAGGGATTCTCTGCTTTTTGCCCTTTAAGTCTGGGGCTCCTGGTTCAGTGATTCCCAAACCTGGCACCCAGGATCCTTGACTCTTCTTTCTTGGCTTTCCAGATCTCTAAAGTGGGCTCTCACCCCGAGGGCTCTACTCTGACATCTCCTAAGATCAGAGCTCCCTTTTATTTATTTATTTTTTTTGAGACAGAGTTTCACTCTTGTTGCCCAGGCTGGAGTGCAATGGCACGATCTTGGCTCACCACAACCTCCACCTCCTGGGTTCAAGCGATTCTCCTGCCTCAGCCTCCCAAGTAGCTGGGATTACAGGCATGTGCCACACCACCCCGGCTAATTTTGTATTTTTAGTAGAGATGGGGTTTCTCCATGTTGATCAGGCTGGTCTTGAACTCCCGACCTTAGGTGATCTGCCCACCTCAGCCTCCCAAAGTGCTGGGATTACAGGCGTGAGCCACCACGTCTGGCTCAGAGCTCCTTTTTTAAAATAATTTTTTTCTTTTTATTTATTTATTTGTTGAGATTGGGTCTTGCTGTGTCACCCAGGCTGGAGTGCAGTAGTGCGATCATGGCTCACTGCAGCCTCAAACTCGTGGTCTTAAGCCATTCTTCCACCTCAGCCTCCCAAGTAGCTGGGACTACAGGCATGTGTCACCATGCCCAGCTAATTTTTGAAATTTTTTGTAAAGAAGAGGGTATCCCTATGTTTTGCAGGCTGGTCTCCATGTCCTGGGCTCGAGCAATCCTCTCACCTCAGCTTCCCAAAGTGCTGGAATTACAGACGTGAACTACCATGTCCAGCCCAGAGCCCTTTTAAGTCCCAGATCCTCCAACACTGAGACTCTTTTTTTGTTTTTTTTGTTTTTTTTTTTTTTTGAAACGGAGTCTCACTCTGTTGCCAGGCTGGAGTGCAGTGGCGTGGTCTCGGCTCACTGCAACCTCCGCCTCCTGGGTTCAAGCGATTCTCCTGCCTCAGCTTCCCAAGTAGCTGGGATTACAGGCACGCACCACCATGCCTGGCTAATTTTTGTATTTTTAGTAGAGATGGGGTTTCACCATGTTGGCCAGGCTGGTCTTGAACTCCTGAACTCGCGATCTGTCCGCCTCGGCCTCCCAAAGTGCTGGGATTACAGGCGCGAGCCACCACACCCGGCCTTCACTAAGACTCTTGAGTGAGGAACCCTCCCCTTCTTCTCTGGATATGTTTTTTTGGAGGCCTCTGCAGATCCCACTCCAAGCTCTGATGACCAGTTATGGGGGTCTCCAGACATGTGACACATTCCCGCCATCTTGGAGACCAAGGCATGTGACATTTAAACTAAGACTCCCCCACATTCACACCCTCCAAATTGTTTAGGCCTCAAGAAGTCTATTTTTTTGTCTGAGCACAATGGCTCACCACTGTCAACTCAGCACTTTGGGAGGCCAAGGTAGGAGAACTGCTTGAGGCTAGGAGTTCAAGACTAGCTTGGGCAACATAGTGAGACCCCCAGTCTCTACAGAAAAAAAAAATCAGCCAGGCACGGTGACAGGTGCCTGTAGTCTTAGCTACTTGGGAGGCTGAGGTGGGAGGACCATTTGAACCCAGGGTTTTGAGGCTGCAGTGAGCTATGATTGAGCTACTGTACTCTAGCCTGGGCGACAAGGGAGGTCCTGTCTCAAAAAAAAAAGAAGTCCAGTTTTGGGGACCCCACCCAAGAAGTTCTCCCCTACCTTACCTCTGATGCTTCCCCAATTTCTCCCTTCCCCTCTTCTCTTCTCTTCTCCTTACCCCTTGGGGCTCTTCGCAGGGGGAGGGGTGTATTTTCCGGAAAGTGTTTTCCCCACTTCTCGTTCTTGTGCCTTTCAAAGACTGAGTCATGAGGGGTGAGGGCAAAGGTGTGAGTGAGGGTGTCATGCTCCAAGGAGTGACTAAAATTGGGTACAAAAATATTACTGCAGGCTGGGCGTGGTGCCTTATGCCTGTAATCCCAGCTCTTTGGGAGGCCGAGGCAGGTAGATCACAAGGTCAGGAGATCGAGACCATCCTGGCTAACATGGTGAAACCCCAACTCTACTAAAAATACAAAAAAATTAGTCGGGCGTGGTGGTGGGCGCCTGTAGTCCCAGGTACTCAGGAGGCTGAGGCAGGAGAATGGCGTGAACCTGGGAGGCGGAGCTTGCAGTGAGCCAAGATCATGGCACTGCACTCCAGTCTGGGCAACAGAGCGAGACTCCATCTCAAAAAAAAAAAAAAAAAAAATTACTGCATGAGGCCAGCCATGGTGGCTCACACCTGTAATCCTAGCACTATGGAAGGCAGAGGCCTGGAGGATTGCTTGAGGCCAAGAGTTCAAGACCAACCTGGCCAACATAGTGAGACCCCATCTCTTTCTACAAAAAAATCATTAAATATAAAATTTATTTTAAAAATTACTGCACATTATGTTTGTTAACCAGCTTTTTTTTAAGATTTTCTTTTTTTGTAGAGATGGGGGGTCTCACTATGTTTCCTAGACTGGTCATGAACTCCTGGCCTCAAGTAATCCTCCCACCTCAGTAAGATCTTTGAATAAGTAAGGATTTACAATCTGAAATTCTCCCAGGACTCTGAGAGTATAGATGTTGCTGGTGTAAGGTTCAATGAATTCATCATTCCCTATTCATCTGCTTTGCAAACCTAATATATCACGGACATTTTCCAAGTCAATGCAAAGAACAGTGAGTCTCAGAATGTTGTCTCAAAACCAATAGCATTAGCATGGCCCAGGACCTTGTTAGAAATGCAAATTCTCAAGCCCCATCCCAGATCTACTTAAAAATTAAGAGATCTGAATTTGAACCAGCCCTCTGAGTCTGGGCTTGGCAAACACTGAGCCTGAGGGTCAAACCCTGCGTGCTATTTCCCTTTTACAAATAAGCTAAAGGGAATCTAGGCCAGATGTAGTGGCTCATGCCTGTAACCCCAACACTTTGCAGGGCCGAGGCAGAATTGCTTGGGGCCAAGAATTTGAGACCAGCCTGGGCAACTTAGCAAGAACTTATCTCTACAAAAAATGAAAAAAAAATTAGCTAGGATGTGGTGGCATATGCCTGATTCCAGCTACTTGGCAGGCTGAGACAAGATGACCTTTGAGCCTAGGAGTTTGAGACTGCAGTGAGCCACAATCGTGTCATTGCTCTCCAGCCTGGGCAACAGAGTGAGACCCTGTCTCTAACAAAACTGGAGTCAGCATGCGCATTCATTTCCATAGCATCTGTTGTCTGCAGTTGCTTTCATGCTATCTGGACAGATTTGAATAGTTACCACAGAGACTGTCTGGCCTGCAAAGCCTCTACACAAAGATTTGCCCAACACCACTGCTGTAGGTGATTTTGGGTCATGCTAAATAAAGTTTGAGAATGACTGGTATAGACAGCTACTTCCTCCTTCTTAGAGGTCAAATGGGGTTCCATTCTATGTATGTTCCAAAGCAGAACTAAGCTGTACCCATTGTTGGCCACTGTAACCGCCTAGCTGGTTCTTTCTGCCTGCTGCCCAGATACAGCCAATTTATCAAGATAGGAAAGCGGCAATAGAGAAAGAGTTTAATTTATGCCGAGCCACTGGCTGAGCAGGAGACCAGAGTTTTATTATTACTCAAATCAGAGGTGGGCATGGCAGCTCACGCCTATAATCCCAGCACTTTGGGAGGCCGAGGCGGGTGGATCACCTGAGGTTAGGAGTTCAAGACCAGCCTGGCCAACATGATGAAACCCCGTCTCTACTACAAATAGAAAAACTAGCTGAGTATGGTGGTTGGTGCCTGTAATCCCAGCTACTTAGGAGGCTGAGGGAGGAGAATCACTTGAACCCAGGGGGTGGAGGTTGCAGTGAGCTGAGATCATGCCAATGTACTCCAGCCTGGGTGACAGAGTGAGACTCCATCTCATAAAAAAACAAAATGAAAACAACAAATTAGCCTCCCCTAACATTTGGAGGCCAGGGTTTTTCAAGGATAGTTTGTCAGGCCTGGGAATGGGTGCTGCTGATTGGTCAAGGATGTAATCATTCATAGGGGCCTGGAAAATAGTCTGCTTCTGGGTGGAGCCACAGGACTGGTTGGCAGGTCTGGGTGGCATCACCAGAAATGCAAAAACCCTTAGTCTCAAAAGGCCAATCAGGTTCTACAGTAGTGATGTAATCTGCAGGAGTAATTGGGGAAGCTGCAAATATTTTGACCTCTGGAATAATGACTGGTAATCATTTATGTCTGCACCTTAGCAGAATTCATGCTCCTCTCATCCTCCTATCCTGGTGGTACTTCATTAGCTTTACAAAGGTGGTTTAGTTTTGGGGATGGACTATTACCATTTAAACTATAAACTGTCTCCCAAAGTTAGCTTGGCCTAAGCCCAGGAATGACCAAAGGCAGTTTGGAAGTTAAAGGCAAGGTAGCGGTTGTTTAGATCAGATCTCTTTCACTGTCCTAATTTTCTCACTTATAGTTTTTGCAAAGGCAGTTCATCATTGGACTGTCTCCAGTTTCCAAAATTAGGCACAGCCTCATAAACCCACCTCTGTGCACTCATCCAGTGATCTCCTATAGATGAAATTCTGGGTTGTGTTAAATGGTGGGTACAATTTTCGAGCATTTGATACACATTTGCAAACCTAATCAACAATAAGTATTCTCAGTTCTTTGCCAATCTGTATGGTGAAACAAGGTTTCTCACTGTTGTCATTTGTATTTTTTTGATGACTGTTGATGACATCTTTCCATGTATTTAGAATTTATTTGTACTTCTTTTGCAATTTTATGTCCTTTGTCCATTTTCCTAATGAGCGTCAAGAACTATGAAGTTAGTTTGCCATAGTTTCATGGCTGCTCATAGAAGACCCAAGACTCCCAAGTCAGAGACAAAGGGCAGTTTATTACTCCCAGCAATAGTAGTAGCAAGAGTATTAGTACGTGTGCCAGTTTTTTCTTTCTTTTTTCTTTTTTTGTTTCTTTTTTGAGACAGGGTCTTGTTCTGTTGCTCAGGCTGGAGTGCAGTGGCATGATTATAGCTCACTGTAACCTTGAATTCCTGGGCCTCCCAAGTAGCTAGGACTACAGGCATGTGCTACCAGACCTGGCTTTCTTATTTTTTGTAGAGACAGGGTCTCACTATGTTGTCCAGGCTGGTCTCAAACTCCTGGCCTCAAGCAATCCTCCCACCTCGGCCTCTCATGGTGCTGGGATTACAGGCATGAGCCACCACAGCTGGCCTATTTTTCTGAGCCCGTTTCCACAAGATGAAATGAAGAAGGCCAGATGATACCTGCACATGCACTGTGGTGCATGATATTAATAGAACCTTGAGCATAGGGAGCTTAAATCTTTTATAAGGCATCATAAGCCTGCCTTCCCTTTGCTCCAGAAAGAGATGCTATCTCTCTTCCAAGGCTGTTCACTAAACAAAATCCTTCAAAAGACAAGTCAGTGCTCTGCAGACATGTGAGAGACTCAAGAAAAACTGTCTCCCAAGACTGGGTTATCTTGTTATTTATTTGTAGAAGCTCTTTGCATATTAGGAATATTAACTCTTAATATACAACTTATAATTATTTCCCCCAGATTTTTTGTCCTTGCCTTTATTTACAGCTTTGTGTGTGTATGTAGAGGGGAAGTACAAGGGTTTAAAATTTATTTATTGTATTTATTTATTTATTTTAGATACAGGGTCTTGCTTTGTTGCCCAGGCTGGGAGTGCAGTTGCAAGATCATAGCTCACTGTAGCTGTAGACTTGAACTCCTGGGCTCAACCAATCCTCCCGCTTCAGCCTCCTAAGAAGCTGGGATTATAGGTGTGTGCCACCACACCTGGCTAATTTTTGTATTTTTAGTAGAGACAGCGTTTCAACATGTTGCCCAGGCTGGTCTCGAACTCCTGAGCTCAAGTAATCTGCCTGCTTTTGCCTCCCACAGTGCTGGGATTATAGGCGTGAGCCATGGTGCCTGGCCAACAGGTGTCAATTTTGAGTCACACTTATTAATATTTTCCCCCATGATTTTTGATCCTGCCTTCATGCTTAGAAAAGCTTTCCTCAGGCCAGGCACGGTGGCTCATGCTGTTGTGGCTCAGGCCGAGGCAGGCAGATCATGAAGTAAAGAGATCAAGACCATCCTGGCCAACACAGTGAAACTCTGTCTACAAAAATTAGCTGGTGGCACGTGCCTGTAATCCCATCTACTCAGGAGGCTGAGGCAGGAGAATCACTTGAACCTGGGAGGCAAAAGCGGCAGTGAGCCGAGATCACACCACTGCACTCCATCCTGGTGACAGAGCAAGACTCTGTCTCAGCCGGGCGCGGTGGCTCACACCTGTAATCCCAGCACTTTGGGAGGCTGAGGCAGGTGGATCACCTGAGGTCAGGAGTTCGAGAGCAACCTGGCCAACATTGCGAAACCCCGTCTCAACCAAAAATACAAAAATTAGCTGGGCGTGGTGGTGCGCGCCTGTAGTCCCAGCTACTCGGGAGGCTGAGGCAGGAGAATCACTGGAACCCAGGAGGCAGAGGTTGCAGGAAAAAAAAGTGAAATTAAGATTTGATGCTTACGTTTTTCCGCAAGGGTGGGGAAATAGTCTCCAACATCATGAACTGAAGCATGCAAGGGCCACCATCCGAGGGCTTCTGCAAAGGTCAGATTTCATGTTAGGGTCTTGGGAAAACTTTGAGAATGTCAATTCCCTGGGAATGGCTTATTTTAAGGACTTGGATACCATTGGGAAGTTCTGTTTGGGATGGTTTGTTCCTGTAAAGTCTTTGGGGATATCTGTCATCATGGTTTCTGTGCTAGGGTTTCCCGGAGGTTGTTATTGTAGGGTTTCTGGTAATGACTCCTATTGTAGCGCCTTGGAAATGTTGAATTTGTCATCATATTCCATTTGGGTAAGTCTATTTTAGAGGGTCTCCAGGAAGGGCGGCTTCCTAATTCTCATCATCTTCATACCCTACAGGATCCCTCTTCGTCAAGTCCACCCTGGACGCAGGACCCTGAACCTACTGAGGGGATGGGGAAAACCAGCAGAGCTCCCCAAGTTGGGGGCCCCATCCCCTGGGGACAAGCCTGCCTCGGTACCTCTCTCCAAATTCCTGGATGTGAGTCACAGCCCTACACAGCCCCCACTCCTGTGCCCTTGAGCCAAACTCTTCATTGACTCTGTCTCTTCTTTTGCCTCCTCAGGCCCAGTATTTTGGGGAAATTGGGCTGGGAACGCCTCCACAAAACTTCACTGTTGCCTTTGACACTGGCTCCTCCAATCTCTGGGTCCCGTCCAGGAGATGCCACTTCTTCAGTGTGCCCTGCTGTGAGCTTCTATGTGGGAGAATAAGGCTGAATGGGGGTGAAGGGAGAAGGCGGGGCTGGGCCTCAGCTTCCCAAAGGTTTTTGAGGAACTGTTCTTTTCTGACACCCTCAAAGGTCAGAAGGTTAAAGGGGCAGAAGGCATTCGGAAAGCTCCCCTCCCACAGTGACACCTCTCTGACTTCTGACCTAGGGTTCCACCACCGCTTCAATCCCAATGCCTCCAGCTCCTTCAAGCCCAGTGGGACCAAGTTTGCCATTCAGTATGGAACTGGGCGGGTAGATGGAATCCTGAGTGAGGACAAGCTGACTGTGAGTGGCCTTTGACTCCAGGAAGCCTCGAGCCTGGGAGAACCCTGTTGTCTAAGATCATCTGGCTTAGGGAGGGGCTTGAGGTGCAGGGGCTTCCTGAGCCGATGGATGGGGCTTCTCAAGGAGGGGGAGGGGTTCCTGGGTGAAGGGATAGGAATTCTCTCAAGTCCAGAGGCAAAGTTTGCTAAGCAGTTGGGGGCTTGGGTCCAGATGTCCCCAGACCTGGGATTAATGCTTTGGTTTGGGAGACCTCAGGACATGTGGTTATTGTCCTCCCAAAAGTAACTGGTCACATCTCAATCTACCCCTAGATTGGTGGAATCAAGGGTGCATCCGTGATTTTCGGGGAAGCTCTGTGGGAATCCAGCCTGGTCTTCACTGTTTCCCGCCCCGATGGGATATTGGGCCTCGGTTTTCCCATTCTGTCTGTGGAAGGAGTTCGGCCCCCGCTGGATGTACTGGTGGAGCAGGGGCTATTGGATAAGCCTGTCTTCTCCTTTTACTTCAACAGGTGCTGGGGAGGGTGCACCTATCTATGAGTCCTATTCCTCAGAAGGAAGTGAGGCCCTCCTTCAGGAAGTCTCTTACTCCATAAAGAAAGTCCCAGTTCAGGCACGGTGGCTCATGCCCGTAATCCCAGCAATTTGGGAGGCTGAGGCAGATTGATCACCTGAAGTCAAGAGTTCCAGACCAGCCTGGCTAACATGGTGAAACCCCATCTGTACTAAAACTATAAAAATTAGCTGGGTGCGGTGGCACATGCCTGTAATCCCAGCTACTTGAGAGGCTGAGGCAGGAGAATTGCTTGAATCCGGGAGGTGGAGGTTGCAGTGAGCCGAGATCGCACCACTGCTCTCCAGTCTGGGTGACAGAGAGAGACCGTCTCCAAAAAAAAAAAAAAAAAAAAAAAATCAATCCCACCCTTCATTCAGGAAGTAGCCACCTACCTAACAGAAGAAACACCTCAACCCTATTCATAAGCCCCAGAGCTTAAGTGACAACTTAAGACATATTAAAGAAACTCACCAACAGTTCAATATGCTGAGTTTCAAAATCAAACTAGGAAATTCTATGCCCCACCCAACCAAATACTCAGGAACCTTCTCTTCACCATAAAGCTCAAATCCCATTTGAGAACACTGACCAGAAGTCAGGAAATGCCTGATTGAATTCACGAAGCCCCACCCACCTGGTAGGAAGGTCAATCTTATGCTCAGAAGTCCCACCCACCACCCGAGAAGTCTTCACTTTCCCTCCCAGGGCCCATCACACACAGTCCAATGCCCACTCAGTTACCCTGACATCCAACCCACTCAAGAAGTTCCACCTAGCTCTCGGTAGGTCCCACTCATTTACATCTTCCAGGAAGTTTCCATCCCCGTTCCCATCACTCTCAGCCAGCTCAGGAAGTCTAACACCTTTCTAGATACCACAACAGGCAATTCAGAAAGTCTATGCACCTTCCCAGGAAGCCACCCCACTCCTGTACAAGTCACACCTTCGAGCCAATTCTGAGACTCCACTGGTCTGCTTGGTTACTATGATATTCAGCTCAGGAATTTCCCCCAAAAGCTCTACCTTCCACAGCCAAATGAAGAAGTCTCCTCTCCACTTCAGGAAGTATCCATCATCCTAAAGTCCTAACTTCCATCAAGAAAAGCACCATTTCCCTTCATTTCTTGTTTCCAGTCCCAACATCTCGGCCCTGCCTGCATTCCACTGCCCCAACTAGAACCCCAAAAATGACCCAATTGGCAGGAAGTCCCATCCCTGGCCATTCCTAGGGCTGGCGGGGGAGGGCTGGCGACAATGACCTCTACACTCTGCCCCTGCAGGGACCCTGAAGTGGCTGATGGAGGAGAGCTGGTCCTGGGGGGCTCAGACCCGGCACACTACATCCCACCCCTCACCTTCGTGCCAGTCACAGTCCCCGCCTACTGGCAGATCCACATGGAGCGGTGAGGGACTTGGTCTCCTGGGTCTGGAGCTGGAGGCCTGGACTCCTAGGACCCTGCCTCTAATGACTGCTTCCTTCCCCCTCAGTGTGAAGGTGGGCTCACGGCTGACTCTCTGTGCCCAGGGCTGTGCTGCCATCCTGGATACAGGCACACCTGTCATCGTAGGACCCACTGAGGAGATCCGGGCCCTGCATGCAGCCATTGGGGGAATCCCCTTGCTGGCTGGGGAGGTGAGGTCCCAGTCTCTGGTGGGTGTGTCCTGGGGAAGATGATGGCAATTCCATGGCGAACACTGCGGCCTGAGGATGGGAAGCAGGTAGCTAGAGCGTATCCAGGACAGAGGGGACTGGGCTTCTTAAGTGACATGCCAGAGAGTGGTGGGAGGAAGCAAAGATACTTCCCAAGTGTCTATGCTAAGTGGCTCAGTGGATGGTGAAGTAGGGGTGGGAGTGGGGGGGGGGTTGTTGGGGGAGATGATAATGCAGTTTTGTTTGGGACTAGATGAGAGGAGCCTAGGCAACAGGGCTGTCCACACACGGTGCTGAATACCCAGGTGCTCAATATGAACATTACTCCATGGCACTGGGGAGCCACGGACGGGATTTGAGCAGAGCAGGAATCTCCCATCTTCACTTGTTCCTCTCCTCCACCAGTACATCATCCGGTGCTCAGAAATCCCAAAGCTCCCCGCAGTCTCACTCCTCATTGGGGGGGTCTGGTTTAATCTCACGGCCCAGGATTACGTCATCCAGGTAGGTGTCCGTCATAATGACGCCACAGTGATGTAATATGACTGGAGTTGAGAGGGTGGAGCTGGTAGTTGGACATCACTAGGGCCGGAAGGGGCCACAGAAACATTTCTTGTCCCCGGGGTTGGGGGCGGAGAGAGCACGGACTCCCAGGGAAATGGTGGTTCCTGCGGCCTGGACACCCAGTTGCCGCCTTGTCGCCTTGCAGTTTGCTCAGGGTGACGTCCGCCTCTGCTTGTCCGGCTTCCGGGCCTTGGACATCGCTTCGCCTCCAGTACCTGTGTGGATCCTCGGCGACGTTTTCTTGGGGGCGTATGTGACCGTCTTCGACCGCGGGGACATGAAGAGCGGCGCACGAGTGGGACTGGCGCGCGCTCGCCCTCGCGGAGCGGACCTGGGAAGGCGCGAGACCGCGCAGGCGCAGTACCGCGGGTGCCGCCCAGGTGATGCGCATGCGCACCGGGTAGCAGAGCTAGCGCTACTCAGTAAAAATCCAATATTTCCATTGAACGAACCTGCCTAGGTTGCTTCTTTTCAGAGCGTACTTTTTGAAGAGAAAGCTTTGTGCATGGACCCACGGAGTTGAGGAAGAGAGGGAGGCGAAGGGTATCACCCCTTTTCTCCACGGCGCACCCTTGTGATGGGCCTTGTACTACGAGTCCCATGAAGGCCCTCGCCTACGCTGCCTTTCGTCAAAGGCTCCTGGCTCCGTGGAGCATCACGGTCGTTGTAGTCCACGCCGTGGTCACGCCCTGACGGGGGCGGGCGCAGCCACAACATGCGTGGGAGGCGACAGGTCGCGACGGCAGCCACAGGTGGCAGTCGGGGGTGGCTGTAATTGGTAAGGGTTTACCAGTTCCTGTTCTAAGGGGCGGGGATACCGTTCCCTCGGACCTCGTCTCCTGTTTCTCCTCTCTGCCTTGGCATTCCAGGACCCCGGGGTCCGCCATAAAGGCGGAGCTTGAAGCCCCTGGGTTGGGGGAGCGGTGCTGCCCCTCCTCCGGCGGTGATGTCACTCCCCCCTCTGCAGCCTCTTGCTGCCCAGAGCTGCCGGGGCTGGGTCACCCCTCCCCCCATCTCGAGCCCCGGATTCCCCCATCCCCACCTCGCCTCGACTTGGGGTGAGTACGGGGGAGGGGGCGAAGGCTCAGGGTCCGGGGGCGGTAAGACAGCCCGAATCCTAGTTTTGGAGACGGGGGACTTGGGATCCAGGGACCCAAAGATTATAGCGGGGAGATTCCCCTCGACTCTGAGCTTTCGGGGCCAAGGTACTTGGAGGGTTTTAGGGGACGAAGGATCGTAGGCAGAGAGTCCTCACATTTTCACCTTTGGTGTCCAGAGACCAAGGCTCCGAATGGAACCGGGTGGGAATGGGGGCAGAGGAACAAGGAAGGGGTCGTAGAAGTCAGGGAGGGAAGACCCTTCCCCAATTCCAGGGCCTGGGGTAATGGGGGAGGGAGGGTTATCAGGGGACGCCGAAGATGACGTAGATGGGAGTTGGAGCTTTCAGGAATTTTGTGTCTTGAGGGCCTGGGAACGGATGGATTGGGAGGAGCAGGGGTGGGGAAAGGAACTGAAAACGAGACAGACGTTGGCCTCTCCCCTCCTGGTGTCCCTAGTCAAGAGTCGAGTCTACTTCCTCCTGGTCTGTGAACATAGCTGAGTGTCCAGTATTTGGAGCCCTCATGAAGCTTCCAGAAGCCCCCTCCTCTCTAATGGGTGGGTGGAGACTCCAGGCTCACAAATCCTCCCATAGACCCTGGTGGGGTCTGTGGAGGGCCATGAGGGAGTGCTGGCATCCAAGTTTCCCAGGGCCTGATGGAATGTGGACGGACCAGCCTGCTACTCCCGGCCCGCTGCCTCTTCCCCTCCCATGGCCTCTAATCCTGAGTCGCATCGCACATTCCTCCTTATTCCAGCCCCTTTTCCCCACAGCCCCCACCTTCTCCCACACTTCTGACCTCTGCAAAAAAACGCTGATTTAGCCACTTGATACCGTGCCTGGCTGCTGTGAAAAGCAGAAGGGAAAAGCAGGGTTGAGGGGGGAGTGTGGAGGAGGATGGCGACCGAGGTCCTTACCTAGCCCATAGTGCCTACCCAGCCCTTGCTCCTGCCTCCACCACCCCACCCCCAATTGCCCAGGAGCCTCATCCAGCCCCAGCCCAGTCCCTCACCTCAGGATTCTCTGCTTCTGCCTGGGGGTGCACCAGAATTCGGGGAAGGGGTAGGAAGTACCTATGTCTTTTCTGTGCCCTCTTGGATTCCATCAGAAGCTGAAGGACATGATGGATTGGGTGCAATGGAGAGCCCTGGGTCTGGGGAGTGAGGGCAACGACCTTCCTGGGCTGCAGGACAGGCCCCACTTCTGCAACTCTCTCTGCAGTGACGCAGTCCCAGCTAGGACGGGGGTTAGAGAGGGTGATGGGGGGTCTGAGAAAAAGGAACGGAGACCCAGAGAGAGGGGGACAGGGTCCCCAGGAAGTGGAGACAGAGACCTAGAAAGAGAGAGACCCAGAAGAAGGTGAAACATAGGAGGAATAGAGACTCAGGGAGGGGACATAGAGAAAGTGAAGAGGCAGAAACTTAGAGGGAGAGAGAGAAGAACAGAGAGCCAGCAAGAGAAAGAGCAGAGACAGAGGAGGGAAAGAGACGGAAGAGGGGGAAATACACCAGAGATGGGGAGAAGGGGAAGAAGGAGGGGGAAATACACCAGAGATGGGGAGAAGGGGAAGAAGGAGGGGGAAATACACCAGAGATGGGGAGAAGGGGAAGAAGGAGGGGGAAATACACCAGAGATGGGGAGAAGGGGAAGAAGAAGGGGGAGGGGAAAGAGGTTGTCAGAGAGCAAGGAGGAGACAGACTCAGATGAAAGGGCAGAGACCCAGAGAGGAGGCAGGACAAAGCGGGTTGCGGGGAGGGAGTAGAGGACAGGGACACAAGACCCAGGGAGTGCGGTACAGAGCCCCAGACAGAGAGGCACACCCCTGATAAAATGGTACAGAAACCAAGAGAAAGAGACTCGGGGGAGCTGGGGTGGGGGGGCGGGGACTGAGACACCAGGGAGGAGAGACTGAGGCCTAGAGAGAAGAGGAGCAAAGACTCAGAAGGAGGGGGACAGAATCAGAGACCCAGGAGGGCAGATTTACAAACGAGGGGTCGGAGACTCAGAGGGGTGGGAACAGAGACGGCGGCACAAATACTCAAGAAGGGAGAAAAAGAGACGCCAAGAAACCCAGAAACGGGAGCGGGGGTGGGATGGGGTTGGGAGGCGATACGAATCAGCCGCCGCACCTGCAGCAGGAAGCGGCGGGCCAGAAACTGTGCTGCCCGAGGGCGCCCGCAGCCCCCTGACCCGCCCCCTTCGCTCCCGCAGGCGCCGCCTCCTCCCTCCGCAGCCCCAGCCGCAGCCGCTGGCCCCGCCCCAGCCCCCTGAGCCTGCGCTCTGCCTCTCGGAGCCTACGACCGCCCAGGGGGCGGGGACGGCCCGCTCCGAGGCGGTCCCCTTTTTCTGGCCCCGCCCCTCACTCCATTCTTCCCCAGAACCCGACCTCTGAGACTCCTAGCCCACCCCATTTTTTATCGGTCCTGCCTATATTGCCTCAGTCTTGACGGTGCTTCCTGGCGCTTTGGCCTCTCCCCTCTCCCGTCCTCTCTGCCTCCTTGCGTGCCCCCTCCTCACCAGTCCTCATCTACCCTCGGTCCTCCAATCTGCAGTCCGCCGCGGTGTAGCGTTCGTTAGAAGTTCTCGCCTCGCCCTTTGAGACCCTGTGACCTTTAGGCAGTGCCCTCTCCCAGGTCTTCTGATCCCGAAGACTCCCCGTTCCAGGTCCCTCCCCTCCATCCAGCCCAGTAGCTTTGTACTCTTTGTAGTCTCATTGTTCCCCTGGGATCCACCTCTCCCGTTCCTCTACCCTCCCTTAGCCCTGCCCTGCCCTCGCCTACCCTGGTTGCTTTCAAGACCCTCAAGCCCCGCTCCTTCCTTAGTCTCTCTTTCCTACCGCCCATTCAAGACGTTTTCTTTTTCTTTTATTTATTTATTTTTTGACACAGAGTCTCGCTCTGTCGCCCAGGCTGGAGTGGAGTGGTGCGATCTCGACTCATTGCAACCTCTACTTCCCAGGTTCAAGCGATTCTCCTGCCTCAACCTCCCGACTAGCTGGGACTACAGGCACCCACAACCACGCCCGACTAATTTTTGTATTTTTAGTAGAGGCGGGGCTTCACCATTTTGGCCGGGCTGGTCTCGAACTCCTGACCTCAAATGATCCACCCACCTCAGCCTCGCAAAGTGCTGGCGTTACAGGCGTGAGCCACTGCGCCCTGCCTCAAGACGTTTTCTATTTGTCGACCCCACTCACCTTCCTCAGTACCACTCATCCATCCGGACACTCATTCTCCGGGCCCAGCCCCGACTAACCAGGCCCGCCTTGGAGCCTCAGCCCCGCTCCCTCCCTTAGGCCTATCCAGACCCTCTCGGGTTTCCAGGACTCTCTCAAGTTTCAACACCTTCTCACCGAGTCTAAGTCTTTGTTCTTCCCGTGTCCTCTTTCAGTCCAGCCTGTCCCCCTTGCGCGGGAAAGTCCTCCATCTCTAGTTCCCGCCCCATGCAGTCTCATCTGGACCGTTTCTACTTTCTGCGGCCCTGTCTCTTCCAAGCAATGCTCCTCCCCACCAGGTCCTGCCTAGCGGTGTTTTAGGTGAGGGCGTGCGATCTGTTTTGTTTCTCTCCGCCCCTTTCTCAGCCCAATCAGGACGGCCTCTCTCATGGTGGCCCCGCCCCTCCAGGCCAGTCGGGCGTCTTTAAATAGCTTGGATGTGTCCCCTCCTCCCTCTACCCCGCCCGCACTTTTTTCAGTTCAGTAAGGTCTCTCTCTATCGTATCTAGCCCCGCCTTCCCCTGGCTACCAGTGCTGCCGAACACAATTAGTAGTAACCGGTCCCGCCTCCCTTGACGCCCCGCCCCGCCCCTCCTCCCTGCTCTCTTAGAAAGAGCCAATCGCTCCGTCTCATTGGCGGCCCCGACTCGTCCAGCTGGGTCGCGTTAGAGTGCCCGCCCCACTCCTCCCAGCCACAGCCCCGCCCCACCTCCCCCAGGCCAATCAGTTTGGTTCCTCTCCCCTAAGCCACGCCCCCGCTACCTCGCTCCTCCTCCCACCCAATCCCGTCGGTCTCTCCCCCCGTGTCCCCGCCCCTGCGTCCCCGCCCCTCCCGCCCCGCCCCCCGTCCAATGCTGAGCTCAGTCTGCGTCTCGTCCTTCCGCGGGCGCCAGGGGGCCAGCAAGCAGCAGCCGGCGCCACCGCCGCAGCCGCCCGAGTCCCCGCCGCCGCCACCGCTGCCGCCGCAGCAGCAGCAGCCTGCGCAGCCCGGCCCCGCCGCGTCCCCGGCGGGCCCCCCGGCACCCCGCGGGCCCGGGGACCGGCGCGCCGAGCCATGCCCCGGGCTGCCGGCGGCGGCCATGGGGCGGCACGGCGGCGGCGGTGGCGACAGCGGCAAGATCGTGATCAACGTGGGCGGCGTGCGCCATGAGACGTACCGCTCGACGCTGCGCACCCTGCCGGGGACGCGGCTGGCCGGCCTGACGGAGCCCGAGGCGGCGGCACGCTTCGACTACGACCCGGGCGCCGACGAGTTCTTCTTTGACCGGCACCCGGGAGTCTTCGCGTACGTGCTCAACTACTACCGCACCGGCAAGCTGCACTGCCCAGCCGACGTGTGCGGGCCCCTGTTTGAGGAGGAGCTCGGCTTCTGGGGCATCGACGAGACCGACGTGGAGGCCTGCTGCTGGATGACCTACCGGCAGCATCGCGACGCTGAGGAGGCGCTCGACTCCTTCGAGGCGCCCGACCCCGCGGGCGCCGCCAACGCCGCCAACGCCGCAGGCGCCCACGACGGAGGCCTGGACGACGAGGCGGGCGCGGGCGGCGGCGGCCTGGACGGAGCGGGCGGCGAGCTCAAGCGCCTCTGCTTCCAGGACGCGGGCGGCGGCGCCGGGGGGCCGCCAGGGGGCGCGGGCGGCGCGGGCGGCACATGGTGGCGCCGCTGGCAGCCCCGCGTGTGGGCGCTCTTCGAGGACCCCTACTCGTCGCGGGCTGCCAGGGTGAGCGCGCTCTCGGGGCCCCCATCCACCCCACCCCCGCCTCTCCAGGCGCCCCCAGTCTCCCAGGAGCGCCCCAGCTCCAACCCTCCGGGTCCCTCTAGGCTTCTCAGTCTCCTAGAAGCCTCTTCCCCAATCCTGAGTCTCCTGGGCTCCTCCGAACACACCCCCCTCTCGCAGCCATCCCCCAGATCCTCCAAAGACGGATCTCCAACCTTCGGGCTCTTCCAGACCCCTCCAAAGTTCCCCCTCCCCCGCCAAGGCCACCCTAGACGCTTAGACACTTCCTCCAGACCGTGAATCTCCCGTGCTTCTCTGAACAACCCGGTCCCCACCTTTCCTGGGCTCCTCTGAGACCCTCCCCAACCCTCATGTCTCCTGGGCCCCATCAAATCTCTTCTCACTACTCTTGGTCACCGTCCAGCCCTTGGTTTCTTGGACCTTCCCCAGCCCCTCAGAAGACATCCCTTCTCAGCCCTCAAATTCTCCTAGGCCCTGTGAGCCCTGACCCCCACTTTCCCTGCCTTCTCCAGACTCTCTGGGGCCCCCTATTCAACTCTCAGTCTCTCCCAGCACCTCCCCGATTCACCCCGTGGCCCGTCTCCCAGAAGACCTCTCTCTCCAAGTTTGAATCTTCTGATTATTTTTTCCACTCCCTTCCTGCAGTATCTTCTGCTCTCAGAGTCTCAGAAAACTCCCCCACCCCAACCTCACAGCCTTCTGGACCCCTCTAAACCTCCACTTGTTCTTGCCTGGACATTTTCACCTCCCCCTCACTGCAATACTGAGTCTTGGGGCATCTTCTCCGTTGGAACCTCCAGGCCCCCTCTGTGTTCACTCTGTGTTTAACACTCTTCAACCTCCACGCCAACTCCCATCTCAAGGACTTTCCCCATAAAGCTCCAGACTTCCCCCAAGCCTTTCACACTCCTCCTCAGTGCCTCCAGAAGCATCCCATGCCCCCATCATATGCCTTTCCTCTCCAGAACCCTCACATGTCCTCCAGAATTGTTCTTCCTCCTCCATAGATCCTCGCAGCTTCTCCTCTCCATCATTTTAACTGCACAGTGCACTCTCTATCCCTGGGACTCCCCCCATCCAAAGCCCCCACAGCCCGTTTCCTAGTCTAAGTGACTTTCCCTCCTGCTCTAGAACTTTTTCTAACCTCAAACCCTGGGAGGCCCCTCAAGTCATCAGCCCTAAAACTTTCATCTCAAAATAACTTACAATTCTTTCTACCTTGCCCTGGGATTCCTTCCACCTGCCCTCTTCCTTTCTCGAACCTCCCCCCCCGCCGTGCAAAACCCAGAACCTAGCCCCTCAGTCTGTCCCCCTCCATCAAAGTGAACCAAAGAGCCTTCTCTCTCTCTCCAAATTCTAGATTTTCCCCAAAGCTCTCTCCATCGCTCCCAGAAAACTTTCCTCAAGCATCCATAACTTCCTAGGCTAAATGACTACCCTCCCCCTGGGTTCTCTCCTGAACCATTTCCTCCTACTAACTTCCTCCCTGTCCCGGGGACCCCGGAGGGAGAATGTGGTGGAAAAGGGGGGCAGTGCAAAATGGGGGCAATTGGAAATGGGGGAAATAAGAGCGATCCCAAGACCCCCTCCTGGGCTCCTGGGTACCCAAACACAGAGGAGCAGGTCTTGGCCCCCTCCCCCCACCGTGCCGCGTCCTGAGCCGGGAAGGACGCGGAGCCGCAGTGCCGCATTCGCGCCGGGGGAGGGAGCGGGGGGACGCCTGGAGCCACCGCATAAAGTTTGGTCCCCAGAAAGCGCTGAGTTGGCGAGATTTGGGGTTGGATGGGGGGAGGTGGGGAAGAGGAGGTGCGGAAGGGACATGGCCCTGGATGCCCCCTCAAGACACTGAGCGGCTCCTTCCCCCATGGCCGGGGCGCCCTTCTCTCCTGTGACCCCATTGAAGGGTGCTGAGATGAGGAGCGGGATGAAGTTAGAGTTCTTCTGTGATGGTCAGGCTAGGTGTTCGGGACAGCTACGGGAGATACTCATTTACTCCGCCAATGTGTTTTGGGTGTCCAAGGTGTGCCGAGCCCTTTCCAGCCTCCCAGTGATATGGCTTGAGAGAGTTGGGAGCTGAGGCCAAAGCAAAGTGGAGGGTCCGACCCTACAGCCCCCTGCCCCCGCCCCCTTCCTCGTAATCACTCCTTTCCTTCTTACAGAGACTCCATGCCCTCCTACCCCTTCTGCTTTTGACACACTCTGGAGTAAGGGGTTAAACCAGCCCGACGCCGTCCAGCCTCTGCAGCTGCGCACTGCGGCGGGTGCCCACCTTTCCCTGTGCCCTGGGAGGGAAGGAGTTAATTAGACTCTTGGCCCTTGGCCTCCCGCCGGAAAGCAGCAACACTGCGGCTGCGCGTTGAATAGGCTCCGGCCCGGAAGGGGTTAAGACGGCCCCTAGCCGCTGCGGCTGCGCACTGCGGCGGGGGAGCTGTCCGCGGTACTGGCCGCCGTGCGCCCCGCCCCCCGGCCCGGCTGGCCCGCCCCCACTGCGGTGCCGCAGCTAGCGCCGCGCGCCCGGCTCGGAGGGGGCGGGGAACTAGGCATGCGCTCTGCGAAGGCCTCTGGCCTCTTAAACCACTGCAGAGAAGCGAAGGTGGGGGTGGGGGGGGAGTTCAGAGAGGACCTGCGCCGGCCCCCAGCCCACCCCAACGTCCAGGGTCCTCTCTGTGGCCCCGAAACTCTCCACCCACTACTTCCCAGCTCTGCACCTCAGTGAAGTCAAGCCCAGAGCCCAACCCCTGTGGAGGAAGGGGGGTGCACAGAGGGACAGTGCTGGCCCTTGGCCCACCCCAAAGTCCAAGGTCCTCTCTGTGGTCCAGCAGTGGCCTCCCCGTGCTCTGTGCCCCTGATTAATAGCAAAACTCCCCATGCCCTCCCTCCTCCACTACCCGCAGGATTAAAACCCTCTCTTTACTATAACACCTGTCTTCCTTCCCTCTCCAATGCACTCCTCTCCCCTCCCACCCCTCTGCATATCTGATAAAGCCCATGACATCTCTAGGGGCCTGGCCCATTGCTTTCCTTCTCCAAGACCCTGACCCCACTCCCTCCTCTTCTAGGCCTTCATCAAAACCCACATCACTGTGTGGCAGGACTCTGGTTATCCCCCATCTTGAAATGGCTCAGGACCCTTCACCCCTCATTCTCTGCCCCTTTGGCAAATGCCCTAA
The DNA here is from genome assembly GCF_000001405.40 of Homo sapiens. Classification (NCBI taxonomy): domain Eukaryota; kingdom Metazoa; phylum Chordata; class Mammalia; order Primates; family Hominidae; genus Homo; species Homo sapiens. The sequence continues at coordinate 50,325,024 of NC_000019.10, read as the reverse complement.
CTTCTCTTTGGCCCTGGCTCTGCCTTTTCCCACAATGTCCAGGCCAGTGACTCTCCTTCCTCTTCAGGGCCCTAAACCCTGCCTGACTCTCCTCTTTTATCTCCTCTTCCATTTTTGCAGGCTTAACCCTTCAACCCCTCCTCCCTTAAGGGCCCGGACCCCCACCTCCCCTCTGTGGCACCACCACTGCCCTGTCCTCTCTGGGTGAGGCCTTGACCTTGCCCCCCAACTAACTGCTGCCTGCATACCCTAACAACAGCTCAGGTCTTCTTACTGTGTTCCAGGCACTGCTCCAAGCACTGTGTTTGGAGCCAAGTCCTTCGTACGCTCATCTAATTTAATCCTCACAACAATCCCACTACAAACTTCTGGTTCAGAAAGCTCAGTCTCCTTGCCCAGTTTTGACAGGTTAAAAGCCAGATTCATGCCCAGGCTCGCCGACTCTTAACCACCTCACGATTCTGCCTCCCTGCCCGCCTTCTCCCTTCCCGTCTGCCCAGCTCCAAGCTGAGCCCTAAAGCCTCCGAGACACACAGGATGTGTGATCTTAGGCCTGGCGGCTCCCGTCCCACAGCAGAACCCGTGGACCCTGCTGGGGGGCCCTGAAATAGGACACAGGGAACAGGAGGGTGGGGGGAGGTGGTCTAGGAAACAGCAAGGGGCCAGAAATGTTTCCAAGGAAAGAAGCTGCCCATCTGCTGCGTCTGCTGGGGCCAGCTCTTCTCCAACTGCCTCTGTTCCTTTCTCTCCCTTTTTGCTAGCTTTAGAGGGGAGAATGGGATTCTGGAAGTGATGGAGCCACAGGGCTGAGACACCTGGATTTTGCCCAGAGTTTGGGCCCAGGAGGCTGGGGAAGGGGGCACTGGAAGGGTCTTCTGGATGTTATGGCCAACCTGATGCCTAGGTCACCTCTCCCCCTCTCTCTCCCTCCCTGCCCTGCAGTATGTGGCCTTCGCCTCCCTCTTCTTCATCCTCATCTCCATCACCACCTTCTGCCTGGAAACCCATGAGGGCTTCATCCATATTAGCAACAAGACGGTGACCCAGGCCTCCCCGATCCCCGGGGCACCTCCGGAGAACATCACCAACGTGGAGGTGGAGACGGAGCCCTTCCTGACCTACGTGGAGGGGGTGTGCGTGGTCTGGTTCACCTTCGAGTTCCTCATGCGCATCACCTTCTGCCCAGACAAGGTGGAGTTTCTTAAAAGCAGCCTCAACATCATCGACTGTGTGGCCATCCTGCCCTTCTATCTCGAGGTGGGCCTCTCGGGCCTCAGCTCCAAGGCCGCCAAAGACGTGCTGGGCTTCCTGCGGGTGGTCCGCTTCGTCCGCATCCTGCGCATCTTCAAGCTGACCCGGCACTTCGTGGGGCTGCGCGTGCTGGGACACACGCTCCGCGCCAGCACCAACGAGTTCCTGCTGCTCATCATCTTCCTGGCCCTGGGGGTGCTCATCTTCGCCACCATGATTTACTACGCTGAGCGCATTGGCGCCGACCCCGATGACATCCTGGGCTCCAACCACACCTACTTCAAGAACATCCCCATTGGCTTCTGGTGGGCTGTGGTCACCATGACGACCCTGGGCTATGGAGACATGTACCCCAAGACGTGGTCGGGGATGCTGGTCGGGGCGCTGTGTGCCCTGGCGGGGGTGCTGACCATCGCCATGCCTGTGCCCGTCATTGTCAACAACTTTGGCATGTACTATTCGCTGGCCATGGCCAAGCAGAAGCTGCCCAAGAAGAAGAACAAACACATCCCCCGGCCCCCGCAACCGGGCTCGCCCAACTACTGCAAGCCTGACCCACCCCCGCCACCCCCGCCCCACCCGCACCACGGCAGCGGGGGCATCAGCCCGCCGCCACCCATCACCCCACCCTCCATGGGGGTGACTGTGGCCGGGGCCTACCCAGCGGGGCCCCACACGCACCCCGGGCTGCTCAGGGGGGGAGCGGGTGGGCTGGGGATCATGGGGCTGCCTCCTCTGCCAGCCCCCGGCGAGCCTTGCCCGTTGGCTCAGGAGGAGGTGATTGAGATCAACCGGGCAGGTGAGCCTGGGCGTCAGGGATCGGGGGCACAGGTGGAGACCCGGGGAGGACTGGGGAGGTAGCTGCCGGGGTTCAGAGAACCTGGGGTGGTTGGCGTCGAAGAGGTGAGGGAGAAAAAAACCAACAGCAGGAGCTCAGGCGAAGAAGGAGGCACAGATAATCACACAGAGACATAGGTTTCATGGGAAAGAGTTTTGGGGAGAAACAGATTTGCAAGATATTCAGAGGGGCTGGCGAGGCAGAGGCAGTGTCATCAGCTGTGCAGAGAGAGGGACCCGGAGGAGCGTGGGGCTCAGAGAGACACAGAAAGAGGGTCTCACAGGAATCACAGGCAGACCCGAGGCAGAACCCCAGGGAACGTAGCAGCATCTGAGCATCCGGGAGACAGCCCTGAGGGAAGAGAGACTGAAGCCGATAGGGTCTGAGGCGGGGAGTCAGAAACCGAGAGATTGTCATGGAGACCAGAGAGAGATGGGATGTAGATTTTGGGCGGAGGTGGGGGCGGTCAGCGGCAGAGAGTTTGGGTTCTAATGACAGCAAGCCCAAGAGGCAGACAGACTTCAAAACGGAGAGTCAGGCCAGGGCAGATCCCCCAGGGCAGAACGGAAACCAGGGCCTGGTCAGTCGGCTTTGCTGTGGGCAGCCTGGGAGGGTCCCAAAGAGAGATCCAGAGAGGTGCTGCTCAGAGGAAGAGACAAGCGAGAGATGAGGGAGAAGAAAGTTACCTGTGCTTCTGTGTGTGTTCCTCCCCCAGGGGGTGTCTATGCCTCAGAGGCAGTGGCTTGGGAGTCTAGGAGGAAGGAGAGGCTGGTGGCCCCCCCCTGCACTGCCCCGCCTTAAGTAGGTCAAGAAAGGGAGCTGGGCCACTTGGCCCCCATCTTGCTCCCTCAGCCGCTGACCCAGTTTCACACCAGTTAAAAATAGCTGGAGTCAGAGCCTAGGGGACCCCCACGTCCCACCTCCCATCTCTCACCTAACCTAGCCCTTCCCCTTGGTGCCCTTCCCAGAGCCCAGCACTCTTCCCTGAACAGCCACTTCCTAGCTTGCCACATCCTCTCCAGCCATGCCTCCACCCGCTACCCCTACCCCAGCCAAGCCCCCTGAAGTTTGCTCCAGCCAACCACCCCCCAACACTGCCTCATCTTCTCCCCGACACCCAGCTTGCTTCATCCGCAACCATCTCTCTCTTTTTTTTTTCTTATTCCAAGACGGAGTCTCACTCTGTCTCCCAGGCCGGAGTGCAGTGGAAACATCTTGGCTCACTGCAACCTCCGCCTCCCGGGTTCAAGTGATTCACCTACCTCAGCCTCCGGAGTAGCTGGGATTACAGGCGCCCGCCACTGTGCCCAGCTAATTTTTGTATTTTTAGTAGAGACGGGGTTTCACCATGTTGGCCAGGCTGGTCTCGAACTCCTGACCTTAAGTGATCTACCCACCTCGGCCTCCCAAAGTGCTGGGATTACAGGCGTAAGCCACCACGCCTGGCATCTTTTATCTTTTATCTTTTTTGGAGACAGGGTCTCACTCTATCACCCAGGCTGAAGCAGTGAAACTATTATGGCTCACTGCAGGCCGACCTCCCAGTTTCAAGTGATCCTCCTGCCTCAGCCTGCAGAGTAGCTGGGACTATAGGCGTGTACTACTATACCCAGCTAATTTTTCTATTTTTTGTAGAGATGGAGTTTTGCTATGTTGCCAGGGCTGGTCTCAAACTCATGGCCTCAAGCAATTCTCCCACCTCAGCCTCACAAAGTGCTGGGATTATAGGCATGAGCCAATGTGGCCAGCTCCAGACCATATCTTTAAACAGCATCCCACCCCAGTCCTACCCTTCCTGGCACCCCACACCTGGCACCACCACCACATCCCAGCTCTCAACACCTCCCTGCACCACCACAATCTGTCCAACTCCCTGTCCAGACCACCCTTCCCAACTGCAGTCGCCCTTCCCAGCACTCAACCCCCATGATCACCCCCCAGCCGCGCCCCCTTGATACCCTCTCCCAGCTGTGCCCCCTGCCACCCTCCTGGCCACTCCTTCCCATCACCCTGCCCTTGAATCTCCACTTCCAGTGCCAAACATCCGCCGACCATCCCAGCATCTGCTCCTCGCAGACATCTTGCCCCACCGCGTGTTCACCGCACCTCACTCTCTCCTTTGTCTCTCTGTCTGACCCCCTTGGGATGCAGATCCTCGCCCCAATGGGGATCCGGCAGCAGCTGCGCTTGCCCACGAGGACTGCCCAGCCATTGACCAGCCTGCCATGTCCCCGGAAGACAAGAGCCCCATCACGCCTGGAAGCCGTGGCCGCTATAGCCGGGACCGAGCCTGCTTCCTCCTCACCGACTATGCCCCTTCCCCTGATGGCTCCATCCGAAAAGGTGAGGTGCCCCCCCTACTGATCCCCTGGGACCCTCCCTCTCTCTCCCCTGCCCAGGGGAGGGAGGAGAGGGGGATGGGGGAGGAGGCGGTGGACTTCCCTTCCCCCTTCCCTTGGCCCCAAACTGCCTCCCTCCCAGATCTTCCCTGTACCCCCGCCCCAAGTTTCCTCACCACTGACCCTTCACCTGTCTTTATTCCATGTCCATTCCCCCCAACTCTCTGGCCTCTTCCCCCACCCCCAGCCACTGGTGCTCCCCCACTGCCCCCCCAAGACTGGCGTAAGCCAGGCCCCCCAAGCTTCTTGCCCGACCTCAACGCCAACGCCGCGGCCTGGATATCCCCCTAGTGGACGAACCCCCTCCCCCCGGGGTAAGTAGCCCCCACCCTCTGATCCCCCGGACCCCCAGACTCCCCACTCCTGCCTGACTAACCCTTCTGAGAACATGCAGCCCCCACTGACCGAGACTTCGGCCCCCTCACTGCAAGCAGCTGCACCCAGTTAACCCCCAGCTCCTGACACTGACCCCACACCCACCTACCCAGGACTCACCCTGCTCCTCACTAACCCCCGAACTAACTCAACCCTGCCTCCCACACTGCACCTGCCCTCACGACCGACCCCATCCTCACCCCCATCAACATCTCTGCCTCCCTCCTTGGTCCTAGGGTTTTTTTTAAAAATTCAATCAGGAAAACGGAGGGCATACCCAGAACACTTCTGGGTGCAGAATGGGGAGAGAAAGGCTCAGCCATCCGTCCATGCCCCTGTGAATTCAGCCAGCGCTTAGACAGCACCCACGCATCCCAGGTACTGGGCATGGGGAGTTCAACCGTGAACAAAAACCATGCCCCCAGGAGCTTCCGCTTTGGAGCAGGAGGCAGACACGGACCTAGAAAGTCATGGTTTGAGGCGATGTATGCTAAAATGGAGGGAGCACAGACAGTGAGAGGAACACTAGAAACTCCCAGGGGATGGGGCCGGGCATCAGGGAAGACTCGATATCTGCAGTGGGGCCTTAAGGTTGAGCAGGAGTTCTGACCACACGCAGAGGAAGAAATCCCATCGACAGGAACGGTTGAAGGGAACCGCAGGACAGAGCTTAGGAGACTAGACTGTGGAGGGAGGATTCTCAGGTAGATATGAGGCAGGCACCGGGCTGAGAGGCTGCCACCTTGTCTAGGGGCTTGGGGAGGAGGCAGGTGAGCTGGGAGGGGCAGCTCTGGGGTCTTGTGAGGATGGACTGGAGGTGGGAGGCTGGAAGTTAGGAGGCTGAGGTGACAGGTGGAAGCGTGAGCTGGGGCCAGGGCTGTGAGGATGGAGAGGAAGGGACGAGGCCGAGAGAGTCGGGGTCAGGGATCAGAAGGGACAGACTGGGGGCTGCCGGCCATGCAGAAGTGAGGGGGATAAGACAGTGGTGCTATTTAGTAGACGAATCATTCAGCAAATATCACCAAGTACCTACCACATGCTAGGAATTTAACATATATTCTTTAATCCTTGTAACAATCCAAGCCAACTCCTAGCTCCTTTCATTCATGTATTCAATCCATTCATTCACTGTTTCAGCAACTGATTCTTTTTTTTTTTTTTTTTTTTTTTGAGACTGTCTTGCTATGTCACCTGGGCTGGAGTGCAATGGTGCAATCTCGGCTCACTGCAACCTCCGCCTCCTGGATTCAAGTGTTGGGGTCTCGCTATGTTGGCCAGGTTGGTCTTGAACTCCTGGGCTCAAGCAGTCCTCCTGCCTTGGCCTCCCGAAGTGCTAAGATTACAGGCATGAGCCACCACCCATGGCCACAACTGATTCTTGAGAACACAGTTGCAGGCACTACAAATTTGGGATAAAACAAAGCGTGAATCTGCCATCACGGTTTACAGTCTCCAGATTGTAAGGGGTCCGCAAACTAACTCCAGCCTGAGGGCCTGATCTTTCAGCATCTGTTTTTGTAAACAAAGCTTTATTGGAACACAACCATGTTAAGCCACGACAGCAGAGTGGAATAATTGGGACAAAGACTATACAGCCCCTATAGCCAAAGAGATTTACTATCTGGCCTTTTACAGGAAAAGTTTCCAGCCGCTCATAGGAAGAAGCAGAAAATAAGCAATTAAGGCTGGGCGGCGGGGGTGGCTCACATCTGTAATCCCAGCACTTTGGGAGGCCGAGGACAGTGGATCACTTGAGGTCAGGAGTTCGAGACCAGCCTGGCCAACATGGTGAAACCCCATCTCTACTAAAAATACAAAAATTAGCCATGCGTGGTGGTGGGCACCTGTAGTCCCAGCTACTTGGGAGGCTGGGGTAGGAGAATCACTTGAACCCGGGAGGTGGAGGTTGCAGTGAGCCAAGATCACACCACTGCACTCCAGCCTGGGCTACAAATAGAGTGAGACTCCCTCTCAAAAAAAAGAAGAAGAAGAAGAAGAAGAAAAGAAGCAATTAAGATAAAGATAAAAGAACAAGACTATTACTCTGGCCACTTCAGTTAAAGAGGTCTGGCTGGGCACAGTGGCTGCCGCCTATAACCCCAGCACTTTGGGAGGCCAAGGTGGGAGTATCATTTGAGCCTAGAAATTTGAGACCAGCCTGGGCAACAGAGCAAGACCATTTCCTCAAAACCAAAAAACTTAGGTGTGGTGGTGCATGCCTGTAGACCCAGCTACTTGGGAGGCTGAGGTGGGAGGACTGTCTGAGCCCAGGAGTCTGGGAGGCTGCAGTGAGCCATGATTGTGCCATGGTGCTCCAGCCTGGGGGGACAGAGTAAGACCCCATCTCTGGGGGAAGAAAAGGAGTTCTGCAAAGGACTTTTTGAGGAGGTGACACAGAACCTGGAGGGTGAAAAGGGCCAGGCAGGCAGAAGAAACAGCAAGTGCACAGGCCCTGAGCTTCCCTGGGGGAGGGGGTGGAGGATGAGCTTGGCTTGTTCAAGGGACAGCAAGGAGCACAGTGAGGCTGATCCCAGTGGCCAAGGGGAGAGGGCTGCTGGAGTCCAGGGAGAAAGATCAGGACGGATTTTCGGCCATGGTGAGGAGGCGGGACTTTATCTTAAACGTGAAGGGAAGCCACCTGAAGGTATGTGATCCATCATGCATTCATTCAACAGCCGTCTGTGGAATCTTCTTTAGAAATGCAGAGACACATCCTAAAGGATCCCTGTCCACAGCCTAAGGAGATGCCATAGGGGAACCTGGGGGGCTTCCAGGAATGGCCTCACCTAAACCCCTGTGTTTCACAGACATTCAGGGAAGGCCATGACCAACCCACCACCCCAGGCCACAGAGCACAAGGGCCGAGACCCCAGGCTTCCGGGCTCCTAGTCCAGAGGGGGGACTGTCTGGCTCCTCTTGTTCCATCCCCCCCACCTCTCCTTTTTGTAACCTCCCCGTCATTGTCCATTTCCAGCTCATTACCCCCCCACTCCCCTCCCTGCTCCTATCTAACTCCTCCCCCTGCTTGCACCCACTCCCAGTCCTTTACCTTCCTCTGTTCCCCACCCCCAGGTCTAGAGGGGCCCCTATGGGATTGAGGGGGAGAGGGTGTGGGCCTATGGGTGAGGGAGGATTGGGGTGGGGGTGGCTGGGTGGGGGAGGTCCCTGCTTCTCTTGCCTATGATGCCAAAATCCATTCATTGAACTCAAATCATGGCTGGAGCTGATGGGGTTGGCTGAAGCTTCTATCCCTGGTGCCCTGGATCCTTCCCCCTCCAGCCCTCCCCAAGCCTTTTCCTTGCTGTCCTTCAGCCCCACAACCCTCCCTCCCACAAGACCCCTTTGGCCTATTGCCCCCCATGCTCCTTCCCCCAAGAGTCTCTCCTACCACAACCTTCCCTTCCCAACCCTTTCGTTTTTGTTTTTGAAATGGGGTCTCGCTCTGTCGCCCAGGCTGGAGTGCAGTGGCGCAATCTTGGTTCACTGCAGCCTCTGCCTCCCAGGTTCAAGTGACTCTCCTGCGTCAGCCTCCAGAGTAGCTGGAATTACAGGTGCCTGCCACCACACCCGGCTAATTTTTGGATTTTTAGTAGAGATGGGGTTTTGTTGGCCAGGCTGGTCTCGAACTCCTGGACTCAAGTGATCTGCTTGCCTTGGCCTCCCAAAGTGTTGGGATTACAGGTCTGAGCCACTGCGCCAGGCTTCTTCCCTCCCTAATTGTCCCCTATGGTCCTCCCAAGACCCTCCTTTCCTCCAGGCTTGTCCTCCACCCCTGCTCCTCCCTCCTACATCTGCCCTCACCTGATCACTGGCTCCCACTCCTCCCCAGAACTCTCCCTCCTCCCATCCTTCCTCCTCCCCTCCCCCTCCCCAGCCAGCCCGGAAGCTCCTTCCATATTTGATGTCTCAGCCGCCCCCCATTTCACTGCTCCCCTCCCGCGGAAAACACCAGAGAGGAGGAAATGATCCCGGCGGCGTTTCTCCATCCCCCCAACAGTGAGGCTGTGTTGGGGGGTTTCCCCTGACCATCCTCTCCCCACCCCCGTGACTCTGTGTATTTCTGTCCCCAGCTCTTGTCACCGCCTGAGACCTCGCGAGACTTTCGGTCCCCCCCGCCCCTTCCCCCCAGGTTAGCAATTGGGAATGGCTGGGAGGGGGTGTCCCCAAGACACTGGGCTTCAAATCTCCCCCCAAGCCCTCCCTCCTACGATCAAGACACCTTTTGTCCAGACAGCTCCCTTAGCGTTGCCTGGAAAAGCCACAGAGCTCCCTGCGGGGGTGCAGAACCCTGCAGGCAGCCCCAGGCTTTGCAGAAACCACACACACTGTTGCTGGATCTTGAGTCCCATTAGCTGTGAGATGCCTGTGAGAGCCTTCCCGCACCCGTCAGAAGCTCAGAGCCTTCTTGGACCCTTTAAAGATGTCCCTCTCCCCAGCCCTCCGCCTCACCGCCCCCCACCCCCGACCCCGTCCTTAGAATCTTCTGGAGGAGCCTCCCTCCCCCCCCACCCCCCCCCACTGCTCCTGGAGTTCTCATCGGATTCCCCAAGGGCACTGCCAGCTTCGCTCCACTCAGCCCCCTTGCAGACCCCACCCCCTGCCTGCTCTCTTTCCCTACAACTAGGTCAGCCCCCAGCCCCGCTACGGCGGCCGCACCGTTCCCTGCCCTCTCCGCTGGCTGCTCCCACATGCATTCCACCCAGCCCCTCCCCACGCCCCTGCCGCCCACCATCCCGCCTTGCTGCCCCCCACCTTTTGCCTCAGGTGAGGGGACCAGTGGAGGGGGGGAAGGGCGGTGGACTGTGGTGGGAATGGGGCGGGGGAGGCTCGGTGGGCACCAACCTGCCTCCTAATCCGGAGTCTCTCCCCCCTCCCCGATGTCTCCCCCTTTCTCATCGATGTTGACTGACTCCCCGATTTGTTCACTTTCTCTCTCCATCTCCTTGGTCCATCTCTGTCCATCTGTCTCTTGTCATCCGTCCTTTTGTGTCTCTGTCTGCCTGACTCTGTCTGTCTTGCCTTCTCTGTCTCTCTGGGTATCTGTTGTCCTCCCCTTCCATTTCTTTCTCTCTCTGTCTCTTTCTCCCTGCCTTGGGTCTCTCTGTCTGACCCTTCCCTGCACCCCATCTTCGTGCTTCCCCCCTGTGTCTGCACACCTCCCCACCCCCCAGGTTACGAGAAATCCCGCAGCCTCAGCAGCATCGCGGGCCTGAGCGGGGTGTCCCTGCGCCTCGCGCCCCTTGCCACCCCCCCTGGCTCTCCCCGGGCCGCCCGCCGCGCTCCCCCGACCCTGCCCTCCATCCTTTAGCGCTCCCCTCCCCCCTGTGGGGGGACTCGGGGGTGACCGGGAAGAAGGTCAAAGGAGCTGGGGGTGGGGGGTGGGGAAAAGGGTTTTTTTAAAAAAAATCAAAAAGTCATTAATAATATGCAACCGAGATGACGATGCCAGCAGACACCCCCGGGCCCCTCACCCCCAACCTGGGCCCCCAGGATGGAGAGAGGGGCCACAGCCCGTCCCCCCAACTCTTCCCTCCCCAAAAAAAGCCTTCTCAGGTCTCCACGAGCCATAGGACATCCCCCTGCCATCAACTTGTGTAAATAAGTCCAAATTATGCCAGTTACATCTTGGGGCACCTCCCCCCACACACTGCATGCCTTCCCTAACCTGGAGCCCCCACTCCAAGTCCACCTCAGCAATAAGCCGCCAGGGGCCGCATGCGCGGGTTTGAGGGGCAGGCACTCTGGGAAGGGGGTGGCACCTCCCGGGGGTCGGGCTGGCCTTTAAGGTCTCCAGCCTTCCCATCCTTCACCCCAGGAGGACAACCAACCCTGTGCGTTGATTAGGAGAAAACAAACCAGAAACTAGAAACAGTGTAGGGGAAGGAGGAACAGTTACCCAAGCCCCAGATCGGAGTTGAGCTCAGGTGGCGGGAGGGCGGGGCCGAGTTGAGCTCAGGTGGTGGGAGGGCGGGGCGGGCTTTGGACCTGCTCCCTCAGCCTTTAGGAGAATTCCTCTGGTGAATTTCACCCTCTCATCCGCCCCTTCCCCCAGGGACCTGCTCGCCTCTATTCTTGCTGCATGGACTCAGACCTCCTATCCCAGAATTCCTGGGATGATCTGGCCCTAGCACACGAAATTCCCCGACTATCTCCCTCCATTCCCAGGACATGAGACCTGCACCCAGAATTCTGAGACTGACCCTGGCACGCCACATCTCCCAATCCCCACACACTCCTGCGACTTAACCTCTGCACACAGAGGCTCCCTGAACCACCCTCCCTCCCCACTCCTGCCACCCCAAACACCCCCACCAAATTCCCTGAACTGCGTCCCAGCACTTCTCAAACCTCCAAGACTTGACCCAGCTCTTTTCAGCTCAAATTCAGCCTTTGGGATGCTCCAAATCCTTCCCACAACTGACATTTCTTGGACACCCCCAAAGCCTCAGGCCTGTTCCGCACCCATATCCCCAAAGCCCTAACAGACTTGTCCAGCCCAGGTTCCCTTGATGCTAGAACTTCCAAGATAGGCGCAACCTGTCTGCAATTCCAGGGAACCAGACCCTCCCCAAGCACCCTCTTTGTCTTACGCCTAACCCTGAGTCTCTTCCCTGAGATGGTGCCCCAAAGGTACCCTCTTCACAGACACCAGTGTTTCCCAGAGGGTTGTATTTGTACCTTTGGTGGTGTGCTAAGGTTTGAGGCAGTATGAGGACAAACACTTGTTTTAAAAGTTTTGTCTCTAATACGCATTTTGTACAGAAGCCGATAAGTGCAGGCATCGCTGCTTGGCTAGGACACGGTTTATTTAGGTTAAGAGTGTTTCCATTTAAAGTAGTCCACAGATGATCACAGAGGCTGTTCCCGAAGGGAGGAACACTGGAGTATCAGAAGATTGGGAACCGACAACACCCAGCTCGGCTGGGATCCCAGCCCCCCTTCCCCAGCGGTCCTCACCGCGTCACGCTCGCGGGTGGAAAATCATTTCCCACCTCCTATCCTGGCTCAAGGATGCGCTACCTCCCCCAAGCCCAGAGACCACACCGGTCCCAGACTCTTTAGCGGACCCCCCTTTTGGAGCCGGGGTCCCACGGAATTAGCCACCTCCCTCCCTCTGCTCCCACGGCCTCAGGAACCCCCCACCCGAGGGTGGATGGGGGGCGTCACTGAGCACGATTCTCGATGCAACGATTCCTATGCAAGGGGCATTTTGAGTCCCCCCCATCCTTCCCTCGGACCCTAAACCCTGGTGAAGCAGGGGTGAGGGGTGGGGCGGGTTTTGGTGGGGGCGGGGCAAAGGGCTAGGGGCTCCAGACACCAGGGTACGGGGTGGGGACTGATTATATTGCCAAAGGGTTCAACTTCTTTAACAAGCCCCCCCGTTTCCCCTGACCTTCACGAAAGCCGAAGGAGGCGGGGAAAGGGGGTGAGGGTCTTTTCCAAAGGGTACTGACCTCTTCCCAACGTCTCCCCCTGCTCGCCAGTCCGCCACACGTACCCAGCTTTTGAGTTCAGCTTTTCAAAATAACCACAATCATGATAAACTTCTACAAAACGTGATTCTCCTCCCCTCCCACCCCATCCCCCAAGTCAATAGTGTGGGATTCGGGGAGGGAGAGAGCGAGCTAAAGGGACTCTTTCCAAGTCCGGCTCCCCCTTTTCCCCCCGGCCGCCAGGGTGCCTGCACCTACACGCATGCGCTGCATGACGCGCCCCCCACACGCATGTCGCACCCCTCCTGCGCTCCGGGAACGCACGGACACGGGCCAGGGGGCGGGGCGATTGGGGAGGAATGAATGGCGGGGGGTCTTCCTGAGCTCCGCGGCTCACCCTCCCCAACACACACACACACACACACAGAGCAATAAGTTTCTCTCACTCAAATGTGGGCGGGGCGGGCCTAGCCTGTCGCTGGTGGGGGGAGTGGTGAGGGGGCGCTCTCAGGGATGGGGGCGGGGTTCGGAGACAGTGTGGGGAGGGGAGGTCTGCAAATCGTCCAACTCTGGTGCTAATGGCGGGTCTTCTCAGCCCACCCGCAGGGCAGGGAGGGAGGGGTCGGCGTGGCCCCTTCCCCAAGCCTCCCCCACGCCCACCCTGGGTGCATGAACCGCCCAATGCAGAAGCTGCCGCATGTCACCCCCCTCTCCCCAAAGAAAAAGTGTCATGCCCCCTTCCCACCCACCCTCACTCCCCACCAAAATAAACGTTTCCTTTTCATTTAAAAATGGCCTCCTGTGTGCCTGTTCGGAAAGTCTCCTGATTGCGGCTGGGGCGCACAGAGGGATTGGGACTTCTAGAGTGGGGCCCTATTGCTGGGCACAGTGGCTCAGGCCAGTAATCCAAGCACTTTGGGAGGCCAAGGACGCAGGAAGATCGCTTGAGGCCAGGAGTTCAAGACCAGGCTGGGCAACACAAGAGAGACCCTGTCTTTACAAAAAATAAAATAAAATTAGCCAGGTGTGGTGGCATCTGTAGTCCCAGCTACTCTGGAGGCTGAGGCGAGAGGATCGCTTGAGCCTGGGAGGTCGAGGCTGCAGGGAGCTATGATTGTGCCACCGCACTCCAGCCTGGGTGACAGAGTGAGACCCTTTCTCAATTTTTTAAAAAAGGGGAGGATGGGCTTTGGTGATCGTGACATCTGCTCCACGGCTTGCACCTTATTTAGGGCAAGCACCTGCCTCAGTTTCCCTGATAGTAAAAATGGGGATCCACACCTCTAACTGAAAAGTCACTGAGGACTCAGTCTGACGAACGTGAGCCCCCACACGAGGGTGCCTAGTTCCCACGAGAGAGACAGACCTGGGTCCCCAAGGTGGGGTCAGGGGCTGAGGGCTCAGCCTCTATATGTGCTGACTCTGAGGCCAGACTGTCTGGGTTCAAACTGTTTCAACTTCTTAGTAGCTGTGTGTCCTTGGGCAAGTCACTCAGCCTCTCTGAGCCTGTTTCCACCACTCTAAAAGGGTGGGAGGGGCATCACTTAGTTATTCAGCAAATATTGAGTGAATGCCTGCTGTGTGCCAGACACTGTTCTAGGCACTGGAGTGCAATGAAATCTCTACCTGTAGTGCTATGTAAGGGTTAAGATAAACTGTGTGCTTAGCACAGCACGCAGCACAAACGACCACGGCTGTCTTTTTGTTTTGTTTTGCTTTTGGGACAGGATCTCACTCTTCACCCATGCTACAGTGCAGTGATGCAATCATAGCTCACTGCAGCCTCCACCCCCTGGGCTCAAGTGATCCTCCCACCTCAGCCTCCCGAAGCACTGGGATCACAGGTATGAGCCACTGCAGCAGGCCTGTCATTTATTTTGCAAAACTTAAGAGTTGGCCCGAGTGCAACACCCCTTCTAGCACTCACTGGGGGCGTGGAGTGAGGGATGCTGCTGCTCTGAGACTGTTCCCTCATCTGTATAATGCAGGGAATATTTCCATTATACACTGGAGTCAGGAGGAAAGGAGTTATGAAGCGCCTGATCCACAGGATGTCCCTGTATACCCACGCAGGTGTCATTCTAACCAGCAGGCTGCCTGACCTGCTGCCCTAGCAGGCTGAAGCAGCCTGTGCCCATCCTGCCCCATCAGAGACCCCCTGCAGGAACACACACAGCCACAGAGATGGTCCAGTCGGGTTGGAGTTTATTTCTGCCAGAGCCTGGAGGCTGGGAGGGTAAAGGACACTCCTTTAGTCCCAGAGGGAAGCTCCGAACCCTCAGAGCAACCAGAAGGGAGGGCAGAGCATGGGCAGCAGCAGGAGTGAGAGGGGTCCCCTTGTCCTGCCCCTTTGCAAGGGTTCAAGGCTGGTGGAGGCCTGGGGCTTCTGTCGCTCAGGAGTTCAGGGGTGGACGCAGAAATGGGGGAAGGAGAGTGGCTACGTAGAGAGTGAGAGCGAGATTCCTAAAAAGATGCACAGAGAGACCCTCAGAGAGGCCAAGAAAGATGGTGAGAGGGTAGGGAAGGAGAGGGAGGGAGAGAGAGAGAGAGAGAGAGAAGCAGAGGGAATGGGTTGCACTGGCTGAGGATGGTGGAGGAGCCGTCTCACTCCCTTCCTAATGTCTATAGATCAATAACGAGGGAAGAAAGGAGGACAGGGAGCTGATGGAAACACAGCTTGCCAACTGTACCCAGTCCCCCAACAAGCAAGGTAGCTCCAGTCATTGCCTCCCTGCCTGCCCCGCTCCTCTGTGTTTAGGGGTCATCCTTTGATGGGAGGTTGCAGGGGACCCAGGTGGGGGTGATAAATGCCAGAGTGCTGCACCATTTCCAAAGGGCAAGAAGTCAGAGGGCGGGGTTCCTGGGACAGGGGCCCGTGGGGTCCAGGGAGGAAGGGGGCTGGGCCCCATCTGTTAGTGCATCTGGGGACAGGGTAGGGTCACTGGGGGTGGGCTGGTGGGGACCCCTCAGGCTCCGGGGATGGCCCAGACCCAGGCTGTGCTTCCTCTGCCTCCTCGTCGGATGCCACGCCCTCCTCTAGTCGGAAGACCTGGCGCACCGTGCGGGTGGTGAAGGTGAGGGGGCCGCGTCTGTGGGGAGGAGAGACCAGGATACAGAGATGAAATGAGGGGAGGGGAGGGGAGGAGAAAGGGGGAGGAGAGAGAGAGATGAGGGGGAGAGAGAGAGAGATAGGAAGAGAGAGAACAAAATAAGGGGGAAGAGAGGGATGAGATCAAGAGAAATGGAGGGAGACGGGCAGAAGCAATGGGGGGCAGAGAGAGATGAAGGACACACAGAGAGGAGGAAAGGAGAGAAAGGTGGTGGTGCACGGTGGGAAAGGAGGGCACAGAGATGACAGGGAGAAATGGGTGTGGGAAGAAAGAAGTTACCTGGATTTGGCTCTCCCGCAACACAGCCGCTGCTCCCACAGCCCCACACCCCCGTGGATCCCATTTCCCCCTGTTGTTGCCCCTGGCACGGCCTCGCGTCCCTGGGGTTTATGGAGTTAGGGTGCTCCCCACCCGTCAGGCCTGTACGTGGGATGACCATACCGAAGCCGGTTCCTCAGTGTGGTCACTTCACGGTTCATGGACTCGGCCGACTCTGTGACATCTTCCAGCTCACGCTGCAGCCTCCGGCGGCCGGCCTGAGCCCGGGATGCCTCCTCCTCGGCCTCCTCCAGCTGCCGCTTCAGCTGCTTGACTCGAAGGTTTCCCTTCTCCAGCTTGATGGAAGCAGGGGGACTGGGTTATATCTCCAGGTACTGTCATCACTCCCTCCCTCTCCAACAGCCCACTACTGCCCCATCCCTACTGCCCCCTGACTCTCTCTGCCCCATCCTCTGCTCTCTGTTTAGGCCTTGTTCTTTTCTCCTAAATCCCTCATGCCAGCCTCTACCCTGACCTCCAGTCTCTCCCCTCCAGGTTGTCTCCTACATGGCCTCAGAAAGGTCTTCCTATACCCAGAGCTGACCCAGACCCTCCTGCTCACAATCCTTTCATGGCTCCCCAGTACCCCCGGGACAAGGTTCCAGCCCCTCAGCCTGGCATTCCAGGCCCCACAGGGTCTTTTTCTTGTCCAGTTCTCTCTTCCCATAAACCCACTGTCCAGACCAACTTCACTGAGATCCTCCCCAGACCCTACCACCTCTCTCTTCAGGGAGGGAACATACATGATCTGACCTCATTTCTTATCGTTCAGCCTTCCTATCCCACATTTTCTGGAGTCAATGAGCTCCCATCACAAGAAGCAACGTGCAGGTGCTGGACTGGAAGTGAGTGCAGATACCATCCTGGCACTTGGCACATCAGCAGAGGGTTGGAATCAATGACTTCGCAATTTATAAATTCTGGCATCTAGGAAGGGCCCTTGTAGGGAGCTGAGGCAGCCAAAGTGAGGGAAGAAGTTAAACTCTACCAAGAAGCTAGACCAGGACTAAAATAACAACAGATGTTTATCTAGACCATACTAATCTGCTTTTTGTTCTGAACTCACCAAACGTATTTCTATTCTTCAAGGCCTTTATACTTGCTGTTCCCTCTGACTGGCTCTTTTTCACCCTTCAGGTATCAATTTAAATGTCACCTTCTCAAAGAGTTCTTCCTGATCTCCCAACCTGAAGAGGATTCCCCAATCCTCTGTGTCTTCCTCTCTCTTCACTTTTTTTCTTCATAGCCCTTGTCACAATCTGTAATTATCTGCTTGTTTACAGGTTTATTACGTCTCATCCTATGCAGAAAATGTGAGCTCCATGAGGGCAGGGACTTCCTCTGTTTCGTTCACATCCATATCCCTAATGCCTACCACAGTGTCTGGCACATAGCAGGTGCTCAATAATTGTTTGTGGAATGAATGGCGAATAAAGCACAGCTGAGCTTTTAAGGGCAGAGGGACTCTGTCCAGACAGACCTGGGATCTGATCCAGGCTCTATCTCTGTGACTCTGATGCAAAATATATCCTCTTAAAGTTTCAGTTTCTTCATCTGTGAAATGGGACTAGTGAGGAAATGCAAATATGTATTTTTTAAAAAGCAGTTGCTTATGACACAGTAACTGCTCAGTAAGTAATCAAGAACACACACTCTGGGGCTAGAGTGCTGAGGTTTGAATACTGACCCCACCTCTTACCAGCTAAATAATTTTGAGCAAGTTACTTCACCTTTCTGTACCTCAGTTTCCTCACATAAATAAGAGGGTAAATAATAGCACCTTCCTTCTACCATTCTGATAAGAATTAAACACAGTAAATGTTATGTCTTTAGCACAGTGCCTGGTACATAGAAGCTAGTCCTGGTCTAGCTTCTGGGTAGGGTTTAACTTCTTCCCTTGCCCTGGCTTCCTCAGCTCCCTACAGGGCCCTTTCTAGATGCCAGCATTTATGAATTGCAAACTCACTGATTCCAACCCTCTGCTGATGTGCCAAGTGCCAAGATGGTATCTGCATTCAGTTCCAGTCCAGCACCTGCACATTGCTTCTTGTGATGGGAGCTCATTGCCTCTGGAGACAGCCTGTGCAATTTCTCAGCCAGTGGTCACACTCTCCACTGCTCCCTAATGATGCCAGCTGCTTACCTGGTCCCGGAGCTGGTCAGCCACCCTCCGCTCCTCCTCCACCTGGAGCACCACCTCTTTAAGCCGCTTCTCAGCTCTGCGCACCAGCTTTCCAGAGAGGATGCGCTCTCTGAAGAGAGGGATGAGGAGGAGTCTCAGTAGAGGGGCTCAACCTAGGATTTTGTCCCCATAGACTCATGCAGTGGCTGTCACCTTGTTCTTGGATTGGCTTCTTCCCTCTTTCCTAACCCCTAAGTGGTTCCCACAGTTTACTGAGGCCAAACACTGACATGCAGGCTGCCTTCTCCTCGGCATCCATGTCCTTGGCTTCTACTAGGACACCTCACATACCTGTTTCCTATGATGTTGTGAGTTATAATAAGTATATGTTTGGTCCTATTCAGTTTCCAAAGAGGATCATTTACAAACTACAGTTTACTCTTTGGGCCCATTCATTTTCCCCTGAAAATCATTTACTATCTCTCACAATTGAATACATCCTTTTTGTCTCTCTCCCCTATAAAGAGGATACTTAAGCCTCAACCATCTGACCCTGTATAAAAAGTCTTATATTTTGCATGGCTCCTGTGTTCATGCACATTAATATATTTGTAGCCTTTTATTTTGTTAATCTATTTATTGTCAGTTTATTTCAGCAGACTTGAATCTTCAGAGCGGGAGGGAACACTCTTTCTGCCCTTACACCTGTCCTCTCCTGCATGGACCATCACATCTGGGGTGAAGTCCATGTGATGGGACCTCTAGCAATCGGGATTGCTTGACAGCCACCCTGGATACAACAGCCCCAGATGTGCTGAGAGGAAGGCACAGGGCTGGGGGCGAGTGGGAAGGCACTAAGCAGTGGAAAAGGATGAAGGAGAGAGACTTCTTTTTTTTTGAGACAGAGTTTCACTCTTGTTGCCCAGGCTGGAGTGCAAAGGCACGATCTCCAGCTCACCGCAACCTCTGCATCCTGGGTTCAAGCAATTGTTCCTGCCTCAGCCTCCCGAGCAGCTGGGATTACAGGCATGTGCCACCACACCTGGCTAATTTTGTATTTTTAGTAGAGACAGGGTTTCTCCATGTTGGTCAGGCTGGTCTCGAACTCCCAACCTCAGATGATCCGCCCGCCTCGGCCTCCCAAAGTGCTGGGATTACAGGCGTGAGCCACTGCGCCCGGCTGAGACTTCTTCAGCTAAGAATCATCTGGTCATTCTTTGCTCCCAGGGTGACTTTATTATTCTTCTGAGAAAGGGCCTTGCTCTGTTGCCCAGACAGGAGTGCAATGGTGTGATCATGGCTCACTGCAGCCTCAATGTCCTGGGCTCAAGCGATCCTCCCACCTCAGTGTCCCGAGTAGCTAGGACTACAGGTGTGTGCCATCATGCTGGGCTAATTTTTAATTTTTATTTTTGTAGAGATGGGGTCTCGCCATGTTGCCCAGGCTGGTCTTGAACTCCTGGGTTCAAGTGATCCTCCTGCCTCAGCCTCCCAAAGTGTGGGGATTACAGGCATGAGCCACTGCACCTGGTGCAGGGTGACTTTAAGCAACTCATCTACTCCCTCGGAACCTCAGTTTCCTCATTTGTATAATGGAGCAGGGGTCCCCATAGACCTCAAGCTACAGTTCCCATAAGCCCTGGGGCCCCTGGGTGACCCTGTGGACTGAGAACCACTTGTCTCATGCACCTCTGGGGCCGTTTCCTTCTGCCTGTCCCTGAGGCCTTTCACTCTCATCAAGTTCCACAACGAATTTAGCATCTTCCTCCAAAAAGCCAATATTCCCTCAGTCACCAGGCCTTAGCTCCAAACAGTGTCTTCTTCCCCTGCCACCACCCATAGCCTCCGCTTCATTCCTTCTGCCCCCTGCTTTCTCTTCTTCATCCTCTCTTGTTCATCTTCACAGCCCCAGCCCCAGCTCAGGCCTCATCTTGTTCTGCTTGGACCATCATTCCAGACTCCTTCCAAACCTCCCAGCTTCCAGTCTCCCTCCTCTGATCCATTCCCACCTTAGCCCCAGAGAGATCTTTCTATACCTAGAGCTGGCCGTGTCCCTCCCCAGCCCACAGCCTTCCCATGGCTCCCCATTGCCCCCAGGGCTCCCCACTGCCCACAGAACAGAGTTCCGTGGCCCAGTATTCAAGGCTCTGTGTGCTTCAAGCCTCATTTACCTCCCTGTCTCCCTGATCCCTCTCCTGGGTCCCAGACTCTCAGAACCAACCACACTCCTCCTCCAAATGCCCTGATGTCTCCCAGACTTTCCCACAAAGCTGCCAACTGACTTGGGACTCTAAGCCCTGGAAATCCCATTCTTGTCAGCTCCAGCTCAAGTGCCTCCTCCTCTAGATACCCTTCCCAAACCACTACATCTCAGGGTATTCCAGCTTCTTCTTCATCTGTGTCCCTTCAACCCTTCTAGTTCATAGGCCTTCATTGCCATGTCCAGCTCATGAGTCTTTCACCTTGGGGAATCCCACCAGACATGGTATTAGACATACCATGGAGGTAATTAGACATACTTCCATGGTACGTCTAATTTTTTCAGTGACCAGCACATGGGAAGGTAAACAGTACACTCCTCTTTTTTTGGAGTCGGAGTCTTGCTCTGTTGCCCAGGCTAGAGTGCAGTGGTGTGATCTCGGCTCACTGCAACCTCCACTTCCCAGGTTCAAGTGATTCTCCTACCTCAGCCTCCTGAGTAGCTGGGATTACAGGTGTCCATTACTACTCCCGGCTAATTTTTGTATTTTTGGTAGAGACGGGGTTTCATCAGGTTGGCTAGGTTGGTCTTGAATTCCTGATCTCAAGTGATCTGCCCGCCTTGGCCTCCCAAAGTGCTGGGATTACAGGCGTGAGCCACCATGCCTGGCCCCAACAGTACACTCTTAATATTTGTTTGTTGAATGAATGAATACAAAAGGGAACCTTATATAAATTTGATGTATAATATAATAACATTCCTCCCCATGAGATAATGTGCAGATGATGAATAGCAAGTCAAGTATCCTACATTTATAGCCCATCTCAGCCTCAGTTTTTCTACATGCAAAATAGGATAACAATGGTCTTTCTCTCACAGGGATTATGTGGTATCATACAGGTATATACAAGTAGTCCAACACCTGATATATAGTAAATCCTCAATAAATAGGAACTATTAGTATTGTTGTAATTATTGTTGCTGAATAGTACTGAGCAATAGGAAAATCTATTGTATTGGAAGAGTGAAAGGTATTAGGCTTAGTAATAAATATTCTGTTCATTTTATTAGCACAGCAGTTCTCAACTAGGAATGTTATGGGGGCATTCTTGGTCATTCCAGCAACTGGAGATGGAAACTCTTTCAGCCCCATACTACTGCTGCTTCCTGTCTCTGAACATGGATGTCTGTGGGTATGGTTCTTGGTGCAATTGCAGCCATTTTATGACCATGAGGAAAAGACTAAAAAACAACACAGATGTTGATCCAGAGCCCTACCATCTTTTGGCTGCCTAGCTCTAGACTTCTTATCACTTGAAAAAAAGACATTCCTCTTTGTGCTAGACTGATACAACAGATGGTCCCAGTTCTCACCCCTTTCTGTATCCATACCCTTGGCAATATGACTTTGCAGTTGCTCCTATCAAACAGTCATATCTATTTCCCCATTCCTTTGAATCTGAGCGGGCTGAGTGACTTGCTTTGGTTAATAGGATATGGCAGAAGTGACACAGTACCAGTTCCAAGTGCAGGCCTCAAGGAGTCTTTAGCACTTTCCCTTGCTCTTAGAACCTTGACTCTGTCATATGAACAATCCTGGGCTAGCCTCCTGGAGGATGAGAGGCCACATAGAGCAGAGACAAGTTAGCTTAGTTGTCCTAGGCAAAGCCTTAAGAGTTATGCAAGCCCAGCCAATACCACTCATGCTGTTCTTGAAAAGAAAAAAGAAAAAAAAAATGAAAGCCCAGCCAAGATTAGCAAATCCATCTAGCTGACCCTCAACTGAGCGGATGATGAGTGAAGCCCACCAAGCCCAAATGAGCAGAACTTACTAGCCAAAGACTCATAAGCAATAATAAATGGTTGTTGTTTTAAGCCACTAAGTTTCAGAGTAGTTTGTAATTCAGCTATAACTAACTGGCACGTTATTACGTAAATAATACTCGTAGTGAGACTGCAGTTACTTGCAGCCCAAAGCATCCTAAATGATACAGAAAATCAGCAATCATTTAAATATTTACATATATTTACACACTTTGTTTGTTTTTTCTTTTTCTTTTTCTTTTTTTTTCTTTTTGAGGCGGAGTTTCACTCTTGTTGCTAAGCTGGAGTGCAATGGCGTGATCTTGGCTCACCACAACCTCCGCCTCCTGGGTTCAAGCGATTCTCCTGCCTCAGCCTCCCGAGTAGCTGGGATTACAGGCACGTGCCACCACGCCCGGCTAATTTTTTGTATTTTTAGTAGAGACGCAGTTTCTCCATGTTGGTCAGGCTGGTCTCGAACTCCCGACCTCAGGTGATCTGCCCGCCTCAGCCTCCCAAAGTGCTGGGATTACAGGCGTGAGCCACCGTGCCTGGCATCTTTTTCTTTTCTTTTTTTCTTTCTTTTTTTTTTTTAAATGGAGTCTGGCTCTGTCACCCAGGCTGGAGGGCAGTGGCGCAATCTCGGCTCACTGCAACCTCTATCTCCTGAGTTCAAGCAATACTCCTGCCTCAGCCTCCCCAGTAACTGGGACTACAGGCATGAGCCACCACACCCAGCTAATTTTGGTGTTTTTTGGTAGAGATGGGGTTTCACCATGTTGGCTAGGCTGGTCTCAAACTCCTGCCTTCAAATGATCTGCCCGCCTTGGCCTCCCAAAGTGCTGGGATTACAGGTGTGAGCCACTGTGCCTGGCTGTTTTTTTTTTTTTTAGAGACAAGGTCTTCCACTGTTACTCAGGCTGGAGTGCAGTGTTGTGATCACAGCTCACTGCAGCCTCAAACTCCTGGGCTTAAGCTATCTTCTTATCTCAGGCTCTTGAGCAGCTGGGACTACAGGCACACGCTAACACACCTGGCTTTTTTTTTTTTTTTTTTTTTTTTAGAGATGAGGTCTTGCTATGTTGCCCAGACTGGTCTGAAAACTCCTGGCCTCAAGGGATCCTCCCGCTTCTGCCTCCCAAAGTGCTGGGATTACAGGCGTGAGCCACCATGCCAGGCCAGCAGTCATTACTATGATGATGTCTTTTGGATGTTTCTAAACCACGTGTTTGTAACACAGCCTCCTTCCTCTCACCAACCAGAATGTGGAGGTCACCTTTCTCCTGTGGCCTCCGCTCTCACCTACCTGGTCTCTTGCTCTAGCTGCTCCTCAGCCTGGGCCAACTTAGACTCAAGGGCAGCAATGGTCATCTTGTGGCGGGCACGGGCCCCAGCATCCTCCTCACCCAGGCGTCCCCGTAGCTCCTGGATCTGCCGTTCCAGCTGCTGCCGCCCGCTCTCTGCCTTGGCTGAGAAACTGCGCTCAGCTGACAGCTCTGTGGTCAGTGACTCTACCTGTAGCAGGAGGGGAAGGAAGGATGTCATGGTGGAGTCTCAGAGGGAAGGTGGTAGGTAAATCCAGGCACCTCTGAGAATTAAGTGCACTGATGATTGTCACACGCATAGCACAGAGCCTGAAACATACTAAATACTCAACAGATGTTAGCTTGTATTTTTATTAATAGTTTATTGACTTGTCACCCACAGCACTGCCAGCCCTGGGTCTTAACATTTTGGATAGTTTTCTGCTTACTTTAATAAGTCCACGAGACCATCACAAACTTGTTTAAATGTCATAAATTCTACTTCTGACTGTGAATGAGTCCATTCTAAGGGTTATCACACTTTTGTTTGCACCAGGATCATCTGGGGGAGCTTGGGAAAAAAATGCAGACATCTGGGTCTCACCCTTCAGAGATTCTGACTCAGCAATACCAAAGTGGAGTCTGGGAATCTGCACTTATAACGGGCATCTCAGGTGTTATATGCAGGAGCATTTTGAGAAACACGGCCTCAATAAACAGTAGCTGCTACGTGGAAAATGTGTAAACACACCCCTAATAATAGTTCCCGTTTATTTATTCAGCTCGTACTCTGAGCGAGGCCTTCTGCTGGGTACATGGAAGTGAGTCAGACCCAGTCTGATTCATACTTTATTTTACCCTCGCAGGGACACAATGACTGGGTAATTAGCATATTCTCCTTTGTGGGGTTTTTTTTTTTTAACTTAAAAAACTTTTTTTGAGACAGTTTTGTTCTGTTGCCCAGGCTGGAGCACAGCCGTTGCCCAGCTGGTGAAATCCCAGCTCACTGCAGCCTCAAACTCCCAAGCTTAAGTGATCCTCCCACTTCAGCCTCCTGAGTAGATGAGATCACAGGCGTACACCATCACCCCTGCTAATTTTATTTTATTTTATTATTTATTTAGAAACCATGTCTTGCTCTGTCGCCCAGGCTGGAGTGCAGTGGCACGATCTCAGCTCACTGCAACCTCTGCCTCCCAGGTTCAAGCGATTCTCCTGCCTCAGCCTCTTGAGTAGCTGGAATTACAGGTGCCTGCCACCACAACTGGCTAATTTTTGTATTTTTTGTAGAGATGGGGTTTCTCCATGTTGGTCAGGCTGGTCTCGAACTCCTGACCTCAAGTGATCCACCCACCTCAGCCTCCCAAAGTGCTGGGATTACAGGTGTGAGCCACCACGCCCGGCCTCAAACTTTTTATTGTGAAATAAAATGGTGATACAGAGAGCCAAACATTAATCAAATAAAAAAAATCAGTAATAAATATTCTGCTAGTTTTATTAGCACAGTAATTCTCAACCAAGAACATTATGGGAGTGTTCCTGATTATTCCAGCAGCTGGAGATGAGAACCGTTTCAGCCCCATGACCCTGCTGCTTCCTGTCTCTGAACATGGATGTGTGTGGGTGTCATCCCGCACAGGCATCATGAGTTAACAAAAGGCAGACATCACTGTCAGTAGCACCTTGGTCAAGAAAGAGAACTTTGCCCTTCCAGAAGCCCTTTCATGCACTACTCCTAATGAAAACCTCTTCCTTCTCCCCAAAATATCATGTTATCCTGACTTCTCAGGTCCTCATTTCCTTGTATGTCTTTAGTTTTATTACACACAGATGCATCCCTAGATCCTATAGTTGAATCCTACCCATTTAAAAAAGTAGATGTATGTGGGTTTGTTGTTGTTGTTGTTTGTTTGTTTTTGTTTGTTTTGAGACACAGTCTCACTCTGTCACCCAGGCTGGAGTGTAGTGGCACGATCTCGGCTCACTGCAATCTCTGCCTCCCGGGGTCAAGCGATTTTCTTGCCTCAGCCTCCTGAGTAGCTGGGATTACAGGCACGCACCACCACACCTGGCTAATTTTTGTATTTTTAGTAGAGATGGGGTTTTACCATGTTGGCCAGGCTGGTCTCAAACTCCTGACCTCAAGTGATCCACCCACCTCGGTCTCCCAAACTGCTAGGATTATAGGCGTGAGCCATCACGCCCGGCCAGATATATGTCTTTTAAGTCTCTTTTAACCTGCAGTTCCCTCCTCCATCCCTTTTATTCCTTTAAAATTTTTTTTTTTTTTTTTTTTTTTTTGAGATGGAGTCTTGCTCTGTCACCAAGGCTGGAGTGCAGTGGTGCAATCTCAGCTCACTGCAACCTCTGCCTCCCAGGATCAAGTGATTCTCCGGCCTCAGCCTCCCAAGTATGTGGGACTACAGGCACACACCACCACGTCCGGCTCATTTTTGTATTTTTTTGTAGAGATGGGATTTCTCCATGTTGGGCAGGCTGGTCTCAAACTCCTGACCTCAGGTGATCTGCCCGCCTCGGCCTCCCAAAGTGCTGGAATCACAGATGTGAGCCACTGCCCCCAGCCTATTTCTTACAATTTATCTGTTGAAGAATGTAGGTTGTTAGCCTTGTAGAGTTCCTCTCTGTCTGGATTTTTCTGATCACACACTTACGGTCTAATTCAGCATTTATTTGTCTCTCCTCTGTGTTTCCTGGAAATTGGCAGCTGTGTCCAGGGACTTTATTCTTTCTTTCTTTCTTTCTTTTTTGTTTTTTGTTTTCTGGAGACAGGGTCTCACTCTTGTCCAAACTGGAGTGCAGTGGCACAATCATAGCTCACTGCAGCATCAAACTCCTGGGCTCAAGCGATTCTCCGGCCTCAGCCTCCTGACTAGCTGGAACTACAGGTGCACACCATCATGCCCTGATAGTTTTGTTGTTGTTGTTGTTTTTGGTAGGGACAGGGTCTCACTTTGTTGTCCTGGCTGGTCTTGAACTCTTGGTCTCAAGCAATCTACCTGCTTCAGCTTCCCAAAGTGCTGGGATTACAGGCATGAGCCACTGCACCCGATCTTTCTGTCTTATTTGTGAATTTTCTTTTTTCTTTTCTTTTTTTTTTTTTTAGATGGAGTCTCGCTCTGTTGCCTAGGCTGGAGTGCAGTGGCTCGATCTCGGCTCACTGTAACCTCTGCCTCCTGGGTTCAAGCTATTCTTCTGCCTCACCCTGCTGAGTAGCTGGGACTACAGGCACCCGCCACCACGCCTGGCTAATTTTTGTATTTTTAGTAGAGACAGGGGTTCACCATATTGGTCAGGCTGATCTTGAACTCCTGCCAGCCTCGGCCTCCCAGAGTGCTGGGATTACAGGTGTGAGCCACCGCGCTTGGCCTTATTTGTGAATTTTCAAGGGAATTTGTACCTGTGATATTGCTTTGCGTATATACTTCATGTGTGCATGTGTGTGTGTGTGTATGTGTGTGTGTTTGTGTGTGTGTTGGGTTTTGTCCATGGTTCCTTGATCATAATTTGCATAGCCCTTTTAGAGTAAACAGAACCTCTCTCTCTAACCTCCTCCTGCCCCCTCTTTCACCTGCACAAGGCAGAAACTCTAACCTGACTGTGGATCACAGGACCCTCATTTCAGAGGGGGAAGGAATGCTGCATAGAGAAGCCAGGAAGAATCTGAACAGACAGGCCTCGCTGGGTTTAGATCGGACCCTTTTTGTCCAATCACATTTCTACGTGGTTGTTAATCACACCTATCCAGTGACGTCTCCATAAAAGGCCCAAGAGGACAGGGTTTGGGCAGCTTCTGGAAGCTGAACATGTGCAGTACCTGGAGGGTGGCGCTCCCAGGAGGGCACGGAAGCTCCATGCCCCTCCCCCATGCCCTCCCCATGCACCCATGGGGTGAATAGACTCCCACGCAAAATTCATGTCCACTCAGAACCTCGGAATGTGACCTTAGTTGGAAATAGGATCTTTGCAGTTGTAATTGATTAACGCGAGGTCACACTGGATTAGGGTGGGCCTCAAATCTGATACGGCTGGTGTCCTTTTAAGAGGAGATGAGGGCCAGGCAATGGTGGCTCACACCTGTAATCCCAGCAATTTGGGAGGCTGAGGCAGCGGATCACCTGACATCAGGAGTTCGAGACCAGCCTGGCCAACATGGTGAAATGCCATCACTACTAAAAATACAAAAAAAATTAGCCAGATGTGGTGGTGGGCGCCTGTAATCCAGCTACTCGGGAGGTTGAGGCAGGAGAATCGCTTGAACCCGGGAGGTGAAGGTTGCAGTGAGCTAAGATCAGCCCATTGCACTCCAGCCTAGGCGACAAGAGCGAGACTCTGTCTCAAAAAAAAAAAAAAAAAAAAAAAGAGGAGATGAGACAGAGCCACAAAGATGGGAAAATGCCTTGTAAAGTTAAAGGCAGAGATTGCAATGACACATCTACAGATGAAGAAACAGCAGGGACTGCCAGCACCCACGGGAAGCCAGGGGAGAGGCATGAACAAGAGGAACCAACCCTGCCCACACCTTGATTTCAGACCTCTGGCCTCCAGGACCACGAGAGAATACATTCCTGGCCGGGCGCGGTGGCTCACGTCTGTAATCCCAGCACTTTGGGAGGCCGAGGCGGGCGGATCACGAGGTCAGGAGTTTGAGAGCAGCCTGGCCAACATGGTGAAACCCCCTCCCTATTAAAAATACAAATATTAGCCAGGCATGGTGGTGCATGCTTGTAGTCCCAGCTACTTGGGAGGCTGAGGCAGGAGAATCACTTGAATCCGGGAGGCAGAGGTTGCAGTGAGCCAAGATCACACCACGGCACTCCAGTCTGGGTGACAGAGCGAGACTCCATCTCAAACAAACAAACAAACAAAAAAAAACAGAGAGAATACATTCCTGTTGCTTTAAGCTACTGTGTTTGTGGTAATTCATTATGGTGGCCCTAGGGAACTAACACAGCAACTAATTAATATTTTTTTAAAACGTTGCTGTTGAATTTAAACAGATTTCAAGGGATTAAATCAGTTGCAATTATTTTCCTCATTGAAGCTCAACTTGCCCCACTTTGGGCCAGCGCGAGGCTCTTCACGTTGACTTCTACGTGCTCTTGACATAACTATACTATCTTTCCTGCTAATGGGTATCGCAAAATGTTCTGGGTTACTCTTGTTCATTGCCTGCTCCAGATCTGGAATCAGCCACTTCGGAAGAAGCTCCAGTTTCATTTCTCTTCTTTTCTTTTTCTTTTTTTTGAGACAGGGTCTCACTCTGTTGCCCAGGCTGGAGTGGAGTGGCACAATTCTGGCTCACTACAACCTCTGCTTCCCGGATCCAGGCAATCCTCCTACCTCAGCCCTCAGAGTAGCTGGGGCCGCAGGCGTGCCCGCCATCGCACCTGGCTAATTTTTTTTTTTGTAGAGACGGGGTCTTACTGGGTTGCTCAGGCTGGTCTCAAACTCCTGGGCTCAAGCAATCCTCCTGCCTTAGCCTTCCAAGGAGCTAGGATTACAGGTGTGAGCCACTGCGCCCAGCCAGCCCCAGTTTCTTTTAGAGGGAAACAGCATTTCCAGATCACAACGTGGATATAGGGATACTCATTGCTACTGGGTTCCCTGTTTCTAGGCCTTTTGGGTGGTCAGAGAGACTGGATCTGTATAAAATACATCACCAGTTCACGTGAATATGATGAAGTCAAATTGAGAACTACAGGGGTTTGCTTAGTTTTGTTTTTAAACTTTTTTTTTTTTTTTGAGACAAAGTCTCGCTCTGTCACCCAGGCTGGAGTGTAGTGGCACGATCTCAGATCACTGCAACCTCCGCCTCCTGGGTTCAAGCAATTCTCTGCCCCAGCCTCCCGAGTAGCTGGACTACAGGTGCCCGCCATCACGCCTGGCTAGTTTTTGTATTTTTAGTA
Organism: Homo sapiens; assembly: GCF_000001405.40. Taxonomy (NCBI): domain Eukaryota; kingdom Metazoa; phylum Chordata; class Mammalia; order Primates; family Hominidae; genus Homo; species Homo sapiens. Next base: position 50,295,944 of record NC_000019.10, on the reverse strand, counting down.
GAGACGGGGTTTCACCATGTTGGCCAGGCTGGTCTTGAACTCCTGACCTCATGATCTACCCGCCTCAGCCTCCCAAAGTGCTAGGATTATAGGCATGAGCCACTGCGCCTGGCTTAAACTATTTTTTAAACATAATTTATCACTTTTCTTTTTGAGACAGGGTCTCACTATGTTGCCCAGGCTGGAGTGCAGTGGTGCAATCATGGCTCACTGCAGCTTCGACCTCCCTGGGCTCAGGTGATCCTCCCAACTCAGCCTCCTGGGTAGCTGGGACTATAGGTGTGCACCACCACACCCAGCTAATTTTTCAATTTTGTGTAGGGATGGAGTTTTGCCATGTCATCCAAGCTGGTCTGGAGCTCCTACGCTAAAAGCAATCCACCAAAAGTGCTGGGATTCCAGGCGTGACCCACTGCGCCCCACTAAACGTAATTTCTTTTCTCTTTTTATTTCACATATATTTTTTGTAGAGATGGGGTCTCACTGTGTTGCCCAGGCTGGTCTCAAACACCTGGGCTCAAGCGATCCTTCCACCTTGGCCTCCCAAAGTGCTGAGATTACAGGCATGAGCCACCATACCTGGCCTGTTTTTTTTGTTTTGTTTTTTTGTTTTTTGTTTTGAGATGGAGTCTTGCTCTGTCGCCCAGGCTGGAGTGCAGTGGTGCGATCTCGGCTTACTGCAAGCTCTGCCTCCCGGGTTCATGCCATTCTCCTGCCTCAGCCTCCCGAGTAGCTGGGACTACAGGTACATGCCACCATGCCCGGCTAATTTTTTGTATTTTTAGTAGAGACGGGGTTTCACTGTGTTAGCCAGGATGGTCTTGATCTCCTGACCTCGTGATCTGCCCGCCTCGGCCTCCCAAAGTTCTGGGATTACAGGCGTGAGCCACCGCGCCCGGCCACACCTGGCCTGTTTTTAAAAAAAAAAAAAAAAAAAAACTTAATCTCTTCTCTAGGACAACTATATCAAGGTTCTTTGGTGCTGAGTACCCTGATGTCAAGGACGTAGTAGATGACATAGTATCCCATCTTTGATCATTTACTTTATCCCACATTATAAACTCAATGTCTCAGAAAAACAGTGCTAATACTATCACCATCAATTAAAGTAGGTTAAAACATTTTGCATATTTTCCCCATTCTCTCCATTTAAAAAGTAGTCTTACTACACATAACTGTTGAGCATATAATTATTACCTTTTTTTTTTGAGACAGGGTCTCACTCTGTCATCCAGTCACCCAGGCTGGAGTGCAGTGACACAATCATAGCTCACTGCAGCCTCAATCTCCCAGGCTGAAGCGATCCTCCCTCCTCAGCCTCCCAGGTAGTTGGACTACAGGCATGCACCACTGCACCTGGCTAATTTTTAAATATTTTGTAGAGAAAATTGGAGAATCAGGAGAATCGCTTGAACCTGGGAGGCAGAGGTTGCAGTGAGCCGAGATAGCACCACTGCACTCCAGCTTGGGCAACAGAGGGAGACTCCACCTCAAAAAAAAAAAAAAAAAATTAGAAAAAAACTAATGAAGAATGCAGACATTGGTTTGTCCTTGGAAATCCCATCACTCTGTTGTCTTCTTGGCAAACTCTTACACTTCCTTTAAGATCTCTCAAGGCATCACCTCCACCAGGAAGCCTTCTCTGATGGCCTCTATCCTCCAGGCTAGGTTGGTAGTCCCTTCTAGGTTCCCACAGTGCCCGTGTTTCCTCCATTTTCACTTGTATCTCTGTATTGGGATGGTCTATTTCCTCCTTTAGACTAAGACGTGTTTGAGGGCAGAGGCTTAGTATTAACCATCTCCAGGTCCCCAGCATAACCCGGAATAGGATCTGGGCCACCGGAATCCTCAGAAAATATTTATAAATAAATATGCAAAGGAAAACATGCTTTTCTCCCTCTGCTGAACTCCAACTTATGCTTTAAAACCCCCAGCCAAATGTCTCTTTTTCCAAATGTTTTCTTATGACTCCTGCAGAAAGTCTTTTCTCTCTCTCTACTGGGCCCAGGAGACTTCCATGATCACACTTGCTGGCCCATGTCTGTTTCCCCACATAATTCATCTTTGGATTTAGCCCTGAAGAAACCCCTCAGAAATACAAGTGAATCATGCCTTTCAACCCTTTTAAGAACTCCTATTCAACCTTCAAAACCCAACTCAAATATCCCCTTTCTATATTTGTTGAATAAGAGGACTGAAGGTTACGGTCCCAGGTCAATGGGGACTGAGGCTGGTGGGGGCGGTCAATCACGCTCACCTGCAGGAGCAGCTTGCGGTAGCGGTCATTGAGCAGCTCCGAGTTGCTCTGCTCCTCCTCCAGCTCTTCCTCCAACTGCCCCAGGCGCCCCTCCAGCTGACGCTTCTCCTCCAGAATGGCTGCCCTAGGGAGACAGGAAGGCGTGGGGATGAAAGGACAGGATGGTCAGAGGAGGGTGCCTTGCCTCACACTACAGGACCCTGTGGTTAGCCCCACGCATCTCCCCAGCCTCACACCCCAGGGGCCCCGAGGTTAACCCCGCCCACCTCCCAGTTTCCTGTCCCAGAGCCCAGCCACCTCCAGCCTACCCCAGCTTCACCTCCTGCAGACGCAGTACCTCAGCCTTCAGACCCTTGGGGCACTTACTTGCTAAGGTTACCATTGGCCACCTCATCTGCCATCTCATCCCGGTCCTGCTGGGCCTGCCGCCGAGCACGGTCCGAGGCGGCCAGTTCCTGTGATGATGGAGGGGTGGCCGGTGGGTGTGAGGAGAAGCAATCTGGGCACGGGTCTCACCCCTTTCTCTGTCCCTCACACCTCAAGGCTCTTGGCTTTTTTCTCATGCTGTCCCTGGGTAACCCTGGAATGAGCTGCAACCTACAGATGTCTCCTAAATCTGTCTCCTGAGCCCCTGACCTGTGCTCACCTCTTGCAGCCCAACCCCCAGGCCCCTCACCCTCTCCACCTTTTACTGCACACAGGTCCTCCTCTCAAACCTGCCTCTCCTCCAGGGTCCCCCAATCACCGGGCCAGACCCCCAGTGCTCTCCTCCCCTCCTCCGGCCCCCCTCACCATAGCCTTCTCCCTCCTGCCTTCTGACTGCCTTCTCCGTCCTCTGCATCCCCTTGGCCCTGGCTCAGGGTTCTCTCTCTCTTTCTCAATCTCTCTCTCTCTCCCCTCTCCCACTCCCACTCCCACAGCCTTTGTGACTCCAATCTCCCCACTCCAGTTCAACTGCTACAGAGCTGACCCTGCCCATCCTCTGTTCTGGATCTTTCCATGGCTCCCTAGTGCCCTAAGACAAAATCCCTGCTCTTAGGCTGGCATTGCAGGCCACATGGTAAGACACACCCACCTCCCGAGCCTTACACCCTGGGACCCTGTGGTTAGCCCCGCCCACCTCCCCAGCTTCACATCCAGGGACCCTGTGGTTAGCCCCGCCCACCTCCCCAGCTTCACATCCAGGGACCCTGTGGTTAGCCCCGCCCACCTCCCCAGCTTCACATCCAGGGACCTCAAGGTTAGCCTTGCCCACCTCCCAGCTTCCTGTCCCAGGGCCCAGCCTACCCCAGCCTCACCTCCTGCAGCCGCAGCACCTCAGCCTCCAGGCCCTTGAGGCGCTTTTCACTTTCCCGATTCTGGGAGAAGATCTCCTCCCGGGAGGTGCGTGTCTCCTCCACCTCCCGCCATAGCTCCTTCATCTGGGCCTGGGTGGAACGGAATAGGTAGATGGGCTCAGCCTGGCCACACAGCACAGGGAACTCCTCCACCCCCTTGCCAGACCGACGGGGCTCCTCAGCTCCCGTGAACAAGCAGGGAACTCTCCGAACCCTGCAGACCTGGGCTCCTGTGTATAAAGCCACTTGCTGTGTGACCCTGAGCCAGCCTCTCCCACTCTGGTCCTCAAGGGAGGAGGTTGACCTGGCTGAGAACTAGAAGGCAGCTGGAAGCCTGATGGAGCCTGGCTTCAAGTTAGATAGACATGGGTTTGAATTACAACTTGGCCATATCCTTGCTGGGTGACTGTGAGCCAGCCACTGCCCCTCTCTGAGCCTCAGTTTGCCTACTGTTGATTTATTTATTTTATTTCTATCTTTACTTTTTTGAGACAGTCTCGCTCTGTCACCCAGGCTGGAGTGCACTGGTGGGATCTCAACTCACTGCAACCACTGCCTCCCGGATTCAAGCAATTCTCCTGCCTCAGCCTCCTGAGTAGCTGAGACCACAGGTGCGTGCCACCATGCCTGGCTAATTCTTGTATTTTTAGTAGAAACAGGGTTTCACCATATTGGCCAGGCTGGTATTGAACTCCTGACCTCAGGTGATCTGCCCATCTTGGCCTCCCAAAGTGGTGGGATTACAGGTGTGAGCCACTGTGTCTGGCCAAAAAACCATATGGTATTTTCACTTCAAAAACAAAACCATGGGGGCGGGTGGATCACTTGAGGCCAAGAGATCGAGACCAGCCTGGCCAACATGGCAAAACCTTGTCTCTACTAAAAATACAAAAATTATGGCGCACGCCTGTAATCCCAGCTACTCAGGAGGCTGAGGCAGGAGAACTGCTTGAACCTGGGAGGCAGAGTTGCTGTGAGCTGAGATCACGTCGCTGCACTCCAGCCTGGGTGACAGAATGAGACTGTCTCAAAAAAAAAAAAACCAACTGAACAAACAAAGAAACAAACAAAAAAATGAGGAAATTTGACTTAAAAGTGCAGCATTTTAAATGAAAGAAATGTAAAATAGAAGAAGAAGGAAGCCAGCCTCTGGGGCATGGATGTTTATAAAGGTGCTGACCCATGCGGATGCTGCCTGTGGGTTGAGAGCGAGGGGTCCGAGCTAGCCTTAGACCCTGGAGTGATGGTTGGGGCTTGAAGACACCAAAGCCTCCCCTCCCTGCAGCTCACGCCGGCTCTTACCTGCATCTTGCGAAGCTGCTTCACCGCCTCCTCCTTGCCCTGGCCGGCAGAGGCCATCTGAGCCTTCAGCTCCTCCAGCTCTCCCTCCAGCTTCTTGCGGGCAGCCACGGCCAGAGTGCGCTGCTTCCGCTCCTCATCCCGCTCCACCTCTGCATCTCTCAGCTGGAGAGGAGGTCAGGAGGGACCGGGTCAGACACAGGAAGCCCAGCCTCCCTCTGTGTGCTAGGGACATGGATGTCTGCCCTGGAGCTCCTGCCCAGGCTGCAAGCCCCGCTCCTCTCACTCCCTGACTCTCTTTACTTGGTCTCCTCTCTATCCCTACTGCCCCAGCTCAGTCCCCCATCTCACCTAAGCCTCCTTTCTAGCCTCTCATCTCTCCCCTCCAGCCCATTCCAACACGTCTCCAGAGCTGATCCTGCTCATAGCCCTCCCATGGTTCCCCAGTGCCCCCAGGGCCAAGTCTTGGACACTCAGCCATGTCTAAGTCAAAGGGGCTAGCAGAGACAAAACCCTGCAGAGACCCCTGGCCTTAGGTCACCTGTTCACCTCTCTTCCCTGCCTCCCCAGCTTCTAGCACCCTCCACCCCAAGTCTGTTGCCTACATGGCTCCAGCGGGGTCTTTCTGACACCCAGAGCTGCCCCTGCCCCTCACCACCTAGTAGAGGGGAGACATGGGAAGTTCCTGGACTGAACGAGTAATGAATGAACGATGCAGGGAGGGAGAGAGCAATGGAACAAACAAGGAAGCGAGGGAGCGATGACTGACTGGATTGGGGAAGGATGTGGATGGAGGGGAGGGCGGATGAGCAGGTCAGTGAGTCAGTGACTAAGTGGAGTCAGCAGGGGGTGCTGAGGGGCTGGGGTTGGGTAAATAGGGGAGGGGTTGGGTTGGGGAGAGGAGATGGGTTGGAAGGGAGTCACTGGGTGGATGGAGCAGTAGTTGGACACAACGCTGGTTGGGGGAGAGGCTGTATGTGGGTGGTTAGGGTAGTTGAATAGATGGGGTGGCAGATGGATGGGTGAATGGTTTGTGTGGTGGATGGAGGATGTATGATTGGGTACAGCAACAGGTCAACAGGATATGTGTGTGGGTTAATGGGTCATGGCAGGTTAATGGGTTGGGGAATAGGAAGATGGTTTTGTGGGAGGAAGATGGTTTGGCTGGCACGAGAGACTGGCAGAAATACTGAGTGGCAGGCAGGTGGGGAGACACCGAGTGGCAGGTGGGTGGGGAGACACTGAGCAGTGGAAGGGTTGGGGAGATACTGAGTGGTCGGCGGGTGGAGGAGACAGAGTGGTGGGTGGGTCGGGGAGACCCCTTGCTGCCCTTCTTGCTGCCTGTACACACCATGGCATACCCCAGCTGGACTGGCACCCTGTGGCCTTCTGTGTGACAATACCTGCTTGGCCAGCTGCCTCCGCCTCTCTTCACCAGCCTCATCACGGCCCTGCAGGTCACGCTCATGCTGAGTCTTGAGAGCCTGCACAGTCACCTCCAGACGCAGCTTGGCATCCTCGGCCGCTGTCAGCTCATCCTCCAGTTCTGTCACCTGTGCTCGCAGATCATTGGCTGCCTGTTCTGCTACCCGGCAGGCTCGTTCCAGCTCATGCACCTGGTGGGGAGAGTAGCTGCTGGGTACCTGGGTCACTGAGGCAGAGGAGGTTAGGAGCCTAGCTAGAGTAGGGGAAGATTTGATGGAGGATGGGGAGATGGCAAGTCAGTGTGCCCATCCTAGTTTGTTCATTCATCCATTCAAAATCTGCTGAACGGCTCCTTCCTAGGTGTCTCATTCAGCATCACCCCAAAATGTATTTCATGAATAACTGATGCTTCATAATTCTATTATCTGAAGCCCTTCAGAGTCCAATACAAGCGTCTGTTAGGTCAGCTGACTCTCACTCATGGTGGATTATTCCCTCTGAGTTTTGTAATTTTGCACTGTGAGCTCACTCACTGGGAATTCATCTTTGGGAATTCTGTGCGAATGGGTTGAAGGCACGTAGCTCCAGGGTCATCAGTGCTGGTGTTTGCCAGACTCCCCAGGGTGTCACCGACCCACTATCTACTTCTATTGGGTTTTCTGTTTGGGAGGGTCCCTGATCTTTCAGGGAGGTATGAATTAAACCCCCAAATGCTGTGAAAATAGAGCTGGGCTTATGAATTTTCAGAGACTCCCCCTTCACCCCTCTCCTTACTTAACTGTCACCTCCTCAAGGAAGCCTCTCTTAACCCATCAGGGCCTCTCTGCTACCCATGCTCCTGGCACTGGGGCCCCTCTCCTACCTAGCCCTAGTCACAGTGGTCATTTGACATTTGCTTAGGTGGCTTTTTGTGCAACACCCGCCTCCCGCACTGAACTGTGAGTTCCACAGAGCAAGGCCTATGTCTGTGGATCGCCACTGCCCACATGATGTTCATTACAATTCTGGTCACTGACAGTATCTACTTTCGGTCCGTGGAATGGGCCCTCTAGCCTCCCTTCCTATTTGGTACTTGCCAATTTATTTTGTTTACTTGAAGGGATCAAACTTTCTCCCATCAACATCCTGTTTCCCACAAGGGCCTTTGGAGTCACTACAAATAACCTGACATTTTTCCCAAGGGACGGACCTTAACGGCTCAAGTATGAGCTGGGTTTTAGCTCAATTATCCCTAGGGCTGCAGGCCAGGTCTGTGTCAGGGAGAGAGGGGTTCTCTCCAGGCCTGGCTAAAAGCAAAATCGGATCAACGTCTAAGTGCGTGGAGAAGATAAAGCCCTCACCCATTGGACTCCTAGAAGCACGTTGTTGGGAAAATAAAGAAATAAGGATGTCAAGACAGCATCTATTCAGGAGCTCAACAAATTCTGCCAGTGCCTCCCATCATTAGTGAGGGTGGCCTGTGTCCCTGGGTGTGATCCATAAATGTATTCAGAGGATGAATGAAGGAAGGATGGAGTGGAGGATGTGGCGGGTCATTTTGACCATTCGGAAGGCTGGGACACTGGCTGGGTGAGGGGAGCCTGCGAGAAGCCTTGGGGCACCACCCTACAGGCCCTGGAGGGATACACGAGTTAAGGGAAGACAGAGGCTTGGTGGGAGAGTCTGTGTGTGCTCAGTGGAATTGGTGGCAGGCAAAGTGGGAGTCCTCACACTGTGTGTGTGTGTGTGTGTATGTGTGTTATGTATGTATGCATGCACCTAGTCATGTCGGGGGAGTGGTTCTCAGGCTGTGTGTTGTAGTAAATTCTCTTCGTGTTCTCTCTCTGAGCATCCATACATATGTGTGGTGAGTAGTTTTCTCATGCTGTATGTGTACATATGCACATGAATATGTGTATTTAATGGAAAATTCTCAGCAAGGTGCAGTGGCTCATGCCTGTAATCCCAATGCTTAGGGAGGCTGAAGTGGGAGGATTGTTTGAGCCTAGGAGTTCAGGACCAGCCTGGGCAACACAGCAAGACCCCATCTCCACAAAAAATTTAAAAAACAGCCAGGTATGGTGGAATGCACCTGTAGTCTCTGCTACTCGGGAGACTGAGGCAGGAGGACTGCTTGAGCCTAGGAGACTGAGGTTGCAATGTGCCATGATTGCACCACTGCCCTCCAGCCTGGGCAACAGAGCAAGACCCTATCTCAAAAATAAAACAAAACAAAAAACAAACAAAAACAAGTAATAGAAGATTCTCCTTACATCCCGTGTACACAAATGTGAGCATGTGTGCTTTGTGAGCAGCTCTTGTATTCTGTGTGTGAACACATGTGCTGGATGGAAGATTCTCCTCACGTTCTGTGAATGTCTACATGAAGACCTGCCTCTGGTGAATGGCTCTCCTTACTTTCTATGCGTGTGCATTAGCACAGTGTTTGGTGGAGATTCTCTTCACGCTGTGTGTGTCTATATGGATGCAAATGTTTGCTGAACAGTCCCCCTCTTGTTCTCTTTTTTTTTTGAGACAGTCTCGCTCTGTCACCCAGGCTGGAGTGCAGTGGAATGATCTCGGCTCACTGAAACCTCTCCCTCCTGAATTCAAGCGATTCTCCTGCTTCAGCCTCCCAAGTAGCTGGGGTTACAGGCATGTGCCACCATGCCTGGCTAATTTTTGTATTTTTAGTAGAGACAGGGTTTCACCACATTGGCCAGGCTGGTCTTGAGCTCCTGACCTCAGGTGATCCGCCCACCTTGGCCTCCCAAAGTGCTGGAGTGCTGGGATTATAGGAGTGAGCCACCATGCCCAGCCCTCTTGTTCTCTTTGTGCATGAACATATGACTTTGATGGCTGGTTGTTTTTCATGTTCTATGTGTGAAAGCATACATGCATGTACGTGTCTCCCCTCACCCAGTGTGTCCCGGGGAGCGGGGGCCCTGCTCACGCTCTTGCCGACGTCATCCTTGCTGCTCAGCAGTGCCTCCAGCTCAGCCCGCAGGGCCCGGTTCTGCCGCTCCAGCTCCTCACGTGCCTCCTGCTCCTCCTCCAGTGCCCGTGTCAGTGACAGGGCCCGAGCCTCACGCTCCCGGCCCTCTGCCTCGGCCCGCTCACGTTCCTCCACTGCCCGAAGTACAGCTGCCTTCTCCTCTGCCAGAAGCTTCCAGTTTGAGGGAGATGGGGTAGGGGGAAATAGATTAGCTGAAAGGAGTGTACAAGGGAACGGGAAGAGGGAGCAGCCAGGAACAGAGAAAGAGAGAGAAAGAGACAGACAAAGGCAGAGACACAAGAGGGAGGTAGAGGGATTAAAGTTGCAACCGTGTCCCAAACCAGCTTAACTCTTGAATGGATCAAACTGATCAGTCCCTAACTCTATATGTTCAACAGAAGAAAGGGCATTCCTTCCTCTTAAGAGTGGCAGTAGAAAAAATACACATATATATATTTTTAAATGTACTTCAACCTTTACTGTTTTTTTTTAAGACACAGTAATTGGCAAATAAACTTATAAAACATGCAAAAAAGAAAAGAGAACAGAACTCATAGTTAAGAGAAAAATCAGTCCATACAAATAGACCCACAGATGACCTACATATTAGAACGTGCACACAAGGACTTCATGATAAGTTTCAGAACGAGACAGATACAATGGGTGAAGAGGCAGTTATTTGAGGAGGGATTTGAAACTGTAAAATAGAACCACATAGAAATGCCAGAACTGAAAAATGAAATATCTGAAATAAAAAAGTCACTGGATGAAATTAGTAGCAGACTGGACACATCAGGAGAATCAGTAAACTTGAAAGCAGGTCAATATAAATTATCCAAACAGAGCAAAGAAAGAAAAAGAAAGAAGATTGTAACAGAAATTAATGGAACTTTAACAACCTGAAAAAAGTACCAAGCAGTCATACATACAAGCATTTGGAGTCCTAGAAGGGTAAAGAAAAGGTAAAGAAAGAAGTAAAACTGCCTTTGTTCACAGAAAACATGATCATCTATGTAGAAAATCCAATGAAATATATAAAAACTATATTAGCACTAGTAAGTGAGTTTAGCCAAGATTGTAGGATACAAGATCAATATACAAAAATCTATTGTTTCTATATACTAGCAATCAAAAATGGAAATGAAAGCAACATCACTTAAAATAGCCATAAAACCATGAAATACTTAGAAATACATCTGGCAGCAGATGTGAAAGATGTACATTGAAAACTAAAAAACATTTCTAAGGTATTTCAATGGACGTATATACCCTCTTCCTCGGTGAGAAAACTCAATATTGTTATGATGTCAGTTCTTCCAAAACCGTTGTATAGATTCAACACAGTTCCAAATTGGAAGGCTTTTTGTTTTGGGGTAGAAATTGACAAACTGATTCTAAAATACATACGGAAATGCAAAGGAACTAGAAGAGGCAAAATAACTTCAAATAAGAAGAAAAGGCTGGTGCAGTGGCTTATGCTTGTAATTCCAGCATATTGGGAGGCTGAGGCAGGCAGATCGCCTGAAGTCAGGAGTTCAAGACCACCTGGCCAACATGGTGAAACCCCATCTCTACTAAAAATACAAAAATTAGCCAGGTGTGGTGGCGCACACCTGTAATCCAAGCCACTCGGGAGGCTGAGGTGGGAGAATTGCTTGAACCCGGGAAGCAGAAGTTGCAGCAAGCCAAGATCACGCCACTGCACTCCAGCCTGGGCAAAAAAAAAAAAAAAAAGAAGAAGAAGAAGAAAAAGAAGGAGGAGAAGAAGAAGAAGAAAAATGACTTTCAATAGATATGCAAAAACAAGTCAGTGGAGAGCAGTGTTGGAATACTTGGATATTTATATTCACAAAAATTAACATGGAGCCATGATAGCATCATATGTAAAAATTAACTCAGAATAAATCACAGACCTAAATGTAAACTTGAAACTGGAAGACTTCCAGAAAAAAAAAACAGGATAGGCCGGGTGCAGTGGCTCATGCCTGTAATCCCAGTGCTTTGGGAGGCCGAGGCAGGTGGATCACAAGGTCAGGAGTTTGAGACTAGCCTGGCCAACATAGTGAAACCCTGTCTTTACTAAAAATAAAAAATAAAAAAAAAATAAAAATAAAAAAATTAGCCGGGTGTGGCGGCATGTGCCTGTAATCCCAGCTACTTGGTAGGCTGAGACAGGAGGAATCGCTTGACCCCAGGAGGCAGAGGTTGCAGTAAGCCAAGATCATGCCACTGCACTCCAGCCCGGGCAACAGTGCAAGACTCCGTCTCAAAAAACAAAACAAACAAACAAACAAAAAGAAAACAAGAAAAAAACCAGGATAAAACCTTTGTGACCTTGAGTTAGGCAAAAATTTCTTATATACAATACTAAAAGCACAATCTATAAAACAACAAATTGATAAATTGGACAAAATTAAAAACTTCTGTTCTTTGAAAGACTCTAACAGAATGGAAAGAAAAGCCACAGACTGGACAAAAATATTTGCAAAGCATATATCTGATAAAGAACTTGCATTTAGAATACATAAATAACTTCTTTCTTTTTTTTTGTTTTTTTTTTGTTTTTTGTTTTGTTTTTTTGAGACAGAGTTTCACTCTTGTTGCCCAGGCTGGAGTGCAATGGCATGATCTCGGCTCACCACAACCTCCGCCTCCCAGATTCAAGCGATTCTCCTGCCTCAGCCTCCCAAGTAGCTGGGATTACAGGCATGCACCACCATGCCTACCTAATTTTGTATTTTTAGTAGAGACGGGGTTTCTCCATGTTGGTCAGGCTGGTCTCAAACTCCCAACCTCAGGTGATCTGCCTGCCTTGGCCTCCCAAAGTGCTGGGATTACCAGGCATGAGCCACCGTGCCCGGCCCATAAAGAATTTTCAAAATTCAATAATAGTAAAACAAACAACATTAATTAACAAATAGGCAAAAGATCTGAACAGAAGCTTCAGCAAATAAGATATATGGATGGCAAATAAGCATATGAAAAGATGCTCAACGTCACTGGTCATTAGGGAAATGTTAATTAAAACCACCTTTGAGAAAGACTAAGGTTTTATCCATAACTAGAAAAAAACTGGAAAAAAACCCAAATGTTCATCAAAAGGTTAATGAATATCAAAATGTGGCTGATCTATACCACAGGAATAATATTCAGCAGCAAAAATACATTATTGATACATGGAATACATTATTGATATGCAAAAATATGGATGGATCTCAGACTAATTATTTTGAGGCTGGGTGCGGTAGCTTACTCCTATAATCCCAGCACTTCGGGAGGCCGAGGTGGGTGGATCACTTGAAGCCAGGAGTTCGAGACCAGCCTTGCCAAAATGGTGAAACCTCGTCTCTATTAAAAACACAAAAATTAGCCAGGCATGGTGGTGCACACCTGTAATCCCAGCTACTTGGGAGGCTGAGGCACGAGAATCGCTTGAACCTGAGAGGTGGAGGTTGCAGTGAGCTGAGATCGTGCCACTGCACTCTAGCCTTGGTGACACAGCGAGACTCTGTCTCAAAAAAAAAAAATTATTTTGAGTAAAATAAGCCCATCCCAAAAGAGATTTATGTGAAAATAATTTATATAAAATTCCAGAAGATGCCAAAAATAATAAAGCTTCAATGACCTGTGGAAGAGTATTACAATCAAATCATATGTATTTGGAGTCCAAGAAGAAGGGGAAGGAGAGAGAGTGGGAGATAAAAATATTTGAAGAAATAATGGCTGAAATGTTCCACATTTGATCAAAAACATCAACCCACAGCTACAGGAAGCACAGTGAATCTAAAGCAGGATAAATACAAAAAACCCACAGCTGGGCATATCACAGTCAAACCACTAAGAACCAAACATAAAGAGAGAAATCGTAAGTCAGCTAGAAAAACATACTGCACCACCTACAGGGAAATGACAATTTAAAAAAATTTTTTTTAATTTTTTATTTTTTTTTTGAGATGGAGTCTTGCTCTATCACCCAGGCCGGAGTGCAGTGGCACGATCTTGGCTCACTGCAACCTCCGCCTTTCCAGTTCAAGTGATTCTCCTGCCTCAGCCTCCCGAGTAGCTAGGATTACAGGCGCACACCGCCATGCCCAGCTAATTTTTTTGTATTTTAGTAGAGACGGGGTTTCACCGTGTTGCCCATGCTGGTTGTGAACTCCTGAGCTCAGGCAATCCGCCCGCCTTGGCCTCCCAAAGTGCTGGGATTACAGGCATGAGCCACAGTGCCCAGCTTCACACTGCATTTTCTAAATGAATAAAATAAAGCACAGAGAGGTTGAGCAATTTGCCCAAGCCACACAGCCATCAAGAGGCCGAATTGGGATCTGAACCTCAGGATTGCCTGATCTGAACTCTCTAAGGTTCTGTGATTTTTATTTCATCCTCAGGCTGCCAGATGCTTGGTATTATTGCCATTTTCCAGATGGGCGAACTGAAGCTGAGATGGAAAAAGCAACTTGCCTGAGGTACCCCGTGAATCAGCAGAAGTGAGATGAGTTATTTGATTTAATTCTCATAAGCAATCTCTGGGGTACTGAAGGTATTCGTATATTTTGTCATCCAAAAACCAGGGCAGCTCTGAAAGTAAAAGTGGGTGCTACGAGGAATTATGCTGTGGCAAGAGGCATGAATCAGGACAGAGGGATGTCCTATTTTACAGAGGCCCAGAGCAAAGAAGGGTCTTGCTTCCTGGTCCACTACAACTGCCTAGTTGAGCCGTGACAGCACGGATTACTGGTTCCTCACAACGACCATGGGAAGCGTAGATGGACTTGCTGATTCCCCGGCTGGGTGAACTGAGGTGCCCCACCTGGTCAAACTTGCGCTGCTTCTTCTCCAGGGTGCTCACAAGCTGCCGCTGCTGCTCCAGGTCCATGGTGGCGTCGTCCAGCTCCTGCTGCAGCCGGCGGCGGCCCCGCTCCAGCCGATCCACGGTCTCTGTCTTTTCTGCCAGGCGCTGGGTCAGGGCCTCGGCCTCCCGGGCTGCCCGGCGCCGTGCCTCCTCCCCTGCCTCCAGTGCCCCTGCCTCCTCCTCCTGGCGCCGCCGCCACTCGGAAAGCTGAGGGGAGGAGAGAGAGGGTGGTTGGTGGTCACGGCCATGAGTGACCAAGGTGTAAGCTGGTGGTGCTCCATTTCCAGGATGAAGAGACTGAGGCCTGAAGAGGGAAAGGGGTCATTCTGCTGGGCTCTTCTGCCTCTGAGTGGTGTGAAGTTGTGAATACTATGAGCCCTAGTTCTTCCAGGGAATTAAAATTACTCCCTCCAAGATGCAGAGGTGAATCAGACCTGGAGTCTTTCCTGGGGAGCCCCTCGGCTGCTGGGGGAGACACAGAGTCACAGCCAGGGTGATAGGGGTTAAGGTAGCAGTATGGGAGCTATGGAGGTCCACAGGAAGTGCCCAGAATCTGTTTAGAACATTCAGGAGAAACTTCCTGAAGGAGGAGCATTTGAGATGGGTCTTGAAGTATGCATAGAAGTCTGCCAGTTGAAGGATATCTGCAGGCACGTACCATCACTCATTCATTCAATAGGCATTTCTCAACGCCTACCATACATCAGGCCCTATATCAGGCTGTGCTACAGACCTGGATCTAACTCTGATGGGATTCTAGTTTGAAGGGGCTCTCAGTCTGGTGGGGAGACTCATGGGCAGAGACAGTCCCAGCCCAAGGTGACTGGAGTTGGGACAGAGGAGAAAGAGAAGACGGGTCAGGAAACTTCCCACAGGGGAGCCTAATGCTAAGTCTGGAAAAATAAAAGGTTTTTTTCAAATAAAATAGGAAAGTAGAGATAGAGATGAATACAGCTAAAGGCAGAGGAAGGACCAGAGATTGCAGGGCCTCAATGCCTGACTGAGAGGCATGGACTTTGTCTAGGAGTACTGGGGAGGCGTGGGAGAGCTGTGAGCAGAGGAGGGACAGGGTCAGCTCCAGGTAAAGAAAGAAGCTTCTGGGGCTGTGCAGGGGATGAGCTGTTAGGGGAGAGGCTGGAGGCCCAGAGGCCAAGAGGAGGATCTAGATGGGAGAGGACGGCACTGGAGCTGGGGCTGAGCTGGAGCTGGGACAAGGGATGAGGCTGAGAGTCAGGGGTCAGGACAGCCAGGGCTGGGCATGGGCTGTGGGGGGTAAGGGGGAGTCAGAGATGAGAAAGGCACCCATGGGTCTGGCCTATGAGAAGGTGGGCAGCATGGCCATCCCTGAGCTGGGGAACCCAGGAGGAGCAGTGAGGGGGGCTGTGCCTCCCTGAAGGTCTTACGTAGGGCTGCTCACCTGGGCCTGGGCAGTCTGCAGTTCACGGCCCGCCCGTTCCCTGGCAGCTGCCTCCTCCTCCAGCTGCTCACGCAGCCCGGCTGCCTCAGCCTCCATGGCTCGCACCCGGGACCCCAAGGCCAATTTCGCCCTGGTCTCCTCCTGCAGCAGCTCCTGTAGATGGAGGAGACGGCAATGTCAGGTGTGGCTGGGAGGACAAGGAGGGGAGGGTGACGGTGGAGCCGAAGGGCAGGCAGGGTCACCTGGGCATCGTGCAGCTGGGCTTCTGTGCTGCTCAGCTCCTTGCTAAGACGGATGGTTTTGGACTCAGCCTCGTTCAGCGCCCCAGACACATTCTCCAGTTCAGCCTGCAGGGAAGGGACGGGAATGAAGCCCTCCAATCGTGGCTTCCACCCAGTGACCCCATCTGCCTCAACTCTCTACCACACTGGCAGGAATGTGAAATGTTACAGCTGCCGTGGAAAACAGTCTGGCAGATCCACAGATGCTTAAACATAGGGTTCCCACATGACCCAACAATCCCGCTCCTAGGTGCATACCCAAAAGAAATGAACGCATAGGTCTATGCAGAAACTCGTACCGGAATGTTCTCAGTGGCATTACTCACCATCGCCAAGAGGCGGGAACAGCCCCAATGTCCATCAATAAACGAATGGATAAACAAATGTGGAATATCCATACAACGGGCATTATTCGGCAATAGAAAGGTATATGGATCTATTGCGTGCTGTTGTTTTTTGGGGTTTTTTTGAGACAGAGTTTCACTCTTGTTGCCCAGGCTAGAGCGCAATGGTGCAATCTCGGCTCACTGCAACCTCCGCCTCCCAGGTGCAAGTGATTCTCCTGCCTTAGCCTCCCAAGTAGCTAGGATTACAGGCATGCGCCACCACACCCGGCTAATTTTGTATTTTTAGTAGAGACGAAGTTTCACCATGTTGGTCAGGCAGCTGGTCTTGAACTCCTGACCTCAGGTGACCCACCCGCCTCCGCTGCCAAAGTGCTGGGATTACAGGCATGAGCCACTGCACCCAGCTGGTGTTTTAAAAATTAAAAAATAAAAAAGGAATTATGCTACGAGCTGCAACACAGATGAATCTTGAAACCGTTATGTTAAGTAAAAGAAGGCAGCCACAAAGGCCACCCATATATAGTAGGATTCCATTTATATAAGATCTCCAGAATGGGAGATCAGTAAAGACAGAAAGGAGATTAGTGGTTCCCTGGGTGGGGTGGGGGAGAAGTGGGGGATGATAGCTAAAGGGTATAGGATTTTCTTTTTGGGATAATGAAAATGGTCCAAAATTAGATTATGGTGATGGCCATACCACTCTGTGAATATACCAAAATCCATTGAATTGCACATCTTAAATGAGTGAATTATTATTATTATTATTGGAGATGGAGTTTCACTCTCGCTGCCCAGGCTGGAACGCAATGGCGCGGTCTCAGCTCATCACAACCTCTGCCTCCCGGGTTCAAGTGATTCTCCTGCCTCAGCCTCTCGAGTAGCTGGGATTACAGGCATGCGCCATCACGCCCGGCTAATTTTGTGTTTTTTTTTTTTTTTTTTTAGTAGAGACAGGGTTTCTCCATGTTGGTGAGGCCGGTCTCGAACTTCTGACTTCAGGTGATCTGCCCGCCTCGGCCTCCCAAAGTACTGGGTATTATTATTATTATTTTGAGACAGGATCTCACTTTGTTGCCCAGGCTAGAGTGCAGTGGCACAATCACAGCTCATTGCAGCCTCGACCTCCCAGGCTCAAGGGATCCTCCTTCCTCAGTCCCCTGAGTAGCTGGGACTACAGGCACATGCCAGCATACCTGGCTAATTAAAATTTTTTTTTTTCTGAAGATGGGGTCTCACTATGTTGCCCAGGCTGGTCTCGAACTCCTGGGCTCAAGCAATCCTCCTGCCTTGGCCTCCCAAGTGCTAGAATTACAGACATGAGCCACTGTGCCCAGACTTGTACATGATTATGTTGGAAGAGCCAAACGAGACAATTGGTTTGATATGGACCAAATAGAAGCCCAGAGAGGGCAGGCATGTCACCAAGGTCACACAGCAGAAACCTCTGCCCTGCCCACCCCACTTACCTGGGCTCGCTGCAGCTTCTCAGCAGCCTCCGCTCGTGCCCTCTCCCCATCACCAGCCCGGCCCTGCACCTCCTGCAGCTGTAACTCCAGGCGGCGCCTCCGCTGCTCACCCTCCTGACGTGCAGTCTGCAGGCTGCTCAGTTCTGCCCGCAGCTCGGACACCTCGGCCTCCAGGGCCAGCCGGGTCTTCTCCCATGCACCTTTGCCCTGGTGTGGGAAGGAGATGAGCAAAGATCTATGAGGCCTTTCCTGGACCAGGCCAGGCACACTCCCATCTCAGGGCCTTTGCACTGGCTGTTCCCTCTGCCTGGAACACACTTCTCCCAGTGAACAAATAGCTCACCCCTCACTCCCAATTTTTTTTTTTTTTTTGAGACAGTGCTTCAGTCTTGTTGCCCAAGCTGGAGTGCAAAGGCACGATCTCTGCTCACTGCAACCTCCGCCTCCCAGGTTCAAGTGATTCTCCTGTCTCAGCCTCCCAAGTAGCTAGGATTACAGGCGCCCACCACCACGCCCGGCTAATTTTTTGTGTTTTTAGTAGAGATGGGATTTTGCCATGTTGGCCAGGCTGGTCTTGAACTCCTGACCTCAGGTGATCCACCCACCTCAGCCTCCCACAGTGCTGGGATTACAGCCATGAGCCACCACGTCTGGCCCATTTTTGTTTGTTTGTTTGTTTTTTGAGACAGAGTCTTGCTCTGTCACCCAGGCTGGAGTGGAATGGTACAATCTTGACTCACTTCAACCTCTGCTTCTTGGGTTCAAGTGATTCTCCTGCCTCAGCCTCTCAAGTAGCTGGGACTATAGGCGTGTGTGCCACCACGCCCAGCTAGTTTTTGTATTTTTAGTAGAGATGGGGTTTCACCATGTTGCCCAGGCTGGTCTCGAACTCCTGGCCTCAAGTGATCTGCCTGCCTCAGCCTCCCAAAGTTACAGGCAAGAGCCACCATGCCCGGCCACTCCCTCAGTTTTTTACCCTGATGTCACCTTCTCGCAGAATACCTCCACAGCCTCTCTACTTAAAAACTCACCCGCCTTAGAATTCTGATCCCTTTTTCCTGTTCATTATGGCCCCATAGCACTTATCACCCCAATATAAACTGAAAGTGTTTATATTGTTTACCCTCTGCCTCTCTCACTAAAAGGAAAGCTCCACAAGGGAAGGCAGTGCTGGTTGTTGGGTTCATGGCTGGTTCCCCAGCAATGCTCCTGGAACATAGTCCACACCCCATTAATGCTTGCTGAATGAAAGATGCACATGAATGCGTGAGGAAAGGGGCCCAGGGAGATGAGCTAGCCTAGAACCAGCCAGCGGTACCTCCTCCAACCCCGCGTCCTGCCCTGCCCTCCCCGTGGCCCCCCTGCCCTGTCCCCCTGCCCCAACCCACCCTCCGGGCCTGCTCCAGCTGCTCCGCCAGCTCCCCCAGGGCCTGGCCGTGGCGCTGCCTCAGCTCCTGCACTGCCGCCTCGTGGATGCGAGTCTCCTCCTCCAGAGTCTTCTTCAGCTCCGTCACCTCCTGTTCCCTCTTGGACCTTTATTGGGGGAAAGGAGAGAGGATGGGAATTTCAGAGCAGAGGAAGGCAGGGGCTTTGGGGGAGCTGGTTGTTTCTCCTTTTCATGTTTCCTTAAAATATGAGGGCCTCATGTTATGCTCCTCAGGAGATCTGGGTGGTGATGCTGTGGAAGGAGTGTGGCTTTAAGGGTGAACTCCTATTCACCTTTCAAAACCCTTTTCCAAAAGGCCCTTCCTCAGGAAAGTCTTCCTGGATCTCCCATAGACTTGGTTTAGGGGTCTTCACTTATCACCCACAGTGCCCCGTGTTACTCCGCTAAAGCACCCCTTGTTCTGGGTTGAGATTGTCTTTGCCTGAATCTGCCTCCCCTGAGACTGGAAGTTCCCAAGGGTAACACCTGGGTCTGACCCATCTCTGTCCCCAGCTTGACCCAGGCCGGACCTAGAGCCGGTGGTTCATGAACAACTGTACAATAAGTAAGCCTCTGTATAGACAGAGACTTTGTACCTAAGTCCTTCCCCCAGCCCTGTATGTGCACAGGCTGTGACAGCGGCCTGCCACCGGGCCTCACCGGAGCTCCTGCTGTGCGTTGGTGGAGTCCAGCGTGTCCTCCAGCTCGCCCCGCAGCGCCTCCAGCTCCTCGCCCAGGTCCCGGCGCTGCTTCTCCGCCTTGGTCCTGGCCACACGCTCAGACTCCAGGTCCTCCTGGGCCTCGGCCAGGGCTGCTTGAGCCTCCCGCAGGGATTTCAGCAGCTGGGCCCGGGCCCCACCCTCGTCTTCTGCCCTGGGGGTGACAAGAACCGTGGAGTTGATACAGGGGCAGGCCAGAGTGAGGCAATGATTTCTGGGGACTGAGAGGCTGGATGTGGGCTTTGGGAGTGGCCAGTCCCAGGTTAGAATCCTCTCTCTGCCACTGGGCACTTGGCTGCAGTACTAATTTAAGTTTTCTGAGACAGGGTCTCGCTCTGCTGCCCATGCTGGAGTGCAGTGGTGCAGTCACGGCTCACTGCAGCCTCAAATTCCTGGGCTCAAGTGATCCTCCTACCACAGCATCCCGTGTAGCTGAGACCACAGGTGCGGTCCACTATGCCTGGCTAATCTTTTTTCCCCAAAGAGACAAGGTCTGCCTATGTTGCCTAGGGCTGGTCTCGAACTCCTGGCCTCAAGTCATCCTCCCACCTCGGCCTTACAAAGTGCTGGGATTGCAGGAGTGAGCCACTTCGCCCAGCCTGACTCATTTCGAACCTCAGTTTTCTTAGCTGTAAAGTGGGAATGACAGCAACAGTAATCGTAGGAGACACTTAGTAAGTTCCTGCCTCATGCCAGTGCTTTACTTGTATCACCTCATTTAATGTTCCTGCCAAATGAGGAAACTGAGGTCTAGCGTGGAGAAAGCACTTGCCGAGGTTACCGGGTCCGTGAGTGGCTGGGTTGGCCCGGAGTCCCTCCTTACAGCTCTCACAGGGATGTGGCTTCCTGTCCCTTCACACAGCGTCATTGCAAAGAGAAGCTGGATCTGGGGGCAGCACCAACTGGGACCTGGGGGTTAATGGTTCAGGAGCCACACAGGCCTGGCTTAGTATCCTCTCCTGGCCCCCTGCTCCAACAAGTGACTTAAGAAGGGCAGGGTCCTGATTTGTGGGAGGACATGACGATGAACACTCCCCTTTACCAGGGTTGCTGGGGAGATGGCGATAAAAATAACTAAAGCACAAAAGGCCACATGTTGTATGAAATATCTAGAATAGGCAAATTCTATTTAGACAGAAAGTGGATCAGAGGCTGCCAGGCTGGGGAGAAGGAGGGATGGGGAGTGGCTGCTTTCTTTTTTTTTTTTTTTTTGAGAGAGAGGGTCTCGTTCTGTCACCTAGACCAGAGTGCAGTGGCACAATCATAGCTCACTGCAGCCTCGACTTCCCAGGTTCAAAGGATCCTCCCACCTCAGTCCTCTAAGTAGCTGAGACTACAGGCACATGCCACCATGCTTGGCTAATTTTTAAAAGTTTTTTGTAGAGACAGGGTCTCATTATATTGCCCAGGCTGGTCTTGAATTCCTGGGCTCAGGCGACCCTCCTGCCTCCTACTCTCAGAGTGCTGGATTATGGCGTGAGTCACTGTGCCTGGCTGTGATTGGTTAATACATACAGGGTTTCCTTTTGGGGGTGATAAAAAAGTTCTGGAGGCCAGCACAGTGGCTCATGCCTGTAATCCCAGCACTTTGGGAGGCCAAGGCAGGTGGATCACCTGAGGTCAGGAGTTTGAGACCAGCCTGGCCAACATAGTGAAACCCCGTCTCTGCTAAAAATACAAAAATTAGCTGGGTGTGGTGGTGGGCACCTGTAGTCCCAGCCACTCGGGAGGCTGAGGCAGGAGAATTGCTTGAACCCAAGAGGCGGAGGATGTAGTGAGGCAAGATCATGCCACTGCACTCCAGCCTGGGCGACAGGGCAAGACTCCAGCTCAATAAAAGAGAAAATGTTCTAGAACTAGATAGAGGTGATGGTTACACAGCATTGTGAATGGGCAAAATCTACTGAATTGTACATTTAAAAAATGGTTACTTTTATGTGAATTTCACCTCAGTAAAAAAGAAAAAAATTAACAAGAGTAATAAAGTAGTAACAGAAACATCCGGCATTTATTGAGGGCTCAGGGTATGCGAAGTGTCTGAGGAGCACTTTCTTCTTTAACCCTCACACTAACCTTAGGAGTACTGTCTACAATTACCCCATTTTATAGATGAAAAAACTGAGGCTAGAGAGGTGATGTGATTTGCATGAGGTCACATGACTAGAAAGGGGAGAAGCCAGGATTCCAACCCAGAAGTCAGACTCAAAGATGTGTGTTCACGGCCGGGTGCAGTGCCTCACGCCTATAATCCTAACCTCAGCGAATGGATCACCTGAGGTTGGGAGTTCCAGACCAGCCTGGGCAACATGGTGAAAGCCCGTCTCTACTAAAAATACGAAAATTAGCTTGTTGGCGGGCACCTGTAATCCCAGCTACTTGGGAGGCTGAAGTACAAGAATTGCTTGAACCTGGGAGGCAGAGGTTGCAGTGAGCCGAAATCACACCATTGCACTCCAGCCTGGGAAACAGGGCAAGACTCCGTTTCAAAACAAAACAAAGACGTGTTCTTAACCACACACACACACACACACACACACACACACCCCCCATGTTCCATCAACTCTAAGATGCACAGTTTTTCACATTTTAACATCTCCGAAATGGAGCTGTACTTGTAATCAAGTGGGTCTTAGATTGCATGAAGCACAGTGCATAAAAAGCATTTGAAACACTAAGCACCACATTTGGCATACAGTAGGAGCTCAATTACTGTGAACGAGTGTAAATATAATTATTATGATTCCTAACATAGGCCACTTGGCAAATCTCAGCTGATTCTGGGCTGTTTGGTGTGGGGAGGCCAAGCAGGGAAGAGGAAGAAATAGCTCTTTTTTTTTTTTTTTTTTTTTTTTTTGAGACATAGTCTTGCTCTGTTGCCCAGGCTAGAGTGCAGTGGTGTGATCTCGGCTCACTGCAACCTCTGCCTCCTGGGTTCAAGCAATTCTCGTGCTTAAGTCTCCTGAGTAGCTGGGATTACAGGCGCCCGCCACCACACCCAGCTAACTTTTGTATTTTTAGTAGAGACAGGGTTTTGCCATGTTAGCCAGGCTGGTTTCAAACTCCTGACCTCAAGTGATCCACCTGCCTTGGCCTCCCAAAGTACTGGGATTACAGGTGTGAGCCATCGTACTTGGCCTAGAAATAGCATTTTCTTGTTCCCATTGTGCACTGTTATGCAAGTTACCAGACACATAGAGTCTTGTTTCACTTTTCCCTTAACCTAGTGGGCCTGGAACTCTTGCTATCTTCATTTGACAGAAGGGGACACTGAGGCTCGGAGGGGATGTGGCCTGTCTGTGGCTGGTGAGTGGCTCCACTGGGGTTTGTACCCAGGAGCTTCTGACTTGGGCACCCCACGCTGGCTGGCCGTGCACCCATGCTGCTTACCCCACCAAGCCCACCCCACCCTGCACCTGGCCAGGGCAGCCTGCAGCTCCTCCTCCTTCCGGCCCAGCTGGGCCCGCAGCTCCTCTGCCCGCTGTTGCTGCTCCACCATCTGCTCCTGCAGCTCTGAGCTCTCCCCATCCAGCCTCCGCTTCAGCTTCTCCAGCTCCTGGCGACCCTTCTCCTCCTTCCGTAGGCGGTCTGGAGGCAGGGGTGGGGGCCGTGCATGAGGACTCCAGGCCTGCACACTCAGCCGCTCTCACAGAGACCACAGGTCCCCAGTCACATATAAGGCTAAGCTCAGCACCTCCCTTAACGCCTTCTCCTCCTCCCACCTTCCCCATCTATCTCAGGGACTCTTCCCACAATGTTGTCCTAGACGCACTGTCCTCTCCTCCTCATCCCCACCAACAGCCCATGCCTCCACCCTCTGACTCTCTCTGCCCTGTGTCTACAGCCCTGCCTCCTCCCTGTGCCCCTTCCCTTCTGTTTCTGATTCTAAGTCAACAGGAAGGGACAGGGAGACAAAAACATGTCTGAAACAGACAGACAGTGGGACAGTCAGATGGGAAGAAAGGAGGACAACCCAAGACACCAAGGAGAGAAAGAGAGTTGGATTTAGAGATGCATTAAGAACTCAAGAGCTGGGAGGACACTCAATCTGCCCTGAGCCTTCCTTCCTATCCCATTTAGCAGACACAGCCACTGAGGCCCTGTAGCACATGGGGCTTGCCTGAGGTCCCCCATTAGAGCACACACAGACCCCTACTGGCTGGGCGGGAGCTCACCCTCCATGTCTGCGATTGTGGCCTCATATTTGAGCCGTAGCTTATTGAGGCTCTTGACCTTCTCCTCCTCCTCAGCTGCCTGGGATGAGAACTCGGCCAGACGATCTTCCAGCAGCTTCCGCTCCTGAGGGGTGGAGTGGGATGGGGGGCAGTCAGGAGGAGTTGGGCCAGGAGCAGCCCTTACCTGATCTGCAGCTTCTGGTGTTGTTCTCATCTATGTTTCTGCTCCTTTTCACCCTTCTCTGACCTTCCTCCCCCTACACCTCCCTCTCCTTCCCATTCCCTTGGGGCTATAGACCCATCCCACCCCCACCGGTGCACACCTGAGAACCGCAGTGTGGTAACCCCCATGGCGTGAAGTTCACCATTCATTAACCCACCAATGCACCCCATCCCCACTTTCCCAGCTGCCCTCAGGCCCCCAACCTTGCTCAGCTTGGAATTCTGGTCTTCCAGGAGCAGCAGGTCCTCTTCAAATTTCTTCATTTTTGCCTCTGTCGTCACCTTCTCCAGCTGCAGCTTCTGCCGCGCACCCTCCTCAGCCTCAAGGTGGGCCTCTAGCTCCTGGGGTGGGAAGGCAGGAGGAGTGAGGATACTGGGCCAATAGATGGAGTGTGATGGGGAAGGATGGGAGCGGGGATGGCTGGCCCACGGATCCCCGCGGCTTGTGGTTCAGAGATGTCCATGCCCTGGGTGAGGCCGGGAAGGATCAAACTCTTATTGGCTTTCCCATTTCATTCATTAGCGCAACAAGCATTTATTGAGTGCCTAGTGTATGCCAGGCACGGTTCTAGGCACTGAGGATGGGTAAAAGTGACTGTCCTTCTGCAGTGAGAGATGACCGCACCACTGCACTGAAGTCTGGGTAACAGAGCGAGATCTTGCCTCTGAAAAAAAAAAGGAACACCTATCCTTGTGGAAATCACATTCTTGTGTGGGGGTTAGGGGTACAGATTATAAACTATAAACATAGTAAATAGGTCAGGCGCAGTGGCTCACGCCTGTAATCCCAGGACTTTGGGAGGCCAAGGCAGGCGGATCACGAGGTCAGCAGATCGAGACCATCCTGGCTAACACGGTGAAACCCCATCTCTACTAAAAATACAAAAAATTAGCCGGGCGTGGTGGCGGGTGCCTGTAGTCCCAGCTACTCTGGAGGCTGAGGCAGGAGAATGGCGTGAACCCAGGAGGCAGAGCTTGCAGTGAGCTGAAATCGCGCCACTGCACTCCAGCCTGGGCAACAGAGTGAGACTCTGTCTCAAAAAAAAAATAAATAAATAATAAATAATTTTAAAAATAAAATAAACATAGTAAATACACAAATTATAGAAATGGGTACTGCCAACATGACAGTCATTGGGCACACTGGAAATCAAGACTCAATTTTATTTTTTGAATTTATTTTATTTTATTCTGTTTAAATTTTTTTCTTTTCTTTTTTTTTTTTTTTTGAGACGGAGTTTTGCTCTTGTTGCCCAGGCTGGAGTGCAATGGTGCAGTCTTGGCTCACTGCAATCTCCACCTCCCGGGGTTCAAGTGACTTTCCTGCCTCAGCCTCTCGAGTAGCTGGGATTACAGGCACCCGCTACCACACCTGGCTAATTTTTTGTATTTTTAGTAGAGATGGGGTTTCACCATGTTGGCCAGACTGGCCTTGAACTCCTAACTTCAGGTGATCCACCAACCTCGGCCTCCCAAAGTATTGGGATTACAGGAGTGAGCCATTGCGCCCAGCCTATTTTATTCTGTTTGAGAAAGGTCTCACTCTGTCATCCAGGCTGGAGTGCAGTGGTGCCATCACAGCTCACTGCAGCCTTGACCTCCTGGGCTCAGGTGATCCTCCCACCTCAGGCCTCGTGGGTAGTGTGACAACACCACAGGTGTGTGACACCATGCCTGGCTAATTTTTGTGTTTTTGTTTTTGTAGAGAAAGGGTTTCACTTCATTGCCTAGGCTGGTCTTGAACCTCTGGGCTTAAGAGATCCTCCCAAAGTGCCGGGATTACACATTGAGCCACTGCACCTAGCCAAGACTCAATTTTATGTGCTGCCTTGACATTTGCTAAAAGTAGCAGGGGCCTCAAATGGCCTAAACAGAAGTCCTCCTACTCCCTCTGCTCCCATAGATAAGGTCCCCCAGCCTTATCTGGGGACCCTCCTTATCCTGGGGACCAGGCACAGTGCCTGCTTATCCCTGAGAAGCACATTCCAGCTCCCTGCCAGCCCATGGAATTACTGAAACAAACCAAACACATTTTCCCACGGCACCCAGGGGTCACCTCCACCTGTTGTTGTGACAAAGCCTGTTTCCCACAGCCCCTGCTTGTTCACTCTGCTCTTGAGGGCAACATCCATGTGGCCGTCTGTGGTGTGATGTCGGCCCCCCTCACCTGTCTGGTGCCCAGTGCTGTGTGCTCAGCCATCCCCATAAACCTAGGGTAGGGTCCCTCCCTCACCAAAGGGATCAAGAGAAGTTGATTAAAACACTACTGGGCCGGGCATGGTGGCTCACGCCTGTAATCCCAGCACCTTGGAAGGCTGAGGTGGGCGGATCACCTGAGGTCAGGAGTTCGAGACCAGCCTGGCCAACATACTGAAACCCTGTCTCTACTAAAAATAAAAAAACATTAGCTGGGCATGGTGGCACACACCTGTAATCCCAGATACTGCTGTAGAGGCTGAGGCAGGAGAATTGCTTGAGCCCGGGAGACGGAGGTTGCAGTGAGCTGAGATGGTGCCACTGCACTCCAGCCTGGGCGACAGAGCAAGACTCTGACTCAAAAAAACAAAAAACAAAAAAACATTACTGAGCTTTTGAAATGTGGCTGATGTGGACTGATGAACTAAATTTTCTGTCTTATTTAATTTTATTTATTTTAAATTTAAAACCAGACACCCAATCACTGAAAAGCTTTTAAGCATGTTTGGAACAACTTGGCCATGTGAATCTAGTTTTTATAAACTGCAGAAATTATGAAATAGAAATACAGATCAAGTATTTCCAATGAAAATTTAGCATCTGAATTGAGATGTGCTGTAGTGTAAAATACACACTAGATTTTGAAGGGGAACCATGAGGGCAGCCTGCCCGTGAATGCAGCCAGGAGACGGAGAGAGGGGGAGTACTGAGAACATTGCCTGAATGCCTGGATCCAGCCATGCCTGAAGCTAAGGACATCACTTGGGCACCTGGATCCAGCCATGCCTGAAGCTGAGGATATCACTTGGATGCCTGGATCCAGCCATGCCTGAAGCTGAGGACATCACTTAGGCGCCTGGATCCAGCCATGCCTGAAGCTGAGGATATCACTTGGATTCCTGCATCCAGCCATGCCTGAAGCTGAGGAAATCACTCAGACACCTGGATCCAGCCAGGCCTGAAGCTGAACATATCACTTGGATGCCTGGATCCATCCATAGGTGAAGCTCACACATTTTAAGGTCTCCCGCGATCTGAATCAAAAATGTATTCTTTTTGCAAATTCACTTAGAACTGAGTTTTCTACAAATTCATGGCCCAAAGACACACGGTTTGTAGAAGCAAAGGTGGATGGTGTAGACAGAGGGGTCTGGAGGGTGGCCTGGTGGGCATGCAAGGGGCCAGACCTGTATGTGCTGCTGCAGCCTCTTCTTCTCGGTTTGCATTTGACGGCTGCACTCCTCCTCCTCGCCCACGCGAGCCTCCAGCTCTGACACCACCAGCTCCAGCTCCTGCTTGCGGGCTGCCAGCCTCCCCCGCGTCTCCTCGGCCTCTGCACACAGTTCTGCCTCTGCTCGCAATTGCTCTGCCAGGCGGGCGCGCTCCTCTTCCAGCTGGGGAGTGTGTGGGAGGTTAGTGGTCAGCAGGCAGTGCTCCCAGGGCAACCTGCACTGGGTGCCTACTGCCTTGTAACTTGCTTTGGCCTTTAAGTTCTCCAGGGCAGGACTGAGGGGCAGGAGGACACGGTGTCCCCACCTCCTCCCCCTCAGGTCCCCATCTCAGGATGAGCCCACATCCCCCTAATCACTAAGTCAGAATCCTGGGGATGCCCTCCCTCACCTCTCACAGCCATCAGTCTGCACCCCTGCTCTCTCTGGCCCCTCCTCTCTGTCCCTACAGCCCCAACAGGCTCAGGTCTTTCCTTCTCTCACCTGTCTCTCTCCAGCCTCCTCCCCAGCCTCCCAGACTCTAGCCTTTCCCCTTCCAGTCCATCCTTCAAATAACCCCCGAGGGGTCTTTCTACTACCTCACATTTCATTTAATACATTTCATACCTAAAATGTAACCACAGGAAATAATGCAGAAAAGGCAAACAGAAAAATGCTCAAGAAGGGGTTTGTTCTAGCATTATTATTATTATTATTATTATTTTTGAGACAGAGTCTCACTCTGCCGACCAGGCTGGAGTGCGGTGGCGCCATCTCGGCTCACTGCAACCTCCACCTCCCAGAGTAGCTGGGATTACAGGCGTGCGCCATCACACCCGGCTAATTTTTGCATTTTTAGTAGAGACGGGGTTTCACCATGTTGGCCAGAGTGGTCTTGAACTCCTGACCTCAGGTGATCTGCCCGCGTCAGCCTCCCAAATGTTCTAGCATTATTTTAAGATAGCTGAAATACTGGAAACAGTTATAAGTTCGCCACCTGCATACCATAGCCCGGCCACAGCTGAGGCCCCTGCCCCCAGATCCTACAGCCCAGCTCCATTCTGGCTCTGCAGGACTCTCCCACCCCACCCCTACCCGGCCCATACCCTGGCTACACCCCCAGGGCCCTGCTCCCTGTACGTCACGACTCAACCAAACTAAACAGCCCCAATCCCCGCCCGGCCTCAGTACACCTTAGCTTTGCTCCCATCCTCCCGACAGCCCTGCCTGGGCACAGGCTGGCTCAGCCGGAAGCCCCGCCCCTCACACCTGGCTCCACCCATGCGACACAGCCCCACCCCGAAGACACGCCCCCACGCCCTGCCCCCGCCCCCTCACCTGTGCCACTCGGCCCTGGAGCTCCCCAACTTCGCGGGCGCTCTGCTGCTGTAGCTCCTGCACTTTCTGCAGCTCCTGGGCCCGTGCCTGCAGCACCTCATCCTGCCGCGTCACCTGCAGCAGTGGCTTCACCTAGGTGGAGGTGAAAGGGGTGGAATGGCTGACTTCAGGCGCCAAGACCTCACACTCTTAGTGGGGTTTGAGTTTCTGGGTTCAAATCCCTTCTCCTCCACCTATTAGCTGTGTGTCCCCGCCTTGGCAACAGTCCCTGGTCACAGGCCTAGAACACTGACAGGTACAGGCAAGCACCACTAAATACACTATTGATCTATCTAATCTCTCTGGCTAAAGGATCCTTCCACATCCAAGAGACACTGTGTACTGTGGCTGCTGCTATTCTGTGGAACAGTCCTTCCTTCCTTCCTTTTTTCCTCCCTTCCTTCCTTCCTTTCGACAGAGTCTTGCTCTCTCGCCCAGGCTGGAGTGCAGTGGTGGGATCTCGGCTCACTGCAACCTCTGCCTCCCAGGTTCAAGCGATTCTCCTGCCTCAGCCTCCCGAGTAGCTGGGATTACAGGCGTATGCCACCACGTCCGGCTAATTTTTGTGCTTTCAGTAGAGAGGGTTTCGCTATGTTGGCCAGGCTGGTCTCCAACTCCCGGCCTCAAGTAATCCACCCACCTCAGCCTCCCAAAGTGTTGGGATATAGGCATGAGCCACCATGCCTGGCCAAAGGCCAGTGTTTCTTAAGCCTGTTAGTCCAAGGTCCTTAGTGAGAGATGAGCTTTACATGGCATGATTCAGGCTGCAGTGACAGAGGTACACACAGAACTGAAACAAAAATTTCACAAAACCTCGTCGCCCTTGCTAAGTGAGATCTGCTCTGATAATTTCTGTTCAATCATATTCTACTCCGTTCTACACAAGTCTACTTGATTCTTTTCCTCTCCACCCAATTCTGTATCCCTTCTATTCTCTCCTTTTCTGCCCCGACTCCTTGCATCTTTCGCAGGTATCATTCACATTTCTCAAATGATGCCAATCAAATCCTACTTGACCCCAACCCCCAACACCTAAGGTAGGCAAACTTTTTCTTCAAGGGCCAGGCAGGAAATATTTGAGATTTTACAGGCCACCCTGGCTGTTTTTTATTTATTATTAATTTTTATTTTTATTTATTTATTTATTTTGAGACAGAGTCTCACTCTGTCACCCAGGCTGGAGTGCAGTGGTGCGATCTTGGCTCACTGCAACCTTCACCTTCCAAGTTCAAGCGATTCACCTGCCTCAGCCTCCTGAGTAGCTGGGATTACAGGTGCCTGACACCACATCCAGCTAATTTTTGTATTTTTAGTAGTGACAGGGTTCCATCATATTGGCCAGGCTGGGCTCAAACCCCTGACCTGAAGTGATCCACCTGCCTCAGCCTCCCAAACTGCTGGGATTACAGGCATACGCCTCCGTGCCTGGCCAGTTTTTAATTTTGATTTATTTTTTCAAGACAGGGTCTCACTCTTGTCACCCAAGCTGTAGTGCAGTGATGCGATCATGGCTTACTGTAGCCTCATACTCCTGGGCTTAAGCAATCCTTCGTCCCAAGTAGCTGGGACTACAGGTGTGCACCACTACACCCAGTTTTTGTTTTTGTTTTTTTTTTTTTTGTAGAGATGAGGGTCTCACTTTGTTGCCCAGGCTGGTCTTGAACTCTTGGGCTCAAGTGATGCTCCTGCCTTGGCCTCCCGAAGTGCTGGGATTACAGGTGTGAGCCCCTAACCTCAGCTTCTGGCTGTTTACCTACTCCACTCAGCTGCTGTAGCTCAGATGCAGCTGCAGACACCATGCTAACGAAAGGGCTTTTGCAAAAACAGCCATCTGGCCCACAGGCCGCAGTGCAGCAACTCTTGTCCCAGACTGTGAGCTCCATGGTGGCAGGACCTTGTCTCTTTTTAATCACCATTTACCCCAGCCTCTATAAAAGTTCTGGGCACATAGTAGGTGCTCAGTTAACACTGACCAAGGGAATGCAGGCTGATCTCTCAGACATCGTATTCAGAATTACATTACTGCCCCCAAAACCTCCATCCTTCTCATTCCTTTCCAATTTCCCCCTGGGGGAACACCTAGTCCCTGAGCTCCATGGTGCATGGCGACCTGGCTTGGCACCCTCTGCTTTGGGTAGGCATGTGATGCCAGCCTGGCTCATCTGATCCCTACTAACTGGCTCTGGGATGGTCACATGACTCCAGCTGGGCCAATGAGCATGAAACCTGGGAATCTGGCTGGAGCTCTATGATAAGAGAGACCAGGCTGGCCAAGGTTGTTAGGGGCAAGACTCCATCTGCTGGTGGCCCCTGTGTGGAAAGCCTCTGTTGGTGATCATCACGGAGGAAAGCCAAGCGGGAGACGCAGAACACTGCATACTGACGTCACTGTTTGGACCCTTGTGCAGTAAAGGGTTAACTCAGCAGACCTGGGTTGTCCAAACCCCACACATTCCTAAGAAAAGTCTGGCCCTTGATGGGCTCCTGGGAGGTTACCTCTAAGTCCTTAGAATGTCCCATCTGATAAGAGTGTCTTGGTTTACCTGGGGCCTTGGGCCACCCTGGATAGTCTATGCTAACGATGGGATCTGTGGTGGGGGCCCTGGGCCACATGGCATCAGTTTGACTCTGGAGGGGCTGGAGACTGAGTAACTGAGGTCACCATGTGTGTGACCTTGTCCATGCCTGTGTGACCAGCCCCAGGAAAAACGCTGGACATCAAGGCTCAGGTGAGCTTCCCTGGTTGGCAATACTCCGTGCATATTATCATACTTCATTGCTGGGAACAGCTAAGTGTTGTCCACAGAACTTCACTGGGAGAGAGCAGCTGTAGGCTCATGCTTGGTCTCTCCGAGACACTTATGTACTTTTTTTTTTTTTTTAACCTTTGCTCTTTTTTTTTTTTTTTTTTTTTGAGACAGAGTTTTGCTGTATTGCCCAGGCTACATGTAGTGACACTATCTTGGCTCACTGCAACCTCCACCTCCTAGGTTTGAGTGATTCTCCTGCCTCAGCCTCCCAAGTAGCTGGGACTACAGGCACCTGCCACCATGCCCAGCTAATTTTTGTATCTTTAGTAGAGACAGGATTTCCCCATATTGGCCAGGCTGGTCTCGAACTCCTGATCTCAAGTGATCCGCCCGCCTCGGCCTCTCACACTGCTGGGATTACAGGTGTGAGCCACAGCACCCAGCACCTTTGCTGTTTTCAATCTGTATCTTTGTATTGTGATAAACTGTAGCTGTGAGTACAGCAGCTTTTCTAAGTTCTGTGAGTCCTTCCAGCAAATCCTTGAACAGAAGTCTTGGGGACCCCTGGATCCAGGTGCAGCCCACATTGTCTTGAATCTTTGATCCATGTTGGTTCGAGTCAGATTTTTCTTGTTGCTTGCTAACTAAAGAATCCCAGCTAGCAAAGCCTGGGCCGACTGGCCCCATTTTAGTGATGCAGAAAACTGAGGCCCACATGGAGGAAGTCACTTGTCAAGCAGACCAAGCCCCAAGGCCCTATCCTCTCCCTACTGGGGCCACCTCCCCAGGCTGCCCTCACCTTGGTAAACAGCCGCCACCACTGCCAGTGTCTCAGCTTGAGGTAGGCCGCGCAGTTCCGCTGCATCACCCTCAGGGCGCTCTGCTGCTGCTGGCGCTTCTGGAAGGCCCTGGGTGGGGAAATGGGTGAGGGGCAGAGTGGGAGCCTCCAGGCGCCATCCCCTTAGCAAGAGAGCCAAGCTCCTTTCTTATTTATTTTCTTTGTTTGTTTGTTTGTTTTTCTGAGACAGAGTCTTGCTCTGTTGCCTAGGCTGGAGTGCAATGGCATGATCTGGGCTCACTGCAACCTCCACCTCCCAGGTTCAAGCAATTCTCCTGCCTCACCTCCCAAGTAGCTAGGATTACAGGTGCGTGCCACAACACTCGGCTAATTTTTGTATTTTTAGTAGAGATGGGGTTTTGCCATGTTGGCCGGGCTGCTCTCCAACTCCCCACCTCAAGTGATCTACTCACCTCGGCCTCCCAAAGTGCTGAGATTACAGGGGTGGGCCACCATGCCTGACCAAGCCAAGCTCCTTTCACTTAGTCAGCCATCATAAAATGCCTACTGTGTGCAGGCACTCTTATTACTTTGAGATCTCACTGTGTTCTGGCCGTTCGTCCCCCTGCTCCCGACTCTCTCTGCCCAGTCCCAAAGCCCCAGCCGCAGTTCAGGCCCCACCCTCCCTTGCCTGGATCCTCTGCCTGGCCTCCTTCTCCAGCCTCTCCTATCAGCCCATCCCAACACGCCTCCAGAGAGTCTTTCTACACCCAGAGCTGACCCACCCCTCCCCTGCTCACAGCCCTCCATGGCTCCCTAGCTCCTCTGGACAAGGCCCCACTCAGCCTGGTGTTTGGGCCATCCTTTCCTGCCACTCTATTCTTTCAGCTTTTTTTTTTTTTTTGATACAGAGTCTCACTCTGCCACCCAGGCTGGAGTGCAGTGACATGATCTTGGCTCACTGCAGTCTCTGCTTCCCGAGTTCAAGCCATTCTCCTGCCTTGGCCTCCTGAGTAGCTGGGATTACGGCTAATTTTTGTATTTTTAGTAGAGATGGGGTTTCACCATGTTGGCCAGGCTTGTCTCGAACTCCTGACCTCAAGTGATCCGCCCGCCTTGGCCTCCCAATGTGCTGGGATTACAGGTGTGAGCCACCGTGCCCGGCCTCTCTGAGCCACTTCTAAGGAGGAAGGAGACTCTCCCGCAAACTCCCTGTATTCCTGAAGCGTGCCAGGATCTTGCATCGTTGGGTCTTTGCACAAGCTTGCTCCTGCCCTGATCACCTTTCCCATTTTCCTTCATCCACCTGCTTGTCCGGTGTGGCCTGGGGGAGTCATGGCCTGCAGCAGGGCCTCCTTGCTGCACCTCTATGGCCCCCATCAAAGCAGGTCTCACCCGGGACTGGGACTCTATGCCCATGGAAGTCTCACCTCCAGACTGGAGCCCCTCGAGGGACTGGCCAGGGAGAGCGGACAGCTTGACCTGGGTTGCCCCGGGCTTTCTCTGTTTTAGCACTGGAAGTCCTGCACCCTGGGAAACCCAGACCCAGGCCCACTAGGACAGCTGGTCACCCTGCGGCTAAGTCCAGCCTCTGTGTTGCCAGTCTTACTCTGAACAGGGCCTGCCCTGCCCACAGGGCCCCTCAGGGACTGCAGAACCAAGAAGCCTGGACACCCGGCACCTCCATCCACCTGCTCCTCAGCCCTGCACCCATCCTGGAGGCCCTGACACCTAGAGCCATCTGGTCAACCCCTCCCTGACCCAGTCTCGGCCAACAGGACCCCGGGAGACAGCGTGGCTGCCCACCTGCGAGCCAGGTATCCCCGGGCAGCTGCCTGGAAGGAGACGATGATGTCGGTGACCTTCAGGTCTCGCTCCTCTTCCAGCTGGGCCAGGACCCCAGCCCGGAAGAAGATCTTGCTCTGTCCCACGCGGTAGAGGTTGGGGTCCAGTTCCAGCGCCTGGATCTGTGAGGGGTGGGAGAGGGGTGATGACGGAGAGGGGGTGATGGGGGAGTGGGGGTGGTGAGGAGGGGGAGTAATGGGGGAGGGGGTGGCGAGGAGGGGGAGTGATAGGGAAGGGGTGGTGATTGGGGAGAGGGGGTAATGGGGGAGGGGGTGATGGGGGAGGGAGGTGATGGGGGAGAAGTGATGGGGAGGGGGTGATGAGGAGAGTGATAGGGGAGGGGGTGATGTGAAGAGTGATAGGGGAGGGGAGTTATAGGAAGGGGGTGATGGGGCAGGGGATGATGGGGGGGTGGTGAGGAGGGGCAGTGATTGGGAGGGGGTGGTGATTGGGGAGAGGGGGTGATGGGGGAGGGGGTGATGTGGAGGAGGGTGATAGGGGAGAAGAGTTATAGGGAGGGGGCGATGGGGGAGTGGTGATGGGGAGGGGGTGATGGGGTGACGGGGAGGGGGGTGATAGGGGATGATGAGGAAGCGGGGGTGGGGGCGGTGATAGGGAGAGGTAATGAGGAAGGTCAATGAAGGGGAGATCCCAGCCCCACTCCCCGACCACCTGGGCCCCTGCACACAAACGCATGCACACACACACATGCACACACACGCATGCACACATATGCATGCACACACACACGCACACACGTGCATGCACACACACTTGCACACACACGCATGCACACATATGCATGCACACACACATGCACGCACACTCATGCACGCACACACACACACGCACACACGCATTCCAGGCTCTGCCCCACTCACCATCTTTTCACAGGCCTGCTTCCCATCCATGAAGCCCTTGGGGATGGCATTGGGTGTCAGGATCTCGTATCTGCAATGAGCAGGGAGGGGTGGGGAGGAGAGAGTTACAGCAAACGCTCACCTAGTGCCTGCTGCGGGCCAGGCACTGGGCTCAGAGTGACACACAGCAGGAACAACAGTGACAATAACAAGGACAGTCACAAAACTCACATCTGAGCATTCACGCCACCACCAAGGACAGCAACATCGACAATGATCGACTGTTTCAGTTTTTTGTTTTGTTTGTTTTTTGAGACAGAGTCTCGCTCTGTCGCCCAGGCTGGAGTGCAGTGGTCAGATCTTGCCTCACTGCGACCTCCGCCTCCCAGGTTCAAGCGATTCTCTTGCCTCAGCCTACCAGGTAGCTGGGATTCAGGCATGTGCCACCATGCCCAGCTAATTTTTGTATTTTTAGTAGAGATGGGGTTTCTCCATGATGGCCAGGCTGTCTTGAACTCCTGACCTGAAGTGATCCACCCGCCTCGGCCTCCCAAAGTGCTGGGGTTACAGGCATGAGCCACAGTGCCCAGCCAGTATTGGCCAGTATTTTGGATGTATTGGCTTTAGTAAAATATCTTGTTAAAATTAATTTCATTTTTTTCACTTGTAAAAGTGTAGCTATTAGAAAATGTTCAATTGTGTACAAGGCTTCCCATTCTACTTCTAAGGGACGGTGCTGCTCTACACAGCTTGTGTGAAGCATCATTTTTGTTACATTTGCTGTATTACTTGCTCATTAGGCCTTGGTATTTTCTATTCTGTCCTATTCTACTTCTTTATTTACTTATTTATTTTTTTGAGACAGAGTTTTGCTCTTGTTGCCCAGGCTGGAGTGCAATGGCGCAATCTCGGCTCACTGCAACCTCCCCCTTCCCGGTTCAAGTGATTCTCCTGCCTCAGCCTCCCGAGTAGCTGGGATTACAGGCATGTGCTACCACACCCGGCTAATTTTGTATTTTTAGTAGAGATGGGGTTTCTCCACGTTGGTCAGGCTGGTCTCGAACTTCCGACCTCAGGTGATCTGTCTGCCTCGGCCTCCCAAAGTGCTGGGATTACAGGCGTGAGCCACCGCGCCCCGCCTTCTACTTCATTTTTAAAGACATGCAGATTTGTAACACCATGCAGTGATTTCACGTTCATAGTTTGGGGCCTACTGCCCTAAACAGCAGCAGCAATGTACCCCAGATCCCCATAGACTCTGTGTGCTTTCTCTCAGGAGTGCATCAAGTGGGCTATTGTTCTCCCATACACAGACGAGTAAACTGAGGCTCAGCAAAGTGAGTAATCTGCCTCAACTTCCCCAGCGCAGAAGGAACAAGAGTGGGTGGAGACCTGAATGCAGGTGTGTCGGCTTCCAGACCCGGGTCCCACCCAGCCCCTCCGCCGGGCCTGGGCCCTCGCTCTAGCTCACCGCTGCCGGAACTCCTGGAAGAGGATGCGGTTGGGGAAGCCCTGGCGACAGATGCGGATGCCCTCCAGGACCCCGTTGCAGCGAAGCTGGTCCAGCACCAGCCGTGGCTCCAGCTTCCCGGCCTGGGGAGAGCGGACGGACACGCGGGGGTCAGCGGCGGCCACACGGGGGCGCCAAACGGTCAAGCTTGGCAATTTCCTGTTTCCACATGTAATTTACTGAGCACCTACTAGGTGCCTAGGAACGGTTCTAGGCCCTGGGAAGACAGCAATGCTCAAACCAGGGGGAAATCCTGCCCTGGGGAACTGAGAGTTCAGTAGGAGAAACTAGAAATACCCTAGGTGAAGCAGTCACTAATAAAGAAGAAATACTAAGTGCTAAGGAGAAAAGATCCGCAGGGAGGGATGTGGGTGGGGCTGAATTTGCACGCAAGAGAGTCGCCAAAAGGCCTCCTGGGAAGCTGATGTCTGTCCAAAGCTGGTAAATCATGTTTTTTTGGTTTTTGTTTGTTTGTTTGTTCGTTTTTTTTTTTTTTTTTTTTTTTGAGACAGAGTCTTGCTCTGTTGCCCAGGCTGGAGTGCAATGGCATGATCTCAGCTCACTGCAACCTCCGCCTCCCAGGTTCAAGAGCTTCTCCTGCCTCAGCCTCCTGAGTAGCTGGGATTATAGGTGCACACCACTATGCCCAGCTAATTTTTGTATTTTGAGTAGAGACGGCGTTTCGCCATTGCCCAGGCTGGTCTTGAACTCCTGGGCTCAAGCAGTCCTCCCACCTCAGCCTCCCAAAGTGCTGGGATTACAGGCATGAGCCACCGTGCCAGGCCGCCTTTTCTCTTTTCAACAGTAATGCACAAATGGCAAAAATCTAAACAGTACAAAAATTCCAGTGGCACACGCTGTCGTTAAATATGCCACCAAGAAAGGAAAAAGACTGGTAATTAAACCCTGACAGGCCGTTGACTAAGCTACATCTCGACTTCAGAGACGCTAGTGGGGAGGAATACATGGCTTAGATTTGATAAAATATGGGATCTCAGGCTGGGCGTGGTGGCTCACGCCTGTAATCCCAGCACTTTGGGAGGCCAAGGCGGGTGGATCGCTTGAGCTCAGGAGTTCGAGAGCAGCCTGGGCAACATGGCAAACATGTTGTTTTCCATTCCCATTGACCCTTCTCTGTAGGGCCCATTCTCTGATTTTCTCAACATGAAAATCAGTGGCCAGTGAGGCTGGCCATGGTCTTGTCACACCCATGCAACAAGCCCAGCCCTGATGGCCTTCCTCTATCCCTTGTACCTCGCGTGCTCCAACCTACCATTGGGCCTTTGTACAAACTCTTCTCTGCCTGGAATATCACGTATCCTTCAGGGCTCAGTCATCACGTCCCCCAGGGAACCTTCCCTAACTTCACTGACCAGATCAAGCCCTGTGTGATACTCACCACCCCTACAGATTTAACTGGACGTTCATTTTGGATGGTTAGATGAATGTCTATGCTCCCCATCAGACTGTGAGCTCCCTGAGAACAGGAGTTGGCTGTGCCTTTCTCTCCAATGCCTCCCCAGTACCTGTTCCCAGCACAGTAGATGCTTAATACATTAAGTCATATGAATGCATGAATTTTCCCAACCGGACCCTGAGCCTAGGAATAGAAGCAATTTGCTCAAAGCCACACAGCTAATTTGAGGGTCCTCGAATCAGATGTGGCTCCAGCCAAGTCCAGAGGCCAAACCTTAACCCACAGCCACAGCCACCCCTTCCTCCCCAGGCTGAGTCACTCACCCTCTTCTCGTGGTTGGGGACAATGCAGCGGACAAAACTGGGGTTGGTGTTGCTGAGTGTGGCCATGAGGCGGCTCAGGGACTCCTTGTAGAGCTGTCCCACTGTCCGGAACATACCCCGACGGGGGCGGCCACCTGGTGGGCCGTCGCCCAGGCTGCTCACCTGTTCCAGCCCCACGATGCCCTCCACTGTCAGATGGAGATGCAGAGAGAGAGAGAAGGAGGTCAGGGTCAGTTTTAGGGACCTGGGCCAAAGGTCAAGGGTCTTATCATTTATCACAACTGGCACTTTACATATGAAGGACCTCACACAGCCTGTAAGGTAGATATCAGCTTCATTGGACAGATGGACATACTGAGGCTCTGAAGAGTGGGAGAATGTGCTTAAGGTCACACAGCTTAGAAACTGAAGATCCGAGATTAGAACTCAGACAGTAGGAGTCCTCTCAAACTCTGGTCTTTGACCCTTCTTCTCTTCAAGGACATGATCTCTGTTTTCCTTATCAATAAATGATGACAATAACAGCAAATGCTTACCTAGCATAGATACTCTGGCAGGCATTGCTCAAAGCAATTTACATCAATGGCTTTATAAGCCTGTAAGAATCATTCCCATTTTACAGATTTGGAAACTGAGGCATAGAGAGAGAAAACAGTGATAACATAACCACTGCAGTTGCATTTTAGGAATCTGAAACATATTAAAAGATGTAATAAATTCTTGCATTATATGCAATATTTGAAATAGGGCAAACTGTCTCTATTTTAACCATTTTTCCAGAAGAGCCTAATTTCATAGAGGTTCTATTTTCTTGGCAGGGTGCGGTGGCTCATGCCTGTAATCTCAGCACTTTGGGAGGCCAAGGCGGGTGGATCACCTAAGGTCAGGAGTTCGAGGCCAGCCTGGCCAACATGGTGAAACCCCATCTCTACTAAAAATACAAAAAATTAAGCCAGGTGTGGTGGCACATGCCTGTAATCCCAGCTACTTGGAAGGCTGAGGCAGGAGAATTACTTGAACCTGGGAGGCAGAGGTTGCCGTGAGCCAAGATTGTGTCACTGCACTCCAGCCTGAGCAACAGAGCTAGACTCTGTCTCAACAAAAAGATTCTATTTTCTCTAGTGCCGCTTGGCGGTGCTGCTTTGGGTAGTGAAAAATATCCATTCCTTCTATTGGCACTGTCTCGAATTCTGTTGTTTGTTTGTTTTCTGAGACACAGTCTCACTGTCACCCAGGCTGGAGTACAGTGGAGTGATCACAGCTCACTGCAGCCTCAACCTCCTAGGCTCAAGTGATCTTCCTACCTCAGCCTCCCAAGTAGTTTGGACTACAGGCGCACACCACCATGCCCACCAATTTTTAAATTTATTTTGTAGAGACGGGGTCTTCCTGTGTTGCTCAGGCTAATCTCAAACTCTTGTCCTCAAGTGATCCTCTCACCTCGGCCTCCCAAAGCGCTGGGATTATAGGGGTGAGCCAATGCACCTGGTCCCAAATTCTATGTGTTGAATCATGCCAGGTTCCTCAGGAACCCACAGCTAGGGCAGAATCTGATGTCCTGCAAAACTCATCCCATTCAAGCGCCATCAACCGTCAACTAGATAATCTGTGCTTAGGGCAGGGCCAGGTCATGGCAGGGGCTCAAATATGTTATTTTCTTCCCCAGGTTCAACCGTCTCCCCTACCCCGTACTCCCTGTCATTTTCAAAATGATAATTATCATTTATTAAGTCCTCATAGCACAGATAAGAACTAAAGTTCTGGAATCTGATGTCCTGGGTTCAAATCCCAGCTCTGCCACTTACTGGCTGTGTGACCTCAGCAAGTTACTTAACTTCTCTGTGCTTTAGTTTCCTCATTTGTGTAATGGGGTGTTGATAATTCTAAAGGGGTTTCACATGGTGAACGGCACATAGTAAGTGCTCAAGAAACGCGAGCTGGTACTATCACGCTTGTTTGTACTTTTACATGCAGTTTAGTTAGAAGAAGGGGTTCTGCTGCTACAGAGTCTGGAAACTTCCAAGGGAGCCAACAAGGAGGGAAAGGAAGAGTGAGAGACCTCCACAGTAAGAGGAGAGGGGACAGATGTTCAAAACCAGGTCCCCAGCCCAACAGGTCCACCCTCCTCCTCCAGCAAGCCTCACCCATCGATGCACAGAGACACCCACCCCCTGGCGGAGAAATAGCAGAGCTGCACCTCTCTGCAGATCCTGGGGGCGACGGTGGGAAGGAGCCAAGGAAAGAGAACTGCTGGAAGCCCCCATGTTCTGGGGAGTGAGGACAGATGTGTGGGTGGGTGGAGGGGAGATGGCAGAGAGATGGCGGAGAGAGATGCATGAAAAGAGGGGAAGGAGAGGAGGTGGCAGGAAGAAAAAGAGGAGAGGGTTATTAGTCAACAGTACAGAGCAAAGCAAGATGGAAAACCAGAATGTTGGCCATAAACTTCTGAACTCCTGTTCATCTTTGTATCCACACACTGTTGGCCAAAAGGACGAATGTCCTCTGTAAGAATTCAGTGCAAAGAATAAAAAATCTCTCCCTCTAGAGGTTGTGTCTGTTTTAGTAGGTTGCCCTTTTTGCTCTGGCTGCCAGGAAGCTCAAGAATGAACTTGATGCTCCCAGGCCACTTGTTGTTTTTGCCTCTCAGAGGAGAGCTAATCTCATTTCCGTTTTTCCCTGGGCTGTCAGGATGCTGGGCATCCAATTCTGGGCTCAAAGCAGCTCTAGCAGAGATTGGGCAAAAATGGCCCCGATTCCCCACTTTCCCCTGTATTGACACCCTTTGCCTGTGTCTTGCAGCTCCTTGAATCTGGGAAGACCTTGTGACTAGCTTTGTTTAGGAGGATTATGGAGGAAGTGACATTATGGCAGCTCCCCAGCTACTCGGGAGGCTGAGCCAGGAGGTTTTGCAGCTTCCACTTTTTCTTTTGGAACCCTCTGAGAGTCAGGCACACACAGAGTGTGACAAATGAGGGCTCACTGTGGAGAATCATGTGTTTATGAAGACAGCACAAATATTTTAAAAGGGCAGCAGATTTTCAGCCGGGAGATGATTCTCGTAGCATAATCTGGTTCTGTTCCTGAACATCAAACTCTGCTTTCCAATCTCCTTGTGTAAATACTATATGAGACATAAAAATAAAATCTATCTTTCTAGCATGAGCTCACAAGATCAAGACCCTCCATGCTGTTTTGCTCTGTGAGTGTGTTTTGGGAACCACTCACCTTGCTCATTTTGTTTTCTTTTTTTTTCCTTTTTTTTTTTTTTTGAGACAGAGTTTCACTCTTGTTGCCCAGGCTGGAGTGCAATGGCACGATCTCGGCTCACCACAACCTCCACCTCCCGGGTTCAAGCGATTCCCCTGCCTCAGCCCCCCGAGTAGCTGGGATTACAGGCATGTGCCACCACGCCCAGCTAATTTTGTATTTTTAGTAGAGATGAGGTTTCTCCATGTTGGTCAGGCTGGTCTCAAACTCCCGACCTCAGGTGACCCGTCCACCTTGGCCTCCCAAAGTGCTGGGATTACAGGCGTGAGCCACCGCGCCTGGCCGCTCATTTTGTTTTCTTGCCAAATTGCATGGACTGGTATTTCTACAGCTACCTTTTCATGTCAATAAAAGATTAAGGCAAACTGACAAATGCCAGAAACTTGGAACCTGGAAAAAACAGGATGCCAGTTCTGCCAGCTTTCTAAAACCATTTCTCAAACCTCCTCTAAGGATGGGGGGGCAGGGGCAGTGGCAGAAAAGGCTTGGAAAAGGTCAGAGTCCTACCACAGGGCATTTGGCATCTCTGCCTATGACCCCTAGAAGTGTCAATCCAAAAAGACAGTCACACTCATGGGGGCCTTTTGGGGGCAGGAAAGCCCTCCAAAACTGTATCTCAGTCTGTTTTTTCTTTCTTCTTCCCTGGGGGCGTGAAGGGAACTTTGTAAGAAAACAAAGAAAGCAAAGCCTAAAAGTTGACTGACCTGCAAAAGATCATCATTCTGTGTTCTCTTATTGTTATAAATTATTTCTCAGTAGAATTTTTTTTTTTTTTTTGGGACAGAGTCTCACACTGTCACCCAGGCTGGATTGCAGTGACACAATCTTGGCTCACTGAAACCTCTACCTCCCAGATTCAAGCGATTCTCCTGCCTCAGCCTCCCTAGTAGCTGAGACTACAGGCATGCACCAGGACATCTGGCTAATTGTTGTACTTTTAGTAGAGACAGGGTTTCACCATGTTGGCCAGGCTGGTCTTGAACTCCTGACCTCAAGTGATCCGCCCACCTTGGCCTCCCAAAAGTGCTGGGATTACAGGTGTGAGCCACCATGCCCAGCCAAATCTCCTAATTGTTTAGGGAACACAGGCCATCTAAAAATAATAAGTTTACTTCTTCCTGTTCGATATTCATACTTTTTCTGGTCTGATTGCATAGGCTAGTATTGCTAAAAAAACGATGTTTAACAGTAGTGTTAGTGGGTATCTTTGCCACGTTTCTGATTAAGGCGGAGTGCTTTATCCTTGAGAAGGATGCTGGCTTATCAATCAAATCAATAGTCAATCAATTAATCTATGGATCCATCCATCACTGATTTGAAATACTATTTGTGACACTGGCTATTCTGGGTCTGAGCAGAAAACTCAGGTTCAGACCTCCGCCTCTGAAACAAAGGTGCTCACGCTGTGGATTTGGAGAATGGCCGCACAGACCCCTAGAGCCGGGGTGGGGGAAGTGGGTCCTCACCGTCTTTCCAGATCTCTGCCGTCAGCCGGTCTGTGCTCTGGTGGAGCAAGGCTGCGACGTTGTCATTCAGAGGGTCCATGTTTTTCATCAGCCACTCGTTGGCCTTGTAGTCGACCTGAATGAAGTCAGGTAGAGGAGGGCGATGACTTGCAGGCTCAGACATTCTCTGGATTTCCTAAGGAGCCTTCCAGAAGCTCTGAGACTCCCAGGTCTGGAGCTCACCATGGACAAGCGAGCACTGGTGCCACCTTGTGTCCATATTCTGAACTGCACCCCACCAGCATGGTCCCCTCTCTCTCCTTCCCCTCTATGCCCCCTGCCACCTCTGTGACCTCCACCACCACCACTTTCTTCCTATTCATTCCGCTCCAGCCACCCTGGCCTCCGCACTGTTCCTCAAACATGCGAGCTTACTCCCACCTCGGGGTTTTACCCCTGCGGTTCCTGCCACCTGGGGTTCTGTCTCTGTGGGTTTCACACCACTGGCTCCTTCTGGGTACTCAGGGCTTTGCTGTGGGGCTCCATAGAGTCACGATCTTGGCCGCTACAATTCTCTGCATATGTGCCCCCCACCAGACAGCGGTCCCCCGAGGGCAGGGCCCAGGTCTGACTCACGGCCTAGCAGAGGGCTGGGTACAGGGGGAGTTCTGGAGTATGTCTGGGGAAGAAACTGAGGGCTAGACACAGAACACATGGAATCTCCTGCCTCCCAGCCATTGTCTATGCTGTTCCCTCTGCCTGGAGAGCCCTTCCCACCCTTCACCCATCCTCTGGGGCTGCCTGGTCCACATCATCAAAACCAGGGGTCAGCAAACTATGGCTCACAGGCAAAATCCAGCCTGCCACCTCTTTTTGCAAATACTTTCACTGGAATAGGGCTGGGCGCGGTGGCTCACACCTGTAATCCCAGCACTTTGGGAGGCCTATGCGGGTGGATCAACTGAGGTCAGGAGTTCGAGAGCAGCCTGGCCAACATGGTGAAACCCTGTCTCTACTAAAAATACAAAAATTAGCCAGGCATGGTGGCAGGTGCCTGTAATCCCAGCTACTGGGGAGGCTGAGGCAGAAGAATTGCTTGAACCTAGGAGGCGGAGATTGCAGTGAGCCGAGATCGTGCCACTGCACTCCAGCCTGGGTAACAGAGGGAGACTCTGTCTCAAATAAAAAAAAATACATATATATATGTGTGTGTGTGTGTGT
Source organism: Homo sapiens (assembly GCF_000001405.40). Taxonomy (NCBI): domain Eukaryota; kingdom Metazoa; phylum Chordata; class Mammalia; order Primates; family Hominidae; genus Homo; species Homo sapiens. Next base: position 50,251,553 of record NC_000019.10, on the reverse strand, counting down.
GTGTGTGTGTGTGTGTGTGTGTGTGTGTGTGTAGTGTGTATATATATATGTGTGTATATATATATGTGTGTATATATATATGTGTATATATATATAGGAATAGAACCTTCATTTATGTCTTCATAGTCAAACTCATGGGGGCCCTTCTGGGGGCAAGAGAGCCCTCGAAACTGTTTCTCAGTCTGTTTTTCCTTTCTTTTTCCCTGGGGGCTTGAAGATACTTATGTATTATCTGTGGCTCTTTTTGTGTGACCACAGCAGAATTGTGTAGCTGTGACAGAGATCGTCTGGCCCACAAAGCTGAAACTATTTACTATCGGACCCTTTACAGAAAATGTTTGCCGGCCCTTGACTGAGATTTGAGATTGAGCATATTCTCTTCTGTGAAGCTTTCCCAGGTACTTCTCTTCTGGGCTCTGACACTACCCTCAGCTGCCTCCACTGAAAGACCTATTAACCTTATATCCTGATCGTCTGTATTTGCCTCCCTCCCAGATAGGGATCTTTGTGAGGACAGAAACCATGTTTGATCTGTGTATCCAGCTTTGCTCGGCCCCGAGCTGGGCACACAAATGGCACCCCGCACATATCTGCTGAATAAGTGGATAAAATGCACATAGATCGCCTCCTGATGAACTCCTACCCATCCCTCAAAACCCACTGCAAATATCACCTCTTTGAGGAAGTTTTTGGTGATCCCATCAGACAGAATCCTTGCTCCTCCCTGGGCTCTCCTAGCCCCTGCTCTGTTTGTCTGGACCTCAGGAGGACCCTGTTTTCCCTCTGCACCCTCCCCCCATCTGTAGCCAGTGGAGATCCCTTGATCCCCACTCCCACATGCCCCAAGGCCGGCCCCAGCCCCTACCTTGCCCGCGTAGTGGAGAACACTGAAGTCGGCCTGATCCCGCAGGTGCCTCGGCCGCTGGAACTTGGGGTGGCCGCCCTGCTCCTGGGCTACCTTCTCCACAAACGACTTGTCTGTGGCCTTCGGGAACCAGCACTCCTCATCCAGCAGGGCCAGGAGTCCAGGGGGGTTGGCCTGGCCATTGACAGCAGGGGGAGAGTAAGTCAGATCCCCACATATTGGACACTCAGGTGGCTGCTGATTTTTAGCTCTTATAAGTCACACTTGGACATAAAAACAAACGTGAGATGCCAGGCACGGTGGCTCACGCCTGTAATCCCAGCACTTTGGGAGGCCGAGGCGGGTAGATCACGAGGTCAGGAGATCGAGACCATCCTGGCTAACACAGTGAAACCCCCGACTCTACTAAAAATACAAAAAATTAGCCGGGCGTGGTGGCGGGCACCTGTAGTCCCAGCTACTCGGGAGGCTGAGGCAGGAGAATGGCGTGAACCCAGGGGGCGAAGCTTGCAGTAAGCAGAGATCGCGCCGCTGCACTCCAGCCTGGGCGATAGAGCGAGACTCCGTCTCAAGAAAAAAACAAAACAAAACAAAACAAACAAACAAAAAACAAACGTGAGAACAACAGTTACGGTGAGAGCTCTGATTAACCGATTGATTTGAGCCGGGCCCTGTGGCAGGCACATTCTGGGCCCTAATCACCTATGGTCACAAAAGATCGAGGAAGCAGGTGCTGTCACCTTCCCCACAGAACCCATGGGGCATCCTGAGGCCCAGCAGAGGAGGAGCTAGACCCTGGTCTCGCAGATGCTGGGAGAGACGGATCTGAACCGTGAGTGTGGGCTGGGAGGGGCCTGGGGCTCACCGGCCGCTCGATGAGGTCGATGCAGGGCTGCAGGTCGAGGCCAAAGTCGAGGAAGGTCCAGGGGATGCCCTCACGCTGGTACTCCTCCTGCTCCAGCACGAACATGGTGTGGTTGAAGAGCTGCTGCAGCTTCTCGTTGGTGTAGTTGATGCAGAGCTGCTCGAAGGAGTTCAGCTGCAGGGACGCAGGACACGTGAGCTGGGAGGATGGAGAGGGACAGAGACCCAGAGACAGGGGACAGAGACCCAGAGACAGGGGACAGAGATGCATCGAGAGGGGACAGAGACCCAGAGAGAGGGGGACAGAGACCCAGAGAGAGGGGGACAGAGACCCAGAGACAGGGGACAGAGCCAGAGACAGGGGACAGAGACCCAGAGACAGAGAGGCAGAGACCCAGAGACAGGGGACAGAGATGCAGAGAGAGAGGACAGAGACCCAGAGAGAGAGGGGGACAGAGACCCAGAGACAGGGGACAGAGACCCAGAGAGAGAAGGGGACAGAGACCCAGAGACAGGGGACAGAGACCCAGAGAGAGGGGGACAGAGACCAGAGAGAGGGGGGAACAGAGACTCAGAGAGAGAGAGGGGGACAGAGACCAGGGAGAAGGGGAGAGACCCAGGGCTTCAGAAAGGACCAGGACCGGAGTGAGGAAGTTGGCATCCCCCTCCCAGCACAAGGGTGGACCTGGAAGATCTCAAAGCCCGCGATGTCCAGGATGCCCAGGAAGGAGGCGCCTTGGCGGGGGCTGCGGTCCAAGGCCCGGTTGAGGCGCAGAACCAGCCAGCGGAAGAGGCGCTCGTAGGTGGCCTTGGCCAGGGCCTCCAGCGCGAAGTCAGCCTGTGGGACAGGGCTCATGGTAAGGGCGCAGCCTGCACATCAGCAGACTGAAAGACGTCGGGGGTGAACCGGGGAAGGGCCCCCAGCTCGTCCCCCTTAAGGTCGCCTCCCAGCTCCTTGAGTGTAAGTACCATCAAGAACAATGCCATGAACAACAGGCAGACATTCCTGAAGTCCTACTGCGCACCAGGTACTACATGACGGGCTCGGATGTGTTAGCCCTTGAATCCTTCCCTCACCCCCTCAAAGCAGTTTCTACCGCACAGCGGTTAAGAGCGTGGACTCTGGAGCCGGACAACTTGGGTTTGAATCCCAGCTCTGCCACTTAGGGGCTGTGTGATTTCAGGCATGTGAATAAACCTCTCTGTGCCTCAGTTTTCTCCTCTGTAAAATGGGAACTAACAACAGTACCCCAGCTGAGATTGAACCCGGGTCAGTGTGGCTCCCAGACTCCTCATCTCCCCCACGGGGTCTTCATCCAGGTACCTCACTGCCCAGCCTGGGGCCAGCAGAGGCCTCTGCCCAAAAGCTGGATTCTGAAACCCTCCCTGGCCTGTGGTCGCTCCACTCCACCCTCCCTGCTCATGGTGTGAGCTCCCACGATTGCCAAGACTCTGGATGCAGCCTCCTTAGGTCTCCCCGCCTCTACCTGCATCCCTGAACCCAATTCTCCATGCAGCAGCCAAGGGGATCTTTCTATGAAAGACAAACTGAATCAAGTCACTCCCTGGCTTAAAACCTCAATGGCCTCCTATGTAGTTTGAATAAAACTCACCTCCTTACTGTGGCCCCTAAGACCCTGCATGATCTGCCCCTTGCTGACATTTCTGACTGTGGATTCACCCACCCTCTCTCCCTTGCTCTTCAGCCTCACTGACCTGACCTCCTTCAATTTTCTTTTTTTCTTTTCTTTTTTTTTTTTTTTTTGAGACAGAGTCTCGCTCTGTCACCCAGGCTGAAGTGCAGTGGCGTGCTCTCAGCTCACTGCAACCTCTGCCTCCTAGGTTCAAGTGATCCTCGTGTCTCAGCCTCCCAAGTAGCTGGGACTACAGGCGTGTGCCACATACCCAGCTAATTTTTGTATTTTAGTAGAGACGGAGATTCACCATGTTGCCCAGGCTGATCTTGAACTCCTGAGCTCAATCTGTCCGCCTCAGCCTCCCAAAGAGCTGGGATTACAGGCATGAGCCCCCACACCCGGCCTCACTGACCTGCTTAATGTTCCCAACTCCCCAAGCCTGCTCCACCCCCAGGGCCTTTACACTTGCGGTTCCGTCTGCCTCGAACCATCTAGGTCTCATCTCGAATGTTTCATCCTTAGAGCTTCCTTAGAGAGGACTTTCCTGACCAACAAAACCTCCCCTTCACAGGTGCTCTCACCATCTAAAAGCATCCTGGGTTTTTGTTTTTTGTTTTTCTAGGATACCATGTTGCATTTACATCCTGTTTTTTTAAATTATTATTAAATTTTTTAATTTTTTTAGAGACAGAGTCTCAGTCTGTCACCCAGGCTGGAGTGCAGTGGCGCAATTACAGCTCGCTGCAGCCTCAAACTCCCGGGCTCAAGCAATCCTCCCACCTTGGCCTCCCAAAGTGCTGGGATTACAGGTGTGAGCCACCACTCCCAGACACATCCTGTTGAACTTTTATTATCCATTTCCTTACTATAACTTGAGGTCCCTGAGGGCCTGGTTATTTGTTTCGATGACTGCTTTTACGCCTGGCACCTAGACCAGGATCGGTAACGGAGCGGGCACTCAGCAAAAGTCTGTTGAGTGGTGGGAAAAACAGCATACACTGTTTAAAGACCCAGGGCCGGGGTGCGCGGCTCTTTCTGTGCCTGCCCACCGCCAGCCCCGCCTACCTGTTCCTTAGTCTGGGCTTTCTGCACATAGTCTCGGCCAACTTTGATGCGAGGGGTGAGCAAGGCTCGGGAGAAATCCGTCACCCCCAGTCCCAAGAGGCGGCAGAGCTTCTGTGCAGCTGAGGGCGAGAGGCACCAAGATTCCATCAGCACTGGGAAGAGGTGCTTGCTGCCCAGCAAGGGAGAGGGTACCGTTTCCCACACTGTTGGGGGAGCAGAAGACGGGCCCCGCCTTTCCCAGGAGAGGCATTACGAGTCCCAAAAGTGTGTACATTCTCTGCCCAACTATTTTTTTTCCAGGAACCAGCACTGGCAAAATAACCCTGCATGTGAGCAAAGACCGTGCCACAAGGATGTTCAGCGCAGTGTTGTTTATAATCGGAGAAAGCTAGGAAACAACCTCAGTGCCCAAGAAGCGGGAATTGGTTAGATGGGTCGGGCTTCATTCATTTGAAAGAATGTTCTGATGGTTTTTTTGTTTGTTTTGTTTTGTTTTGTTTGAGACAGAGTTTGGCTCTTATCACCCAGACTGGAGTGCAGTGATGCAATCTCAGCTCACTACAACCTCCGCCTCCCTGGTTCAAGTGATTCTCCTGCCTCAGCTCCTGAGTAGCTGGGATTACAGGTGCCTGGCCCATTTGAAAGAATGTTCTGCAGTCACTAAAAGCTACACTGGAGGCGGGGCACGGTGGCTCACGCCCGTAATCCCAGGGAGGCCCTTCGGGAGGCCAAGGTGGGCGGATCACCTGAGGTCAGGAGTTTGAGACCAACCTGGCCAACATGGTGAAACCCCGTCTGTACTAAAAATACAAAAATTAGCCCGACATGGTGGTGCGTGCCTGTAATCCCAGATACTTGGGAGGCTGAGGCAGGGAGAATCGCTTGAACCCAGGAGGTAGAGGTTGCAGTGAGCTGAGATGGTGCCACTGCACTCCAGTCTGGGCGAGACTTCATTTAAAAGAGGAAAGATGGAAGGAAGGAAGGAAGGAGGGAAGGAAGGAAGGAAGGAAGAAAGGAAGGGAGGGAGGGAGGGAGGGGGGGAATCCCAGTAGAGTTCTATCTAAAAGAAGGAAGGAGGGAGGGCAGGAGGAAGGGAGGGAGGGAGCGAGGGAATCCCAGTACAGTTCTATCTAAAAGAAGGAAGGAAGGAGGGAGGGAAGGAGGGAGGGAGGGAGGGAGGGAGGGAGGGAAGGGATCCCAGTAGAGTTTCTTGTGAATAACCTGAAAAGTTATCCCGAAAGCATTCAGGGGAAAAAAAAGCAGGTTTCAAAACAGTTTGCAGGGTCTGACTCCAGTTTTGTAAAACAAATGAGTAAATGTGTGTGCACGGCACACCTGCTGGGTGCCTATGTACAGAGCCCCCAGGTGCCTCAGGTAATGCTGTTACCAGCAGCATAGTGGGGTAATACATCCTGTCCTCCTATTTTCTGTGCTGTGCAGCTTTCAGAAATGAGCCCATCGGATTTCATAATCAGGACAGAAAGCTCTTGCTGTCTCCAGGGGAAGAGGGGGTGAAGCACGATTCCATTTCTGTGACACTCTATATCCACAGTGATACAGACACAGAACAAAGCCCAGAGAGACACATCCCAAAATGTGAGCAGCAATTATCTCTGGGAATATGATTATGGGTAATTGTCTTTCTTTTTCTTTTTCTTTCTTTCTTCTTCTTTTTCTTTCTTTCTTCTTCTTTTTTTTTTTTGGAGACAGATTCTTGCTCCGTTGCCCAGGCTGGAGTGCAGCGGCACAATCTCGGCTCAACTGCAACCTCCGCCTCCTGGGTTCAAGCAATTCTCCTGCCTCAGCCTCCTGAGCAGCTGGGACTACAGGCACCCATCACCATTCCCAGTTAATTTTTGTATTTTTAGTAGAGAAGAAGTTTTGTCATGTTGGCCAGGCTGGTCTCGAACTCATGGCCTCAAGTGATCTGCCTGCCTTGGCCTCCCAAAGTGCTGGGATTACAGGTGATTATGGGTAATTTTCTCTCTTCCTTTCTACTTTTCTGTCATGCCAGATTTTTCCCCCTTCCAGCTTGTATTATTTTATAATAATAAAGAGACATAGCTATTTCTATTTTGGTTTAAAGTAAGGGATATTGACTATAATTCTGTTCTTGAAAGGCAAAAAGAAGTGTGTCTCTGCAGAGTGCAGAGGCTGGAGAAGCTACGCCAAATGCTAATGGTGGCTCCCTGTGGGGAGAGGGGGTCTGGGAGGATGGGCTCCTGCTGTTCCCCACTGTCGTGCTGGTGCGGTTCACTTTCAGCAGAGCTCACGCTTTTAGAATCAGGAAAAGAGTGGTTGATGTTATTTTGGCAAAGACTCAGCAAAAAGCAGGAAATCGGCCAGGCACGGTGGCTCAGGCCTGTAATCCCAGCACTTTGGGAGGCCGAGGTGGGCAGATCACGAGGTCATGAGATCGAGACCATCCTGGTTAACACGGTGACACTCCGTCTCTACTAAAAATACAAACAATTAGCCGGGCGTGGTGGCGGGCGCCTGTAGTCCCAGCTACTCAGGAGGCTGAGGCAGGAGAATGGTGTGAACCCGGGAGGCGGAGCTTGCAGTGAGCTGAGATCACGCCACTGCACTCCAGCCTGGGTGACAGAGCGAGACTCCATCTCAAAAAAAAAAAAAAAAAAAAAATGCAGGAAATCAGAGTGATCCTGGGTTGGAGACAGGTGTGGCTGGAAGGGGGATGCTCTCTACGTGGGACAGGGGTGCAGGAGGGCTGGGCACCACCTGGGCGGGGGCTGGAGGTCGTGGGCAGGCAGGCCGGGGGCAGTACCTGTGTTGTCAGGCATGGTGGCTTGATCGGTGTTCCGTTCTCTCTTCAAGGCAATGTTGCCAAACTGGAGAACTGCTGAGACCATCCGCAGCATGGCTGGGGACGCAAGGACAGAGGTCACGTGTGGCTCTGGACCCCGATGTGTGGTCTTAACTGGCCCCTTAAACATGTAACTTAAAAAGCTTAAGGCAAATTATATCACCACCCCTCAGCTTAAAATCTACTTGTGGGATGGGCGTGATAGCTCACACCTGTAATCCCAGCACTCTGGGAGGCCGAGGCGGGAGGATCACTTGAGCCCAGGAGTTTGAGACCAGCCTGAGCAACACAGCAAGACTCCATCTCAAAAAAAAAAAAAAGAATCCATCTTTGACACTGGGCAGGCCTTGAAATATGTGAACAGATCGGTGAATTCCGGTTGAGTTTATTATATCTGAGGCTTGCCCTATCGCTATGATACTTAAACAGTGTCTGCTTACGTTGTGTATTTTGTAAAACAATGCAAGTAGAATTTAAAAGGACTTAGGGAAATGAATGAAGAAGGTCTACAGTGATATGGAAAGACTTCTACCACAATGAGTGAAAAACAGGAGGCAAACAAACAATGCTGTGTGTGGCTTACTGCTATCTATGTGCAAAAGGGAGGAAATATAAAGTATAGTCGATTCTTGTGACTTGCACTGGTCATGTTCTTTCTTAAAAAATTATTTTGAATGGGGTCTTGCTCTGTTGCCCAGGCAGGTATGCAGTGGCACGATCATAGCTCACTGCAGCCTTGACCTCTTGGGCTCAAGTGATCCTCCTGCCTCAGCCCCCAGAGTGGCTGAGACCACGGGTGTGTACCACCACCTCTGGTCACATTTTCACCAACCGATCAATAAGTCACCTTGTTTTTTTTTTTGAGACGGAGTCTCATTCTTGTCACCCAGGCTGGAGTGCAGTGGTGCCATATCGGCTCACTGCAACCTCCACCTCCCAACTTCAAGCGATTCTCCTGCCTCACCCTCCCAAGTAGCTGGGATTACTGGTGCACACCACCACACCCGGCTAATTTTTGTATTTTTAGTAGAGATGGGGTTTCGCCATGTTGGCCAGGCTGGTCTTGAATTCCTGACCTCAGATGATCCACCCGCCTCGGCCTCCCAAAGTGCTGAGATTACAGGTGTGAGCCACTGCACCCAGCCTCGTCACCTTGTTTTATGTGCATTTTGTTTTAGAGACACCTTATTTAATATACTACTGACTCATTCGCACAGAACTCGAGGCCAACAGCACCGTAACTCGCACCTGGAGGAAGCTGATCTCACACACGTATTTTATCATTTCTCCAAAGCCACATGGCAGCCTTCTTGTGTTTGGGGATGCCAGACAGCACATCAGCACTGTGCTCAGGGGACATTTGAGACAGTGCAATCACCAGCAAAAAGTGCAAATTTGTGACTAACATGGCACTATTTAGGAAAGGACACTGTACAGTATGAGAACTGAAACCAGAAGGCAGAACACCACCCCTGTCTGATGTGAGCTGAGTGTGCACTCGGTGACTCAAATTTTCCTCCATTCTACGCAGGACCGTAAATGACCACGAACACACCAGGAGTACTGATTTCATGGTGATGCTATGCACCAATGCAATCCCTCAGCCACATCATCAGCTGTTCATTGTAGAACAGTTTTCACGATTTGTGGATCGAAATTGATATGGTTTGGCTGTGTCCCCAGCCAAATCTCATCTTGAAATTGTAGCTCCCATAATTCCCATGTGTTGTGCGAGGGACCCAGTGGGAGGTAACTGAATCTTGGGGGCTGTTTCCCCCATACTGTTCTCGTGGTAGTGAATAAGTCTCACGAGATCTGAGGTTTTATAAGTGGAAACCCCTTTTGCTTGGCTCTCATTCTGTCTTGCCTGCCACCATGTAAGATGTGCCTTTTGCCTTCTGCCATGATTGTGGAGGCCACCCCAGCCACGTGGAACTGTGAGTCTGTTAAACCTCTTTTACTTTATAAATTACCCAGTCTTGGGTATGTCTTTATCAGCAGCATGACTAATACAGAAATGGACCTTGAATTGGGGGTTACAAATAGATTTGGCGAGTAGGCTGTGCAGAGTTCTAGAAAGTGCATTGGAAGTGGGTAGTGCTGCCCCCTAGAATATGTCTCAGGAACTTGTGGAGGGGTCGGGTGTTTCTGGACGTCACCAGGACTAGGCAGTCCACTTGGATGCGGACGGTTTCTACAGCCCACATGGCTTCTGAAAAATGGCCCCCTGGACATTTGCGTCCATGAAGTCATGGTTTGTAATTATCTGCAACAAATTCCCAACAGTTTTACGTATAAATACAGCAGTGTTTTGTGCTTGGTTTTAATACACAGTGAGGCTTGGTGCGGTGTGGTGGTGGTGGTACGGGCTCACGCCCGTAATCCCAGCACTTTGGGAGGGCAAAGGCGGGAAGATCATTTGAGTCCAGGAGTTTGAGATCAGCTTGGGCAACATAGTGAAAACCTGTCTCTACTAAAAATACAAAAAATTAGGTGGCCATGGTGGTGGATGCCTGTGGTCCCAGCTACTCGGGAGGCTGAGGTAGGAGGATCACCTGAGCCTGGAAAGTCGAGGCTGCAGTGAGCCATGATTGCACCACTGCACTCAAGCCTGGGCAATGAGAGAGAGACCCTGCCTCAAAAAAAAAAAAAATTAATATACAGTGAATTTTCCAGGAGGACAGCCACTGTGTAAATCCCAGAGAAGGCTGTTCTTTGCTTTGCTCAGGACTCAATCAAAATTGATCACCTTTTCAGAACACTCTCCCCTGACAGCAGAGCTGTGTGTGGTGTTTGAGTCAAGGGGACAGCAGGTGAGGCTGTGTTTGTGTTTGCATCTGATGCTTTTTCTTTTTTTTTTCTTTTGAGATAGAGTCTTGCTGTGTCATCAGGCTGGAGTGCAGTGGCACAATCTTGGCTCACTTCAACCTCTGCCTCCTGGGTTCAAGTGATTCTCCCGCCTCAGCCTCCCAAGTAGCTGGGACTACAGGCACATGCCAACACGCCCAGCTAATTTTTGTATTTTTAGTAGAGACGGGGTTTCATCGTGTTGGCCAGGATGGTCTCAATCTCTTGACCTCGTGATCCGCCCGCCTGGGCCTCCTAAAGTGCTGGGATTACAGGCATGAGTCACCAAGCCTGGCTGCATCTGATGCTTTCATGGTGGGGCCATAGGTCAGTGCAACCCCTCAGCCGCCTGGTCAACCATTCATTCTAGAACAGTTTGTACCATTTGTGCACTGAAATGGACCTTGATTTATTTTTCACTTCCTCCATACCACAACCTGTTCCAAACACTTACAAATGACTTCAGGTACCCTTCATAACCACTGAACAAGGCAGGTCCTTCTATGCTTCCCATGTTACAGATAGGGTAACTGAGGCACTCAATCAACTCACCCAAGATCACCCAGCTCACATAGGCTGGCAGAGCTGGGATTCAAACCAGGGCAGTCTGTGGTTGTTTTTTTGGGTTTTTTTGTTTGTTTTTCTGTTTTTATTTTTTTATTTTATTTTATTTTTTTAATAGAGATGAGATCTCATTCTGTTGCCCAGGCTGGTCTCCAACTCCTGGCCTCAAGAAGTCCTCCTCACTTGGCCTCCCAAAGTGTTGGGATTACAGGCATGAGCCACTGTGCCTGGCCTGGGAGGCAGTGCTTTTAATTTCTGTGCTTCCATTTTCCTTTTTCATTTTAGCATAGATTTTTTTTTAAAGAGACAGAGTCTTGCTCTGTTGCCCAGGCTGGAGTGCAGTGGTGTGGTGTGATCATAGCTTACTGCAGCCTCAACTTCCTGGGCTCAAGCGATCCTCTCACCACAGCCTTCTGAGTAGCTGGACTACAGATGCTCACCACCATGCCCAGCTAATTTAAAAAAATGTTTTGTCCAGATGGGATCTTGGCATGTTGCCCAAGTTGGTCTCAAATTCCCCGGCTCAAGCGATTCTCCTAACTCAGCCTCCCAAAGTGCTGGGATTACAGGCATAAGCCACCGTGCCGGCGTAGCATAGGTTTATGAATGTAAATACATATGCGCAGCACACATACAGAAAAGGACACATACTATAGACATCCAGCTCCAGGAACGTTTACAAAGTGAATGTGTCTGTGGAACTGGCCTCTCCAAAGCCCCCTTCCCTCACTGGACATGGATGAATGTCACAAACACACGGCTGAGTGACAGAAGCCAGGTGAGAAACTGCACACCGTGTGATTCTATTTGTACCAAATCCAAGAAGAGGCAACACAACTCCATGCTCTTAGAAGTCGGAATAATGGTTACCTTGAGGGGGTGCTGGTGGTGGGAAGGGACATGGGGGGCTCCTGGGTGCTGGATATACAGGGTGTTCCCTCCCAAAACTCCCCCAGGCTGGATGCCAAGGGCCTGTGCTCCTTTTATTGGTGTGTATACTGTACTTCTACACAAAGGTGGCTTAGAAAAAGGTGTGTGTGGCCGGGCGCGGTGGCTCACGCCTGTAATCCCAGCACTTTGGGAGGCTGAGGCGGGCAGATCACGAGGTCAAGAGATCGAGACCATCCTGGCTAACACAGTGAAACCTTGTCTCTACTAAAAATACAAAAAATTAGCTAGGCGTGGTGGCAGGCACCTGTAGTCCCAGCTACTCTGGAGGCTGAGGCAGGAGAATGGCATGAACCGGGGAGGCGGAGCTTGCAGTGAGCGGAGATCGGGCCACTGCACTCCAACCTGGGTGACAGAGTGAGACACTGTCTCAAAAAAAGAAGAAAAAGAAAAAGGTGTGTGTGAGTGGGGGTGGGAGGTCAGCATTTCTTCTGGAATACTCCCGCCAAAAACGTGTAACTAGAATGTAATTGCAGGGAAACAGACCCAGATACAGATGAAACAACCAGTCTGTAATCTTCCCAAGTGTCAAAACCATGAATGATAAAGAAAGACTCAGGAAGAGTTTCAGACTGAAGGAGAGTAAAGAGATGGATGACCAGGAAAAAAAGAGAGCAAGAGGGCTGGGCACGGTGGCTCACGCCTGTAATCGCAGCACTTCGGGAGGCCGAGGCAGGCGGTTCACCTGAGGTCAGGAGTTCGAGACCAGCCTGACCAACATGGAGAAACCCCGTCTCTGCTAAAAATACAAAATCAGCTGGGTGTGGCGGCGCATGCCTGTAATTCCAGCTACTCAGGAGGCTGAGGCAGGAGAATTGCTTGAATCTGGGGGGCGGAGGTTGCAGTGAGCTGAGATCGCGCCACTGTACTCCAGCCTGGGGGACAGAGTGAGACTCCATCATGCGCAAGAGAGAATTTTTTTTGTTTTTTTTTGGAGGTTGGGGGACAACTGGCCTAAGGTCTGTGGACTGGATAACAGTGCTGTGCTGAACTCGATTTCCTGGTGACACTGCTGGTCTGTGGTTGTATAAAGGAATGTTCGTAGGAAATACATGCTGATGTTTTCAGAGGAGGTGGGAGGATGAATAACAGACCCCAAAGATACCCATAACCTAATCCCTGGGACCTGTGAATGTGACCTTCCATGGCAAAAGGGACTTTGCAGATGTGATTAAATGAAGGATCCTAGGCCAGTCGTGGTGGCTCACACCTGTAATCCCAGCACTTTGGGAGGCCAAGGCAAGGGGATCACTTGAGGTCAGGAGTTCGAGACCAGCCTGGCCAACATGGTGAACCCCGACTCTACCAAAAATGCAAAATATAAGCTGGGTGTGGTGGCGAGCGCCTATAATCTCAGCTGCTCGGGAGGCTGAAATGGGAGAATTGCTTGAACCAGGGAGGTGGAGGTTGGAGTAAGCTGAGATCACACCACCGCACTCTGCTCCAGCCTGGGCAACAGAGCGCTAGACTCCATCTCAAAAAAAATAAAAAATAAAAAAGATAAATAAAGAAGGACACATCCTTACAGACCCACAGTGCATCTGGCCCAGCAAACTTAATGATCATTCCTTAACATCAGCTTAGACCCCGTCCAGACCTGGCTTCCATCAATGGCCTTTAAAATGGCCTCTTGCAGTTGGCTTAGGAAGCTGTGTTTGTGCCAGGCCCCAGGGCGCATCTGATGCCCTGAGGACCTGGCAGTCAGCTCTTGTTGCTGACATCAGACTCGCCCATCACTAGCAAGCCCAGCCTGCGGATGCCTCATGTGAGAGGCTGGCATGCCTCCCTGTGTCCCAGGCTACCTGCTCAACCTCTCAGCATGGCATTTATGGTGCCAAGGGGTGGCAGGCAGAGATGTAAAATGGGGAAGGAGATGGACAGACACCCTGCCTTGATTGGCCCCAAATGCTTTCTGCCTTGGGCTCCCTGTGGGTGACACTGAGGTGTCCACCTCTCTCTCTGGATCATGGGCTGGCTTTGGGGTCAGACGTTTCCACCATGGCTTTGCCTCCTCCTCTTGAATTGGGGTGAGTCCTAGGACAGGACACCCCACCTCCCTGACCCTCTGTCTCTTGTCAAAAAAAGTCTGTGAAAAGGTGACTAACTCCACTCCTTGTAAGCAAAACACAGAATGAAACTGTAATGAGAGCTCATTCATCTGCCACATCAGCAAAGACAAAAAAGCTCCAGCCATCGTTGCTGGGTGCAGGTGGGGACACAGGTGCTCCAGGTATATGCTGGAGGAACTGGAAACTAGCGCCACCCTGTGGACAGCGACGAGGTAGATTCTCTGCAATTTAAAAAATGCTCATGGCCGGGTGCGGTGGCTCACGCCTGTAATCCCAGCATTTTGGGAGGCGGAGGCGGGTGGATCACTTGAGGTCAGGAGTTCGAGACCAGCCTGGCCAACACGGTGAAACCCTGCCTCTACTAAAAATACAAAAAAAGTTAGCGGGTGTGGTGGCACATGCCTGTAATCCCAGCTACTCAGGAGGCTGAGGTAGGAGAATTGTTTGAACCCGGGAGGTGGAAGTTGCAGTGAGTCGAGATCGTGCCACTGCACTCCAACCCCAGGTGACAGAACGAGACTCTGTCTCAAAAAAAAAAAAAAATGTTCACACCTGAGTTGGGGTAGGGAGGTTGGGGAGAGATGAAACACAAGAGGTCACCGGTTCATCATTGATGGAGCTGGTGACAGCTGCCAGCTGGTGGTGGTGGGGCATTCATTACATTCTGCACTCTGTTTGCATACATGTTTGAAATTTTCCATGATAAGAAGATAACAATAAAAATTATTCAGCAATAAAAAGGAAGGAAACCTACTGCATGCTACAATGTGGATGAAACTTGAAAATGATGCCAAGAGAAAGCAGCCAGTCACAAAGGATCATATACGGCATGATTTCACTGCTATGAAATGTCCAGAATACGCAAGTCCATAGAGACCGAAAGCAGAAGAGTGGTTGCCAGAGGCTGTGGACAGGGCCTGGGGGGACAGCTAAAGGGTATGCGTTATCTTCTTGGGCTACTGAAAATGTTCTAAAAGTGACTGTATGATAGGTGCACAACTCTATGAATACACAAAATGCTATGGAATTGCACAGTTTAAATAGGTGAATGGTGTGACGTGAATTATATCTTAAAGCTGTTCGATTTTTTTAATGCTGAACGCAAACAAGAATCACAAGTCTCCTTGGAAATGGCATTTCATTTCTTTTTTTTCTTTTTTTTTGAGATGGAGTCTTGCTCTGACACCCAGGCTGGAGTGCAGTGGCTTAATCTTGGCTCACTGCAACCTCCGCCTCCCGGGTTCAAGCGATTCTCCTGCCTCAACCTCCCGAGTAGCTGGGATTACAGGCATGTGCCACCACGCCCAGCTAATTTTTGTATTTTTAGTAGAGACAGGGTTTCACCATGTTGGTCAGACTGGTCTCAAACTTCTGACCTCATGATCCGCCTGCCTCGGCCTCCCAAAGTGCTGGGATTACAGGTGTGAGCCACCGCGCCCAGCTGGCATTTCGTTTCTAAGAATTGAACCTACAGGTCTGTTTCCACAAGAGCACAAGAACCTGTTTACAAGGATATTCACGGTAGCTTGTTTCTTTTTGACCCAGAGTCTCACTTTGTCGCCCAGGCTGGAGTGCAGTGGCATGATCTCGGTTCACTGCAGCCTCCACCTCCCGGGCTCAAGAGATCCTCCCACCTCAGCCCCCCAAATAGCTGGGAGTAAAGGCGCACACCACCACGCCCAGGTAATTTTTTGTGTTTTTTGTAAAGACGAGGTTGCATCATGTTGCCCAGGCTGGTCTCAAACTCCTGAGCTCAAGCAAGCTGCCTGCTTTGGCCTCTGAAAGTGCTGGGATTACAGGCGTGAGCCACTGCGCTGGCTTAGCATTTTTTTTTTTAATTGTTCCAATAGTAATGGAATGGAAACAACCTAAGGCTCTATCTGCAAGGGATTGGCTGAAAGAATCATAGTTTATTTAAACAATAAAACCTTACGCAGCTGCAAAAAGGAATGAGGTCCATCTATTTTGAACCACAACTATGGCCAAAATATACCAGTCTGTAGGAAAGGGCAGTGGAGAGGGGGTCCAGAGCATCCTTCCATGGGAATGATGAGCTGAGTAATTTGTTTCTTTGTTTTGGGGTGTTTTGAGATGGGGTCTCATTCTATCACCAGCCTGGAGTACAGTGGTGCAATCATAGCTCACTGTAGTCTCCTACTCCTGGACTTAATCCTCCCACCTCAGCCTCCCAAGTAGCTGGGACTACAGATTTGCACCACCACACCTGGTTAATTTTTTTTTTTTTTAATTTTTAGTAGAGACAGGGTCTCACCATATTGCCCAGGCTGGTCTCAAACTCCTGGCCTCAAGTGATTCTCCCACCTCGGCCTCCCAAAGTGTTAGGATTACAGGAGTGAGCCAATGACAAGCTGAGTATTTAACTCTAGCACTGCCTGGCCCAGACTAACCTAGGCCAGAGTGCTGGGCCAGGGTCCAGGGGGGTCTCTAGTGGAAGGGTAGGGAGCTGGGGGGCCAGCTGGAGCAACCAACATCCAGGAACTTTTTTTTTTTTTTTTGGATGGAGTCTCGCTCTGCTCCAAGCTGGAGTGCAGTGGTGAGATCTTGGCTCACTGCAACCTCTGCCTCCCAGGTTCAAGCAATTCTCTAGCCTCAGCCTCCTGAGTAGCTGGGACTACAGGCGCCCACCACCATGTCTGGCTAATTTTTGTATTTTTAGTAGAGACGGGGTTTCACCATGTTGGCCAGGCTGGTCTCGAACTCCTGACCTCAGTCGGCCTCCCAAACTGTTGGGATTACAGGCGTGAGCCACTGCACTTGGCCGGAACTTTTGAACCAATAGAGAAATTGCTTCACATTTTTTTTATCACCACAGTGATGTTGACAGCTGAACATCAGCTGTGGGGTTAGAGAATGCCTCCTCCTATAGACAAATAATATGTGTCTTTTCTTATATTCTTAAAATATTTCTGGAAGGAGATACAAGAAGCTCAACAGTGGGAAACTAGGGCCAGGGAAGAGTGGGAAGGCTTGGTTTTGTCAGTACAACCTTTAGCCACATTCAGTTTATGTTACTACATGCATAGGTTGCTGCAAAGTTTTTATTTCTGAATTCCAAAAATCAGAGCTGCTGCCTGCGCCTGCCACACAGCAGGGCAGCTGCCAGGAGGGTCACATGAGCTCATGGTGACAAGAGGCCAGGCAGGACCTAAGAGGACAGGCTGGGAGGCCCAGGTCCCCATTGCAGCCACAGTCTGAATTTGTGTGCCAGCTGCCCAGCTGCGGAGTCATGCAGGCTGGGGAATTATGCAACCCTGGTTGGGAAATGCGGCGGGGTGGGGGTGGGAGAGGCCCAAGACCCTGTGTCAATAGGCCACAAGAGGCCCGGCTGTTTGCAGCCTGGGTAGACAGCCAAGCTACGCTCCATTTCCAGCACTTCCAATCCGGCCCTGGAGCCAACAATAGCTCCTGGGGCCTCCCACAGCGCCAGAGACCAGAAGACAATCAGACCCAGAGGCGGCCCTGGCTCAGCCCAGAAACACCTAAAGGTCTTTCTTTGGAGGGCTTGGTTAAAAGAATCATAGTTCACGCAAACAATGAAACATTACGCAGCCTCTGAAAAGGCGGAGGTCCACCTACGTACTTGTTACGGGTTGAATCATGTCTACACCACCCCCTCCTAAAAAGCATGTTGGGGATCTAAACCCCAGGACCTCAGAATGTGACAGTATTGGAAACAGGGTCATTACGGATGTAACGAGTTAAGATAAAATCATACCAGTGTAGGGTAGGAGGCCAGGTGCGGTGGCTCATGCCTGTAATCCCAGCACTTTGGGAGGCGGAGGCGGGAGGATCACTTGAAGTCAGCAGTTCGAGACCAGCCTGGCCAACTTAGTGAAACCCTGTCTCTACTAAAAGTACAAAAAAATTAGCCGGGTGTGGTGGCACACACGCCTGTGATCCCAACTACTTGGGAGGCTGAGGCAGGAGAATCGCTTGAACCCGGGAGGTGGAGGTTGCAGTGAGCCGAGATTGCACCACTTGCACTCCAGCAAGACTCCGTCTCAAAAAAACAAAAAGGTTGGGGCGGGGGGGTCGGGGGGAGGGGGGAGGGGGAATTTTGGACACAGATGCACACACAGGGAGCCGCCATGTGAACACAAAAGCAGAGATCGGGTGATGCGACTATGAGCCAGGGAACGCCGAAGATTGCCAGAAAACCACCAGGAGCCTAGGGAGAGACCTGCAGCCGATTCTCCCGGGATGAACCACCCTCACTAACACCACGATCCCGGGCGTCTGGCCTCCAGAACCACAAGACAATCAATTTCTGTTGTTTTAGGCACTAGGTTTGTGGTACTTTGTTAGCCTAAGCAAACTAATGCAGCACTGAGACAGAGCTGCTGTCAAAACATGCTGTTTGGTGAAAAAAGTGGGGGCACAGGCTGGGCGCAGCGGCTCACGCCTGGAATCCCAGCACTTTGAGAGGCCGAGGAGGGTGGATCACCTGATGTCAGGGGTTCGAGACCAGCCTGGCCAACATGGTGAAACCCCATGTCTACTAAAAATACAAAAATTATCCAGGCGAGGTGGCGGGCGCCTGTAATCCCAGTTACTCGGGAGGCTGAGGCAGGAGAATTACTTGAACACAGGAGGCAGAGGTTGCAGTGGGCTGAGATCACACCACTGCATTCCAGCCTGGGTAACAGAGTGAGACTCCCTCTCAAAAGAAAAAAAAAAGTGGGGGTGGGCACAGCACCCTGACACGGGGGTGATGAGCTGAGCATTTAACACCAAATAACCAGTGCCGCGCAGCCTGGGCCAACCTGAGCAGCCCTGGGACAGCGTCCTGAGCCTTCCCTAGAGCCTCAGCAGCCTCCTTCTGGTCTCAGCACCACCCACTCCAGTGTGTCTCTCACACGGCCCCCAAGGGGTCTTCTTGCTCCCAGAGCTGAATTTGTCCAACCCCTGCTCCCAGCCCTCCCACAGCTCCCCAGCACCCCAGGACAAAGTCCCAACCTCCTAGGCTGGCGTTTGAGAC
Organism: Homo sapiens; assembly: GCF_000001405.40. Lineage (NCBI taxonomy): Eukaryota > Metazoa > Chordata > Mammalia > Primates > Hominidae > Homo > Homo sapiens. Next base: position 50,232,871 of record NC_000019.10, on the reverse strand, counting down.
TCCCCACCCCTCTGCAGCTCCACCACCAGAAGTGTCAATCCCTCAAATATGCCACCCCTTTCCTGCCTCAGGGCCTTTGCACAGGCTGTTCCCTCTGCCAGGAATGCTCTTCCCCCACATCTCCAGTGCTCATTCCCTCACTTCCTCAGGACTTCGTTCAAACATCCCCATCTCAGTCCACCCTCCCCTGAGCCCCTGCTTAAAGCTGTGCCCCTCCCTCCCCCATCTTTCTCCATGGCACTCATGGTCTTTTTGTTTTTTTTTTTTTTTTTTTTTTTGAGACAGAGTCTCGCTCTGTTGACCAGGCTGCAGTGCAGTGGTGCGATCTCAGCTCACTGCAACCTCCGCCTCCTGGGTTCAAACTATTCTCCTGCCTAAGCCTCCTGAGTAGCTGGGATTACAGGTGCCCACCACCACGCCTGGCTAACTTTTTTGTATTTTCAGTAGAAACGGTGTTTCACCATATTGGCCAGGCTGGTCTTGAACTCCTGACCTCAAATGATCCACCTGCCTGGGACTCCCAAAGTGCTGGGATTACAGGCATGAGCCACTGCGCCCAGCTGCACTCATAGTCTACTAACAGGCCATGTGATTCCTTATTGACTTGGTTGGGGGCTCTCATTTTGTCAGCTTCCTCAAGGCAGAGATGTCTGTGAGCCTCATTCCCTGCTCTGGCCCCGGTGCCTGCACCCAGTAGGTGCTCAATAAACACTTGCTCAAAGAGATCGGGGCATGAATGGCCAGGTCCCCAGCTCTCCGTGGGGTTCCCCCCTACCCCTGGCCTCCACGGGGCTCACTCACAGATGATTTCCTCGTGGCTGAATCCCAGGACCCGCAGCGACTCCAGCGTCTCCTGGAAGAGTTCCCGCTCCTGGCCGGGAGAGGATGACGGCCCGTTGGTCAGGAACCGGTAGTGGGAGCAGGGCTCGAGGAGGAGGTCGGCTGCAGGGACAATGAGTGGGGTCAAGGTCAAAGGTGGGCTGTGCAGTCAGACTCATCCTGGATTCATCGGTGGCAATCCCAGGACATGCCATATCCTCACTGTCAAGTGGGTGGGGGCCTTTACTCACAAGTGTGGTGGGAAGGGTCGGGGGTGGAGTGGGCGTTTAGCACCTATGAGACCACCACTCTGTCTCTATTTTTTTTTTTTAATTTTTTAGAGACAGGGTCTTGCTCTGTTGCCCAGGCTGCAGTGCAGTGATGCAATCATGGCTCACCACAGCCTCAAACTCCTGGGCTCAAGCAATCCTCCCACCTCAGCCTCCCACATAGCTGGGACTACAGCTGTGTGCCACCATGCCCAGCTTATTATTATTGTTATTATTTACAGAGATGGGGGTCTCACTATGCTGCCCAGGCTGGACTCAAATTCCTGGGCTCAAGCAATCCTCCTGCCTCACCCTCCCAAAGTACTGGGATTGCAGGCATGAGTCCCCACGCAGTGTATACCACTCCTCTTTGCTCCCTCCGCAGGGACTTTTGAGTCTCTAGAAGTGCCCAGAGCAGGCAGGGGCCACTGGTTGGCAGAAGCAGTGGGGCTGCAGGCCCAAGTCAGCACAGGCCATGGGATGGCAGGGGCCGGCGCCCAAGGACATGCGGTCTCAAAGGCCACAGTGAGTGGGAACCTGGATGAGGAGGGGCTATGTGGCCGCAGGAGCCAGGAAGCGGCCTGAGCCACCAGGAGGAAGGAGCCAGGAGCAGAGGGAGCTACAGGGCAGTGCCAGCCACTGCAAACAGGAGCCAAGGGCGCTTGGGCAGCCAGAGGGCAGGAGGAACAGGGAGCAGGGACAGGAGGACTCCGGCAAGAGCCGTGGCCTAGGAGCCAGAGCAGAGGGGAGCACGAGGCAGCACGAGCCGAGAAGCAACACAAACCAGCGTCGTCAGGAACCAGGAGGAGCCTCAGCAAAGCCGGAGTCACCCGCCGGAGTGAGGAGAAGCCGCGCGAGAGAGAAGCCACGGAGCTTCGGAAGCGAGCGTGAGCAGGAGCCACCAGGCGGCGGGGGCTGCGTGGCCGTGACAGCGGGCGCGAGCCAGACCCGGGACAGAGCTGGAACCAGAGCGCAGCAGAACCCACCGTGCGACAGACGCCACTACGCAGCGAGAGCAGGGGCTGCGGGAGCCTCATGCGAAGTCGGTGTTTGACGGATATTAGAGCCCCCCACTCTTGCTTCCTCCCCAGAAGGGGCCCCCGAGAGACATGGTGCCCACCCTCTCCCGGGTGAGCAGGGTAGGACGGGGCGGCACTGACCTTTGAGCTGCTCTCCAGCGCCCCCCAGCAGCTGGTAGAAGATGTGGAAGCTGCACTCGTCCTTGGCCTGGCGGATGGCCCGCGACTTCTCCAGCAGGTCTGGACACAGCGAGTCAAGGTGCTAGAGGGGAAGGGACGGCCCCGACGCTGCCAGGCCACTACAGGAGCCTGCCCTGCCCACGCTGCCCCCTTCTCTCCTGTGGTGTAGTGGAGTCGCTCACAGCCCAGGCTGGTGACTTTGCCACTAACTGGAAGAGCAGCCGTGCTCATGTCACTTAAGCACTTGTGCCTCAGTTTCCTCATCTACCTGTTCAAGGGGCTTGAAAATAACACCTTTAGGAGACCTTCCTCTCTCTCTCTCTCTCTTTTTAGAGACAGGGTCTTGCTCTGTCTCTAAAAAACTCATCAACCCTGTGGGCGCAGTGGCTCACGCCTGTAATCCCAACACTTTGGAAAGCCAAGGCAGGCGGATCACCTGAGGTCAGGAGTTCAAGACCAGCCTGGCCAACATGGCAAAATCCCATCTCTACTAAAAATACAAAAATTATAGGTGTGATCGCGGGTGCCTGTAATCTCAGCTGCTTGGGAGGCTGAGGCAGGAGAATCGCTTGAACCCGGGAGGAGGAGGTTGCAGTGAGCCGAGATTGCGCCACTGCACTCCAGCCTGGGCGACAGAGTGAGACTCTGTCACAAAAACAAAACAAAGAAACCTCATCGACCCTGGATGAGTTGCTGTGAAGATAAATGACTTATTGTGCATGAAGCACCCTGAACAATGCCTGGTTCAAAGTTACCCGCAGGTGAGAATGTCTCCTGCCATTAGTACTCTCCCAGCCTCAGCTTCCCCATGCAGATAATCAGCTCCCACCTTCAACTAGACTGTCACTCTGCATGCTCTCCCTCCCAAGAAAGTCACGTGTCAAACTTACATATTAAAAGGTGGCAAGACTTTTGTTTGTTTTGTTTTGTTTTGTTTTGTTTTTTTAGACAGGGTCTGGCTCTGTTGCCTCAGCTGGAGCACAGCAGCACAATCACAGCTCACTGTAACCTCCGCCTCCCCAGCTCAAGCAATACTCCCACCTCAGCCTCAAGTAGCTGGGACTACAGGTGTGCACAACCACACCTGGCTAATTTTTAAATTTTCTTTATTTTAGTAGAGAGGAGGTCTGACTGGCCTCGAATTCCTGAGCTCAAGTGATCCTCCAGCCTTAGCCTCCCAAAGTGCTGGGATTACAGGCATGAGCCACTGCGCCCAGCCAAAACATCTTAGAGTAAAACAAAACACCAAAACACCATACACTTTGCTTAACCCCTCTGTGTCCCTCATGCACCACCACACTCATGCACCACCAAATACATATTTGGACCAAGATCAGCTGCAAACCTGAGGTCCATTTCCCAGAAGCCCTGGGGTGTAACCTGCTTGGTTAGATGGGGAGAAACAGGTGGAGGGGCTCCCACAAGGAAAGCTGGAAGGCAGGGAGCACACGCAGGCTGTCGAACCCTGGGGGACAACAGCCCTGAGCTTCGGTTTCCTCCTCTGTGAAGCGGGGGTGATAGCAGCAGCCACCTCGCAGGGTTGCAGAGAGGAGGAACTGAGATATCATGGGGACTCTCGAGGTGGCGGTGGGCACACAGTCAGCACTCCAGAAAAGCTGGTCACGATGGCACTGATGCTAGTGCCGAGGGGTCAGCCACACAGGGTGGTGCTCCTTACCCGGCAGGCCATCCCAAGACTCATACGATTGGCCTGGGGGCGGGACCTGATTCATGAGCATCAATCCACTGGTGCCTGAGACAGCCGGGACCACAGCTGTGCCCAGGAGGGGCAGCCACACTGCATGGGGAGCGTGGACAGGAGAAAGTGAGCAGGTGGAAGCGGACAGAGAAGGCAAATATGAATATAAGCAGAGACACACAAGTGCCAGGACAGTTTGGCAGGAAGAGCCATGAGCTCCAAGAACCTGGATATGCAGGTACCATGGAGAGGTGGGAGCCAAGGGCAAGAGGACCTGGAGGAAGGAGCAGCCATGAGCAGAAAACGGCAGGAGCAGGGGCTGCGGTGCTGCTGGGGACTTGGGGTGGTGACAGCCCAGGAAGCATCTCCCACAAGGCAGCAGAACCAACGGGCCGGCTGGCTGCTTCATGCCCTGAGCAGACTTAGGAGAAACCCCTCCCCACTGATTATGGAAGAGCGTGAGCTTATCAGATGCCTCTGGGATGGGGATGTGGCTTATTAGCAGTTGTTAATGTTATTGATTAGTAATTATCAATCAATATTAGTCAATAATATTAGCATTGATACAGATATTGCTAATTTAACCTTTTTTTTTTTTTTGACACAGAGTCTCGCTCTGTCACCCAGGTTGGAGTGCAGTGGCGTGATCTCGGCTCACTGCAACCTCTGCCTCCCAGGTTCAAGCAATTCTCCTGCCTCAGCCTCCATAGTAGCTGGGACTACAAGCATGCGCCACCACGCCCGGCTAATTTTTTTGTATTTTTATTAGAGACAGGGTTTCACCATGTTGGCCTGGCTGGTCTCAAACTCCTGGCTTCAAATGATCCACCGGCCTTGGCCTCCCAAAGTGCTGGGATTACAAGCATGAGCCACCGTGCCTGGCCACTAATTTAATCATTAATTGCTAATAATAGCTTGTTCTTGAGTGCCTGCTATGTAGCAGGTGCTGTGGCCAAGCATTTAACTCCAAAATCCTCCAAACCCCTCTTGGGTAGGTTCTATGTTCCTTCTCCTTCTACAGAGGGAGAAACTGAGGCAGGGAAAGGCCAAGTCACGTACCCAAGTCCCCAGAGTCTCAAAGTGGCAGAACTGGGATTTGAACCCAGGTTGGTACGATTTCTTGGCCCATTCTCTTAATTTCTGCACTCCCAGAGTGCCTGTGTTTTATTGTTTAATTTCCTTTAAACGCCCATATGCCATCTGAGCAGAAAACAGCCGTCCTGAGATGCTCCCCTGGAAAGGCCTGCTGGCCAGGTGGGCCCCTGGCTAGCGTCTGGGCACCTGGATTTCGGGAGGGTTCCAGCATCCTCTAACAGGATGAGGGGTTCGCTAGACCTAAAGGGTTTGTGCAAACACTGTGGTTTACACTGATCACCTGCTTTCCTCCCGGGAGTGTGGAATTTTGGTTCATACTAAGGGCGGGGGACGGGGGGTGCAGGCGGGGATGTGGCCAGCCACCAGTGAAAACCCTGGTAGTGAGTCTCTCTGTGCTTCCCCGGGACAGCATTTCATAAGTGTTGTCGCACCTGGTGTCCTGTGTGCCTCTGCTGGAGAGGGTTCTAGGAGCTTGTGCCTGGTCCCTGGGGACTTGGCCCCACGTGCCTTTTCCCTTTGCTTATACTGCTCTATGTCATTTCACTGTCATGGGTCACCATGAGTGCCACTGCAGGCTAAGTGCTGGGACTCCCCTTATGGCTGAACTGGGTGGACCCCAACCCACCACCCCATAGCGAGGCTGTGCTGGCCTCATACACACCAGAAGTCCCACCCTCCCCTCCCCATGCAGATGCCGCCTGAGCATCAGGTCCCATCTGAGTAGCAGGTAAGGGGTCCCTGCAGTGGGAGGTGCTTTCCATACTCAGTGCTGTCTGAAAGGCTGCCCCCCTTGGCTGCCACCCCCATGGGCTGTGAGAGGATACAGGTCTCAATGTTGGCGCCCACGATGTACCCGGCAACATCAAAGTTGATGCGGATGAATTTGCCCTGGGAGAGACCAAAGTGGGTGGGCTTCAGCAGAGGGTCCCCTTCCCCACTCACACGTGAACAACAGCCCAAACCCCACACCCACTGCTCCCAGAGCTGCGGCTGCCCCCCCACTTCCTTGCTCCCTCTACCTGAACCCCATCCTGTGGTGAGTCCCCATCGGGGGGCTCCTTGGGAATTCAAGGTCCGGGCCCCTTGGACTTCTTTCCCCAGCCCCCTGGTCCCCAGCTGCTCCTCCCTTGGAACTAGGCACGCAGCCTCCAGCCCCTCCTCCCTCAGACCCAGGGATCCGGGCCTGCACTCCCTCATCCCTCAGACTCAAGAGTCCAGGGCCCCAGCCCCTCCTCCTTCAGACCCAGGGATCTGGGCCCCCAGCCCCTCCTCCTTCAGACCCAGGGGTCCAGGCCACCAGCCCCTCCTCCCTCAGACTCAAAAGTCCAGGCCCCCAGCCCCTCCTCCCTCAGACCCAGGGGTCCAGGCCCCCAGCCCCTCCTCCCTCAGACTCAAAAGTCCAGGCCCCCAGCCCCTCCTCCCTCAGACCCAGGGGTCTGGGGCTCCCAGCCCCTCCTCCCTCAGACCCAGGGGTCCAGGCCCCCAGCCCCTCCTCCCCCAGACTCAAGAGTCCAGGTCCCCAGCCCCTCCTCCCTCAGACTCAAGAATCCAGGGCCCCAGCCCCTCCTCCCTCAGACCCAGAGGTTCAGGCCCCCAGCCCCTCCTCCCTCAGACTCAAAAGTCCAGGCCCCCAGCCCCTCCTCCCTCAGACCCAGGGGTCCAGGTCCCCAGCCCCTCCTCCCTCAGACTCAAAAGTCCAGGCCCCCAGCCCCTCCTCCCTCAGACCCAGGGGTCTGGGGCTCCCAGCCCCTCCTCCCTCAGACCCAGGGGTCCAGGCCCCCAGCCCCTCCTCCCCCAGACTCAAGAGTCCAGGTCCCCAGCCCCTCCTCCCTCAGACTCAAGAATCCAGGGCCCCAGCCCCTCCTCCCTCAGACCCAGAGGTTCAGGCCCCCAGCCCCTCCTCCCTCAGACTCAAGAGTCCAGGCCCCCAGCCCCTCCTCCCTCAGACCCAGGGGTCCAGGCCCCCAGCCCCTCCTCCCTCAGACTCAAGAGTCCAGACCCCCAGCCCCTCCTCCCTCAACAGATCCACGTGTCTTTCCCCCTGAAGCCCACCCTGAGGTTCCCAGCTCCTGTATCCCTGACACAGCCAGCACTGCCCACCCCTGGCACTCACGAATCGGGAGGAGTTGTCATTCTTCACTGTCTTGGCATTGCCAAAGGCCTCTAGGATGGGGTTGGCCTGAAGCAGCTGCCGCTCCAGCTCACCCTGCCGGGCACAGGAGATGATGCATGAGGTCAGTGAGAATGGGGCAGGAGGCCAGGCCAGCCCAGCTCGGGCTGTGTCTCCAGCTGACTGAGTATCTGTGTGTGAGGGGCCTTTGTGTGTCTGGGCGTGTACCCACTTCCCATATCCGGGTCTTGCCCATCTGTCTATTGTGAGGGGAAGAGGGAAGCATCTCCAAGACATGTTGTTAAGTGGAAACCAAACCAAACCAAGCCAAACAAAAAAACAAGTTGCAGAACAATGTCTACAATGTTATCCCATTAATAAGAAATGAATTAAGGAAGAAACGCCACAAAACAGGACTCTTAAATCTACAGATATATACATGTTTGTAAACATATGGAGAAAGGTCTGCAAGGATGCACACCAAACTGTCAACAGTGTAAGGCACTCCAAGGAAGGGGACTGAGGGGAGGAAACAGGAATTTCATTTCATCTGATTTGTTGTTGTTACAATGAATATGTACTCATGTGTTGCTTGTAGAAATTCTGGAGTGCAGTGGCATGGTCATAACTCATAGCAGCCTCAAATTCCTGGGCTCAAGGAATCCTCTCACCTCAGCCTCCTGAGTAGCTGGGACTACAGGCAAGCACCACCATGCCCAGCTACTTTTTAAAATTTTTAGTAGAGATGGGGTCTCACTCTTTTGCCTAGCCTGGTCTTGAACTCCTGGCCTCAAGCAATCCTCCCACTTCAGCCTTCCAAAGTGCTGGGATTATAGACCTGAGCCACCAAACCCAGCCTAGAATTTTTAAGTAAGGCAAAAATCTGTACCACCTATGTAAAGTGCTTCAAGCAGTCTGGCATATAATAGGCCTTCAAAAAATAGTGGGTTCCTAGCCCCACCAGGCTACTCCTTGGCAGGAACTCTACTCCAAACTTCCCTCCAGCCCCCTTGGTGTCAGAGCCTGGCACACAGTAGGTGCTTCATAAATGGCAGCCTGTTTATGTCTTCTCTCAGTCCATGTCTTGCTTGTGTTAAGATGAAATGATCTAGCTAGGTGGATGCTTTGTCAAATGAAAAGATACACAAAGTGAAGGGCACATGACTTGGCACACAGAAGAACATGGGACATGCGTGTATTTCCCTTGCTACACTGTTCACTCTGGTTGTGTGCACGCAGCATCTGTGGGCCCTGGCTGGACACATTTAGTAGATCAGCAGTAAGTGGCAGTTTTGTTCTCTGGATTGTTTCATGTTGGTGTCTGTGGCCCATCTGCACACACTCACACAGCAGGGCCGCCATGAATAGCAGTGGTGGGGCAGAGGGGTCCCTGGCAGGTGGGACCACTGCTGCCTTGGGCCCTGTCTACCAAGAAGATCATGCATTGGGTGGCCGGGAAGGCATTAGGGGCAGCAAGACTCGAGGTGATCCCCTGCTACTCACATAAGACACGGTGCTGACGGAGGCCTGAGGAAGTCACGGGACACGAGACACGGACCAGGACACAGCACATGGAACGTGGACAGACACACAGGTGAACCAGTGATCTCAGGTGGTGGCATGGGGGGTGGGGGAAGGGGGACTGGGGAAACCGGGCATGTGGAGTAGGGTGGCCTGGAGGACCACACTCCTGGGTTTGAATCCCACTCTACCTCCTTTATTCAAAAATGTTTTTTGTAGCGATGGGGTCCCACTATATTACCCAGGCTGGTCTTGAATTCCTGGGCTCAAGCGATCCTCCTGCCTCGGCCTCCCAAACTGCTGGGATTACAGGCATGAGCCACTGTGCCCGGCCTCACTGTACCTCTTCCTCGGTGCATGACCAACAACTGACTCACCCCTCCCATGCCTGGGCTCTCCGTCTTCAGTGCAGGAAAACAGCACCCACCCCACCCGAGGGGTAAGTAAGGCAGTGTGAGAACAGGGCTTGGAACAGTGGAGGGCACCATATAACATTCACTTAGACGACAAACCCAGGCATCATGATCACCTAAAATCAGGCTTGACACAGTAGGTGCTCAGAAAAGAAAGCACCTACTAAGTACTAGGAGCCATTCCGAGAGCCAGTGAGACCAAGACTGACCCTCACACCTCTGTGTCCCCCTGACTCTGCTTCCAGCCCCACCCCAGGCACACAGTAGGTGCTCAGGTGGCATAGGCGTCTAGGAGAAGGACCTCCATGAGGGGAAGAGACAATTGTGGGGAAAGCCCAAGATGGAAGGGGCAGTGCTGTGGCAGGGCCCGGGGGTGACCCAAGGCGGGGTTGCTTACGGGGACACCCGGCTCCTTCCTGCCCTTTGGAGACGACGCCACGTGGGCGAGGTACTGGATGACCTTCTTGGTGTTTTCCGTCTTCCCAGCTCCAGACTCTCCACTGTGGGGATGACAAGGGGAAGCAAAGGGGTTGGCAATGACCTCAGGCAAGCTCCCCACCTGCCCTGCCCATTCCAAACACAGCCACGCCCCACCCAGACCTCTCCTCCTCCAGGAAGTCCTTCCAGATTACTCACGTGCAGAGAATGGACTGGTCCTCACGATCTGTAGGGGACAGAGTGGGGGAATATGTCATCTGAGAGAGTCTCTAGCAGGGCCCTCTGGTCCCTTACACTGGCCGCTGCATTTTAAAAATTATTCCCAGGGAGTAAGGAAAAGCTTGGGTCTTGATGTGTAACAATCCTGGATTCTAATTCCCCACCCAGCTCAGCCCCCTGCTCGCTGTGTGACCCTGGGAAAGCAGCTGTCCCTCTCTGAGCCTTGGTTTCCTCACCCGTAAAATGGAGACAGCCTCCCTCAACTGAAGAGAATATGATTCATTCAACGACCTCAACGTGAGACCCTACTGTGTGCTGCCTCATGCTGGGCATGTGAGATTCAAAGACAGAAGCGAGGTCCTGTAATATAAGATGTCTACCCCAGCGCCTGCCCTGGGCCTAACACAGCCATTCCACAATCACATGCTGACCACCTACTGAGCGCCAGGCATGGAGGGGAGTGGGGAACTGGCAGGGTGTGTGCCCCTACAGAGCTTCCACTTAAGATGTAGGGGACAGAAACCTACAATCAAATACCGATCAGCACTGGGAAGAAAATTGAATCAGTACTAGAATAAAGCAGTGGTTCTTTTTTTTTTTTTTTTTTTTTGAGACGGAGTCTTGCTCTGTCGCCCAGGCTGGAGTACAGTGGCGCAATCTCGGCTCACTGCAAGCTCTGCCTCTCGGGTTCACGCCATTCTCCTGCCTCAACCTCCCAAGTACCTGGGACTAGAGGCGCCCACCACCACGCCCAGCTAATTTTTTGTATTTTAAGTAGAGACAGGGTTTCACTGTGTTAGCCAGGATGGTCTCGATCTCCTGACCTCGTGATCCACCGGCCTCGGCCTCCCAAAGTGCTGGGATTACAGGTATGAGCCACTGCACCCGGCCGAAGCAGTGGTTCTTAAACGGGGGTAATTATGTCCTCCATTCCCGCCAGGAGACACCTGGCAATGTCTGGGAGACATTTTTGGTTATTACCCTGAGAGAGGAGAGCTCCATGGGCACTGAGTGGGTAGAGGCCGGGGTGCTACTAAACATCCTACAATGACCAGGACAGCCTCCCACGACAAAGAATCATCCAGCCCCAAATGTCAGTAGAGCCAGGATTCCAAAACCCTGGTGTTAGGTAATAAGAATTGACTTGGGGGAAGGAGCAGGGAAGGCTTCTCAGTGGAGGTGGCATTTCAGGCAGAGGGCACAGCCAGGGGAAAGGCTCTGAGTTAGAAATGTTTGAGAGACAGAAAGGCCAGTGAGGTTGGGGGATAGGGCAGAGATGGCGAGTGGTGGGATGGGTTTTAAAGCAGCGATTAGGCTGGACACAGTGGCTCATACCTGTAATCCCAGCACTTTGGGAGGCCGAGGCCAGCAGATCACCCGAAGTCAGGAGTTCAAGACCAGCCTGGGCAACATGGTGAAACCCCATCTCTACTAAAAATACAAAAATTAGCCAGGCATGGTGGCGCCACCTATAATCCCCAGCTACTCAGGAGGCTGAGGCAGAAGAATCACTTGAACCCGGGAGGCGGAGGTTGCAGTGAGCCAAGATCGTGCCATTGCACTCCAGCCTGGGTGACAAGAGTGAGGCTCCGTCTCTAAATAAATAAATTTAAATAAATAAAGCCATGATCAAAGGGTCTGAATGTTTTTTTAAGCAGGACAGGCATCCTCTGGGTGTCTTCAAGCCAGGGAGTAAGCTGCGTCCAGTAGGACCTCAGACTTGGCAGCCTGGTATGGGGGACTATATGCACACAGGTTCACCGCCCGGCTGCCTCTCTGACTTGCTGCGTGACCTTGGGCCAGTCTCTGAGTTGCTTTGTGCCTCTGTTTTCCCATCTGAAAAATGGGGCTCAAAACAGCTGCCATCTCCCAGGGCTGTAGTCAGAACTCAGAATGCTCAAAATGCACTCAGCACAGTGCACGGCACAGGAGGAAATATAACACACAGTGTGACATACAGGGAGGCGGTGGTCAGGGGCCCTGGGTTCGAATCCCACCTCAGCATACACCCACCAGTGTGACCATGACTGTTTTGCTCTGTGCCTCAGTTTCCCCACCCAGAAATCAGGGACAAGGAGATAACCTATTTCATAGATTTGCTACGAGGTTAAATGAATTAATCCAGCAGAAACTGATAGACCTGCCAGGAGAAATAGATGAATCCACTATTCTACCTGGAGACTTCAGTATTCCCATTTGATACTCCCATTTAATATGCATATTAAATAAGCATATTAGGCCGGGCATGGTGGCTCATGCCTGTAATCCCAGCACTTTGGGAGGCTGAGGTAGGCGGATCACCTGAGGTCAGGAGTTCGAGACCAGCCCGGCCAACATGGTGAAACCTGGTCTCTACTAAAAATACAAAAATTAGCTGTGCATGGTGGCATGTGCCTGTAGTCCCAGCCACTCGGGAGGCTGAGGCAGGACAATGGCTTGAACCCGGGAGGAGGTTGCAGCGAGCTAAGGTCATGCCACTGCACTCCAGCTTGGGTGACAGAGTGAGACTCTGTCTCAAAAAAAAAAATAAGCATAATATGTTTACAATATTATGCTATTTAATATACCATTTAATTTAATATGTTATACTATTTAATTTAACACATTATACTTATTGAATATGCATATTAATAGGTATAATTTATTAAATCAACATTACATTTATATAATAATAAAATAAATATAAAGTATAATAAAATAAAAATGAAGTATAATAAAAATAAAGTATAATAAAATAAAATACTTATTGAATATGCATATTAAATAAGCATAATATATTCACAATATTATACTATTTAATCAAATATATAAATTTAATAATTTGCTCATATTTAATATGCATATTCAATAAGTATAATATATTCATATTCAGGCCCTGAGGTAGGACTGACTTAGGGATGTTTGACAGACAGGAAGGTGGGTGAGGCTGGGGTGCGGGACGGAAATGGCGAGCGGCACCGATGGGTTTCGAAGCCATGATCGAAGGGTCTGAATGTTGTGTACTATTACATGGGGTTTTTCCTTTTTTAACAAAAACTTGTTAAATTTTTTTGTAGAGACAGGGTCTTGTTATGTTGCCCAGGCTGGTCTTGAGCTCCTGAACTCAAGCAATTCTCCTGCCTTGGCCTCCCAAAGTGCTGGGATTACAGGTGTGAGCCACCGCCCCTGGCCTATTATATGTTATATGATGTAAATAGATATAATTTTTAAATGTTTAATAGATATAAACAAAAAATACTAAATATCTATGAAAATAGATGATATATAGCAAATATATAATAAGGGCATTATATCTATAATAGATGTTAATCATGTAATTCTGCCAGGACTGATCTATGTTGTCATGGTATGAATGGCAGCCCCTTGGATGGATACCCTTGTTCAGTGTACAACCTGCTCAGCTGTACACAACTGCCTTGACCTGCCATCTGTCTAAGGGGCTACATTTACCCCGTGACAATGGAGATCAGATCTACAATTCAACGATAAATGTTGAATAAATGAATGAACACTCTGGGAATTACTGTCTCAAGGGAAATGTTCGTAAAAGCCCCACACCCAACCAATATTGTTCGGAGAAAGAGGGAACAAAGATCTTTAAAGAATCTCCATACTGTTTTCAATAGTGGTTGTACTAGTTTACATTCCACCAGCAGTGTAAAAGTGTTCCCATTTCACCGTATCCACACCAACATGTTATTTTTTGATTTTTTAATTATGGAAAACAGTATGGAGATTACTTAAAGAACCAAAAGTAGATATATCATTTGATCCAGCAACCCTACTCTGGGGTATCCACCCAGAGGAAAAGAAGCTATTATATGAAAAAGACACTTGCACACACATGTTTATAGCAGCACAATTCACAATTGCAAAAATATGGAACCAGACTAAATGCCCATCAACCAACGAGTAGATAAACTGTGATACATATATATATGTATTCCATGGTGTGTATACACACACACACATATATATCCCATGGTGTGTGTGTGAGTGTATACACACCATGGAATACTCATATATATATATATAGAGAGAGAGAGTATATATCCCATGGTGTGTATATATAAAAAATATATATATACACACCATGGGATATATAGACACACATACACCATGGAATACTACTCAGCCATAAAAGGGAATGAAATAATGGCATTCACAGCAACCTGGATGAAATTGGAGACCATTATTGTAAGTGAGGTAACTCGGGAATGGAAAATCAAACATCGTATGTTCTCACTTGTAAGTGGGAGCTAAGTTCTGAGGATGCAAAAACATAAGAATGACACAACTGACTTTGGGGACTCAGGGTGAAGGGTAGTGGGGGGTGGTGAGGGATAGATTACACATTGGGTGCAGTGTACACTGCTCCGATGGCAAGTGCACCAAAATCTCAGAAATCGCCACCAAAGAACTTTTCCATGCAACCAAACCCCGCCTGTTTCCCAAAAACTATTGAAATAAAAAATAAATTAATTTTTTTTTTGAGACAGAGTCTCCCTGTGTCTCCCAGGCTGGAGTGCAGTGGCGCGATCTCGGCTCACTGCAAGCTCCGCCTCCCGGGTTCACGCCATTCTCCTGCCTCAGCCTCCCGAGTAGCTGGGACTACAGGTGCCCGCCACCAGGCCCGGCTAATTCTTTTTGTATTTTTAGTAGAGACGGGGTTTCACCGTGTTAGCCAGAATGGTCTCGATCTCCTGACCTCGTGATCCGCCTGCCTCAGCCTCCCAAAGTGCTGGGATTACAGGCGTGAGCCACCGCGCCTGGCCAAAAATAAATTAATTTATTTAAAAATTTAAAAAGAGGCCAGGCATGGTGGCTTATGCCTGTAATCCCAGAACTTTGGAAGGCCGAGGTGGGCAGATCACTTGAGGTCAGGAGTTTGAGACCAGCCTGGCCAACATGGTGAAACCCCATCTCTTAGCCAGGCGCAGTGGTGCACGCCTGTAGTCCCAGCCACTTGGGAGGCTGAGGCACGAGAATCGCTTGAGCCCAGGAGGCAGAGGTTGCAGTGAGCCAAGATCATGCCACTGCACTCCAGCCTGGGTGACGGAGCAAGACTCCGTCTCAAACTAATAATAATAATAACAATAATAAAAGAGACAATGAACATGGAGACAGGTAAAAAGACTCTAGGACCTAGCACCTCACCCACTCAGGCCTCTACTTGTGCTCCCTCCAGCCCCCTAAGAAGCCCTACAGAGTCAAGTCTACAAGCTGTCATTTGACCTGGACTCTGGCTTCCGGCAGCCCCAGGTCAGGCCCCCGTTGAAGAGCCGCCTCGCTGGCCTACAGCCCCACCCAGCACTCACCCTGCAGCATGCTCCGATAGGCCCCCTCGGTCACTGCGTACACGTGGGGTGGCACCTCGTGGCGCTTCTTGCCCCGGTACATCTCCACAATGGCTTCTGTGTAGATGGGAAGCTGCTTGTACGGGTTGATGACCACACAGAAAAGGCCGGAGTACGTCTGCAGTGGGTGAGAGGGGAGAGGGTCTCAGATGGCTGCCCACGGCCTGAAAGGCGTCATGGGGCTGCTGAGCAGGCCGTGCACTGCACAAGGGCATCTATCTGCACATGGTATGTCTACACCATAACAATGTAGATTTGAATGTTTGTTATGAGCATTTTCAGGCTGATGGTAGCAAAGAATCTTTCCAAATTGCACAAAGGCACTGTCTGGGTGAGGATTTGTCCTGAGAGAGAACAAGGCCTTTGCAGCCAGCCAGACTTGGGTCACAGCCTGTGGCTGCCTGGACTCACACAGGAAATGACCATGTGCGAGGTGACCGGTTGAGGCACTCTTTGTAGCAGCAAAAGACTAGAAACGACCTGAATGCATCTTCATACGATGCATTCCTACAAAGCTCTTATGTATAGACATGGGACTGTCTTCAAATCAATATCAAGTAAAAGGAGGTGAGTTGAGGACTGCGTGAGGAGCTACCATTTGCATTAGAAAGGATGGAAGAGGAGGGCCGGGCACGGTGGCTCACGCCTGCAATCCCAGCACTTTGGGAAGCCGAGACGGGTGGATCACGAGGTCAGGAGTTCGAGCCCAGCCTGGCCAGCATGGTGAAACCCCATCTCTACTAAAAGTACAAAAAAAATTAGCCAGGTGTGGTGACACATGCCTGTAGTCCCAGCTACTTGGGAGGCTGAGGCAGAAGAATTGTTTGAACCTGGCAGGCGGAGGTTGCAGTAAGCCAAGATTGCGCCACTGCACTCCAGCCTGGGCAACAGAGCGAGACTCTGTCTCAAAAAAAAAAAAAAAAAAAAAAAAGAAAGGATGGAAGAGGAATCTTTTTATATATTTTTATATATTCATTTGAATATGCATGGACTATCTCTGGAAGGGTGCCTGTGGTATCTGCAATAACCGAAATGCAACAGGAACATACCTGCGGTTTCTACTGATAATAGACACATAACAGTCCTGCTGACATGACCATGCCTAGTCTTTTTTTTTTTTCCCCTCTTTGAGACAGGGTCTTACTCTGTCACCCAGGCTGGAGTGCAGTGGTACAATCATGGCTCACTGCAGCCTCCACCTCCTAGACTAAAGCAATCCTCTCACCTCAGCCTCGAGAGTAGCTGGGATCACAAGTGTGTGTCAATCCACTAGGCTAATTTTTCTTATTTTTAGTAGAGACGGGGTCTCACTACGTTGCCCAGGCTGCTCTTGAATTCCTGGGCTCAACTAATTCTCCCACTACAGCCTCCCAAAGTGCCGGGATTACAGGCTTGAGTCACCGCACCTGGTGTATTTTTTTGTAGACACAGGGTCTCTCTATGTTGCCCAGGCTGGTCTTGAACTCCTGACCTCAAGTGATCTGCCCACCTCGGCCTCCCAAAGTGCTGGGATTAGAGATGTGAACCTTCACACCCGGCCTCAGGACTCTGTAACAGTTTAAGAACAAATCCAGCTCACAAGGGTATCATGTAGGCAAGAGGGGCTCAACACTCACAGAAGCAGTTAAACATAGCTAGAGAGCTAGTTAGCCACTTAGCTAAACCAGCCAGAGAGCTAACTAGCCAAGCTATCTAAAGTTAGCTAGCTAAACTAGCCAGAGAATTACCTGCTTAGTGGCTTAGCTAGTTAGCTACTCTGGGCTTGTCGCTTGACTTTGAAGCCACCCGGGATTCAAATTCAGATGTGTTTTCTAGCTGTGTGTGATAAAGTAGGGTAACCTACTCTGCTAGTCACCCAGCTAGCTGGTTTCTAAGCTGGTTAGCAGCAGGACTATCTTTTTCTTTTGTTTTTTAGAAACAGGATCTCACTTTGTCACCCAGGCTGGAGTGCAGTGGCATGAACACAGCTCACTGCAGCCTCTACCTCCTGGGCTCAAACAATCCTCCCACCTCAGCCTCCCAAGCAGATGGGACCACAGGTATGCACCACCATGCTTGGCCAATTTTTAAAATTTTTACTTTTTGTAGAGATCAGGTCTCACTATGTTGCCCAGGCTGGTCTTGAACCCCTGGCTCAAGTGATCTTCCCACCCCGGCATGCCTGGGATTACAGGCATGAGCCACTGTGCCCGGCCAGCAGAACTGTTTTAAGCTCCCAGGGAGCTTGAGCTTCTCAAGCACAGTAGGGTGTGGCCACCACAGGCTGCCTGGTCCCAGGTGCCA
Organism: Homo sapiens; assembly: GCF_000001405.40. Lineage (NCBI taxonomy): Eukaryota > Metazoa > Chordata > Mammalia > Primates > Hominidae > Homo > Homo sapiens. The sequence goes on along the minus strand of NC_000019.10, from coordinate 50,215,449 downwards.
ACCTTCTAACGGTGGGAGGGTGGGTGGCCTGGGTGGCCAGCCAGGAGCAGAACAACCGGTTTGCTGGGTGTCTGCCCTCCCTGCCTGAAAGGGCTGCTCCGGGAGCTCCCCCCAGCTCTCAGAGGGTGGGGCGGCCGGACCACATTCCCTGGGAGGGTATCTCATGGCTGCCGGCGCCCCGGCCCCCACTCCTGGCTGGCGGAGGAACCCACTCCCCACGCCACCCTCCCACCCTGGCCCCTCCTGCCAGCCACACCTTGTTTCCAGGGCGACACCCTGGGAACGGAAACCTGAGCTGGTCAACAAGGCTGGGGGGAAGAACAAAGGCTGGTGCACCCCCACAGGGTGGGAGACAGCTGGGGAAGCCCTCCTGGAAGGGTCAGGAATGGCTGCTCCAGCCCTCGGGGCTCTGAAGACAGACCTGCCCCCCCGCTCCCCTCAGCCTGGTGACTTTCCCCATAGTCTCAGTTTCCTCCTTGGGAAACCGAGGGCGACACTCCCCACCTCATTACAAAGGCTGTGGGGATTAGGGGAGATCATGGATAAAAACCAGCCAGGCCGAGGCGGGGCCCATGCAACACACGCCAGATATGGGTCTGGAGACTCTTACATCACTCATCCTACCTGGGAGCCCTAGGCTAACTCGGAATTTTTTGGACGGGGGCGGGTGGGACAGAGTCTGGCTCTGTCGCCCAGGCTGGAGTGTAGTGGCACGATCCTGGCTCACTGCAGCCTCAAACTCTCAGGCTCATCACTCAGACTTTGAAGCCATCCAGTGTTCAAATTCAGATGCAGCATTTTTGAGCTGTGTGTGAATTTGAATGAAGGATGTGTCCTCTCTAAACCTCAGTTTCCAGCCCTGGAAAATGCGGCTTTTAACCCATCACCTAGAAGTGTTCTGAGTGTGAAATCACATAATGCATCTTCCGTGTTTCTCAGAGCGGGGTGTTCTACGAAGGGGTTCCCTCCCTGCCCCAAGGGTCCCAGGAAAGGGACTGAGACTCTTAGCAACTCAAAGCCAAACAGCCTATTAGTGGCAGAAACTGGGTTTCTGGAGCCCTGGATGTCCCACTTTTCACTGGACAACACCACCATCCCCATCATCAGTTGGTCAGTCAACAAACATGTATTAAGCACAGGTCTTAAATAGGGCAGAGTTTGAATCACACCTGTAACATTTTCAGGCCAGGTGGCTCCAGCAAGCAACCTTTCAGGGTCTCAGTGTCTTTAGCTAACGGGGACAGAAATAGTGCTTCCTACATAAGGTGCCTGGGAGTCATCCACAAGTTCATGTGGCATGCAGAGGGTTTAATGTGAACCCCAGCTGGGCACAGCAGTGGCTCAAGCCTGTAAATCCAGCAGTTTGAGAGGCCCAGGCAAGAGGATCACTTGAGTCCAGGAGTTTGAGACTAGCCTGGGTAACATTGTGAAACACTGTCTCTACAACAAATTAAAAAATCAGCCAGGCTTGGTGGTATGTGCCTGTAGTCCCAGCTACTTAGGAGGCTGAGGCAGGAGGATCACTTGAGCCCAGGAGGTTGAGCTGCAGTGAGCTGTAAGCATGCCATTGCACTCCAGCCTGTGTGACAGAGCAAGGCTATGTCTAAAACAAACAAACAAACAAAAAACAGAACATGGACCTTGAAACACTGCATGCTCAATATTTTAGCCACTATCAGCTTCTGTTGGGCAAATGGCTTCCCCTCTCCAAGCTGTGGGAAAAAGAGGGTGATAATCCCTACCTCACAACCTTATGTGGATGGGGAGGGGGTCAATAAGATCATATTGGAAAGAAATTTAGAACAGCACCCAGCAGAGAAAGCAGGTACTCACTAAGTGCTAATGATCTTTATTAAGGCCCAATGTGCTTCCTGTCTGGAATTCTAGAATCTTCTCTCTCACATTCATTTCTTAGGCCCCAAAAGTCTGGCTCCCTGGCCACCACCTTAGCTCAGGCCCTACCACTTTTTCTCCTGAACTTTCTGAATAATCTTCCTAGTGCAATGGCTAGGACCTGGGGTCTGCAGTCACAGTGACCTGGTTTCAAGTTCTAGCTTAGCTGGTTCCTAGTTGTGGGGCTTATGTTCAAATCCTGCCCCCTAGTCTGAGGCTCAGCTTCCCCACCTGCAGAGCGGGGATGACAGCAGATACCTTACAAGGTTGCTGGGAGCGCTCAGAGTATTTATTAAAAGGCAAAGAGTGGCCGGATGCAGTGGCTCACCCCTGTAATCCCAGCACTTTGAGAGGCTGAGTTGGGCAGATCACTTGAGCTCAGAGGTTCGAGCTCTGACAAACATGGTGAAACCCCAACTCTACTAAAAATACAAAAATTAGCTGGGCCTGGTGGCAGGCGCCTGTAGTCCCAGCTACTCAGGAGGCTGAGGCAAGAGAGTTGCTTGATCCCAGGAGGTGAAGGCTGCAGTAAGCCAAGATCATGCTGCTGCACTGCAGCCTGGGCAACAGAGTGAGACCCTGTCTCAAAAAATATATATAAATGAATAAAAGGCAACTAGTGGATCCATGTTTTGGATGTCATCCTGATGTCTGTGGCCTTGGGTGAGATGTGGGGGAGTGGATCATGTAGAGGCCTCTTTTCCAGGGCTAGTAAAGGTGTTTGAGGATTTGGAAAGGGCCAGTGCAGACTGGAGAAGACACCAACCCCATGCAGGGTCCGACAGCCCTCGATTCAAATTCCACACCTGCCACCACAAGCTGAGGGACCCTGAGCCAGCCACTGCTTATCTCAGAGCCTCGATCTCCAAGTAGGAGTGGGACTTCACAAAAATATTCTAATCTTCCGCTTTGTGAACCTCAGAGGGGTGGATGTTGGAGCAAAGCTGTGAGACCCCACCAGTCTAAGCTAGAGTTTGGAGCATGACTCTGGAACCAGCTGCCTGGGTTCAAATCCTGGCGTGATTCCTTCATGGCTGTGGGTCACTTAACATCCTGAACATCAGGTGATATCAGCAGTCCCTGGCCCAGAGGGAAGCTGATAACTCACACGCCACACTTAGAACAGTGCTTGGCACATCACGAGTGCTCGATTAAATATTTGCTAGCCTCCTCTTATTATTATTTTTCATTATGATTGTCCATATTCCTTGTCAATCTCTCTAATCCTGTTTGCTCTTTTGTTCAATGAAATTAATAACCCCTTGGCTGCCCATTAGAACCTCCTTGGAAGCTTATTAAAAATACCAATGTTCATGTCACAGCCCCAGAGAGCTCGACTGAAAGTTCTGGGGTGGGGCTCCGTCACTGGTATTTTCTAAGAATTCCCCAAATGATTCTACCATAGAGGTGGGGTTAAGAACCACTGCTCTACCCCATCCGTTTGCTGTAAAGAGTTTTAAAAATGCAACGAACCTCCAATGCTTAGCACAGACGTGGGAAGACTACCATAGTCAACCTAAGTATCATCAATCTCTTCTCAATGGGTTTTTGTATTGTTTCGTTTTGTTTGAGACAGGGTCTTGATTTGTTACCCAGGCTGGAGTACAGTAGCGCCATCACAGCTCACTGCAGCCTCCACCTTCAGGGCTCAGGTGATTCTCCCACCTCAGCCTCCCAAGTAACTGGGACTACAAGAGTGTGCCACCATGCCCAGCTAATTTATTGTATTTTTTTTTTTTTTGCAGGGATGGGGTTTTGCCATGCCCAGGATGGTCCCGAACTCCTGGGCTCAAGCAATCCACCCACCTCAGCCTCTCAAAGTACTGAGATTACAGGCATGAACCACCATTCCCAGCCCCATCTCAATCTTAAGAGGCACCACAGCAAAGTGAGAAGACAGACTACCTGGCTCTGTCAGGTCTAATTGTGTGACCTTGAACTCTCTGTGCCTCAGTTTTCTTACCTGTAAAATGAGGATCAGATGCTTTATAATTCTGAAAATGTACAGAGGCAATGTATTTTAGAAAGCTTGGAAGAATGGTTGGTAAATGTTTAATAAATGTTCATTTTTATTGTTATTAACTCTCTCTGGGCCTCATTTGCCTCTTAGGTAAAATGGTAATAATAATAGACTCTATCTTTCCTATGGTGAGATTGAATGAATTAATAGATAGGCATTTAGCACAGAGCCTAGCATAAGGTTTTTGCTTTTTGTCTTTTTTTGAGACAGGGTCTTGTGCTGTCACCCAGGCTGGAGTGCAGTGGTATCATCATAGCTCACTGCAGCCTTGACCTCCCGGGCTCAAGTGATCCTCCTGCCTCAGTCTTCCTAGAAGGTGAGACTAAAGGCACGGGCCACCACCACACCTGGCTAATTTATCTTTTTTTAAGAGATAGGGTCTCGTTTTGTTGCCCAGGCTGGTCTTGAACCTCAAGCAACACATTTCTATACTCAGTGATTCACATTAATGATTGTCACACATCTGTTTCCGTTCCTTAAAACTCGGGATGAGCTATATCTGAGAAATTGGAACGTTTTATACTTTAGGAAAATAATACAGTTTATCTACCATATGTATCATGCAATGTCCCCAGTAGGTTCCGAGGCTGTCCTAGTAATCCAACAATTCATAATTTGGCAACCATGTAAGTGTAGGAACAGTCACGGGACATGGGATACAGATGATAAACAGCCTCAAGTTAATGCAGGGGAGCCGGGTGGTGGACCTGGTTCCCCAACCGGCAGCAACTCCGCCGCACGCGCCCCCCAGCAGGAGCCCACTCACGTAGATGAGGCCGGAGTAGTACCGCTCCCGGAGGTTGTGCAGGACCGAGGCCTCGTTGAGGCAGGTCAGCTCGGCCATGTCCTCGGCCTTGCTGAACTTGGGCGGGTTCATGCGCTGGATCTGGTCCCGCGGCAGTCGCAGCCGCCTCCCGCTCTCCGCCAGCTCCACCTCCGCCTCCTCCTCGCCTTCGTCCCGCAGCGCCGCCGCCTCGAACCCGTGAAGCTCCGAAGGCACCCACACGAGACGCCGGGCCGTCCACTCCACCTGCGGGGAGGTGCCCGAGCCAGGCCCGCCACCCGCGCTGGGCCCGCGGGGCGTGAACAGGAACGGCTGGGCCGCCTCGGGCACTGGGCCCGGCCTGGGGGGCGCCTTCCGCCCGGGCACCGACATGGTCACGGCTGCCATGGTCTGCAGGGGCAAAGAAAGAGGGTGGGGGTCAGATGGGGCTCCGTCCCCCGGGCCTCCCTTCCCTACCCCAAATTCCCCAGGCAGCCACCTCTGCCTTCCTTTACCAGACCTCTTGCCATACTTCTGCAAAGTGGGTTAACAGACCCAGCTTACTCATTTCATTCATTCACCTCTCTAGGCACTCATTCATTCTTTAATAAGCTAGGCTGTGAACCAGGCTCAGAGGGTCAGTTCTTTTTTTTTTTTTTTTTTTTTTTTTTTTTTTTGAGACGGAGTCTCGCTTGTTGCCCAGGCTGGAGTGCAATGGCGTGATCTCAGCTCACTGCAACCTCGGCATCCAGGGTTCAAGTGATTCTCCTGCCTCAGCCTCCCAAGTAGCTGGGATTACAGGCGTCTGCCACCACGCCCAGCTAATTTTTGTATTTTTAGTAGAGACAGGGTTTCACCATGTTGGCCAGGCTGGTCTCGAACTCCTGACCTCAGGTGATCTGCCTGCCTCGGCCTCCCAAAGTGCTGGGATTATAGGCATGAGCTACCACACCCGGCCCCGGCTAATTATTTTCTTTTTTTTTTTTTTTTGAGATGGAGTCTCACTGTGTCGCCCAGGCTGGAGTGCAGTGGCACGATCTCGGCTCACTGCAAGCTCCGCCTCCTGGGTTCACGCCATTCTCCTGCCTCAGCCTCCTGAGTAGCTGGGACTACAGGCGCCTGCCACCATACCCGGCTATTGTTTTCTATTTTTAGTAGAGACAGCGTTTCACTGTGTTATCCAGGTTGGTCTCGATCCCCTGACCTGGTGATCTGCCCGCCTCGGCCTCCCAAAGTGCTGGGATTACAGGTGTGAGCCACCGCGCCTGGCCAATTATTTTCAATTTTTGTAGAAATTAGGGTCTCACTATGTTGTCCAGGCAGGTCTTGAACTCCTGACCTCAGGTGATCCACCCTCTTCAGCCTCCCAAAGTGCTGGGATTGCAGGCGTGAGCCACCACTCCTGGCCAGGCTCAGTTCTGGGCACTGACAATGGAGCAACAGACAAGCTGGAAGAAGACGCCTGCCTCCAAAAGTTTACTTTCTAGCCCCGGGCTGTCCACTGCAGAAGCCACCACCACCTGTGCACTACCGGGTACTTGCAATGTGGCATGTGTCACTGAGGAAACACATTTTCAATTTCATTCATTTAAATTCAATCTATTTTATTTTATTTTGAGATGAGGTTTCACTCCGTTGCTCAGGCTGGAGTGCAGTGGTACAACCACGGCTCACCACATCCTTGACTTCCCAGCCTCAGGTGATTCATGTCTGAAATTTATTAATTAAAAAATAAATGTATTAACAGGCATGCCACCATGCCTACTAATTTTTAAATTTGTTTTGTAGAGACAGGGTCTTCTATGTTGCCCAGACTGGTCTCAAACTCCTGGGCTCAAGCGATCCTCCTGCCTTGGCTCCCCAAAGTACTGGGATTACAGGTGTGAGCCACCGAGCCCCATCTTAAAATTTAAATATAAATATCCCCATCTGGAGTTCTAAGTGTAAGATACACACCAGATTTCCAAGACTTAGTACAACAAAAAGATAGTTTGCTGAGATTTTAAATATTTGATGACATGCTGAAATGATAATATTTTCAATCTACTGGGTTAAATAAAATATATCATTAAATTAATGTTACCCGTTCCTTTTTTACTTTTATCATTAAATGTGGCTACTAGAAAATGTTACATTACACATCTGGCCTGTATTATATTGCTATTTGACAGAGCTGCTGTAATCCCAGGAGACAGATAAAAAGATTAAAAATGTAAATTAGATAGTATGGTTTTTGTTTTTTAAAAATTCTCTCTCTCTTTTTTATTTTTTTACAGAAACCAAATATGGTATGTTTGGTGGGTTTGTTGGGTTTTTTTGTTTGTTTGTTTGTTTGTTTGTTTGTTTGTTTTTGTTTTTTGAGACAGAGTCTTGCTCTGTCACCCAGGCTGGAGTGCAGTGGCTTGATCTTGGCTCACTGCAACCTCTGCCTCCCGGTTTCAAGAGATTCTCCTGCCTCAGCCTCCCAAGTAGCTGGGATTACAGGCGCATGCCTCTATGCCTGGCTAATTTTTGTATTTTTAGTAGAGATGGGGTTTCACCATGTTGGCCAGGCTGGTCTCAAACTCCTAACCTCAGGTGATCCGCCCGCCTGGGCCTCCCAAAGTGCTGGGATTACAGGCACGAGCCACCATGCCCGGCCAGATAGTACATTAAATGGTGATAAATACCAAGGGGAGGAATAAACCAGGGGACAGGAAATGTTAGGGTTGAGGATGTTGAAGTTTTCATTAGGGTGGCCAGGGAGGGCCTCTCTGGTGTGGCATTTAAATGAAGACCCAAGGGAGATGACAGGAGCGAGGAAGGGGGTTGTTGGGAGAAAAATCATTCCAGACAGCAGTGCAAAGGTCCTGGGGCCACAATGCATCTGTGTGGCTGTGTCACTGTGAGGTAGGCAGCATGGCTAGAGCCAAATGATCGAGGGGCAGAGGGTGGGAGGGGATGTAAGAGAGGGGACAAAAGGTACAACCTTGCTTTTACTCTAAGATATGAGCCCAGGGTGGGAATTGACCTGATTTTTGTCATTCAGGTTCCCTGACCACCTCTGGTCACGCCTATCTCATGCCTGCAGAATAGACTCGAATCTCACTGCTTCAGTGAACAATTCCTTCCTTCTCTGGAACCTGACTCCTTCTCCATAAAATGGGGAGACTGGACCCATTCATTCAACTCTCTGAGGACTTTCAAGTACGAGACTCCGCCCCGAGTGGGCCTGAGGACCCAGAGAAGAGTAGGCTGGGAGCCCTGCCTGGAGGAGCTCCTGGCCTAGGGGTGGATCCAGCTCCAGCTATCTCGGAGGCAACCAGGTGCTGGGGGAACTAGAATGTGTTAGGCCCCTCCCACCATCCAGCGGGCCATGGGCAGTAGTGGCAATTCCAACGCGGTCCAAGCACCAGGCAGGAAAAATATTCTCCCTATCCTGCTGCGTGGCCCCCTCCTGCTAAAGAAGTCTGCCCCTAGTCTCTCTCTCTCTCTCTCTCTCTCTCTCTCTCTCTCTCTCTCTGTCTCTCTCTCTCTTTCTCTCTCTCTCTCTCTCTTTTTTCTTAGAGATAGGTCTCGCTCTATTGCCCAGGCTGGAGTTGGAGTGCAGTGGCACAATCACAGCTCACTGCAGCCTCAACTCCTGTGTTCAAGTGATCCTCTCACTTCAGCCTCCTCAGTAGCTGGGACCACAGGTGCGCACCATCAGGCCCAGCCTTTTTTTTTTTTTTTTTTTTTTTTTCTGGTAGAAACAGGGTCTCCCTATGTTACCCAGGCTGATCTCAAACTCCTGGGCTCAAGTGATCCTCCTGCTTTGGCCTCCACAGTGCTGGGATTACAGACATGAGCCACTACGCCCGGCCCCTACTCTCATCCACTGCCTCAAATGTCCCCATCACTGCCCCACCACATCAGTCACAGAAACAGTGGGAGATTTCTGTCTCCCCAACAGCAGGACTTCACCTCTGCCCGATAGACCTATATGCAACTGCCGTCCCCACCTCGCTCCCACATACCCCTGGAGAAGTCCTTCTAAACGCCCAGCTGCCCTGGAGGCCCCCCTGGATCTGGTCCCAACAGACTCCTGCCTTTCCCTCAAGCCTCTCCCACGGGAATCCCAGCTCCGCTGAGAGGACCCACTTCCTCCCAGACCCTCTCCTCCCATCCCCAAGCCCAGCAGCTCCAGCTTCCAGTGACTCTTGGCCCTGAGGCTCTCAGGCCTCAAACGCTGGACCCTTGCACTCTGAAGGCAGCAGGGAGTTTCTCCACCCCGTGGCCCCCAAATCGTCAAGGCTCACCCCATATCTCCAGTGTGACCTGGATACACCGGACCCAAACTCCATCCCTGGGACTTTACCCTCACCCCCACCCACCCCACCCCACCCCATCCACTTCCTCACCAGCCCTGTGGCCTTTGACCAGGAAGGGTTTCGGAGTTTTTGCAATCACCCTATGCCCTATGCCTCTCCTCCCTGGAGCCAAGAGTCCAAGCCCCCAGCCCTTTCCTTCCCCAGGCTGAGGAGTCCGAGCTCCCAGCCTCCTCCTCTCCCAGGACCCAGGAGTCTGAGCCCCCAGCCCCCTCCTCCTATGGATTGGGAAGTGCAGGCCCCCTCACCTCACTGCAGCCGGGCTAGAGGTGAGGATGCTGAGTTCTGAAGATGGATCACAGCCCTGATGGGGCGGGCAGGGCCTGCAGGCCTTGGCTCCAAGTGGCCGAGCCTCTCTGACTGCCCTACCCTTCCTCAACCAGCAGGAACACTCTGCCAGGGCTAATTACTGTCACCTGGGCAGGTGAAAGCACCTGCCCTGGGAGGGGCCGAGACTGCTGGGCTTGAAAAAGAAAAGCAGCCAGGGATCCGCCCTGGGGCAGAGGTTGGGGCCCTTGGCATCCAGCCGTCTGACCCTGGCTTCTAGCGCTGGGTTTCCGGAGTCCCAGTACTCAATGCCCTCCTGTCTCAGACCCAGGAGTTCAGGCCCCCAGCCCCTGCTCCTACAGACCCCAGAATCCGGGCTTGCAGCCCCCTCCTCCCCTAAGACCCCAGCTCTGCAGTCCTGGCCCCAGTCCTTTCCTCCCCCAGGACCCAGAAGTTCGGGCTCGCGGCGCAGTCCTTCCTCAGACCTGGGACAGCCGGCCCCCAAGGCCCCTTCTCAGATCCAGGAGTCTGAGAGCCCCGTACCCATTCCCCTGGACCCAAGCGCCTGTGTCGCCGCCCCCTCAACTCGCAGATCCTCGGGGCTACCTGGGGGCGCCGACCGGAGCGGGGAGATGGGGTGAGGGCGCGGGAATCCCCGTTCTCTTCAGGTGCAGCGACCTCCGCGGTCCAGCGCAGGGCGGGGCCCCGTCGCGTCACAGGGCGGGAGCCCGGCTCTGATGTCACCCAGCACCTGCCCGGCTGGGAACGGGGCGGGCCTGGAGCTTCAGGGCCTCTGACGGGGGCCGGGGGAAGGCGGGGGTTGAGCCTGTTGCCAGGTGGGCGGCGGCGGCGGCGGCGCCAGGGGCTCCTCCCCCTTATGGAGGGCAAAGGTCGAGGGCCCGCCGCGGAGAAGGCTGAGGATTCCCGGGATTCAAACCCCGCTGGAGCTTCCTGGGCCTCAGCTTTCCCTGCTGTGCATTGCGGCCAGTGAAATTAATAAAACGACGTTCAGAAAGTTCCCCAGCCCAGTGCTTCATCATTAATCTCCCTGAGCCTCAGTTTCCCAACTGCGGGAAGGGAACAACAAAATCTATAGACAGTAAGAGTACCAAAGAAGAGGACAATGGTATTCTGTCCTGAGCTTCAGTCTCGGGAGTGAAATAAAGACTACATGGTGATAAGAGTACCTACTATGTGTCGGGTATTTTCTCCTCTTAGAACAGCTCTTTGAGATCATAAAATGATTTAAAAAAAAAAAAAGAGGGAGAGACAGGGTCTCTCTCTGTTGCCCAGCTTGGAGTGCAATGCCACGATCATGGCTCACTGCAGCCTTGACCTCCTGGGCTCAACCGATCCTCCCTGCTCAGCCTCCCGAGTAGCTGGGACAGCAGGGTCACGCCACCACGCCCGGCTAACTCTTTTACTTTTTGTAGAGACGAAGTCTCGCTGTGTTGCCCAAGCTGGTCTCGAACTCCTGGGCTCAAGCGATTCTTTCGCTTCCACCTCCCAAAGTGCTGGGATTACAGGCCTGAGCCACTGCGCCCGGCCTAGAATAACCTCAACAACCAATGACATAGGGGTGATCAGCATGTCCATTTCTCTGATGTGGAAACTGAGGCAGGAAGGGTCAAAGTAAGGCACTCAAGATCACACAGCGTAAGAGGGAGGTCTGGAATTCAAGCCTATACCGTTTTCTGCCATTCTAAAGGAGGGGGTCTGGAAAGAACTTGTAGCAGGTCCCTAAAGACATGAATTTCTGCGTCCCAGTTGGTGATTACTACCAACCTGCTTCCCCATCTATGCCACAGGGACCACCGCTTTCCTTAGGGGACTCCTGTGGGACTGAAAAGGTTAAAGGACCCAGCACACAGTTGGTCTCTGGAGTGTTCTTCTCCACCAGGTCCCCCTGCAGTCACCAATTCGGCCCAGTCTCAGCCTTCCCCTCTCTGTATAATGGGTACAATATAACTCACCTCGAGTCAACACGATAAGGAAAGGAAATTATTTAGTTATAAAAAATAAAAGCGTCCAAGTACATCATAGGTTCTCAAATATGTCCTTCCCTACCCCTCCGCCTCTTCCAGTCACGACCCCTCTCTCTGGCCTCCGATTCTGACACGTGAGAACAGAGACATGTCATGCTGGGGGCGGGGGACTGGAGGCGATGACTCAGGTATTAAAGCGGCCGAGGTTCCAAAGACAGCCTCAGTTTCCCCTTCTGCGGAACAGGCCCGGGGCTGACAACGAGGACCCCGACCGGGCCTCGCACACGGCGGCAACTGGAGTTGGGGGAGTGTAGACGTCCCGCCCCCCCACCTCCCTCGCCGCCGTCCCGCTGCGCGCCCAAGGTGAGTGTCCGCGTCACCTCCCCGCCGTCCCCGGCCGCCTGCCCGGGCTCCCGGGCCCCGATCGCAGCCCCCAGGCTCCAGCTTCCCCTGGCTCAGTCCCGTTCCGCCGCCCCCGGAGGGCTGCCGGCCCCGGGCACTCACCGGCTTCCAGGGCCGTCCCGAGGCTTCGGCCTGGGGAGAAAGAGGGGCGTGTCCGCCAGGACAGCCCCGCCCCCAAGAGAGCAGCAGAGGCCAATCGGCGCCCGCTGCGGCAAGCTACGGCCCCGCCCCTGGGGGACGGGAGCCGCCAATCAAAAAGAGCGGCTGGCGGGCTGGGCCAATCAGAAGTTGTCGAAGGGTGCCAGCCGTGGGAAAAGAACGCGGCCCGGGCGCGGAGCTAGGCGGCGCGGTCGGGGGTGGAAGCCGAGGCCTGATGGGCACGGGGCGCCACCAATAGCGAGGCGCGGGGGGCGGCCGGGGGCGGGAGGCCCAAGGGGCCAGGGTGAATGGGCCGCTTTGTGCGCAAGGCATGAATGGGGGCCTTTGTAAGGGCCGGCGTGGGGGGGCCGACCGAAGGCCGGAATGCCTGGGTCCCCCGGGACCCGGCGGGCAGGAGAGACAGGAGACAGAATTCACTTTTGTCGAACGTAGACCATGTACCAGGCACCCTCCCAGGCTCTCACCCACCGGGGAGGTGTGGGCCGTGATACTATCGGAATAACAATGATCGTTTATCAAGCACTTCGATGTAGACCGGGAGCTGTGCTAAGCGCCTTACCTGCATGATCTCATTTAATCCTTACAACGAAGCCCTTGAAATTGGTGCTATTAAGATCTTCATCTTCTAGATGAGGTAACCCCAAGCTTAGAAAGAGGGTGTTAATTGCAGAAAGTCACAGAGCTGGCCGATGGCAGAGCAAGGACTCAGATCCAACCAGAAGTTGTGCTTTTAACCGCCATGCTATGCCCAAACGTGGTAATGATTCCCCATTTACAATTTACAGATGGGAAAACTGAGGCTCAGGAGAGCCAAAAGACTTCCCAAGGTTGGAAGGGTGCCGTGGCTCACACCTGTAATCCCAACACTTTGGGAGGCCAGGGTGGGAGGATCACTTGAGCCCAGGAGGTCAAGACCAGCCTGGGCAACATAGGCCCCATCTCTATTTAAAAGGAAAATAAAAAGAGCCAAGGGCACAAAGGAATGGCTCCACTGAACCCAAGGAGGCCTGCCAGCTTGGCTCGGCTGCTCAGCAGCTGTGTGGGCTCAGGCCAGTTGCTGGACTTTTTTGAGATTCCATTTATTTCTGCACTCGTAAAATGGGAGTGATGGACTGTCTGCCTTCACCCTTGCTCTCCCTACAGTCTACTCTATTCAGATGGGGCCTTTCCTCTGTTCAGAGCCTTCCATGGCTCCCATTTCACTCAGTAAAAGTCTAAGAACTCACCATGGCCAATGAGGTCCTGCGGGATGTGGCTGGCCCTTTTGCTCTCTCTGATCTCACCCCCAGGCCCTCCCCTTCATACTGCTCCAGCTACACTGGCTCAATTTCTCAAACCAGGAGGCCTGGTGCTGCCCCAAGGCCTTTGCATTCTCTGTTGGGTCCACCAGGAATGCTCTTCCCCAGGTTTTGCATGACAACCTCTCTCCCACATCATCCGTTCTGCTCCAATATCACCTCTTCCAAGAGGCCTTTCCTGGCCATCCTATATAAGACAGTTCCTCTCATCACTCTCTCTCGTTTAACCCCGCTTTGCTTTTTCTCATAGCACTGGGAGTGTTTGCTAATTTATCTGTTTATCATCTGTCTCCTCACTAGAATTTAAGTCCCACGAGGACAAAGATCTTTATTTTGTTCAGTGCCGAATCCTCAGTGCCTGGCACACAGTAGGTGTTTAATAAGTGTTTGTTGAGTAAATGGTAATGAGTGCTTGTATTGAGTGGATTAAGTGAATTAGTGCCTACAAAGCTCTTAGTACAGTCCTGGCACCAGGGAAAAGGCTGAATAAGAAAGTACTGGCCAGGAGCGGTGGCTCACGCCTCTAATTCCAGCACTTTGGGAAGCTGAGGCAGGCAGATCACTTGAAGTCAGGAGTTCGAGAGCAGCCTGGCCAACATGGTGAAACCCCGTCTCTACTAAAAATACAAAAATTATCCAGGCATAGTGGCCCACGCCTGTAATCCCAGCTTTTCGGGAGGCTGAGGCAGGAGAATCACTGGAACCCAGGAGGCGGAGGTTGCAGTGAGCGGAGATAGCACCACTGCACTCCAGCCTGGGTGGCAGAGTGATTCCATCTCAAAAAAAAAAGAAAGAAAAGAAAAAGAAAATACTGATTATCATGACTATTGCCATTTATTGTCCTACAAACAGCATGCAGGAGAGAAACTATATACATACGAAGTCTAGCGTACGAGCAAGAAGCCAAAGAAATATGAAAGGAAATGTTGGGAGATAAGAGATGGGCAGAAAAGAGACAAGAGAAGCTGGAGTTGGGTGCTGAGGGCAGACACAGATTCAAGCATCCAACTCCCAATGCACTTGCTCAGCAACAGCAAAGGTGAATCACAGGACCATCCCTGTGGTCATAGTGTCAAGATTGCCATGGCTTTGAGATTGCCACAGCCACCTTCCACTTCTTTGCAGATGGGGAAACAACATCCTGGGGAGAAAAGGACCTTTCTGAGAGTACTCGCAGTGATAACACAGCTCACAGTTGTGAGGTCTGATTGTGTGCTGGAAACATGACTGTCATTATGTCAGTGCATCCTCATGCCAGCCCCGTGAGGCTGGCATGGTCATTACCCCACTTTATAGGCTAGCAACATGTCCAGGGTCTCCTGACTACTGCTAATGGCGGATCTGGGCTCCAACTCCTAGGAAACAGGCCCCTGCAGGCATCTGTCTTAACCAAGACAGAGCTGAGGGCTCCTGTCACTCTGGCTGGAGCGTGCTCCATGGAAACATCCTACAGTAAAGATAATGAGTGCTGCTGTGTATGGAGTGCTGACTGTGTGCTGGACATTTTGCCCTTTTATGTATTAACTCATTGGATTCTCTCCACAACCCTACGAGGCTGGTGCTTTTATTATCCCCATTTGATGGATAGAAAACTGAGGTCCACGCCAGGCACAGTGGCTCACCCCTGTAATCCCAGCAATTTTTGGGGCTGAGGTGGGAGGATCACCTGAGGCCAGGAGTTTGAGACCAGCCTACCCAACATGGTGAAACCCTATCTCTACTAAAAATACAAAAATAAGCCAGGCATGACAGTGGGCGCCTGTAGTCCCAGCTACTTGGGAGGCTGAGGCAGGAGAATTGCTTGAGCTCGGGAGGTGGAGTTTGCAGTGAGCCAAGATTGTGCCATTGCACTCCAGCCTGGGTGACAGACTGAGACTCTATCACAAAAAACTCAAAAAAAAAAAAAAAAAAAAGAGAGAGAAGAAAGAAAGAAAGAAAGAGAAAGAAAGAAAAATTGAGGTCCAGAGACATGAAAGTCCTGTTCCCAACGGTGCTAGGAAAGAGTATGGACTGGGACACAACAGAATTTCAAACAGGAAAGAAGGCACTGGGCACCCACATTTTAACTATAATCTGCCTGGTAACTGGTGATGTCATCAACACTACCCAGGGCTAGATTTAGCCTGGGATTACCCAGGTAGATTTACCTGGCAACTTGTGATATCATCATGCCCACCAGGTTCTAAATTGACCTCATAATTGGAGATGTCATCAATTCTGCTCAGTCTATGAGGTAATTGATGACATCACTGAGTGATAGTAATGAGCTTTCTTTTGCGGAGGGCATTCTATGTGGTGGACGGCTGTATCAGCATTTTGAAAGTTGCTGGTATTTATTGAGTGCTTACTGTGTTCCAGGCACAGTTCTAAGCCCCTTCTGTGTGCTAAATCCTATAATCCTCCTGATAACGCTAAGTGGTAAGTTCTAATGTCAAACCCATTTTACAGATGAGGACACTGAGGCACAGCTGACCAAGGTTGCACAGTTTAAAGGTGGCAGAGCCTGCATTCAAATCAATGTAGTCTGCACAGTTTAAAGGTGGCAGAGCCTGAATTCGAATCAATGTAGTCTGGCTGTAGAGCTTGGGCTGCACAAAGCCAGCAGAGGGAGGCTGAGACCCAGAAAATCAAGTCCAAAGGAGGCACTCCACTGCCTCTAAGTTCTCCATCTGTCCTCCATCCAGGCCTGCCAGAGAAGGTCCTCAGGATAAAGCCCCAAACTCATTATCTCAGGGATCAAGGCCACCCCGTCAGCCATCCCTCTCTGAACTCCAGGCACTGGGATCATTCACATTAAATTGTGAGTCCTTGGCTGTCCAGGGCTGACCCCTCTGTGGGTCCTGTGGGTATCAGCTGCAGCAGAGAGGGAACCCAGACAGTGAAGGGGGATGGAATACCACGACGGGTGTGTGCCGGGGAAAAGGAAAGGGGAATATGGGGGCATTCTGAGCCTCCAGGGAAGCTGGATTCCCACCAGCTGGCACAGCCCCCAGACGTGACCTCGTTATGCAGAATCTGAGTAAGGAGCAGCACAGGTGTGGGGAAAGCCAGCAAGGAACTAAGCTGATGAAAACAAAAAGCTGTCAGCACCAAAAGACAGGGTGAGAAAAAAAGAAAAAGAAGATAAAAAGTTGGAGCTGAAAGGGGAAGAGACGGGAGAACCAAGGACAGGGCAGCTTTGTGGAAGAGAGTTTGGGGGGAAATTTTGAGCAAAAAAAATTAGGGAGCAGTTTCCATGCCTGATGGAGGGAAAGGGGCCTGAGTCTTACTAGAGCAAAAGGAGGAAGAGGGTGCTAAGTTTTGCCATGGGTCCTGACTGCAATCCTGCCTGGGCATTTTCTCTGCAGCAAAGACTGGAATGGTTCCAGTATTTTATTTTTGGTCGCTGGGCTGTTGTTTTCCTGCATGTGACTCGGAGCTGGAACTGGCTCTGAGACAAGAGCAAGCTAGCAACCCCGTGTGGGTCACAGATGAGTGACAGGTTCAGTTCTGCAACAATTATTTTTTGAGTGCCTACTGTGTGCCAAGAATTGTTCTAGACCAGGGGTCAGCAAACTTCTTCATGTAAAAGGCCAGACAGTAGATAGTTTCAGCTTTGCGGGACAGAAGCCTTGGCTCCAATTGTGCCACACTGTCCTTGCAGTATAAAAGCAGCCAGAGACAATATGCAAATGAATAGGTGAGGTAGTGTTCCAATAAAACTTTATTTATGCAGACAGGAGGAATTTGGCCAGTGGGCTATAGTCTGTAGTTTGCAGACTCCTGTTTATTGTTATTTCGTTTGTTTTTGTTGTTGTTGTTGTTTTTGTTTGTTTGTTTTGAGATGGGGTCTCACTCTGTCACCCAGGCCAGAGTGCAGTGGCACAATCATGGCTCACTGCGGCCTCAACCTCCTGGGCTCGAGCGATCCTTCCAACTAAGCCTCCTGAGTAGCTGGGACTACAGGCACTTGCCACCATGCCCAGCTAATTTTTTTTTTTTTTTTTTTTTGAGACAGAGTGTTGCTCTGTCCCCCAGGCTGGAGTGCAGTGGTGTGATCTTGGCTCACTGCAACCTCTGCCTCCCGGTACAAGCGATTCTCCTGCCTCAGCCCTCCGAGTAGCTGGGATTACAGATGCGCTCCACCACGCCCAGCTTTTTTTTTTTTTTTTTGTATTTTTAGTAGAGAAGGGGTTTCACCATGTTGGCCAGGCTGGTCTTGAACTCCTGACCCCGTGATCCACCCAACCCGGCCTCCCAAAGTGCTGGGATTACAGGCGTGAGTCACCGTGCCTGGCCCTGGCTAATTTTTTTTTTTAAGATTTTGTAGAGACAGGGTCTCGCTGTGTTGTCCAGGCTGGTCTGGAACTTCTGGGCCTAAGCGACCCTCCCACTTTGGCCTCCAAAACCGTTGGGATTACAGATGTGAGCCACTGTGCCCCACCCAGACTTCACCCAGACACAGAGGAGGCGACAGGTGCAAAGACATGATCCTGGCTCTCACAAAACTCAGGTATTAATCTACTCCCTATATGGCAGGCAGAGGGAACCACATCCTGCAGGCAGTTGGATCCTGTTTCTTCCTGGCTCAGAATCCTCCTCTGGCTCTGGTCATACTCAGAGTGAAAACAGAGTCTTCCCCCACATGGCCCTGCTCCATCTGGTCCCCTCTGTCCCCTCTCTGCCCTCTCTGCCCCCACCTCTTGCTCTCTCCTCCTTCCTCATTCCATTCCAGCCACAATGGCTTTCTTAATGTCCCCAAAACACACCAGGCTCAGTCCTGCCTCAGGGCCTTTGCATGTGCCATTCTCTAACTGCAATGCTCTTCCCCTGGATAACCGCTTGGGCTCCTTCTCTCCCCCACAGCGTTTGTTCAGCTATCACCTCCTTGGTGAGGTCTTCCTTGAGCACCCATCCCCCTGGACCCCTGACACCCTCATTTGGCTCTATGCTTTCTTTTGCCGCAGCACCCTCCTTCCAACATGCCTTATAATTTATTTACTACCTTTATGTTTATTTATGTTTATGTTTATTGTCTGACATCACCACTAGAATGTCAGCTTCATGCAGAAGGGGATTTTGTCTCTGTTATCCCCAGTGTCTACAACAGAGCCTGGCACACAGTGATGCTCAAGAAATATTTGTCTGGGCTACCATGCTTATTACTGGGGTGATGAAATAATCCATACACCAAACCCCTGTGACACACAATTTACCTAATAACAAACCTGCACAGGTACCCCTAAAAGTTAAATTTTAAAAAGAGAGAAACACTCATTGAATAAATGATCATGTTCTCATGGTAGCCACAGACACCGAACAAGTAAACATACAATTACAGGGCAAAATGGCAAGTCTCGTTCAGGGCTGTGATGAAAATAAAAAGGAGGGTAATAGAGGCAAGGTGGCTGGGTATTATTTTAGAAAGGGTTCGGAAAGGCTCTCTGAGGAGGTGTTGCTGGGGAAGGATCATATGACAGCTGATGCTGATAACTATATGAACGGATGCATGTGTGACCAATGAGTGGATAAATAAATGGATGAATGAGGGGGCAGATGATCATTTGAATAGATGGATACATGAATGAATGAATGAATGATATACACAATGAATAAATAAATAAGATGGATGGAAGAATCGATTAATGCATAAGTACATGAACAGATAAACATACAGATGGACAGAGGGACAGACAGATGGGCAGATGGATGGATGGATAAATGGATGGGTGGATGGATGGATGGATGGATGGATGGATGGATGGATGGATGGATGGATAAATGGATGGATGGATAGATGGGTGGATAAATGGATGGGTGGATGGATGGATAAATGGACGGTTGAATGGATAAATGGACAGATGGATGGATAAATGGATAGATGGATGGATAAATGGATGGATGGATGGATGGATGGATGGATGGATGGATGGATGGATGATGGATAATGGATAAATGGATGGATGGATGAAGGAATAAATAGTGTTTCATGCTTTTGTGGCTTCACATATGCTGTGCTTTCTGCCTGTTACTCCCTCTTTCCATCTCCCCATGCCAGGAAACTCCAGGTGAACTTCCCAAGGTTCAAAGCGTGTTAAGGGTTCCCTCATCTCATCTCACCCTCCTCCCATCCCATGCCCTGCCACGGCTTCCACACACTCTTCACACTGGGTTGGGATGCTCTGTCTCCTGGTACCTTTCCACACTAGCAGCCCTTCCAGGGCTCAACCTGCATCTGAGTCACGTCTGTGTCCAGCCTGACCCAGCACAGGGCACATAGGATGATAAGGGCTTGCAGGGATGTGTGCTGTGCATGTGGGTGAGGGATGAAGTGGGTCTCTGAGCCTGAGGGCTGGGGAGGCAGATATCTCTGACAGCATCATTGTCTGCGGGGCCAGGGGTTAGTCTGCAGATTTGAGTGGGGATTTGGGGTGTGTTGGGCATCTGGGTGAAGGGTCTGCGAGGGGGCAGGTCTGCATCTCTGGCATCTCGTTTGGTCCTTGAAATCCCCAGACTCCAAGATCAGGATATTTATTCATTCTGTGTAATCTTGAGCAAACCCTGTCCCTCTCCAGGCTTTAGTAAATGGGAGAGGGGGGTCAGACTAGCCATTTCAAAGCTTTTGCTCAGTGCTGACCTGCTCGGAGTCCATGACTCACTCTGTTCCTCTCTCTGCTTGCCCTGGTCACCCTGAATTGTATCCCTCTCTGCCTCTCCTACCAGCTTGGAGGCACTAGAGGACAGGGCTTAGGTCTGATCCATCCCTGGGACTAGTAGCTCCGCGTAGGTCAGAGTCAGACTCATGTTAGGTCCCTGGGATCTCCCAGCACAAGATCTGGAACACAGCATGCCTCAAGGGAGTGTCTTGACTAAGATAATGAAAGGAAGTATGACTTTTTGTCACCCGGTGAGCTCCTACTCATACTTCAAAACCCAACTAAAAGTTCCCCCTTTGAGAAAACGTCTGACTCCTCATGTTTGGCCAAATAATAATAGATAATACTTTTATGATGCTTGGGCTTACTTATATATACATATTGAATCATCTAACCTCCCGAGTATCTGGAACCACAGGCATGTGCTACCATGCCCAGCTAATTTTTTTTGAGATTTTTTTGTAGAGATGGGGGTATCCCTATGTTGCTCAGGCTGGTCTTGAACTCCTGAGCTCAAGTGATCTTCCTGCCTTTGCCAACCAAAGTGCTCATTACAGGTGTGAGCCACCAAGACTGGCCCACTACAGCTATTTTTAAAACATTATTTTATTTTTGAATTAAAACAATTTTAATTAATTACACAAGATGGAAAAAATCAAGGGATAGAGAAATGTTTCCCTTGACCAATATCCTCTGTTTCACTTAACCAACAAAATGTACCTCTGACACCTGATAATATTTTGGTGTGGATTTTATTATTAGAATTCATCATCTTTTAGCCAGGCATGGTAGCAGGCTCCTGTAATCCCAGCTACTTGAGAGGCTGAGGCAGGAGAATTGCTTGAACCTGGGAGGCAGAAGTTGCAGTGAGTTGAGATTGCGCCACTGCACTCCAACCTCAACAGAGCAAGACTGTCCAAAAAAAAAAAAAAAAAGAAGAATTCATCATCTTTGGAACTGGATGCTAATTCTAGCTGCCCTTATTGGGAAGTTGTATGTGGTGGCACCATTTTATATATTTTATACACATGAACTCATTCAGGCCCTAAGTCAGCCCTGTGAGGCAGGCACCATCGATAGTCTTGTTACAGATGAAGAAACTGTGGCTGGGAGAATTTAAGGTATCATTCCAGCTCACATAGGTGGAATGGCAGGGCCAGGATTTGAACCTGGGGAGTCTTGCAACCACTCTAATGTTCTACCCTGAGACGACCACCCCCCCCCACCCCAAGAGGATCATGGTTGCCTCTGGGTTTCTAGTCTTTTCCTGGGCAGCTTACTCAGAAAGCAGTTTCCTGGGTCCCACCCAGAGTTGCCAGCTGAGTAGATCCAGGCGGGGACAGGGACTTGCATTTTTACGAGTCCCCAGGTGATCTGTGGCAGATGGCTCTTGATCGTACTTGAGCCAAAACACTTAGCGCCATCCTTGATTCCTCTTTCCTTCTTACCTCTACATCCAGTTTATCAGCAAATGTCAATGTGACCTTCAAAATATATCCAGAATCTGATCGGATGTGGCGGCTCATGCCATGTAATCCCAGCATTTTGGGAGGCTGAGGCAGGCAGATCCCTTGAACCCAGGAGTTCAAGACCAGCCTGGCCAACTTGGTGAAACCCCATCTCTACTGAAAATACAAAAATTAGCTGGGCGTGGTGGCAGACGCCTGTAATCCCAGCTACTCAGAGACTGAGGCAGGAGCATCGTTTGAACCCAGGAGGTGGAAGTTGCAGTGAGCTGAGATCATGCCGTTGCACTCCAGCCTGGGCGACAAGAGCGAAAACTCCAACTCAAAAAAAAAAAAAAAAGGTCGGGAATGGTGGCTCACGCCTGTAATCCCAGCACTTTGGGAGGCTGAGGCGGGTGGATCACAAGGTCAGGAGATTGAGACCATCCTGGCCAACACGGTGAAACCCTGTCTCTACTAAAAACACGAAAATTAGCTAGGCGTGGTAGTGGATGCCTGTAATCCCAGCTACTCAGGAGGCTGAGGCAGGAGAATCGCTTGAACCTGGGAAACAGAGGTTGCAGTGAGCTGAGATTGTGCCATTACACTCCAGCCTGCGTGACAAGAGCAAAACTCCATCTCAAAAAAAAAAAAAAAAAAAGCTAGCTGGGTATGGTAGCGCATGCCTGTATGCCTGTAGTTTCAGCTACTTGGGAGGCTGAGGCGAGAGGATCACTTGAATCTAGGAGGCAGAGGTTGCAGTGAGCTGAGATCGCGCCACTGCACTCCAGCCTGGGTGACAGAGTGAGACCTCATCTCAAAAAAAAATCTATATCTATATAATCTCTAGCTCTAGCTCCAGAATCCGACCCCTTCTTGCCACCCCCACTGCCTCACTCTGGTCAAATCCACCATCATCTCCTTTCTGGACCACTGCAGGTGCCTCCTCTCTGGTCTCCCCACTTCCCACTGCGTCTGCTCCCACAGGGCAGTCAGAGGACCCTCTTAGACCTCAAGTTAGCTCCTGTCCCTCCTCTGCTCAGACACCGCCCCCACCTCACCGTGGCCCAGAGTAAAACCAAAGTCCTCACCATGGACCACGGGGCTGTGCAGGCTGTGACCTGCTTTGTCCTTCATTTCTCTTCACCTCTCACCCTCTCCCCCTGGCTCATGCCACTACAGCCAACTTGCTCCCTTGCTGTTCCTCAAATGCAACCGACACGTTCCCACCTCAGGGCCTTTGCACGGCTGCTGCCTCTGCCTGGAACACTCTTCCTCCCAGACATCCCCCTAGCTCTCGCCTCATTCATTCAGGCCATTGTTTAAATGTCACCTTCGCAATGAAGCCTTCTCTGGTCACTCTGTTTAATGCCTCACCTGGCACCAGGCACCTCCATCCCCTTTACTTGCCCCTTGTTTCTGCCTTTCCATAGCACTTCTGACCTTCTCACCTGCTATACCATTTATTTATTTGTTGTGTTTGTTATTTGTTGCCTGTCTCTCTGACTGCAGAATATCCACCCTATAGAGGGGAGGGACTCGGTTTCATTTACTGTTCTATCCCTAGCACCTAGGACAGTTCCTTGCACATGGTAAGTGCCGGGTAAATACCTGCTAAGTGAATAAAAGAAACTCTCTGAGAAATTCTCCTCTAGCTGGTAGGGTGCTAGAGAACTTTGCTTCCTCATTGCTTTCATGTACTGCCGGCATTGTCTTTCTTTCTTTCTTTCAAATAGAGATGGGGCCCAAGCGCTGCGGCTCACACCTGTAATCCCAGCACTTTGGGAGGCCAAGGCTGGCAGATCACCTGAAGTCAGGAGTTCAAGACCAGCCTGGTCAACATGGTGAAACCCCTGTCTCTAATAAAAATACAAAAATTAGCTGGGTGTGTTGGCAGGCGCCTGTAATCCCAGCTACTTGGGAGGCTGAGGCAGGAGAATCGCTTGAACCTGGGAGGTGGAGGTTGCAATGAATCAAGATCGTGCCACTGCACTCCAGCCTGGGTGACAGAGCAAGACTCTGTCTCAAAAAATAAAAAATAGTAATAATAAAATAAATAGAGACAGGGTCTCGTTACGTTGCCCGGGCTGGTCTCAAACTCCTGGCCTCCACTGATCCTCCCTTCTTGGCCTCCCAAAGTGCTGAGATTATAGGTGTGACCCACTAGGCCCTGCTGCTGCTGGCATTTCTAAGATGCTGATCAGAAAGAAGAAGGTCACCAAAGCTATTTTTAAAACACTTTTTTCTTTTTAATTTAAAGCAATTTTAATTACACAAAGTAGAAAAAATGTAAACACGAGGGTAATATTTCCCTTGACCAGGCCCTTCCTTTTCACTCTGCCTTCCAGATGTACCCCTGGTATTTTGTTGTAATTTCTTCCACAAATATTTTTTTTTGAGACAGGGTCTCACTGTGTCGCTCAGCCTGGAGTGCAGTGGTGCAATCACAGTTCACTGCAGCCTAAACTTGCCACCCCAGGCTTAAGCTGTCTGCCCATCTCAGCCTCTAGAGTAGCTGAGACCACAGGCACTCACCACCACGTCTGGCTAATTTTTTTATTGTTTTGTAGAGATGAGGTGTCACTATGTTGCCCAGGCTGGTCTTGAACTCCTGGGTTCAAGTGATCGTCCTGCCTTGGCTCCCCAAAGTGCTCAGTGGCATGAGCCACTGAGCCGGATCTAACATTTACTATTTATTTACATTGGGGTCAGCAAATGACAGCCCACAGGCCACACTGGCCTACTGCCTGGGTTTATAAATAAACTTTTATTGGAACACAGCCATGCTTGTTGGTTTAGTATTGTCTGTGGCTGTGGCTGCTTTCATGCTATAAGGACGCAGTTAAGCAATTGTGACAGAGACCATATGTTCAAAGCTGAAAATATTTACAATCTGAGCCCTTACAGAAAAAGCTTGCCAACTCCTGGTTTACATATATAGATTCAGAACTGAGAAATATTATGATCTCTTGAGTTCAGGGATATAGGATGATACTTGATATAGGGAAATCTGGCTCGCCTTTTTTTTTTTTTTCCTTTTTGAGACGGAGCTGCACTCTGTTGCCCAGGCTGGAGTGCAGTGGCGCGATCTCAGCTCACTGCAACCTCCACCTCCTCGGTTCACGCGATTCTCCTGCCTCAGCCTCCCCAGTAGCTAGGATTATAGGCGCCCACCACCACACCCGGCTAATTTTTGTATTTTTAGTAGAGACAGGGTTTCACCATATTGGCCAGGATGGTATCGATCTCTTGACCTCATGATCCACCCGCCTCAGCCTCCCAAAGTGTTGGGATTACAGACGTGAGCCACCGCGCGCAGCCTGTGCTCCTATGTTTTAATTCACCTTTATCTTGTCTACACCACACAGTATCCAATAGCCGCAGCCTATCTATGGTTCCTTTGACTCCTCGCCGATTGGTGGGGCTGCTGGTGGTTTTCCTTGTTCCACCTTTACAGACCGCAACACACTGAGCCTCCTTCTTCCTACTTCCTCATGCATGAGTAGTGATATTGCTAGGTCAAAGAGTATATGCAGTTAAGATTTTCATAGACGTTGCCAAGCTGCCACCCACAACAAGACTATTTTCCTTTTTAGGAAAAAAAAAAAATGAAAAAGAAACCAGTGCAGTCAAGTGTTTATTACACGGCTGTTCCCTGAAAGGTTCCACCCCTCGGGTGGGTCACCTATAATTCACTGAACCCTGGACATGCTGTGGACTCTCAGTCCTTTGAACTGGTTGGTCCCTTCTCCGCCCTTCTCTGCCTGGTGACATGCTGCTAGAGCTTCAAGACCCACCTTAGATAATGGGGCAGAATTTTGTGACATTCACTGTGCATTTCTCCCGGGATCCAGCGATCCCACTTCCAAGTAGGTACCATAGAGAAGCATGCACAGGTAACATACAAGGACATACCCCAGGATGACCAGGGCAGCATTACGGGTGGGAATAGGGAGGTAGAGAACACCATGAGGTCTGTTTCGTGGGGAGCTGGTAAGCAAAAGGGAGTGGATTCCTCCATGTTGTCCTGGAAGCAATAAATCAGTTTCACTTGGTAACGTGGAGAGATCATAAAAACATAATACTGGGCCGGGCATGGTGGCTCAGGCCTGTAATCCCAGCACTTTGGGAAGCTGAGGTGGGCAGATCGCTTGAGGCCGAGAGTTTGAGACCACCCTGGGCAACATGGCGAAACCCCGTCTCCACTAAAAATATAAGAATTAACTGGGCGTGGTGGTGCGCACCTGTGATCCCAGCTACTTGGGAGGCTAAGGCACCAGCTCTGTTTTAAAAAACAAAAAACAACGTAACAAAAAAAAATTAATGTTGAATTGAAACAGTAGGAAATAAAACAGTCTATAGCACAATTTAAAAGATAGCATTTATCCTTTGTGTCAATTTAGAAGATATAATTACACGAAGCAATGCTGTCTGGTCTGTAAGCATTTCTACATACCCAAGATTGCGTGAATGTTAAAGGTGTTAGGGTTTGTTTATGGGGCACCAGAGGAGGTAACAGGAGTGAGGCTGGAGCATTAAAGAGAAAAATAAGAAAGAAAGCAAAATCGGGATATGGACAAATGATAGAGAAACAGGAACGGAAAATATGACGGAATTCTATGCACCAAAGTCCACGCCCTATAAAAGGATCTGTCCTGGAGGGCAATCGCTTCTCAGAAGCCTTCTGCAAGCGGCATCCCCAACCCTCCGTTCCTTCCCCAGCCAGAATCAGTCCCTCTCTCCTCTCACTTCCTTTCAATGCCTTCTGCTGCTACCGTCAAAGCACAGCTTCACCAGACTGACACTGTGTCCATGACCATCTCCCTAGCCACAGCAGGAACATTTTGAGGGAAGGAAACAAGTGTGTGCCTCAATGTTCCTGGATCTGTAAGAAGGGGGATAGTGATAAAAGTATCTGCTGGCCAGGTGCAGTGGCTCACGCCTGTAACCCCAGCACTTTGGGAGGTTGAAGTGGGCAGATCACTTGAGCCCAGGAGGTTGAGGCTGCAGTGAGCCGTGATTGCACGACTGCACATTCCAGTCTGGGCAACGGAGCAAGATCCTGTCTCGAAGGAGGGAAGGAAGAAAGGAAGGAAGGAAGGAAGGAAGGAAGGGAGGGAGGGAGGGAGGGAGGGAGGGAGGGAGGGAGGGCAAGGCAGGAAGGCAGGATGGGAAAAGATTTACAGCTGTTGAAGGGTTAAATTAATTAGTTCACGTCCTGTGCTTAGCGTAGTGATTTTGGCCCATTGCAAGCCCTCGATAAATGCTGGTGGCTACTATTATTATTATTATTATTTACTTTTTGTTTTTGAGACAGTCTCGCTCTGCCAACCAGGCTGGAGTGCAGTGGTGTGCTCTCTCCTCACTGCATCCTCTGCCTCCCCAGTTCAGGTGATTCTCCTGCCTCAGTCTCCCGAGTAGCTGTGACTACAAGCACGCGCCACCGCGCCCAGCTAATTTTTGTATTGTTGGCAGAGATGTGGTTCCGCCATGTTGGCCAGTCTGGTCTTGAACTCCCTTCCTCAGGCAATCCTCCCGCCTCAGCCTCCCAAAGAGCTGGCAGGTGCCTGTAATCCCAGCTACTCGGGAGGCTGAGGCAGGAGAATCACATGAACCCGGGGTTGCAGTGAGCCGAGATCGTGCCACTGCCCTCCAGCCTGGGCGATAGAGCAAGACTCAGTCTCAAAACAAACAAATGACAAAACCAAAGAGCTGGGATTACAGGTGTGAGCCGCTGCACCCGGCCAGTGGCCATTATTATTAATATCATTATTATTATTGGGCTTGGCCTCATTACATGGGGGAAAGGCCTCACCCCAATGCCCCCTTCTTCAGGATGTCTTCCCTGATTGTTCCATAGGGAGCCCTGCCAGTGCCTGCGGTGTCTGCCTTACAGCCTCTTCCCCAGGCTTGGACACTGCCTGCTTACCTGTCGGTCTCCCTCACTGGGCCGGGGAGTCCTCAAAGACCGGGACCAGCGTTGGTTTGCCTCGGGTTCTTTGGAGCCTGGCATAGCGGCTGGTGTCCCTCGGGCCTTCAGGGACATCTGTCCGCCCGAATGGAATGCAGGCTGGGAGGGCAGATAAAGCAGGTGTATGATTAACGAATATATGGAGAGGTGTAGATGATAATAGCCCGGTGACAAAGGTAGAAACCGAGTCCCCATCTGGTTTCAACCCACCCCCTTCCTCCTCCCTACCACTCCTCTGCAAGCTCCCTGCACTCCGGGCTCCTGGCCCAGGGGCCACCCCTGTCCTGAATCTGAGCCTGGGAAGGGTCCTTTCCTTGGAATGTCCTTCCTTCCTCTCCCTTCATTCCCATCGTGGCAGGTGACACAGGTATGCACAGTCAACCCCCGCAGGAGTCTTAGTCTTTGTGCACGTGCGGTGGGTCCCTTGGCATCCGATAAAACTTACAGACCCTTCCTCCAGAATTGTCTTTTTAAAGTCAGGCTTATTAAATATATGTACAAATTTATAATTTTTGTGTATATTTGCACAATTTTTTTTTTTGAGATGGAGTCTCAGTCTGTCGCCCAGGCTGGAGTGCAGTGCTGCAATCTCGGCTCACCATAACCTCCACCTCCTGGGTTCAAGAGATTCTTCTGCCTCAGCCTCCCGAGTAGCTGGGACTACAAGTGCGCACCACCACCCCCGGCTAATTTTTGTATTTTTAGTAGAGACAGGATTTCACCATATTAGCCAGGCTGGTCTCGAACTCCTGACCCCGTGATCTGCCCGCCTCGGCCTCCCAAAGTGCTGGGATTATAGGCATGAGCCACCATACCCAGCCATATTTGCACACAGTTTTACATAATATAGATACATATATAATTTATATGTGTATACCTATGAGGTAAAATTCACCCTTTTTAGTGTACAACTTTTTTTTTTTTTGAGATGGAGTCTCACTCTGTCACCTAGGCTGGAGTACAATGGTGCAATCACAGTTCACTGCAGCCTCAATCTCCTGGGCTCAAAGAATCCTCCTGCCTCAGCCTCCCAAGTAACTACCACCACAGCCTTGCACCACCACACCCAGATAATTTTTTTTTTAATTTTTATAGAGATGGGGGTGGTTCTCACTATATTGCTCAGGCTGGTCTCGAACTCCTGGACTCAAAAGATCCTCCCACCTTGGCCTCCCAAAGTGGTGGTATTACAGGCTTGAGTCACTGTGCCCAGCCTCAGTTCTATGCTTTTTGACAAATGCTTACACCTGTGTAACCACCAACAAAATTAAGACGCAACAAATCTGTCACCCTTGAAAATTCCCTTGTGCCTCTTTGCAGTCAACTCCTTTCTTTTTTTTTTTTTGAGATGGAGCCTGGCTCTGTCCCCCAGGCCGGACTTGCAGTGACGCTATCTGGGCTCACTGCAAGCTCCGCCTCCCAGGTTTACTCCATTCTCCTGCCTCAGCCTCCCGAGTAGCTGGGACTACAGGTGCCCGCCACCACGCCTGGCTAATTTTTTTGTATTTTTAGTAGAGACGGGGTTTCACCATGTTGGCCAGGATGGTCTCAAACTCCTGACCTCGTGATCCACCCGCCTCGGCCTCCGAAAGTGCTAGGATTACAGGCTTGAGCCACCACACCCGGCCCAGTCAACTCCTTTCTTGCTCCTGACAATCACTGCTCTGTTTTTGGTCCCTGTGGTGTGTCTTTTGCAGGATGTTATATAAATAGAATCACAGAGTGTATAGCCTCTGAGTCTGGCATCTTCCATTTAGCATGATGCATGTGAGATTCACCCATGTTGTGGCATGTATCAGTAGTGTATGCTTTTTCATTGCTGAGTAGTACTCTATTGTACAAATATACCACAGTTTGTCTATACATTCACTAGTCAGAGGATATTTAGCCTGTATAATTCTTCGGTGTGGCAATAATGAATATAGAATAATGTTTTTATTTTTGTTGTTATTTAAACATAGAGATGGTGTCTTGCTGTGTTGCCCAGGCTGGTCTCAAACTCCTGAGCTCAAGTGATCCTTCCACCTTGGCCTCCCAAAGTGCTGGAATTACAGACGTGAGCCACTGCACCCAGCCCAATGTTTTTAAATGTGTAAAATTAATGTATATTATTTATCATAATGAAATGTACCAGAATGGCTAAAATAAACAAGATTGACAACACCAACTGTTGGTGAGGATGTGGAGCAACTGGAATTCTTTTATACTGATAGTGGGAATGTAAAATAGTACAATCACTGTTATAGGATGAATAATGGCTTCCCAAAGATGTCTGCATCCTAATCCTTGAAGCCTGTGAATATGCTACTTTACATGGCAAAAGGAACTTTGCAGATGTAATTAAGGATCTTTTTTCTTTTCTTTTCTTTTCTTTCTTTTTTTTGTGTGTGTATGTGTGTGACAGAATCTCACTCTGTCACTCAAGCTGGAGGGCAATGGTGCAATCAGGGCTCACTGCAACCTTGAACTGCTGGGCTCAAGCGATCCTTCTGCTTCAGCCTCCTGAGTAGCTGGGACTACAGGCATGCACCACCACACCCAGCTAATTTTTTAAATTTTTTTTGTAGAGATGGAGTCTCTCTGTTTGCACAGGCTGGTCTCAAGCTCCTGGCCTCAAGCAATCCTCTTGCCTCCACCTCCCAAACTGCTGGGATTATAGGCATTGGCCACCATGCCTGGCCCATAGTTCATTTTAAACATTCCACAGTTGGGCCAGGTGCAGTGGCTCACGCCTGTAATCCCAGCACTTTTGGAGGCCTAGGCGGGCAGATCACGAGGTCAGGAGATCAAGACCATCCTGGCTAACATGGTGAAACCCCGTCTCTACTAAAAATATAAAAAATTAACTGGGTGTGGTGGCAGGCACCTGTAGTCCCAGCTACTCAGGAGGCTGAGGCAGGAGAATGGCGTGAACTTGGGAGGCAGAGCTTGCAGTGAGCCGAGATCACGCCACTGCACTCCAGCCTGGGCAACAGAGCAAGACTCCGTCTCAAAAAAAAAAAATTCCACAGTTGATGAGTTGATACGCATTTACATTGTTTCAGTGTTTTGCTATTTTAGACAAGGGAATTTTTTTTAAAGGATCTTTTTATACATGCCTCTTTGTGAATGCAGGCCAATTATTTTTCCCTAGGGCAGTCACTAGTAAGTGGTACTGCTGGATCTTAGGGTGTATGCATTTTTCCCCTAATACTTACGGAACATTTCAAAGATACAGAAAATTTGGGGGGAAAAAGTGTACAATGAACCTCCAAGTAGCCACTGGCTAGATTCTACAGCTGTTAATATTCTGCTGCATTAGGCTGGGCACAATGGCTCACGCCTGTAATCTCAGCACTTTGGGAGGCCGAAGCAGGAGAATCGCTTGAGGCCAGGAGTTCAAGACCAGCCTGGCCAACAGAATGAGATCTCCTCTCTATAAAAAATCAAAAAATGAGGCGGGAGGATCGCTTGAGTCCAGCAGGTTGAGGATGCAACAAGCTGTGATCGTGTCACTGCACTCCTGCCTGGGTAACAGAGTGAGACTCCATCTCAAAAAAAAAAAAAAATATATATATATATATATATATATATATATACACACTCATATATATATATATATACTCATATATATATACTTGTATATATATACGAGTATATATATAT
The DNA here is from genome assembly GCF_000001405.40 of Homo sapiens. Classification (NCBI taxonomy): domain Eukaryota; kingdom Metazoa; phylum Chordata; class Mammalia; order Primates; family Hominidae; genus Homo; species Homo sapiens. Next base: position 50,184,620 of record NC_000019.10, on the reverse strand, counting down.
GAATATATATATGAGTATATGTATATGAGTATATATATATATATATATGCTGTATTAGCTGCATTGGATAAATATGTATCCATTCATCCTTCTCTCTATTTAAGCAATTCTAAACCAAGGACAAATTTGTCCCCCCAGGGACATTGGCAATGTCTGGAAACATTTATTACTGTCAACCTGTGTGTGTGGGAGTGCTGCTGGCATTTAGTGGGTAGAGGCCAGGATGTCAACCACATCCTACAATGCACAGGACAGCCTCCCACAACAAATAATTCTCTGGCCTCAAATGTCAATAGTGCTGGAGTTGAGAAACTGCAGCTTATCCATTCATTAGAATAATCTGCAGACGTCAGTAGGCTTCAGCCATAAACACTTCATTGCACACATCATTAATTCAATTTCAATATTTGTTTAGGGTTCCTTTTATTTAGGTAAAATTTACAGACAGTTAAATGTACAATTGCTAAGTATACCATTCAATGAGTTTTGACAAACGTATACACCCAACTAGAAAAAAATAGAACATTTCCATGTCCTAGAAAGTTACCTGACACTCTCCCCAGCCAACTCGCACCTCCACCCACCCCCAGGCAACTAATGTTCTGCTTTTTATCACCACAGATTAGTTTTGTCTGTTCTAGAGCTTTTTATAAATAGAATCCTATAGTAGATGATCTTTTGTGTTTCTTTCACTCCACGTAAAGCTTTTGATATTCATCCATGTTGTTATATGAATCAGTCATTTCTCTCTTTATTTTTATTTATTATTATTATTTTTTTTTTGAGACGAGGTTTTGCTCTTGTTGCCCAAGCTGGAGTGCAGTGGCACAGTCTCGGCTCACCGCAACCTCCACCTCCCGGGTTCAAGCGATTCTCCTGCCTCAGCCTCCCAAGTAGCTGGGATTACAGGCGCCCACCACCACGCCCGGCTAATTTTTGTATTTTTGAGACGGAGTCTTTTTCTGTCGCCCAGGCTGGAGTGCAGTGGCATGATCTTGGCTCACAGCAAACTCCGCTTCCTGGGTTCAAGCGATTCTCCTGCCTCAGCCTCCGGAGTAGCAGGGATTACAGGCACGTGCCACCACGCCCGGCTAATTTTTGTATTTTTAGTAGAGACAGGGTTTCACCATGTTGGCAAGGCTGGTCTCGAACTCCTGACCTCAGGTGATCTGCCTGCCTCGGCTTCCCAAAGTGCTGGGATTACAGGCACGAGCCACCACGCCCAGCCGAGAGACCCCTATCTCTACAAAATTAAAAAAAAAAAATTGCCAGACATGGTGGCACACGCCTGTAACAAAAAGAAATCAGTAGGTGACCCAGGTCTTGGCTCAAGGATTGCTTGAGCCTGGGAGGTCAAGCCTGCAGTGGCTGTGACTGTGCCACCACACTCCAGCCTGGGCAACACAGTGAGACTCTGTCGGAAGGAAGGAAGGAAGGAAGGATGGAAGGAAGGAAAGAAGGAAGGAAGGAAGGAAGGGAAGGGAGGGGAGGGGAGGGGAAGGGAGGGGAGGGAAAGAAAGAGAAAGAGAGAGAGAAAGAAGGGAAGGAGGGAGGGAAGGAGGGGAAGGAGGAGGAAGGAAGGAAGGAAGGAAGGAAAGAAGGAAGGGAGGGAGGGAGGGAGGGAGGGAGGGAAAGGGTTCGTAGATTAGTCCACAGAAATGTTACCATGTTTATTTCATAATATTTTACTGTGGTTATGAAAAGTTTCAACCTTTGGAGAAGCTTGGGTGAAGAGTGAGAATTCTTTGCATTATTTTGTATGAGAATTCTTTGCATTATTTTTGCAACTTTTTTGTTAAGTCTGAAATTATTTCAAAATAAAAAGGTTTTCAAAAGCCATATATGGCAAAACCTTCACATGCATCATATTTCTTTAACCCTTTCAGCACCATTATCTCAATTTCACCAACACAGAAACAGACTTAGAGACAGATAAGTAAGGGGCAGAGCTGGGATTTGAACTCATGTGAGTCTGATTCCAGTGCTCACATTTTTAAAAATTCAACACAATTTTTTAAGCACCTACCGTATGCTGGGCACTGTGCTGTGAACTGAGAATACCCCCATAGACAAGCCAGAGTGTCTGTCCTCCTGGATCTCAACTTCTCATGGAAGAGACAATGAACAAGTAAACAATAAAATGTTTGACATAATGTCAGGCGGTGAAGCTTTTATTTATTTATTTATTTATTTTATTTTTATTTATTTTTATTTTTTAGATGGTGTCTCGCTCTGTCACCAGGCTAGAGTGCAGTGGCACGATCTCAGCTCACTGCAACCTCTGCCCCCCCACCCCGGGTTCAAGCGATTCTCCTGCCTCAGCTTCCCAAGTAGCTGGGACTACAGGTGCCTGCCACCACACTTGGCTGGTTTTTGTATTTTTAGTAGAGACGGGGTTTCACCATGTTGGTCAGGCTGGTCTCAAATCGCTGACCTCATGATCTGCCCCACTCGGCCTCCCAAAGTGCTGGGATTACAGGTGTGAGCCATCACGCTGGGCAGGCAGTGAAGCTTTTAAAAATGCTGAACAAGGCTGAGCGTAATGGCTCATGCCTGTAATCCCAGCACTTTGGGTGGCTAAGGCGGGCGGATCATTTGAGGTCAGGAGTTCGAGGCCAGCCTCTACTCCTGTCTCTACCGAGAATCAAAAAGTTAGCCGGGCATGGTAGCACATGCCTGTAGTCCCAACTACTCTGGAGGCTGAGGCAGGAGGATCGCATGAGCCCAGGAGTTCAAGGCTGCAGTGAGCTATGATTGCACCACTGCACTGCAGCGTGGGCAACAGAGAAAGACCCTGGAGGGTGGATCACCTGAGGTCAGGAGTTCGAGACCAGCCTGGCCAACATAGTGAAACCCCATCTCTACTACAAAACTACAAAAATTAGCCAGGTGTGGTGGCACATGCCCGTAATCCCAACTATTTGGGAGGCTGAGACAGGAGAATCACTTGAACCCAGGAGGCAGAGGTTGCAGTGAGCCAAGATCGCGCCACTGCACTGCAGCCTGGGTGACAGAGAGAGACCCTGTTTCAAAAAAAATACAACAAAACAAGGCAACAGGGGGATAGAGAGAACATAGTAAGGAGCTGAATACTGAGAATAGGAAACAAAAGTACAGTGAAGGTAGAAGTTTTAAACCTCTGCGCTTTGGCTACCTGCGTCCCTAATTTGGTGCCTCCAAGTCTGAACTCTTACCCATTAAGCTAAATTACCTCCCACAGATGCCGTAATTAATCAGCTCTTTCCTTGACTCAGGGCTGTTATTACAAACATGGGTCATTACACCTATGGTTATTGAGCAATACTCTCTAGATCAGGGATTCTCACAGTTTCATATGCTCTAAAAATGTGCGTTGGTAAAAGCCATCAAATGAGCTCTGTGTGAGAAAGAGTAACTTTACAGAGGAGAAACTGGGTAGACAGCATCTTAAGCATGGGATCAAAGTTAGTATCACCCGTTGTGGGACCTGCTGACATCAGAGACCTCTTGATGTCATGCATCAAGGACACAGCATCCCTCCCGCAGTTAATGTTGTGAGGGATCTTAAAATTCTGATTCAGCAGGTCCAGGGTGGGGTGGAGGTTCTGTATTTTTAATATAAACTCCAGGTGATGCTGATGCTGCTACTTCATGGACCACATTTTAAGCAGCAAAGCTGGAGCTGCTTAAACTTGAGCAAAGCTGAAACCACCTCTAGGACTTGGTAAAATCCAGATTGTATAGATTGCACGGTGGCTCGTGCCTGTAATCCCAGCACTTTGGGAGGCCAACGCAGGAGAATTGCTTGAGGCCAGGAGTTCAAGACCGGCCTGGGCAACATAGCAAGACCCTCATCTCTATTTTAAAAAAATTAAAATTAACCAGGTGTAGTGACATGCACCTGTAGTCCAGCTACTCAGGAGGCTGAAGTGGGAGAATCACTTGGGCCCAGGAGTTTGAGGCTGCAGTGAACTGTGATTGAGCCACTGCACTCCAGCCTGGGTGACAGAGTGAGACCTTGTCTCTGAAAAGGTAGATAGATAGATAGACAGACAGACCGACGGATAGATAGATAGGCTGGCACAGTGGCTTACGCCTGTAATCCCACCACTTTGGGAGGCCAAGGCGGGGAGATCACCTAAGGTCAGGAGTTCAAGGCCAGCCTGGCCAACATGTCAAAACCCTGTCTCTACTAAAAACACAAAAATTAGCCAGGCATGGTGGTGGGCACCTGTAATCCCAGCTACTCAGGAGGCTGAAGCAGGAGAATCGCTTGAACCCGGGAGGCGGAGGTTGCAGTGAGCTGAGACAGTGCCACTGCACTCCAGCCTGGGCGACAAGAGTGAAACTCTGTCTCAAAAATAAAAATTTAAAAAGATAGATAGACAGATAGCCGTACTCTACGTACAGACTCTCTAGAATGCCTCCCTGTGCAGCATATAACTCTTTAGTCCTTTCATGCTCTGTGTGATCAATCCCCTCTATTAAATTACCTCCTGTTGAAAGACCTAAGGTGATTTTCGATTGCCTGGCCAGACCCTGTCAGAGACACACGTCTGGAACTGAGAAGGGGACAGTGAGCATGGGTCAAGTGTCCCTGAGATGCAGCATCCTATAGTAATGCACACCACAACCCCATGACACTAAACTTCGCATCCTTCTCTGTGGAAGCCTAGTGGTGTCCTGGTTCCTAACCTTTGCCCAGGCTGTTCCCTTCACCTTGAATGCCCATCCTCCCCTTCCCCCATATCTGAATTTTATCCATCTGTATTAGCCGTAACCAAGCACCAGAAACTGTGTGGCTTAAATGGTAGAAATTTATTGTCTCACAATTCCAGAGGCCAGAAATTTGCAGTGTTGCCTGAGCTGGTTCCTGCTGAAGTCCACGAGGGAGAATCTGTCCCAGTCCTCTGTCCTAGCCTCAGCCTCCCGAGTAGATGGGACTACAGGTGTGTGCCACCACACCTGGCTAATTTTTGTATTTTTAGTAGAGACGGGCTTTCACCGTGTTGTCCAGGCTGGTGTCGAACTCCTGACCTCAGGTGATCTGCCCACCTTGGCCTCCTAAAGTGTGGGATTACATGCATGAGGCACCGCACCCAGCCCACATGGCATTATTTTTATAAGGACACCAGTCAAATTGGTTTAGAGGTTCACTCTGCTCCAGGATGACCTCATCTTGACTAATTACATCAGCAATGACCCTGTTTCTAAATATGGTCACATTCTGAGGTATTGGGGGTTAGGATGTCAACAATTCTTTTTTAGGAGGAGACAAAATTCAGTTTCTTACACTCATGAAGGCAAAACAGAAAGCAGAGAAGACTGCCAGGAAACGCTGGGGTGAGGGGCTGCTCCCTTAGATCAGGTGGTCTGGGGAGGCCTCTCTTCACCAGAGATGCGTGAGTCACAGCATGAAGGAGATGAATTAGCAACGCTTTCCCAGGAGTAAAGAACATGGACTTCATTACCTGGCGTTTAGGACATTTCCCTTGGTGTCTCAGAGGTATTTAAATGGGTTTATTGTTGGTTTTTGTTTTTTTTTTCTCTCTGCTCATTTCCTGGTTTGAAAGTGGTGAGATTAAGAAAGAGGAGAGTCACTGAGGCGTGGTTCTTGTAAGAACCTGAGAATTTTTCCGCCGTGTCAAATTCACTAAATCAGTGGATCTGAGAAGCTCCAACAGCTGTGAGGCTGAGAAGCTGTCAGATCCCAATTCCGGTGAGAAGCTGGGGGTTTCCGCTGTGCAGCTGCTGTGCCAGGTATCAGACTGTCACAGGCAGCACCCTTGCCCAGCTTTATTTAGAATAAATGCACACAAAAATGGTGCAAACATTGTGAATGTACAGCTCAACAAATTATCACAAAGTGAACAAGCCCAGGAAGCCAGCACCCAGATTTTAAAATCAGAACATCCCCAAGCCCTCTTGTCCCTCTTCTTCTCCCAAGGGTCACCACTATTCTGACTTCTAACACCATAGATTACTTCTTCCTGTTCTTGAACTTTATAGAAATGGAACAGTACAGTCTGTACTCCTTTGAGTCTGTCTTCCTCCATTTAACATAGGTTGTATGTTGATTGTTGACTCTCATTGCTGAATGGCACAGGCTGGAAACCTACAACCTGGAGTCAGCTCTAGACTGTTGCCTGTTTGTGTAAATAAAGTTTTATTGGAACAAAGCCACGCCCATTCATTCACTGTGGTCTATAGCTGTGTAAGCCTGGCAATGGCTGCAGCAGAGACCACATGGCCCAGAAAACTGAAAATATTTACTATCTGGTCCTTAACAGAAAAAGTTTGTCAACCCCTACTAGATGGCATTCCATTGTACAAATATAACACAATCTATTTATCCATTCAATGGTGGACGGATGGATGTTTGTGTAGTTTCCAGTTTGGGGTTATTACAATAGGGTTTCTAAGGGCAGTCTTTTATGGAGTTGTGAAACTTTCTCTACAAAGAGCCAGAGAGGAAATATTTTATTTTATTTTATTTTTTATTTTATTTTGAGGCGGGGTCTCTCTCTGTCACTCAGTCTGGAGTGCAGTCGCGCGATCTCGGCTCACTGCACCCTCCACCTCCCGGATTCAAGCAATTCTCCCACATCAGCCTCCTGAGTAGCTGGGATTACAGGGGTGCGCCACCACACTGGGCTAATTTTTGCATTTTTGGTAGAGACGAGGTATCACCATGTTGGCCAGGCTGGTCTCGAACTCCTGACCTCAGGTGATCCACCCACCTCGGCCTCCCAAAGTGCTGAGATTACAGGTGTGAGCCACCATGCCCGGCCCAGAGAGGAAATATTTTAAACTTAGGGAATCATATAAGATCTTTGTCACAGGCCGGGCACGGTGGCTCAAGCCTGTAATCCCAGCACTTTGGGAGGCCGAGGCAGGCGGATCACAAGGTCAGGAGATTGCTAACACGGTGAAACCCCGTCTCTACTAAAAATACAAAATATTAGCCGGGCATGGTGGTGGGCGCCTGTAGTCCCAGCTGCTGGGGAGGCTGAGGCGGGAGAATGGCGTGAACCCAGGAGGTGGAGATTGCAGTGAGCCGAGATCATGCCACTGCACTCCAGCCTGGGCGACAGAGCAAGACTCCGTCTCAAAAACAAAAAAACTTTGTCACATATTCTTTTTTTTTTTTTTTAAACAACCCTTTTTTTTTTTTTTTTTTTTTTTTTTTGAGACGGAGTTTCGCTCTTTTGCCCAGGCTGGAGTGCAGTGGCGCGATCTCGGCTCACTGCAACCTCTGCCTTCTGGTTTCAAGCAATTCTGCCTCAGCCTCCCGAGTAGCTGGGATTACAGGTGCCCGCCACCATGCCCTGCTAATTTTCCTATTTTTAGTAGAGACGGGGTTTCATCATGTTGGCCGCACTGGTCTCGAACTCCTGACCTCGTGATCCGCCTGCCTCGGCCTCCCAAAGTGCTGGGATTAGAGGCGTGAGCCACCGTGCCCAGCCTACAACCCTTTAAAAACAAAAACCATTCTTAGCTCTGGCTCATAAAAGAACGGGCTGTAGACTGAATTTAGCCCCTGTAGTTAGCCAATCCGTGTTTTAGTACGTGGATTTTGGTGAACATACATGTGCATCATGGTTGGGTATGCCAAGGTCCCCCTTTTATTACAAATGTCCTGTTTTTCCTCTGTACTCTGCTGGAATAAAGTCCATGGGTAATCTAAACTATTTACACACATAACTTTAAAAAATCAAATAACTTTAAGATAAAGGAGAAATAGGCTGGGCGCAGTGGCTCAAGCCTGTAATTCCAGCAATTTGGGAGGCCGAGGCGGGCAGATCGTGAGGTCAGAGATCGAGACCATCCTGGCTAACACGTGAAACCCCATCTCTACTGAAAAAAAAGAAAAAAAAATTAGCTGGGCGTGGTGGCAGGCGCCTGTAGTCCCAGCTACTCGGGAGGCTGAGGCAGGAGAATTGCTTGAACCCGGGAGCCGGAGGTTGCAGTGAGCCGAGATCATGCCACTACACTCCAACCTGGGTGACACAGCAAGATTCCGTCTCAAAAAGAAAAAAAAATCAAATAACCGTAAGATAAAGGAGAAATAAGGTAAAATAACTTTAATAAGATAATATGAATTCTTTTTTTTTTTTTTCTTTGAGACAGAGTTTCACTCTTGTCGCCCAGGCTGGACTGCAATGGCACGATCTCGGCTCACTGCAACCTCCGTCTCCCAAGTTCAAGCGATTCTCCTGCCTCAGCCTCCCGAGTAGCTGGGGTTACGGGCGTCTGCACCACACCCGGCTAAGTTTTTTTTTCTATTTTTAGAAGAGATGGAGTTTCACCATGTTGGCCAAGCTGGTTTCAAACTCCTGGCCTCAAATGGTCCACCTGCCTCGTCCTCCCAAAGTGTTGGGATTATAGGCGTGAGCCAACGCGTCCGGCAGATAGTGTGAATACTTATATGCAAATGTTGGTACATTGCAATAGACCGTTCACAGATATTTTGTTGTTTGCTCCTCTGAGCATATAAGATTGTACTTCCTGTCATGTGACTTGCTTGAGCCAATGAAATGAGACCAGGAATACGTGTCATTTCATTGGCACTGGAGGATTTAGGCACGTTGGCTTCTCAGCCTTAGTAACTGGAAGCAATGTCCCACGAGTGGCTGATTTGTTAGCCTGGGTTCGATAGTCAGAACTCTGAAGCTGTGGAGGTAGAGTCCTCAGCTGGCTGTGATGGGCATTAGCATGAGTAAGAAGCATATCTCTGCTGTTTCATGTCTCTGAGATTTGGGGTTGGTTTATTCCTGCAACACAACACAACACATTTCATTCTGACTGCTATAGGTATGATCATATCAGATCAGTGATTCTCAAACAGGAGAAATAGTGTCCCTCAGGGGACGTTGCAATGTCTGGAGACAGTTTTGATTGATTTTCCTGGCTGGTGGGGAGGTCCCCTGACATCTAAAATGGCCAAGACTGGATGCGTTGGTTAACACCTGTAATCCCAGCACTCTGGGAGGCCGAGGTGGGCGGATTACCTGAGGTCAGGAGATGGAGATCAGCCTGGGTAACATGGTGAAACCCCGTCTCTACTAAAAATACAAAAAAAATTAGCCGGGTTTGGTGGTGCATGCCTGTAATCCTAGCTACTGGGGAGGCTGAAGCATGAGAATCTCTTGAACCCAGGAGATGGAGGTTACAGTAAGCTGAGATCAGGCCACTGCACTCCAGCCTGGGCGACAGAGCAAGACTCTTGTCTCAAAAACAACAACAACAACAAAAAAAAACAAAAGTGGAGTCCAAAGATGCTGCTCAACATCCTTCAACACACAGCACAGCCCCCAGCAACAAAGAATTGTATGGCCCCAAATGTCAACAGCGCCGGCTGAGAAACCCAGCCCTGGAGCCTTACTCCTGAGATGTGATCCGTGGACCAGAAGCATTAAGGAAACAGGAGCCCAGGAGAGCCAGAATAACCCCATTTTCAGTTCTGCTCCATCTTGGGACTGACAAGGCACATTTCTTGCCAGTCATGCACATTCCTTGCACACAGGCACAGCTTAGTTTAGTCTTTTTTTTTTTTCTTTGAGATGGAGTCTTGCTCTGTCACCCCGGCTGGAGTGCAATGGCGCCATCTCGGCTCACTGCAAGCTCCGCCTCCCGGGTTCACGCCATTCTCCTGCCTCAGCCTCCCAAGTAGCTGGGACTACATGCGCCCGCCACAACGCTTGGCTAATTTTTTGTGTTTTTGGTAGAGACAGGGTTTCACCATGTTAGTCAGGATGGTCTCGATCTCCTGACCTCGTGATCCACCGCCTTGGCCTCCCAAAGTGCTGAGATTACAGGCGTAAGCCACCACAGCCGGCCCCAGCCAGGTCATTATTATTCTCTCTCCAAATCCATCTCTCACCCATTCTTCCTTTGCAACGTGGCTTGTATTTATCCCTTCCTGTCTGAGCTCATTAGTTGTTAGCCTGCATTCTTGTTATTTTTCTCATTCATACATTCACTCATTCATCTGACAAATATTTATTGAGCCCCTACTGTGTACCAGGTATTGTTCGAGGGGCTGGGGACACAGCAGGGAGCAAGTTCATGTCCACGTGGAGCTTACGTTCAGGTGGGGAAGACCATCATTAATCAGGCAGTCACACCCAAAAATGTAAACTCCCCTCCCTGCTGAGGGCTACCATGGAAAAATGCATAGTGTTCTGAGAACATCTAACAGAGGAATTTGACCTTGTCAGGACCATCCCAAGGTGTTCCCTTAGAAGGTGTCCTCATTGAGCTTTAAGTTGAAAGATGAGTAGGGGTTATTAGGTAGAATGGGAGAGTAAGGTGGTCCAGGCAGAAGAGTCAGCATGTGCAAAGGTCCTGTGGCAGAAGGACACAAAGTGTATGCACAGAACAGGTGCTACACTCGAACTTTCAGCCTCAAGCAATCCTCCCACTTCAGCCTCCCAAGTAAGTGGGACTATAGGCATGCACCACCCCTGGCTAATTTTTGTATTTTTTGTGAAGATGGGATCTCTCTATGTGGCCCAGGCTGGTCTTGAACTCCTGGGCTTAAGCGATCCTTCCACCTGTAATCCCAGCACTTTGGGAGGCCAAGGTGGGTGGATCACCTGAGGTCAGCAGTTCGAGACCAGCCTAGCCAACATGGCAAAACCCCGTCTCTACTAAAAATACAAAAATTAGTCGGGTATGGTGGCCATGCCTGTAATTCCAGCTACTTGGGAGGCTGAGGCAGGAGAATCGCCTGAATCCAGGAGGCGCAGGTTGCAGTAAGCCAAGATTGCACCATTGCCCTCTAGCCTGGGCGACAGAGTGAGACTCTGTCTCAGAAAAAAAAAAAAAAAAAAAAAAAGGCCAGGCACGTTCTCACCCCAGGGCCTTTGCATTTGCTGTTTCCTCTGCCCAGAAGGCTCTTCCCTGGGATGACCTTGTGATTTGCTCCTCATTTCCTTCCGGACTTTACCTGAATATCACCTTCTTGGTGAGGTCTCCTCTCCTCTGCAGAACCCTGGAAATTAACAGCACCTCCTGCCACCTCCTCCCACCCTCCCTATCTGCTTTATTTATTTCCCCTTAGTGCCGAAGACCATGAAATATACTATATATTTCATGTGCTTATTTTATTAGAACATAGCTCCAGGGGTTTGAGTCTGAGCTGGTCACTGGTGTAGCCCCCGTGTCTAGAACTGTGCCTGGCATAGAGGTGGTGCATGTGCTGTGTCTATGAATGAGTGTGCGCATGAAACAGGCATGTCTACCGTGTGGCTAGAAACGGGTGGGTTCTGGAGGCCTAGGGAGCTCAGATAAGGTTCCGGCCTAGAGCGGTCGCTGTCTGAGGTGGGGAGGGCTGAGTCCTCAAGGGAAAGAGAAACCGATACCATCCTGCAGTCTGATAAGATCTGTGAGGGAGGGACAATTGCCTCAGCCATGGGTGGAGCAGTGTCCTGTGACCAGGACAGCATTTTCCTTGGAAATGCCCCTGAGGCTGGATTATTTCCCCTCCCTCCCTCCCTCTCCCTCCCTCCCTCCCTCCCTCCCTCACTTCCTTCCTTCTTTCCTTCTTTCCTTCCTTCCTCCCTTTTTTCCTTTTCTCTTTTCTTGCTTTTTGAGATAGGATCTCACCCAGTCACCCAGGCTGGAGTGCAGTGGTGTGATCATGGCTCACTGCAGCCTTGACCTCCCAGGCCCAAGGGATTCTCCCACCTCAGCATCCCAAGTAGCTGGGAACACAGCTGTGAGCCACCACATCCAGCTTTTTTTTTTTCTTTTTCTTTTTTTTTGGTAGAAACAGGGTCTCCCTGTGTTGCCCAGGCTTGTCTCAAACTCCTAGATTCAAGGTCTGCCCACCTCAGCCTCCCAAAGGGCTGGGATTACAGGCAGGAGCCACCAGGCTGAATGTACTTTTAATAGCCAAATAGCTCTACAACTCAAAAGCACATCTAGGCACTCATTATGTCAAATATTTAATGCATGTTCCATGACTGGGGTTTTTTTAGGTTGAGATTAAAACCTTTGGTCTTGGAGGTACAGAAAATAATTAGCTTTTCATGATTGCATGATGCCTTACAATCTTTAAGATTTTTCTTTCCTATGCAGTGTTGTGGCATAAAATAAGCCCTGGCCAGGCACAGTGGCTCGAACCTGTAATCCTAGCACTTTGGGAGGCCGAGGTGGGAGGATCGCCTGAGGCCATGAGTTCAAGACCAGCCTGGGCAACATAGTGAGACCCCATCTCTAAAAATAAAAATTAAAGCTCTAGAGGCCGGCCTCAGTGGCTCACACCTGTAATCCCAGCACTTTAGAAGGCCAAGGCGGGTGGATCACCTGAGGTCAGGAGTTCGAGACCAGCCTGGTCAATGTGGTAAAACCCCATTTCTACTAAAAATACAGAAAATTAGCCGGGCATGGTGCCACATGCCTATAGTCCCAGCTACTTGGGAGGCTGAGGCAGGAGAATCGCTTGAACCTGGGAGACAGAGATTCCAGTGAGCCGAGATCATGCCACTGCACTCCAGCCTGGGCGACAGAGCCAGACTGTCTCCAAAGAAAAAGAAAGAAAGAAAAGAAAAAAAAAAAGAAAGAAAGGCCCTAGATTTTGGTCCAAAGTAGTGCATGCATACAGTATAAAACTTTCCTGGCTGGGAGGTGGACTGGAGGCAGGTTGGGGCCAGGGGCTAGTGGGAGAGAGGATGTGAGCTGAGTTCTCACCAAACAGAATTTTCAGGTGACTCACAGGCCATACCTCTGTGCTCCCAGCTCACATTTACAGAACGATGTCTGTGTACAAGGATTTTAAATTCATCATCCCATTTGCCCCTCACAGCGAAACTATTGTAGAGATGCTAATGTTGTCTTCATTTTACAGACAAGGACGCTGAGGTACGGGGGGATATGCACAGGTCACACAGTTCATAAGGGGCAAAGCTGGGATCCTGACACTACAGCCCACACTCTTTAAAAAAAAAAACTACCTTTTAAACTTTTTTAAAAATATAATTCACATGCCATAAAATTCACCATTTTAACGTGCAATTCGGTGGGTTTTAGTATATTCATGTTTGCACAACTATCACCACTATCTAATTCCAGAGCATTTTCTTTTTTTTTTTTAATTTTTCTTTTTTTTGAGACAGAGTCTTGCTTTCTCGCCCAGGCTGGAGTGCAATGGTGCAATCTCAGCTCACTGCAACCTCCGCCTCCTGGGTTCAAGCAATTCTCCTGCCTCAGCCTCCCAAGTAGCCGAGATGACAGGCACGCACCACCACACCCAGCTAATTTTTGTATTTTTAGTAGAGACAGGGTTTTGCCATGTTGGCCAGGCTGTTCCTGAACTCCTGACCTCAAATGATCCACCCACCTCGGCCTCCTAAAGTGCTGGGATTACAGGCATGAGCACCCGGTTGTAAATATATTTTTATATTATATTGCTGTCCATTCACTTTCTGGATGGTGTTTTCTGAAGCCCAAAGGACTTCAGATTTTTTTATTTTGGTTGAGTCCTCGCTGGCCTATGTATTTTTTGTTTGTTTGTTTTTTGTTGTTTTTTTTTGAGATGGAGTCTTGCTCTGTCCCCCTGGCTGGAGTACTGTGGCGCGATCCCGGGTTTACACCATTCTCCTGCCTCAGCCTCCCGAGTAGCTGGGACTACACGCGCCCGCCACCACACACGGCTATTTTTTTTTTTTTTTTTTTGTATTTTTAGTAGAGACGGAGTTTCACCTTGTTAGCCAGGATGGTCTCGATCTCCTGACCTCGTGATCCGCCCGCCTCAGCCTCCCAAAGTGCTGGGATTACAGGCGTGAGCCACGCGCCCGGCCAGTACCGTGTATTCTTGATCCTGCACACTGTGTTGAATACAGTGATTCACAGGTGGGGGACTTTTGGCATTATCTACGGACATCTATGGTTGTCACAGCTGGGAGTGCGGGTGCTGCTGGCATTTAGTGAGTAAAGGCCAGAGATGCTGCCCACATCCTATACCGTGCACAGGTCGGGGCCTACAAGGACGGATCATCCAGCCCCAAACGTCAGTAGCGCTGACGTTGGGAAATCCCGATTACCGATACACGTAACAGCCAATATGAAACCCTCACAGCGTAGGGTTAGAGCACAGGCTCTGAGGCCGGGCAGCCCGAGTTCAAGTTCTCGCCCTGCCTCCTACTCACTGTCCGATTTGGGGCAAGTTGTACAACCTCATCATCCTCATCTGTAGATGGGGACAATGCCATTGCTTCCCTTACAGCACACCGTGAGGATGAAAGGAGGCGCTAGGCCTTGGCATGTGGCCTGGCACAGAGTCCACACTCTCAACCCATGTGGGCCGTGGGTTTGGTTCAGCGTCCACTAATACCAGGTGTCCAGGACACACAGTGATTCCCTTCAGTTTCAGGTCAGCCCAGTGAGTGCCATGGTGCAGTGAGGAAACTGAGGGACAAAGAGAGGAAGCCTCCTGCCCAATGTCACACAGAACATGGGGTTCTCAAACAGAGTCTGAAAGGCAGGCAGGCAAGAGGAAAGGAAGGAAGGGAGGAGAGAAGGGAGGGAGGGAGGGAAAGAAGGGAGGGAGAGAGGGAGGGAGGGAAGGAAGGAAGAAATGAAGGGAGGGAGGGAGGGACAGACAGAGGGAGGGAGGGAGGGAGGAGCAAGACAGGAAAAAGGAGACAAAGCACTGAGACACAGGGAGAGGGGCAGAGATAGGAGACAGGGGATAGAGACCCAGAGAGAGGGGGACAGAGAACCAGAGAGAGGGGGACAGAGACTCAGAGAGAGAGGGATAGAGACCCAGAGAGAGAGAGGGGGACAGAGAACCAGAGAGAGGGGGACAGAGACTCAGAGAGAGAGGGATAGAGACCCAGAGAGAGAGGGGGGGACAGAGACCCAGACAGAGAGGGACAGAGACCCAGAGGGTTGGGGGGACAGAGACCCAGAGAAAGGGGATAGAGACTCAGAGAGGAAGGGGACAAACACCCAGAGAGATAGGGACAGAGACCCAGAGAAAGAGGGACAGAGAGAGAGAGAGAGGAAAAAAAAGAGACCCAGAGAGACTGTGAGGGCAGAGACCCAGAGAGAGGTGGTACAGAGACCCAGAGAGAGTTGGTACAGAGACCCAAAGAGAGGGGGACAGAGACTCAGAGAGAGAGAGAGGAACAGAGACCCAGAAGGGGGAGGGGACAGAGACCCAGAGACAGGGGAGTACAGAGACCCAGAGAGAGAGAGAGAGAGAGAGAGAGACAGAGACCCAGGGAGGAGACAGAGACCTAGAGAGAGAGAGAAAGAGGCAGAAAGGGAGGCATAAGAGAAAAAGGAGCGAGTGATAGAGTTTGAGGAACAAGAGGGACAGTTAGGATTGGCTGGGGGCAGACAGCCTGTGGTCACCTCACACCCCAGTTTCCTGTCCAGAGAGCAGGCAGTGGAGACAGGCAGTGTACAGAGAACCCCTGGGCCTCGGGAGGGTGTGGGGACTCTGGCCTGAGGGGCAGCCTCCAGGCCCAGTGTGTGAGCAGAGCCCATGTCACCCCTCAGTGCTGGTGATGGAATGAGAGGAACTGTGGGTGTGACCGTGCCCCACCCGTGGGTGTGAGAGTCACTGAACTAGGTGAGAAGTGCCCCACGGGGCAGGTCACGGGCCCCGCCTCTGCCTTGGGGTGCCTGCCATTCAATCCCAGGCCATGCAAATAACAAAGCATGTTATTTTAAAGTTTTTGTGTGTGTGAAATATAACACACATCCAGAAAAGAATGCAGAACACAATGTGCAAGCAACTGACGTATCTATCGACTGATGAATGAATGCACGCAATGTGGCCCATCCATACAATGGAATATTATTCAGCCTTAAAAAAGGAGGCTGTAGGCCAGGCGTGGTGACTCACGCCTGTAATCCCAACACTTTGGGAGGCCGAGGCAGGCGTATCATCAGATCAAGAGATCGAGACCATGCTGGCCAACATGGTAAAACCTCGTCTCTACTAAAAATACAAAAATTAGCCAGGTGTGGTGGCACATGCCTGTAGTCCCAGCTACTCAGGAGGCTGAGGCAGGAGAATCACTTGAACCTGGGAGGCAGAGGTTGCAGTGAGGCCCCTCAGAAGGTGGCCCAGTTGGAGCCCCCTTGTCCCTGCAGAGAAAACCTCTCTCCTCACTTTCCCATCATCACTGTCCTTACAGGGACCGCAGGTCAGATGAGCGTGCAGCTGTGGCTCCATCCCGTGCCTTTGCCTGTTCTGAACTTTCCATCAACGGAATTGCAGATTGGCCGGGCACGGTGGCTCACGCCTGTAATCCCAGCACTTTGGGAGGCCGAGGCAAGCAGATCACGAGGTCAGGAGATCGAGACCATCCTGGCTAACACAGTGAAACTCCGTCTCTACTAAAAATGCAAAAAATTAGCCGGGCGTGGTGGCGGGCGCCTGTAGTCCCAGCTACTGGGGAGGCTGAGGCGGAAGAATCGCTTGAACCCGGGAGGCGGATCACTTGCAGTGAGCGGAGATCGCACCACTACACTCCAGCCTGGGGGACAGCGCGAGACTCTGTCAAAAAATAAAAATAAAAAAGGAATTGCAGATCACGTCGTCCTTTGTTTCTGCTTTTGCTCAACATCATGTTTGAACGATGGCCCAGAGAGGTTTGCGGGCAGCTAGATCATCATCCCACTGCCGTGCGGGATTCCATCCGAGGAACACGCCACAGTGGGTTTATCTAGCGAGTCTTCCCGTTGACGGATATTTGGGCCGTCTCCACCTTGAGTTCCTTACAAAGGACGCTGCCAAGGGGATTCGTGTCTGCGTGCCCCTGGCGGGTGTGTGCACCCATTTCCCGTGTGTGCATGTGGAGGAAGGGATGCGCACGTGGCCAGCCTGCATAGAGCCTGACGGTTTTCCAACGTGGCTGTCCCTGTCTGCCCTCCCACAGCTGTGCATGAGAACAGGTCACCGTTTTTGTAGCCACACAATGTGTACTAGGGAGGGGGCTGGACATGGGAAGTGGATGATGAGAAAACGCCCCTCACCCCACCCCGCTACGCTGGAACCACCTCCTCTAATTCCCCGCCTCCGCTAGGCTTGAAGCCAAATCCCTGTAACCATTTCCCAGACATTCTTTTCCGCCTGCTGCACACCATCGCCACATCAGGCCATTAGTGTCACTCAGCAGGGCTTTGCAGCCTGGGGACCTCTGGCTGCCTGCCTGGCCCCACATCTGTCTCTGTCTCTACCTGCGTGACCTCACACGAGTAGACTGTCCCTGCTCTGCCTCCGCATCCACATCAGCCAAATTTCGTGTGGACGAAATGAGATAAGGCATGCCTTCATTCTGGCAATACACACATGGGTATGTACATTACTTCATGAGATTCACAAAGCCCCCCAAACCCTCTGGAAATATGAGAGCAGCAGGCACAGCTTTGAACAGTCACAAACTCAGATGAGCATAAAACATATAGTCCTTTTCAGCTGGGCGTGGTGGCTCACGACTGTAATCCCAGCACTTTGGGAGGCAAGGTGGCAGATCACTTGAAGCCAGGAGTTTGAGAACAGCCTGGCCAACATGGTGAAACCCCGCCTCTACTAAAAATACAAGAATTGGCCTGGCGCAGTGGCTCACGCCTGTAATCCCAGCACTTTGGGAGGCCGGGGTGGGTGGATCACGAGGTCAGGAGTTCAAGAACAGCCTGGCCAACACAGTTAAACCCCATCTCCACTAAAAATACAAAAATTAGCTGTGTGTGGTGGCGCGCGCTTGTAGTCCCAGCTACTCAGGACGCTGAGGCAAGAGAATCGCTTGAACCCGGGAGGCAGAGGTTGCAGTGAGCTGAGACCATGTCGTTGCACTGCAGCCTGGGTGACAGAGTGAGACTCGGTCTCAAAAAAAAAAAAAATACAAAAGTTAGCCGGTGTGGTTGTGCACACCTGTAGTGCCAGCTACTCGGGAGGCTGAAGCAGGAGAATCGCTTGAACCCAGGAGGCAGAGATTACAGTGAGTCGAGATCGTGCCACTGCACTCCAGCCTGGGCGACAGAGAAAAACTCTGTCTCAAAATAAACAAACGAACAAACATATCATCCTTTTCTTTTCCTTTTTATTTCTTGAAACAGGGTCTTGCTCTCTGCCCCAGGCTGGAGTGCAGTCGCGAGATCATGGCTCGCTTCAGCCTCGATTTCCCAGGTTTAGGCGATCCTCCCACTTAAGTCTCCCAAGTAGCTAGGACTACAGGCGCATGCCACCATACCCGGGTATTTTTTTTCTATTCTGTGTGGGAGCCTGAGGCAGGACGATCACTTGAGCCCAGGAGGTTGAGGCTGCAATGAGCCGAGATCGTGCCACTGCACTCCAGCTTGAGCGACAGAGGGAGAACCTTGACTCCAGAAAAAAAAAAAAAAAAAAAAATTATGTCAATGGTATTGAGTTGTAGGTTTCACTGTGGGTTTTTTGTTTGTTTGCTTGCTTTGTTTTGCTCTTTGCTGTTTTCACTTGGATCCATTCATGGCATGGTGTGGACAGGCTCATCTGTTCTTCTAGCTGCTTGCAGGGTCCTGTACCACAGGCGACCCACCTCCCCAGTGAGGACACCCAGCTTGCCTTTGCCTCCCAGTGCCGTCAACAACACAGTGATGGACGTCTGTGCGCCTGGAGAGCGAGTGTGGGAACTTCCTCAGCCACTTTTGCTGGGGTGTGAAATCTGATGATAGTTCATCTAACTTATGTTTTACCAAATTAGCATGGCTGAACCCGATAAACAAAACCGGTTCTGCATCCCAAGCCTTCCTGCCTCACACCCAGGCCTGAGGGTTTGGGGCTTGAAGCTGAGGAATGAGTGGCCTTCCCATCCCATTCTGGCCACCCCTTCTTCAGTCAAACAACAGCCCCTTGACTCCCTGCCTGAAAGGCAGATGGTAATAGGGGATGAGGAAAAGGACGCACACGTTAATATCTCAGGTTGATTTCTCAAATTATGGCCAGCACGGCATTAGGTAGACAACTGGGTGATCCTAAGAAAGGTAGGCGTGGGTGGCAAGGCCTGACTCTCAGTCCGGGAGCAGAGAGAATTTCACTTGGGTGTGAGCACCTCCTTGTGGCCTGATCTCACACTTTGTAATCCCAGCACTTTTTGAGGCCGAGGGGGGTTGCGGATCACTTGAGGTCGGGAGTTTGAGACCAGCCTGGCCAACATGGCAAAACCCCATCTCTACTAAAAATTCAGAAATTAGCCGGGCGTGGTGGCACACGCCTGTAGTCCCAGCTACTCAGGAGGCTGAAGCAGGAGAATCGCTTGAACCTGGGAAGTGGAGGTTGCAGTGAGCTGAGATCGTGCCACTGCACTCCAGCCTGGGTGACAAGAGCAAGACCCCATCTCAAAAATTAAAAAATAAAAAAGGGAACCCAAAGAGTCCTCTCACCCTCTTTTTGCCATGTGAGGATACAAGAAGAGAGCTCCACCAGAACCTGACCTTGCTGGTGCTCTGCTCTTGGATTTCCAGCCTCCAGAGCTGGAAGAAATAAATTCTGTTGTTTATAAGCCACCCAGTCTATGGAGTTTTGTTGTAGAACCTAAACTATTAATAAGACAACTGCCCTCTCCTACTCTGCCTCTCTCTCCTCCTCTCTCCCTCAACGTAGTAATATTTAGTCTTAATTAATTTAATCTCTCTGAATTAATATTTAACTATATATTAATATATCATATTATTTTGACATTTGCTATATCTCTGTGTATACTATTATAATGTCTTTTAGTTGAATTTCTATGATTTAATTGATATTAAATTCATCTACATATATAGAGAGATACAGCGAATGCAAAATGTGAAGTCATATCTGAGTGTTTATTGGGTCATCCTTGCAACTGTTCTCCAGATTTTAAAACTTTCAAGATGAAAATTGCAGGGAAAAACAAAGTGCCCTTCCCTCAGTATACCCTCCCTTGTGGATTCATTGATTTGCTAAATATCTGTTGAACAACTAGTACACGCTAGGCGCTGGACAACAGCAGGGAACCAGACCCTACCTCCTGGCCTCAGGGAACTCTCTTAACTGTATCACACTGTGTATTTGCTTCCCAGCAGGTAATGCAGTTTGTCAGTATTTCAGTTACTCATCTGTGTACCAGGTTTTACGTTTCTCTTCCTGCCACTCCCTCCCATCCCTGCTAGCCTGAACTCTATGAGCAGAGATTGTGTTCGTCTTATGTCAGTCTATCTCTGGAGCCTGGCACATAGTAGGTGCTCAATAAATATTTGTTGAGTTAATTAATTTAAGTACTGCAAGCACAAGAACCTCTTGTTTTTCTCAGCTCTAGCTCTGGGGGCCTTGAACAGCACCTGGCACATAGTAGGTGTTCAATAAATAAATATGTGTTGCATGTAAGGTTGAACGCAGTGGCCTGTAATCCCAGCACTTTGGGAGGCTGAGGCGGGTGAATTACTTGAGGTCAGGAGTTCCAGACCAGCCTGAACAACAGGGTGAAAACCCGTTTCTACTAAAAATACACAAATCAGCTGGGTGTGGTGGTGCGTGCCTGTAATCCCAGCTACACAGGAGGCTGAGGTAGGAGAATCTCTTGAACCTGGGAGGCAAAGATTGCAGTGAGCTGAGATCGCACCACTGAGCTCCAGCCTGTGACACAGAGTGAGACTCCATCTCTCTCTCTCTCTCTCTCTCTCTCTCTCTCTCTCTCTCTCTCTCTCTCTATATATATATATATATATATATATATATATATATATATATAAATTATCTGGGTGTGGTGGCATGGTAACCCCAGCTACTCGGTTGGCTGAGGCACAAAAATAGGTTGAACCTGGGAGGTAGAGCTTGCCGTGACCCGGGATCGCCTCACTGCACTCCAGCCTGGGTGACAGAGCAAGACTCTGTCTCAAAAAAAAAAAAAAAAAAAAAAAAAAAAAACAATATGTGGGCCGGGCGTGGTGACTCACACCTATAATCCCAGCACTTTGGGAGGCCGAGGCGGGCAGATCACCTGAGGTCAGGAGTTTGAGACCAGCCTGGCCAACATGATGAAACCCCGTCTCTACTAAAAATAAAAAATTAGCCGGACGTGGTGGCGCACGCCTGTAGTCCCAGCTACTTGGGAGGCTGAGGCAGGAGAATCACTTGAACCCGGGAGGCGGAGGTTGCAGTTAACCGAGATCACACCACTGCACGCCAGCCTGGGTGACAGAGTTGAGACTCCATCTCGGGAAAAAATAAATAAATAAATAAAATAAAACAATATGTGTTGAATGAATAAATTTAAGAGGAATTAGTAAGTTCCAAGAGGGGTTGAGCAGAGGCTTTCTGTTTTTCTTGACTTTCTCTCTAGGTTCTAGAACCATGCCTGGCACATAGCAGGTGCTCAGCGAACACGTGCCTGTAACACCGTGATGCTCCCTGGGCCTCCTGACCGCGCCCTCGCCTGGGAGGCGGGGCGGGCCGGGTTCTCTCTGTGACGTCACAAAGGCCCCGCCATGCCTCTGGCTTTGACCCTTCTGCTGCTCTCGGGCTTGGGCGCCCCCGGAGGCTGGGGCTGCCTGCAGTGCGACCCCTTGGTGCTGGAGGCCCTGGGTCACCTGCGCTCCGCCCTCATCCCCAGTCGCTTCCAGTTGGAGCAGCTGCAGGCGCGCGCCGGGGCCGTGCTGATGGGCATGGAGGGGCCTTTCTTCCGGGACTACGCGCTGAACGTGTTTGTGGGGAAAGTGGGTGCGTGTTGGGAGAAATTGGGCAGCGGGGCTGGGCGAGGGATGCCGGAGACCACGCCCCCAAGAGGGGTCGGGGCCAGGCCTGGAGGGGGTGAGGTCACTTGGCTCTCTGGGGGGCTCACTGGAGTGTCCTCTCCCTTCTCCCCCCAGAGACAAATCAACTGGACCTTGTGGCGTCCTTTGTCAAGAACCAAACGCAGCACTTAATGGGTAACTCTCTGAAAGGTAGGAGAGACGAGGGAACGCCTTCTCCAGCACCCCTCTTCTTTCCGCCGGTCTGCCCCACCTCCCTTGAATATAAAAATAAGAGCAAACACGCATGCAATGTAGCCTTTTTTTTTTCTTTTTTAAGAGACAGAGCCTCACTGTCGCTCCGGCTGGAGTGCAGTAGCGCCATCACAGCTCACTGCAGCCTCGACCTCCAGGGCTCCAGCGATCCTGCCGCCTCAGCCTCCCAAGTAGCTGGGACCACAGGCATGTGCCACCACACCTGGCTAATTTTCTACTTTTTAATTTTTTGTAGAGACTGGGTCTCATTATATTGCCCAGGCTGGTCTCAAACTTCTGGCCTCAATAAATCCTTGTGTCTCAGCCTCCCAAAGTGCTGGGATTACAGGTGTGAGCCACTGCACCTGGTCATAAACCAAGATACTCTTTTATTTATTTATTTATTTTTATTTTTTGAGACGGTCTCGCCCTGTCACCCAGGCTCGAGTGCAGTGCCACAATCTCTGCTCACTGGAGCTTCCGCCTGCCGGGTTCAAGCGATTTTCCTGCCTCAGCCTCCCGAGTAGCTGGGATTACAGGCACCCACCACCATGCCCGGCTAATTTTTGTATTTTTAGTAGAGACGAGGTTTCACCATGTTGGCCAGGCTGTTCTCAAACTTCTGACCTCAAGTGATCTGCCCGCCTAGGCCTCCCAAAGTGCTGGGATTATAGGCGTAAGCCACCATGCCTGGCCAAACCAAGATACTCTTAACAGGCAGGATATTCCAAGGAAATAGAGGTTACCTTCTGTGAGCCAGGCAAGAGCCAAATTTTTTTGGGGGGGAGCGGGGGATGTGCAGGATTGGGACAACCCAGGCCTGCTCAGTTAATCCTTTATTGCCCGATAAAATATGTCAAATGGAGGGAGATGCTAAGGAGGAAAAAAATAAAGCAGGGACCACGGAATAGCAAGTGCTGTGAGTAGGGGTGGGGATTGCAGCTTAAAGTAGGGCATCCAAAAAAGATGTCCCTTAAAAAGGAGCATGTGAGAAAAGACCTGAAGGGGAGAGGGAAGCAGCCATGAGGGGGTCTAGGGGTAGAAGGGTGCAGGCAGAAAGAACAGCTGGTGGAATCCCTGAGATGGGACTATGTTTGGCATAGTCACAGAACATCCAAGAAGGCCAGAGTGGAGTGAGACGGCGACATTGTCTCTATGGAAGATGAGATCTTAGAGTTAAGGGGAGGGAATGGGTATTTTGAATATTGAACAAACAGGATTTGTTGCCAGTCATGCTGACGAATTGCACAGGGATATAAAAAAAAGAAAGGCGTCAGCCGGGCACAGTGGCTCACGCCTGTAATCCCAGCACTTTGGGAGGCTGAGGACGGTGGGTCACCTGAGGTTGGGAGTTCAAGACCAGCCTGACCAACATGGAGAAACCCTGTCTCTACTAAAAATACAAAATTAGCCAGCTATGGTGGCACTCCTGTAATCCCAGCTACTCAGGAGGCTGAGGCAGGAGAATTGCTTGAACCCAGGAGGCGGAGGTTGCGGTGAGCTGAGATTGCGCCATTGCACTCCAGCCTGGGCAACAAGAGCAAAACTACGTCTCAAAAAAAAAAAAAAAGAAAAAGGAAAAGAAAAAGGCGTCAAAGCACCAAGGATTTTGAATTGAGCAATTAGAATCATGACACATCTATTTACTAAGATGGAGTAGACTGGGAGGTTGGGAGTAGGTCTGGAGGAGAATAACGAGGGTTCAGTTTTGGACTTAGTGGGTTTGAGATGCCTCTTAGACATCCAATTGGATATCTTGACCAGATAGTTGGGTATATAAATCCCACCTTCAGTGAGCCCTCTGGGCTAGTAATATAAACGTGGGGGGCATCTGTGTATAGAACAGCACCATCCAATAGAAATAGAATGTCAGCCACAAATAGGAGTCACATATGCAATTTTAAATTTTCTAGTAGCAGCCGGGCACGGTGGCTCATGCCTGTAATCCCAGCACTTTGGGATGCCGAGACAGGTGGATCGCCTGAGGTCAGGAATTCAAGACTAGCCTGGCCAACATGGTAAAACCCCGTCTCTACTAAAAATACAAAAATTAGCCAGGTGTGGTGGCGGGCACCTGTAATCCCAGCTACTCAGGCTGAGGCAGGAGAATCACTTGAACCTAGGAGGCAGAGGTTGCAGTGAGCAAAGATCACGCCATTGCACTCCAGCCTGGGCGACAAGAGCAAAACTCCGTTTGAAAAAAAAAAAAAAAATTCTAGTAGTCACATTTTTAAAAAGGTAAATAGAAACAGGTGAAATTAATTTTAATAATATATTTTAGTTAACCCAATATATAAAATATCACCATTTCAGCATGCAATCCACATAGGAATTATCAATATATTTTACAGGTTTTTTGCACAATGTCTTTAAAATCCAGTGTACATTTTATACCTACAGCACATCTCAATTCAGACTAGCCTATTTCAAGTGTTCAGTAGCCATGTGTGGCTAGTGGCTACCACACTGGACAGTGCACGTCTAGGTAATATATAAAGCCATATGGATTGAAATCATGAAGGAGTGAGTGTAGACACAAAAAAGAAGAGGTCGGGTGCGGTGGCTCACGTCTGTAATCCCAGCACTTTGGGAGGCCGAGGTGGGAGGATCACCTGAGGTCAGGAGTTTGAAACCAGCCTGGCCAACATGGCGAAACCCTGTCTCTACTAAAAATACAAAAAATTAGCCAGGTGTGATGGCACGTGCCCGTAATCCCAGCTATTTGGGAGGCTGAGGCAGGAGAATCGCTTGAACTTGGGAGGCCGAGGTTGCAGTGAGCCGAGATCACACCACTGCACTCCAGCCTGGGCAACAGAGTGAGACTCCGTCTCAAAAAGAAAAAAAAAAGAAGAGGAGAAGAGAGATCAAATCCACTTGCCAGATGAGGAAAGTGAGGCCAAGGAAGGGTGGCTTTGCCTAGGCCCCACGGTGAATCAGAATATAGATGCAGGATCTCCCTGGCCATAGATTTGCCTGGGGGACCCTTAGTAATCCTGGTCTTGGTTACCCTTTATAAATGAAGAGGAGCTTCCTCATCTCTTCTCCTGGAAGCTTCAGGTAGTGGGGTGGGCTTTCTGGGTGCCTCCCACCCCACAGAGATCTCTTTCTCTCCTCAGATGAGCCTCTGCTGGAAGAGCTGGTGACCCTCAGGGCGAATGTGATCAAGGAATTCAAGAAAGTTTTAATTTCATATGAATTAAAAGGTGCAGCATATCTCTCCACCAATCCCCTCTCCTCTTCTCCCTTGACCTCTTGATCCCCTTTTACCACTTTTTCTCCCAAACTCCTTCTTCACCTCCCCTATAGCTCAGCCTTCTTCATCTCTCCCCAATCTTCCCTTCTCTCCTTTCCCAGCCTCACCCCTTACCTGCTCTCCTGATCCCTTTCCAATTAAATTATCAAGTTGCCATCCCAATTTAACTCACCTCAGCAATTTTCTCTTGCAGCCTGCAACCCCAAACTTTGCCGTGAGTTCTGGATCGTCTATCTCTCCCTTCTCTACCCTCCTAACCCCCTTCACCCTGTCTCCCCAAATCAAGCCTGGCTACCACTCCTTACTCCATTTGGCAGTTCCCTTACCCCAAAGCCATGGTACCTAGGGAGATTTGCTTTTTAAAGGTTTATGAAAATAATGACTATCTGCAAAACAACATTTTGAAGGTACGTAAGTCACAATAAAATAGGCTATGTTGTATTAACAAATAAACCCTCACATCTTGGTGGTTTAACACAACAAAGGTTTATTTTTCTTTCACCCAAATTTCATTGACAGTTGAGTGGCAGTCCAGGTGGTGACTCAGGGATCCAGGCTATACACACATGGCAGCTTCTAAGCATGCTTCAAAAGGAAAAGCAATAGCAATCACACTGAGTTGTATAGCCAAGCCTGGAAGGGACACACATGATCCTGCTCACTTTCCATTGGCCAGGACTAGGTCACATGGTCACAGTTTACTGAAAGGCACCCTGGGAAATGTAGCCCTCCTGTATGCACCAGTAGAGGAGGAGGCAGTGTGCCCAAAGAGGAGACATCTCACCAGTGTCTGCAAAAGAGGCTCCAAATTAGAAAAAGAAAAGTGCAAACTCAGAATTAACAAATGTTTAATTAAATGTCCACAAGCAGAATGCTGAATCTACTGGATGAATTTAGTTCTTCAATGATTATATAACAATTATTTTTTATGTGAATTGTCAGTGCATTTTGCTTAGTTCCTCTGCTGGGCAGTGGGACCTATGAAATTTAGGAGAAGCCAAGGGACCCCATCTCCTCTTTCTCCTTCTTCCTTTCCACCCTTGCCGGTCCTCTGATATCTGCCCTTGTCTTACTTCTCCCTTTCCCCTTGCCTAGGCTTGCTAAAAGAAGAGGTGTTGGACTGTTTACATTGCCAGAGGATCACTCCCAAGTGTATCCACAAAAAGTACTGCTTTGGTAAGCTTCTGGGGGTGGGGGAAGACATGGGACAGGCGTGCAAGAGATGAAGACAGCCATGACCCACTAGATATGGGTTTCGAGGCTCCCACATGCAGCCTCGAATCCTGCCCTAACCATTTGCTTAGAGTGTGGCCCAGAAGTTGCTCCTGTATTCTGAAATTCACTTTCCTCCATCTGTTAAATGGAAAGACTCCCTGGAACTTTAGAATGCCCCTAGCTCCAGAATGGCAGGTGCTAGAAAAAGATTTTATTCTTAGCCATTGCTATACCTGGGGAATTTGGAAGGATGTGCTGAATTCACTCATTCATTCATTCATAAATCTAAAAAACATACATTCTTTTTTTTTTTTTTTTATATGGATTCTCGCCCAGGCTGGAGTACAATGGCAGGATCTTGGCTCACTGCAACCTCTGCCTCCCAGGTTCAAGTGATTCTCCTGCCTCAGCCTCCCAAGTAGCTGGGACTACAAGTGTGCACCACCATACCCTGATAAGTTTTGTATTTTTAGTAGAGATGGGGTTTGACCATGTTGGCCAGGCTGGTCTCAAACTCTTGACCTCAGGTGATCCACTCGGCTCCCAAAGTGCTGGGATTACAGGCGTGAGCCACCATGCCCAGCCTAAAAAACGTATTCTCATAGCAGAAAGAATAGTACAACGAGACCGAACATGCAGTGGCTCACGCCTGTAATCCCAGCACTTTGGGAGTCCGAGGCAGGCAGATCACAAGGTCAGGAGTTTGAGACCAGCCTGGCCAACATAGTGAAACCCCGTCTCTACTAAAAATACAAAAAACTACCCTAGCGTGGTGGCAGGCACCTGTAATCCCAGCTACTCAGGAGGCTGGGGCAGGAGAATCGCTTGAATATAGGAGGTGGAGGCTGCAGTGAGCCAAGATCGCACCATTGCACTCCAGCTTGGGTGACAATGCGAGACTCCATCTCAAAAAAAAAAAAAAAAAAGTATAATGAATCCACATCTATCTATCCGGGTTGAATAGTCATGCTGGATCTTTTCACATGCTGTTCCCTCTCTCTGTCACACTGTTCCAATCACTCCTTCACTTCATTTGGGTCTCAAAGGTCACTTCCTCAGACAGGCCTCTCTGATCATAATCTCAAAAGTAGCACTTACTATCAAATTATGTTAACAATTAACATTCTTCCATATTTATTTCACCTACTTTATTCTTTGCCATAGTATCTTAAAAGAAACCACAGACACCATGCCCCATACATAGCATGTACCTCTAAAAATAATGACATTTTCCTAAGTAGCCACAATGTCGTTCCCACACCCTCCAAACCTAGCAATGATTCCTCAATGTCAAATAATTCCAGGTCCCACTGTCAACTTCCTTAATTGTCCCCAGAATATTTTTCACAGTTGATTTGTTCAAACCAGTGTTCAATGAAAGGACTTCTTATATCATTCAATTGTTAGGTTTTTCTCTTCTTTTTAAAATCTAGAACAGTTTTTGTTTTGTTTTGTTTTGTTTTGTTTTTTTAGACTGATTCTTGCCATGTTGGCCAGGCTGGTCTCGAACTCCTGGGCTCAAATGATTCGCCCACCTCAGCCTCCCAAAGTGCTGGGATTACAGGCATGAGTCACTGCACCCGGCCTAGAACAGTTTCTCTTATCAGTTTTTGGGTTTTTTTTTTTCCCTCCATGACATTGGCATTGAAAAAGAAGGGAGTGTGTCCTATAGAGTGTCCCACTTTTGGATTTGCCTGTTTGCTTCCTTTGGCTGGTATTTGGTGACAACAAATATTTTGAGCACCCTACGATGTCCCAAACTGAGGAACAGTGGAATGGGAGACAGATGTAGTTCCTGCCCTCATGGAGCCCACATTTTAATGGGGCCAGAGGTTAGACTAGGGTTTCTCAACCTCAGCACTGTTGAGATTTGGAGCTGGATCATTCTTTGTTAGGGAGGCTGTCCTGGTCATTGTAGGATGTTTAGCAACATCCCTAGCTTCGATCCACCAGATGCCAGTAGCATCTCCCTCCCCATTATGACAATCAGAAATGTCCCCAGACATTTCCAAATGTCCCTTGAGTGACAAAATTATCCCAGATTGAGAACCACTGGGTTAGATGGTAATTGCATGAACAAATAAACAGGCTTGATCCAGATGGCAATGGTGTTCTAATGAAAATAGAATGGTTTGGTAGATAGTGCCTGGGGGAGGCTGCTACTTTAGAAAATACGGATGTAGGGCACCTCTAAAGAGGTGACTTTTGAAAGCTGAAGGAAGTAAGTGAGTGATGGGAACAGTGTCAATGACAGAGGGAACAGCACATGCAAAGATCCAACATGATTAAGCAACAAGGAGGAGAAGGCCAGTGTGGCCAGAGCCGAGTGAATGAAAGAGAATAGTAGGGTGGCTAGAACAATGGCCGGGTCACGTGGGAACCAGATGGTGCAGGGCTTGCAAGAGCATGGTGAGAACTTGAGCTTTTATTCTGAGATGGGGGGCCATGGAGTAGCAGGAAGACACTGAGCAGAGGGAGCCGACTTAGGTTTTAACAGCGCCTCCCGGAGGCCATGTGAGGAACTGTGGGAGGAGGGGTCAAGGGAGCCTCCTAAGAGAAGCAGTGGGCTGGGGTTGGACCTGCTTGGTAGCCATGGAAGTGGATTGGATTCTGCCTACAGTTTGAAGGTCAAGCCAAGAGGCTTTGCTGATGGAAGGAAAGAGTTGGTGGTGGGAGGCAAGTGGAAGACGCAGAAAGCAACTCCCAAGGCCACCTTCAGGGCCAATAGCTAAGATGCAGCAACTAAGACTTTCATCTTGTGAAACTGTTCGCATTTTGCACCTCCCTCTCATGTGCATGGTGTCTCTGGTTTTTGTTTTGTTTTGTTTTCTGAGACAGGGTCTTGCTCCGTCCCCCAGGCTGGGGTGCAGTGGCACAGTCACGGCTCACGGCAGCCTCAACCTCCTGTGCTCAAGCAATCCTCCCACCTCAGCCTCCTGAGTTGCTAGGACTACAGGCTCGTGCCACCATACCTAGCTAATTTTTTCTTTTTTGTAGAGATAGGATCTCACAGCCCATGCTGACTTGAACTCCTGGGCTGAAGTGATCCCCCTGCCTCAGCTTCCCAAAGTACTGGGATTATAGGCGCAAGCTCACCATGCCTGACCATTGTATCGTATCTTTTGGTTTTGAGTCAAACTTCCCAAGTCCTCCTCACCCCACCCCATCCCATCAAATGAAATGCTTTTAGAACTAGCTCCTCACTGTAACTGTGATAACTGTGATATGCGGGGTGGACTGTCAACTCCATGAGTCCAGTTTGCCAGTTTGGTTCCCGGCTATATCCCAAATGCCTACAATGGCGCCTGAGACAGAGCACTAGAGGAATGGATAAATGGAGACTCAGACCCCAGGAGAGGGCAGGGAACAAGCAGGAAGAGAAGAAGAGAGAGCGCCCCACCCCCACCCCTGCCCCAGGCTGCTGAATGAACAGGTGGGGTGGGTATGGGGCTAAGGAGGGGTGGTGACGTGGAGGTCGGGGCTGTTTCCCCACCCGCCCCAGTCGACCGGCAACCCCGCGTGGCCCTGCAGTACCAGATGGACAGCAAATACCCGAGGAACCAGGCGCTGTTGGGCATCCTCATTTCTGTGTCTCTGGCTGTCTTTGTCTTCGTGGTCATCGTGGTCTCGTGAGTCATCCTTGCCCCCTCCTCAGTCCCCCGTGGAACCCACTGGGCCCCTCAAAAATGGCGACTCCCCTGGATGGGTCACTGTGTACTTTGGGAGTCTCCTCTTCAGTCACTTTAGTCTCTGTCTCTCTTTTTCTCTCTGTCTCTCTCCTCCCTCTTCTCCCTCCCGCCCCCTGCCCCGTACCTTTCTCTCATCTTATTTCTGTCTTTCTTCCTCATTTTCCTTTTTCTCCACCTCTGGGCCACATTACAACTTTCCCGGGTCCTCAGCACTTTTGCCTTTGTGGGCCTCTTCTTACATTAAAAAAAAAAAAAAAAAAAAAAAAAAAAAAAAACGCTAAAAGTTATATTTGGTGGATGCATTGGTAGAAAGACAAATATCATCCAAGTTGGCTTCATTATGTTCTATGCATCATCATAATTACTGTTGTTATATTCATTTATCTTCTTCTGGCTTTTAAAGATACTACAGTGAAAACATTTCCATGGACCCCAGGCCCTGTGCCTAGGGAGGAAGTGGCCCTCACCTTCCTCTCCCCCTCTAAGCTTATCTCGCTGCCTCTTTATGCTTGTGCCCTCCCCCTCCCCCCCAGCCCCTTCTCCGGCCCCTCTCTTCCCCTCTCCGTCTCAATTTCTCTCTCTCTCTCTCTGCCTCCTCCAAGTACCCAATTAATCTCCTTTCCCTAACGCCTCAGTTTCTTCATATGCAAAAAGGGAGTAATGCCATCACCTCCCACTGGCGGGGGTGGTGATAACTGAATCAGTGAACGCTCTTTTTTTTTTTTTTCTTGAGATGGAGTCTCGCTCTGTGGCCCAAGCTGGAGTGCAATGGCGCGATCTTGCGACCTTGGCTCACTGCAACCGCTGCCTCTCAGGTTCAAGCGATTCTTCTGCCTCAGCCTCCTGAGTAGCTGGGACTACAGGTGCCCACCACCAAGCCTGGCTAATTGTTATATTTTCATTAGAGACGGGGTTTCGCCATGTTGGCCAGGCTGGTCTCAAACTCCTGACTTCAGGTGATCCACCTGCCTCATCCTCCCAAAGTGCTGGGATTACAGTCATGAGTCACCGCGCCTGGCCAGTGAACGCTGTTAATAACACTTAGCGCATGGGGAGTGCTCCGTGCAGGCTACCTCTCACTGTGAACTTGCTCAGCCTCTCTTCCAACTCTCTCTCCTCATTTCTCTGTCTCCCTGTGTATTCATTTCCTATTGCTGCTGTAACATCACCACAAATTGGGTGACTTAAAGCAAAAGAAATGTATTCTCTGGGTTCTGAAAGCAGAAGTCTGAAATCAAGAGGTTGGCAAAGTTGGTTCCTTCCAGAGCCTCTGAGAGTGAATCCACCCCATGCCTGTGTCCTAGCTGCTGGTGGCTGCTGGCATTCCTTAGCTCCCTTCTAATCCCTTCCTCTGTCTTCACATGGTTTTGTTTTCTGTGTGTCCATCTCAAATCTCCCTCTCCTTTCTCTTCTAAGGACACCTGTCTTTAGATGTAGGGCCCATCCTAAATCTCATGTCACCTTAACTTAATTACATCTGCAAAGACCGTGTTTCCAATTAAGGTCACATTCCCAGGTCCTAGGAGTTGGGACTTGGATATATCTTTGGGGTGGGGGACACGCTGTAACCCACTATACCTGCTTCCACTATACCCTGTCTCTACCTTATCTCTCTCCATTTCTGCCTGTGTCTCCTCTTGTCTTTTTGGACTCTTTCTGTTCCCACATTTGACCATCACCC
This sequence comes from Homo sapiens, assembly GCF_000001405.40. NCBI lineage: Eukaryota > Metazoa > Chordata > Mammalia > Primates > Hominidae > Homo > Homo sapiens. The sequence goes on along the minus strand of NC_000019.10, from coordinate 50,152,858 downwards.
CTGGTCCCAGCTCTTCTCTCCTCTCTCCTCACCAACTCCGGTTGGCAGAGAACCCTGAAAATCTGCCCAGATGCCCATGACGTCACTGGATGAGCCAAATCAGGCCAAAGATTGTAGGAAAGTTATGGGGAGGGAAGTTATGGGTCTCTTGATCTGGAAAAGCTTGAAATTCTCATTCTAATCTACAGGCTTTTTCTCTCTGACCAGGGCTTGTACATACAGACAAAACCGAAAACTCCTGCTGCAGTAGGACGGTGGTTTGGGGGTAAGGAGAAAGGAAAATAAATTTAATAAAATTGGTGACAAATCCATCAATGTCTCTGTCCATTTCCTGGGGACCCTCCCCCTAGTTGGTGTCCAACTCTGTTTCTCTACCTGACTGGGTGCTCCTCAAAGGCTGGGACCAGATCCCACTCATCTGTAGACACCCATTATCCTAATTCAAGGTAGAAGTGACTTGGACCTTCAAAAAGGATGGACAGCATATTGTAAGGGTTTGAAGTGACAACCACTTATCCTCTGGGAAGGAAATGCATCCGAAAGGACATGACTCAGTGCAACCCTCGAGGATGGTTAAATAGAGGAAGAGCAGTGGTCAATGTGGAAGGTACAGGTTTTCTTCTCTATCTGAACTACAATTCTTCACCCTCTGTGCACCTGAATACTAGATTCGAATACATTTTCTTTCTTTTTCTTTTCTTTTTTTTTTTTTTTTTTGAGACAGAGTCCTGCTCTGCCACCCAGGTTGGAGTGCAGTGCCATGATCTCAGCTCACTGCTGCCTCCCGGTTTCAAGCGATTCTCCTGCCTCAGCCTCCTAAGTAGCTGGGATTACAGGTGTGCGCCACCATGCCCAGCTAATTTTTTTTTTTTTTTTTTTTTTTTTTGAGACGGAGTCTTGCTCTTTTGCCCAGGCCGGACTTGCAGTGACGCTATCTGGTCTCACTGCAAGCTCCGCCTCCCAGGTTCACGCCATTCTCCTGCCTCAGCCTCCCGAGTAGCTGGGACTACAGGTGCCCACCACCGCGCCCAGCTAATTTTTTGTACTTTTAGTAGAGACGGGTTTTCACTGTATTAGCCAGGATGGTCTTGATCTCCTGACCTTGTGATGCGTCTGCCTCGGCCTCCCAAAGTGCTGGGATTACGGGCGTAAGCCACCGCGCCCGGCTTAATTTTTGAATTTTTAGTAGAGACGGGGTTTCACTATGTTGGCCAGGCTGGTTTCGAACTCCTGACCTCAAGTGATCCGCCAGCCTCAGCCTCGCAAAGTGCTGGGATTACAGGCGTGAGCCACCGCGCCTGGCCAGGGTTTGTTTGTTTTAACGTCTTAATGCTGCAGGTCCAGACACTTCCTCAACTTCATGGAAATTTCCTGGGAGAAGTGCAGAATAAACAGATAATTAAGTCGTACATAAATTATAGTGTGATGAGACTGGAGCGAGAGAGACAGACAGTTACAAAGAATTACAACACAGCGGTTAGCACATAACCCTATAAGATACTGGGATGTTCCTGTGGGAACCCCACAGAGCGAATTGCCAGCTCCGGCTCAGCTCGGTGGAAATCGGAGAACGTTTACTGCAGGAGAGGCTGTAAGAACTTGTTCTTGCAAGAAAAGTAGGTGTTTTCTGAAAGCAGTAGTGGGGAAAAGGTAGAAGGAAGAGCAAATAGCAAGTCACAGTTGGGGCCAGGTGCAGTGGCTCACGCCTGTAATCCCAGCACTTTGGGAGGCCGAGGCGGGCGGATCACGAGGTCAAGAGATCGAGACCATCCTGGCCAACACAGTGAAACCCCGTCTCTACTAAAAATACAAAAATTAGCTGGGTGTGGTGGCGGGCGCCTGTAGTCTCAGCTACTTGGGAGGCTGAGGCAGGAAAATCGCTTGAACCCGGGAGGCAGAGGTTGCAGTGAGTCGAGATCATGCCACTGCACTCCAGCCTGGCAACAGAGTGAGACTCCGTCTCAAAAAATAAATAAATAAGGAAAAAATATAAGTCACCGGCGGGAACTATTAACACGTTTTTTATTTTTTGAGACAGAGTCTCACAGGCTGGAGTGCAGTGGTGCTATCTTGGCTCACCACAACCTCTGCCTCCCGGGTCAAGTGATTCTCCTGCCTCAGCCTCCCGAGTAGCTGAGATTACAAGCCCCAGCCACCACGTCCGGCTAATTTTTTTGTATTTTTAGTAGACACAGGGTTTCACCATATTGGCCAGGCTGGTTTTGAACTCCTGACCTCAAGTGATCCACCTGCCTTGGCCTCCCAAAGTGCTGGGATTATAGGCATGAGCCACCGCGCCTGGCCTAACGCGTTTTTTAATAATAGCAAACACTTATATGGTGTTTTCTATCTGTCACATACTGTTCTAATGGCTTTACTTCTATCTACCTATTCAAATCTCATAACCTGATAAAAAGGGTACTTATTATTGCCCCATGTACTTATTATCGCCCCATGTACAATGAGGAAACTGAGGCACAGAGAGGTTAATGACTTGCAAAGCTCTGATAATAACTTGTATTTAATATCAAATTTCAGCTTCCTCAAAACCTTTGAAGACAGTTGTATCAGCCAGGATAAGTAGTTATGCTTCAGTAACAAACACCCCCCCAACCTCCTTCATGGCTTGTAGCAATGAAGACTTACTCCTTGTTCACGTGTGTTCCATATAAGGACTTTATGCAAAATAACCCCCAAGTGTGGAAGGAGACAATAAACCAAAAAAGAGGGAGACAAACCCAGTTCATTGGTAAGGGGTGATTTATTTGGGGAACTTACAAAGGGAAGCATGGTCTTGGGTGGCAGCAAGACAGGTCTATCTCCACACAGTTACTCCCTAATCCTAAGGCTTATCTCACATAGGGAAGGGCAATACTTGCTTTAGCAAGACAATTAAGGGTTAAGACAATTAAGCCTACAGAACAGGCAATGTTCTGTATGCTGTGTCGTAGCCTATAATTTGTGTGATAACATCAAGGTTGACATGTTCTTACACTAGGGACAGTAAGTAAAGTAGAAATCAGAAGGAATTCCCAGGACTGGGATTAATCAGAAGTCAACATGGCGGATAACCATCCAAGATGGAGTCACCTTTGTCTCCAGTGTGACATGCCTATTATAGATTAGCTGAGGTTCTGCTCCATGCCACCCTGACTCTAGAGCCTCAGCTGACAGTACAACCTGTGCTTGGAGCATTTGGTTATCGGAACACAAGGAAAAAGGAGCAAACTTGGCAGCAGTAAAATTAAGTGGTTGCAAATATGGGCTGAACCTGGATTCAAGTCCTGCCTCTGTCCTCGACTAGCTCTGGGAGCTTGGGGGGATGACATAAATCCTCTATCTCAGTGTCCTTGTCTGTAAAATAGGGAGAGCAATGCCTTCTTCATAGGGTGGTGGTGTCAGCTCAGTCAACTAGTAAAGCTCACAACGTGTTGTCAATAAGTAACACCTATTATTATTTCATTCTGGCAATGAGCCATCTAGCTTTTTCTCATGAGGACATATACGGTTTACACTTTTTTTTTTTTTTGAGACAGAGTCTTGCTCTCTTGCCCAGGCTGGCACCATCACAGCTCACTGCAGCCTTGCCCTCCTGGGCTCAACTGATCCTCCTGCCTTAGCCTGCCGAGTAGCTGGGTCTACAGGTGCTCACCACTATGCTTGGCTAACTTTTATATTTTCTGTAGAGATGGGGGTCTAGCTATGTTGCCCAGGCTGGTCTCAAACTTCTGAGTGCAAGTGATCCTCCCTCTTTAGCTTCCCTCTTTGAAATCCCAAAGTGCTGGGATTTCAGGTGTGAACCACTGCACCCAGCCTGGCAATTCTTTTAGTGTTTTACGATTAAGCTTGATATGAGGTTTTGATTATATGGACATACATAAACACAATAAGAAGCCAGTAATTCTTTAACATTGTCGCTATTGTTGTTCAATATGAATATATGCTTAATTTATTAAGCTTATCTAGAAATGACTGGTTACAGAATTTTTTTGTAAGCTTTCTCAGCATCTAGGGTTACTGGATGTTATTAAAAGTCTTTTTAGTGTATCTATAGATATGCTTGCATATTGATATATTCAGAAAGGTCAAAAGATAAATTGCATAATGTCCTAATATCAAACCATCCTTACACTCCTGAACACACATCTCCCAGCTCCCAGAACAGGCTCCATTGCCTGTATCACACTGCCCTTTAAGAAGTGGTGGGTGAAACTGAGGCAAATAGGAAGGCAGATGCCTAGGGAAATTGAGTAACAGTGGTTCAATTCATTCACCATCAGTTTACACAGGGCCAAATTTTATCTGTCCTGAAGACTTCAGCCATGGTATGAGAAATTTGGATTAAATGGACAATGGCATCGCCTCTGCCTAAAACAGGGATATTCGCGTGCCAGTACAGTCAGGCATGTCCCAAATACCAGTTTTCCTCCAAAAGCTGTTGTGTATGTATCTAAATACAGTCTTACTCCTGCCCCGTATCCTGCTCCCAGACTCCATTTCCCAGCATTCCCTCGCAGTCAGAGCCCTTAGGCCGGGAGGAGCAAGAGCCTCAATGGTTTCTGGGAAATGTAGTCCAGCTGCGATGCCGCGTTTAAGGTACCGGGACTTACAGTTCCGAGACAGGGACTGCTCAGGCGCGTTCCGGGACCCGGCGGAGGAAGGGAAGGCCTGGCTGTCCAGCGGAATCCGCCTGGACGCACGGAACTCGCGGACCCGACCGGAGCAGGTGGGTGCAGGCCGGGCCAGACAGGCTAGCAGAAGCTCCGGGGGCGGGCCCAAGTTGGGTCTGGTTGGGAGTGGGGAGGGCGCTGTGGGTGACGCCCCGCCCCCTCTTGTCATTCCCTGAGTCCCACCTAGTATCAGTGCGGCTCAGACGACTCGGCGCGCAGGAATTGGGCGTCTGCTGTTTGCCAGGAGTCCGGCGGAGCGTGGGACTGCTGCGATCCCTAGGAAGGGGAACCTACCTTTCCTCACTTTGCAGTTGAAGAAACTGAGAGTCGGGGAGACTCCGCGATTTCTCTCAGGCTGGCAGAGCTGCAACCCAGATTCTGACCCCAGAACCCGAAAGCAGCACTGCACAGGCACAGACTCGGTCTCGGCTCCCCTTATCCTGAGCATCTGTTCTTCCCTCTCTGGGTCTCCCAGCTCTCTCTGATCTTCCCCTCACCCTCGCCGCCCCAGGTCCTGTCCCCCTCTCGCTGGGTCTCTGTACCCCCTCTCTCTGCGTCTCTCTCCCCCTCTCTGTGGGTCTCTGTCGCCCTCTCTCGGTCTCTGCGCCCTCCCACTCCCCAGTCCTTCTAGCGAATCTCTGTGTTTTCCAAAGACAAGGTCATTTTCTTACATAACCATAGCACCACGATCACAATGAGGAAATTAATATTGATGTAATACTAATAGCTAATCTATAGACTTTATTCAAATTTTTGATGATTCTTCCAATAATGTCTTTTTGTCTTTCTTTTTCTTTTTCTTTTTTTGGAGACAGAGTCTTGCTCTGTCACCCAGGCTGGAGTGCAGTGGCACAATCATAGCTCATGCAGCCTCGACCTCCTGGGCTCAAGAGATCCTCCCACTTCAGTCTTCTGAGTAGTCGGGATTACAAGCACACACCACCATGCCCGGCTAATTTTTTTAATTTTTTTTTGTAGAAACGGGGTCTCACTGTGTTGCCCGGGCTGGTCTCAAACTCTTGGGCTCAAGCGATCCTCCCACCTCAGCCTCCCAAAGTGCTGGGATTACAGCTGGCTCCAATAATGTCCTTAATGGCCAAAGGAAATCCTAGGTCACACATTGCTCGCTTTGTTGGGTCTCCTTCAGTCTGGAACCGGTTTTCAGTCTTCTTTTGGAAGTTCCGAAGATTACAGACCATGTACTTGCATGTCCCTCAGTTTGGGTTTGTCTGGTGCTTCTTCATAGTTAGATTTAGGTCACACGCTTTTGGCAGGGATGCCCTAGGAGTGATGCTGTCTCCTCATCAGACTGGGGACCCTGGGCTCGGCTTGTCCCACCACACACCACATCAGCCTCACTCACATGGGTAAGGTGGCATCTGCCAAGTTTCTCCTCTCTAGTTTCCCTGGTCTGGGCGCGGTGGCTCACACCTGTAATCCCAGCACTTTGGGAGGCCGAGGGGGGCGGATAACCCCAGGTCAGGAGTTCGAGACCAGCCTGGCCAACATGGTGAAACCCCATCTCTACTAAAAATACAAAAAAATTAGCCTGGTGTGGTGGCACACACCTGTAATCCCAGCTACTTGGGAGGCTGAGGCAGGAGAATCGCTTGAAGCTGGGAGGTGGAGGTTGCAGTGAGCCGAGATCACGCCACTGCACTCCAGCCTAGGTGGCAGAGCGAGACTCCATCTCAAATAATAATAATAATAATAATAATACAAAAATCAGCTGGGCGTGGTGGCGGGCTCCTGTAACCCCAGCTACTCAGGAAGCTGAGGCCTGAGAATCACTTGAAACCCGGGAGGTGGAAGTTTCAGTGAACCAAGATCGCCTCACTGCACTCCAGCCTGGGTGACAGAGCAAGACTCTGTCTCAAAAATAAAATAAGGCCAGGTGTGGTGGCTCACGCCTGTAATCCCAGCACTTTGGGAGGCTGAGGCGGGTGGATCACCTGAGGTCAGGAGTTCGAGACCAGTCTGGCCAACATGGTGAAACCCCATCTCTACTAAAAATACAAAAAATTAGCCAGGTGTCATGGTGGATACCTGTAATCCCAGCTATTCGGGAGGCTGAGGCAGGAGAATTGTGTGAACCCAGGAAGTGGAGGTTGCAGTGAGCTGAGATTGAGTCACTGCACTCCAGCCTGGGCAACAAGAGCGAAACCCTGTCTCCAAATTAATAAATTAATTATTTAAATAAGATAAAAAAGTTACCCTGTTCTTTTTGTAATTAACAAGTGATTCATGGGGATAAAGTTAAGACTCTCTTCCTCATTTTCTCATCAAAACCTCGTGCACTAGGCCAGGTGTGGTGGCTCACACCTGTAATCCCAGCAATTTGGGAGGCTGAAGCAGGTGAATCATGAGGTCAGGAGATTGAGACCATCCTGGCTAACATGGTGAAACCCTGTCTCTCCTAAAAAAAAAAAAAATTAGCCAGGAGTGATGGCAGGTTCCTGTAGTCCCAGCTACTCAGGAGGCTGAGGCAGGAGAATGGTGTGAACCTGGGAGGTGGAGCTTGCAGTAAGCCGAGATCACGCCATTGCACTCCAGCCTGGGCAACAGATAGAGACTCTGTCTCAAAAAAAAAAAACACCTCATGCACTAGTTTCAGCATTCAGGTGTGTGTGTTCTGTGTAGCCGGGGATGTGTATGGCTTCTCGCCTGGGAAATGTGTGTGAGGTGCTGCATCTTTTCATTCTGTGGACTGTATTAGTTTCCCATGGTGCTGTAACAAATTGCCACACACTTAAAATGACACAATTTTATTATATTACAATCCTGGAGGCCAGAAGTTGGAAGCGGGATTCAAAGGGATCAAGGGGTCAGCACGGCCATGCTCCCTCCAGAGGCTCCAGGGATGGATCTGTTTCGCTGCCTCGTTGCCAGTTTCCAGGGGCCTGCTTTCCTTGGCTTGTAGCCCTTTCCTCTGTCATCAAAGCCAGCAGTGTAGCGTCCTCTCTCTCAGCCTCTGCTGCTCTCTGCTTCTGGTGCATGGCCTTCTTCTGCCCTGTGTCAGACTCTCCTCTGCCCCCTCTTATAAGGACACTTGTGAAGGCATTTAGTGCCCGCCCAGATAATCCAGGATAATTCCCCCCATCTAAAGATCCTTCACTTAATCCCTTCCGCAAAGTCTCTTTTCCATATAAGATAAGATCTGTAGGTTCCAGGGATATCTCTGGGGGCTGTTATACAGCCTGTCTACCCCACCAGGCAGGAAGTCCCAGTTTATGGAATAAAGTTTTAAGAATCTTTGCCAAGGCTGGGTGTGGTGGCTCATGCCTGTAATCCCAGCACTTTGGGAGGCCGAGGTGGGAGGATTGCTTGAGCCCAGGAGTACGCGACCAGCCTGGGCAACATAGAGAGACCCTGTCTGTATTATTAAAAAATAATAAATTATATAAATAAATAAGAACCCCTGGCCCAGGCACAGTGGCTCAGGCCTAAAATCCCAGCAATTTTGGAGCCCGAGGTGGGTAGATCACCTGAGGTCAGGAGTTCGAGACCAGCCTTGCCAACATGGTGAAACCCCATCTCTACTAAAAATGTAAATATTAGCCAGGCATGGTGGCAGGTGCTTGTAATCCCAGCTATTCAGGAAGCTGAGGCAAGAGAATTGCTTGATCCTGGGAGGCGGAGGTTGCAGTGAGCCGAGATGGCGCCACTGCACTCCAGCCAGCCTGGGACACTGAGTGAGAATCCATCTAAAAAAAAAAAAAACAATATATATATATATATATATAAAAGATAGGGGTGGCCCTGTGGCTAGACTTCTCTGAAACTTTTTGTCTCCATGAACTTGAGCAAGTCTTGACCTCTTGTGCCTCAATGTCCTCATCTAGGGGTAACCATCGTTCCCACGTCCGAGAGCTGTTGTGTCGGGGAGGTGAGACAGCCTCATGGTTGCTGGCTGTTGTCACTGGTATGGAATGGGGGCCTCAGGTGGCCTGTCCTGGGACTTTGCTTTGACTCTTAGGGGACCATGGCCCCTTCCGTGACCAGGAGTCTTGGGGAAAGCATCTGTCTGTCAGGGTCACAAATGACCCTTTTTCTGCTGTGGTCTCCTCCTCCAGCTCTTCGGGCCCTGGCGTGAACCCTTCTCCCAGAGGCACATGCCCAGAACCCAGCAATGGCCAATGGGACCTTGATGGCCGAGGGCCAGGTGAGTCTGGGCTTCCTCTTCCCCAGGATAACTTTGTGGACTCCAGTGGGCCCTCTTCATCCCTGTGCATGATCTCAAGGTCTCCTGACTCTTCCAATACTGGGAAAGGGGGTATGAGGAGAGGGGAGCCGGGCAGTGCCCAGGGGCAGGAGGCAGAGGCAGAATGCTCTGAGCTGGGACCATGTCGCGCAGTCTAAACATTTTTCATCGAACACTGCAGCCTTTCAGTTACCAGGCAAAGTGGGCAATGGATGGTTTTGCTTCATCCCTGAGCCTCATCTCTGGAGTCAGGAATGGGGGTGAGGATCAGGGATGGGGTCTGGGATAGAATGGGACTTGCGAATATCTCCTGCACAAAACGGCTTGACGGATTTTTCTTTAAGTGTTTCTTAGGCTGAGCGCGGTGGCTCATGCCTGTAATCCCAGCACTTTGGGAGGCTGAGGCAGGCGGATCACGAGGTCAGATCGAGACCATCCTGGCTAATACGTTGAAACCCCGTCTCTACTAAAAATACAAAAAATTAGCCGGGCGTGGTGGCGGGCGCCTGTGGTCCCAGCTACTCGGGAGGCTGAGGCAGGAGAATGGCGTGAACCCGGGAGGTGGAGCTTGCAGTGAGCCGAGATTGCGCCACTGCACTCCAGCCTGGGGGATAGAGCGAGACTCCATCTCAAAAAAAAAGCATTTTTTAGGGCTGTCACTTAGAGCTGTGCAGGTTATGCACTGCACAAGTGTGCCTCATCCCAGGCAGGACTCCCACCTTATACCTCATACATTGGTGGCAGTTTGCAGGCAGTTTGATAAACTGTCATATACTAAATTAATTGGTATATTACAATGACTTCCCAACAGATGGCAGTAAAGAGTCATGTGAAAGGGCTCCTTGTTCTACTTTCTACCAAGGTGCCTATGGGCGAGTTTCTGCCTTAGATAGGTTCCCATAGGCCAGTTGGATTCAGGCATCCCAATTCTGCACAATCAGAATGTTCCAGCCCAGGGGGCTGTTGTGGGCTCTTGACCCCTGACACTTCTGCCCCCAAGTTCCAGAAGGACGTGCCACTCCACAGAATGAAACTGGCCCTTGCAGGAATCAGTGACCTTCAAGGATGTGGCGGTGGACTTCACCCTGGAGGAGTGGGGCTGGCTGGAGCCTGGCCAGAGGGAGCTGTATTCACCCAGTACCAAATGTAAATGTGTGCCCCAAATGCAGCAATCAAGATAAAAGAATATTTAATGCAATATTGGCCAGGCGCGGTGGTTCACGCCTGTAATCCCAGCACTTTGGGAGCCCAAGGTGGGTGGATCACTTGAGGTCGGAAGTTTGAGACCAGCCTGGCCAACATGGCGAAACCCTGTCTCTACAAAAAAAATAAAAATAAAAAATAAAATTAGGGTGAGGTGGCACACGCCTGTAGTTCCAGCTACTTGGGAGGCTGAAGCAGGAGAATCACTTGAACTCAGGGAGACTCTGCACTCCAGCCTGGGTGACAGAGTGACAATAATAACAATAACAATAATAATGCAACATTTTTTAAAAATCAAAATCAATGCAAAAAAAATCAATGATGAACAAAATATCAAATTTTTTAAAAAGGCCAGTCTCATGCCACATCAGACTGCTATTTCAAAGGAAATGTATGTGCCCCCATATACTTGCTTTTTTTTTTTTTAAGGAGAGGGGTTCTTGCTCCATTGCCCAGGCTGGAGTGTGGTGGTGAGATCATAGCTCACTGCAGTAACAAACTCCTGGGCTCAAGGGATCCTCCTGCCTCAGCCTCCTGAGTAGCTGGGACTACAAGCACACACTACCATGCCTAGCTAATTCCTAAATTATTTTTGTAGAGACAGGCTCTCCCCATGTTGCTCAGGCTAGTCTTAAACTCCCAGGCTCAAGTGATCCACCCACCTTGGCCTCCCAAAGGCCTGTGCTGGGATTACAGGCATGAGCCACTGTGCCCTGCGCAAGTTTTTATATATTTTTTCTAAATTTATTTTTCCTGGAATGCTAAACTAGTTGAAAAATACTGAAAAATGAAGTAAATGTGTTGAAATTCACAACATTATTTTACATTTAAATCTTTCATATATACCCTAGACAGAATTTGAATAATTTGACTTTCTTGGCTTTTAATGGAGGCAAATCTGTCATTAACACTTTCTTTTTTTTTTTTAATCATTCTTGGGTGTTTCTCGCAGAGGGGGATTTGGCAGGGTCATAGGACAATAGTGGAGGGAAGGTCAGCAGATAAACAAGTGAACAAAGGTCTCTGGTTTTCCTAGGCAGAGGACCCTGTGGCCTTCCGCAGTGTTTGTGTCCCTGGGAACTTGCGATTAGGGAGTGGTGATGACTCTTAAGGAGCATGCTGCCTTCAAGCATCTGTTTAACAAAGCACATCTTGCTCCGCCCTTAATCCATTTAACCCTGAGTGGACACAGCACATGTTTGAGAGAGCACACGGTTGGGGGTAAGGTCACAGATCAACAGGATCCCAAGGCAGAAGAATTTTTCTTAGTACAGAACAAAATGAAAAGTCTCCCATGTCTACTTCTTTCTACACAGACACGGCAACCATGCGATTTCTTAATCTTTTCCCCACCTTTCCCCCCTTTCTATTCCACAAAACCGCCATTGTCATCATGGCCCGTTCTCAATGAGCTGTTGGGTACACCTCCCAGACGGGGTGGTGGCCGGGCAGAGGGGCCCCTCACTTCCCAGTAGGGGCGGCCAGGCAGAGGCGCCCCTCACCTCCCGGACGGGGCGGCTGGACGGGCAGGGGGCTGACCCCCCCACCTCCCTCCCGGACGGGGCGGCTGGCCGGGCGGGGGGCTGACCACCCCCCCCCCACCTCCCTCCCGGACGGGGTGGCTGCCGGGCGGAGACGCTCCTCACTTCCCAGATGGGGTGGCTGCCGGGCGGAGGGGCTCCTCACTTCTCAGACGGGGCGGCTGCCGGGCAGAGGGGCTCCTCACTTCTCAGACGGGGCGGCTGGGCAGAGACGCTCCTCACCTCCCAGACAGGGTCGCGGCCGGGCAGAGGCGCTCCTCACTTCCTAGATGGGATGGCGGCCGGGCAGAGACGCTCCTCACTTTCCAGACTGGGCAGCCAGGCAGAGGGATTCCTCACATCCCAGACGATGGGCGGCCAGGCAGAGACGCTCCTCACTTCCCAGACGGGGTGGCGGCCGGGCAGAGGCTGCAATCTCGGCACTTTGGGAGGCCAAGGCAGGCGGCTGGGAGGTGGAGGTTGTAGCGAGCCGAGATCACGCCACTGCACTCCAGCCTGGGCACCATTGAGCACTGAGTGAACGAGACTCCATCTGCAATCCCCGCACCTGGGGAGGCCGAGGCTGGCGGATCACTCGCAGTTAGGAGCTGGAGACCAGCCCGGCCAACACAGCGAAACCCCGTCTCCACCAAAAAAATACGAAAACCAGTCAGGTGTGGCGGCGTGTGCCTGCAATGGCAGGCACTCGGCAGGCTGAGGCACGAGAATCAGGCAGGGAGGATGCAGTGAGATGGCAGCAGTACAGTGCAGCTTCGGCTGGGCATCAGACGGAGACCGTGGAAAGAGAGGGAGAGGGAGACCATGTGGAGAGGGAGACGGGAGACGGGAGACAGGAGAGGGAGAGGGAGAGGGAGACCGTGGGGAGAGGGAGACGGGAGACAGGAGACGAGAGGGAGAAAGGGAAGAAAGGACAGCCCCGACACCCGGAGCCACTGTGGCTCCGGCTGGATGCGCCTGCCCTCGGGCCCTCAGGGAGGCAGGGGTTCGAGGGTACGAGTTCAAGGCCAACCTGGTCCACATGGGTTGAAAAAAAAATTTTTTTATCGTTCCCAATATAACAACAAAACATAAAGGGAGGACGCCTTGATAGGAAGAAATGACATCTTCCTATGTGTTTTTAAATTACTTCAATGTATCTTTTTTTTTTTTTTGGGAGACCGAGGCTTGCTCTGTTTCTTGATTTCCAAGACGTCGTATGGTAAAAAATAACATAAAATCTTGCAAAAATGTTTATATTATGTTAAAATTATGATGTTTTAGGTATATTAGGTTAAATCAGCTATTTTATCAAAATGAATCTCACCTGTTTGTTTTTGCTTTTTTTTTTTTTTTTTTTTGAGATGGAGTCTCGCTCTGTCGCCCAGGCTAGAGTACAATGGTGTGGTCTCAGCTCACTGCATCACTGCAACCTCTACCTCCCAGGTTCAAGCCATTCTCCTACCTCACCCTCCCAAGTGGCTGGGATTACAGGAGTGTGCCACCACACCCAGCTAATTTTTGTATTTTTAGTAGAGACAGGGTTTCACCATGTTGGCCAGGCTGGTCTCGAACTGCTGACCTCGTGATCTGCCTGCCTCGGCCTCCCAAAGTGCTGGGATTACAGGTGTGGGCCACTGTGCCGGCCATGTTTCTCGACTTCTGCTGGCAAGCATGTTCCAGTATTTGCATGGCTCCTAGCCCTCATCTCCATTTCTCTGCACAGATGTTACCTTCCCCATGAGGTCTGCCTTATACATGAGGCCTGTATTATAAAGTGCAACTGCCAATTCGCCAACCCCGTTGTTTCTTCTCTCCAGAACACTAGGCACCATCTGATCTACTATGCCTTTTCCTTATTGTCAGATACTGAACTCTCAGCTACAGTTCCCCTTCCTCCCTCCAGGGGGCGCCATGGAACGCAGGGCCCTCACTGGCCCTGGGGACTGGGTGACGACAGGGGGGAGCCTCTGGTGATTGGCTCCCTCACCCTGCGTAAGATCAAAGGGCCTACAGGACAGCCCCGACACCCGGAGCCATTGTGGCTCCGGCCGGTTGCGCGGGCCCTCGGACCCTCAGGGTAGGCGAGGGTTCGAGGGCACGAGTTCGAGGCCAACCTGGTCCACATGGGTTGAAAAAAAAATTTTTTTATCGTTCCCAATATAACAACAAAACAGAAAGGGAGGACGCCTTGATAGGAAGAAATGACATCTTCCTAAGTGTTTTTAAATTACTTCAATGTATCTTTCTTTTTTTTTTTTTTTTGGGAGACCGAGGCTTGCTCTGTTGCCCAGGCTGGAGTGCAGTGGTGTGATCTTGGCTCACTGCAACCTCTGCCTCGTCGGTTCAAGGGAGTCTCCTATCTCAGCCTCCTGAGTAGCTGGGATTACAGTCGCCTGCCAAGAGATGGGGTTTCGCCATGTTGACCAGGCTGGTCTTGAACACCTGGCCTCAAATGATCCACTCGCCTTGGTCTCCCAAAGTGGTAGGATGACAGGCGTGAGCCACCGCGCCCAGCCTCTTCTATTCTTTTAGAGACAGGGTCTCACTCTGTTGCCCAGGCTGGAGTGCATTGATGTGATGTGTGATCATAGCTCATTGCAGCCCTGACCATCCGAGCTCAAGCAATCCTTCTGCCTCAGCCTCCTGAGTAGCTGGGGCCGCAGATGTGCACCACTGCACCTGGCTAATTTTTAACCTTTTTGTGGAGCCAGAGTCTGTATAAAATAAAGTGTAAATAGTACCATAAATAAAGAATACATAGTACCATTTTATAGTAGTATAAAACGGACATTAGAAACTCTGGACTTAAAGGTTAAAAAAATACACAAAAGTAGTTCTCAAGTTCTAGAGACTTGGAGAATCCAGGAATCAACAATGTCGTGGAACTCCTACAGCCTTTCATAAAGAATGGCCCTCGAGGAAAGTGGAATTGTCAGTGGGCATTGTGTTCGTGCCTCAGCTAAACACGGCAGGAATTTATTTATAACCTAGTGTAACATCCTCGAGGCACTGTTCAATTATTCAAGCAATTGTAAAATTCTCCCAGTCTTAGAAAAGATACAGGTGTGTGTCCCTCTGCTGTGGCTGTGCACTGACGCTTCAGTAAAAGTTGCCGTCTAAAACCACCGGCCTGCCCTTGAATTGTTTTTTTTTTTTTTTTTTCTTCTTTTGATTCTCAGCCTCACTCTATCACCCAGGCTGGAGTGCAGTGACACGATCTCTGCTCACTGCAACCTCCGCCTCCCGGGTTCAAGCGGTTCCCCTGCCTCAGCCTCCTGAATAGCTGGGATTACAGGCACCCGTCCCCATGCCCGGGTAATTTTTGTATATTTAGTAGAGATGGGGTTTCACCATGTTGGCCAGGCTGGTCTCGAACTCCTTACCTCAAGTGATCCATCCGCCTCAGCCTCCCAAAGTGCTGGGATTACAGGCGTGAGCCACTGCGCCCGGCTTCTTGAATTAGTTTCTAGGAGAAGCCAAGAACCCCCCCGGGCTAAGCCTCAATTTTGGGGCTCGCCTGTGCTGCATCAGCTTCACACGCAGAGAAGAGAGTGAAAGAGAAGGGAGAGCCGTCCTTTTGGGCTGCCTTGAAATAAAGGTTGACCCATGGGTTCATGTATTGTCATTCATTCTCATTTTCTCTTCCTCTCTTTCTCTCTCTCCCCTGCCCCTGAAGTTAGCTTTTCTAAACCCTACCTGGATAAGGATAAGAAATAGAAGGAGGGGACACTTTAGGATGCTACAAAATAAAATACAACAACAACAACAGCAACAAAAGGGGAAGAAACAAATCTGGCCACTGCACATTCCTCCTTGCCAACAAAAAGCCGTGGATGCAAAAAGCTGCCCTTCACTGCATAGACAGAACAGGGCGCGCTCGAGCTATGAATCTCGGAAATTACTCAAACCATCAGCCTCTGCAAGAAGCAAAGTGGACGGCCGGGCGCGGTGGCTCACTCCTGGAATCCCAGCACTTTGGGAGCCCGAGGTGGGCGGATCACGAGGTCAGGAGATCGAGACTGTTCTGGCTAAACCAGTGAAACCCCCTCTCTACTAAAAAAATAACAAAAGCGAAGTGGATCTCCCATAAACGAGGTACTGCAGGAAGAAAGCAGAAAATGAGACCCGAGTACACACATGCACGCGGGCGTGCGCACACACACACCAGAAGAAATGAACCAAGAGGAAAGGAAATATTTTCAAGTAAGCATTTGGAGATGGGAAAAACACCTTGAAACAGAAATTCATAAAGTACAGACATGTTTTTTTTTTTAAGTTAAAAGAGGAACAATAATAAACAGGCAGAAAATGAATAAAAAATAAAATGTCATATCAGAAGTGAAGATAAATTAAAAGTGATCAAAGGAGAAGAGATCTAAATGCAAACTTAAGAAGGGGCAATTTTTTTTTTTTTTTTTTTTTTTTGAGACGCAGCCTCACTCTGCCGCCCGGGCTCGCAGCCTCACTCTGTTGCCCGGGCTGGAGTGCAGTGGCGTGATCTTGGCTCACTGACACCTCTGCCTCCTGGAGTCAAGCGATTCTCCTGCCTCAGCCTCCCAAGTGGCTGGGATTACAGGCATGAGCCACCATGCCCGGCCTAGAGTCAACATGGAAATTAAACAACCTGCTTCCAAATGACTTTTGGGTAAAGACTGAAATTAAGGCAGAAATAAAAAAATTATTTGAAACTAATGAAAACAAACATACAACATCCCAGAATCTCTGGGACACAGCTAGAACAGTGCTCAAAGGAAGTTTATAGTGCTAAGTGGCTACATCAAGAAGCTAGAAAGATCTCAAATGAACAGCCTAACATCACACCTAGAGGAATTAGAAAAACAAGAGCAAATCAACCCCAAAGCTAGCAGAAGAAAAAAAAACACCAAAATCAGAGCTGAGCTGAATGAAATTGAGATGTAAAAAATCATAGAAAAGATCAATGAAACCCAAAGTTGATTTTTTAAAAAAATTATTTATTTATTATTTCTTCCATAAATTATGGGGTACAGGTGGTATTTGGTAACATAAGCTCTTTAGTGGTGATTTGTGATTTTGGTGCACCCATCACCTGAGCAGTATACACTACACCCTATTTGTTGTCTGTTATCCCTCGCCCCCGCCAACTCGTCCCCCTACGTCCCCAAAGTCCATTGTATCATTGTTACGCCTTTGCGTCCTCATAGCTTAGCTCCCACATATCAGTGAGAACATACGATGTTTGGCTTTCCATTCCTGAGTTACTTCACTTAGAATAATAGTCTCCGGTCTCATCCAGGTCACGGCAAATGCTGTTAATTCATACAAAGTTGATATTTTCGAAAGCACAAATAACATGGAAAGACCACTAGCTAGATTAATAAAGGAAAAAAGACAAGATCCAAATAAACACAATCAGAAATGACAGAGGTGACATTACCACTGACCCACAGACATACAAGAAACCCTGAGACTATTCCACATGCCTCTATGCACACAAACTAGAAAACTAGAAGAAATAGATAAATTCCTGGAAACATAAAACCTCTCAAGATTGAACCAGGAAGAAATGGAAACCCTGAACAAACCAACGATGAGTTCCAAAATTGAGTTAGTCATACAAGACCTACCAACCAGCACAAAAAACCTTAGACTAGACGGATTCACAGTCGAATTCTACCAGATGTGTAAAGAAAAGCCGGCACCAATCCTACTGAAATTATTCCACACAATTGAGGAGGAGCAACTGCTCTCTAACTCATTCTATGAAGTCAGAGTCATTCTGATACCGAAACCTGGCAGAGACACAACGAAAAAAGGAAAATAGGTAAAGTAATACATATGTTAATGATCTTGATTTAGCCATTCTACGGTATATACATATTTCAAAACAATATGTACATGATAAATATGTACAATTTGTCAATTAAAAATATATAAAAGGAAGAGGAAAAAATTCAACTGGCGCAGAATTTGAAAGGAGAAGATACAGAACAAACTCCAGTCTCTTCTTTATTCAACTATATATACACACATTCAATGGACCAGGAGCAGTGGCTCAAGCCTGTAATCACAGCACTTTGGGAGGTCAAGGCGGGCAGATCACCTGAGGTCGGGAGTTCGAGACCAGCCTGACCAACAGAGAGAAACCCCAGCTCTACTAAAAATACAAAATTAGCCGGGCATGGTGACGCATGCCTGTAATCCCAGCTACTCGGGAGGGTGAGGCAGGAGAATCGCTTGAACTCAAGAGGTGGAGGTTGTGGTGAGCCGAGATGGCACCATTGCACTCCAGCCTGGGAAACAAGAACGAAACTCAGTCTCAAAAAAAAAAAAAAAAAAAAAAAAGGATTTAATGAATGAATGATGAGACCGTTGGTGACATCTCCCACCTTCTCCCTCTCACTCCACTGCAGCCACACGGGGCTCCTCACTGTTCCCGTAGCAGCAGGCATGTGCCCCCACAGGGCCTCTGTACTGGCTGTTCCCACTGCCCGAACACCCTCATGCACCATCTGCACTGTCCAATACGGCCGCCTCTGGCCACACATGGCTACTGAGCAGTTGAACATGGCTGGTCCAAACCAAGATTTCCAAGACGTCGTATGGTAAAAAAATAACATAAAATCTTGCAAAAATGTTTCTATTGATTATGTTAAAATTATGATGTTTTAGGTATATTAGGTTAAATCAGCTATTTTATCAAAATGAATGTCACCTGTTTGTTTTTGCTTTTTTTTTTTTTTTTTTTTTTTTGAGATGGAGTCTCGCTCTGTCGCCCAGGCTAGAGTACAATGGCGTGGTCTCAGCTCACTGCATCACTGCAACCTCTACCTCCCAGGTTCAAGCGATTCTCCTACCTCACCCTCCCAAGTGACTGGGATTATAGGCGTGTGCCACCACACCCAGCTAATTTTTGTATTTTTGTAGAGACAGTGTTTCACCATGTTGGCCAGGCTGGTCTCGAACTGCTGACCTCGTGATCTACCTGCCTCGGCCTCCCAAAGTCCTGGGATTACAGGTGTGGGCCACTGTGCCGGCCATGTTTCTCGACTTCTGCTGGCAAGCATGTTCCAGTATTTGCATGGCTCCTAGCCCTCATCTCCATTTCTCTGCACAGATGTTACCTTCCCCATGAGGTCTGCCTTATACATGAGGCCTGTATTATAAAGTGCAACTGCCAATTCGCCAACCCCGTTGTTTCTTCTCTCCAGAACACTAGGCACCATCTGATCTACTATGCCTTTTCCTTATTGTCAGATACTGAACTCTCAGCTACAGTTCCCCTTCCTCCCTCCAGGGGGCGCCATGGAACGCAGGGCCCTCACTGGCCCTGGGGACTGGGTGACGTCAGGGGTGAGCCTCTGGTGATTGGCTCCCTCACCCTGCGTAAGATCAAAGGGCCTACAGGACAGCCCCGACACCCGGAGCCATTGTGGCTCCGGCCGGTTGCGCGGGCCCTCGGACCCTCAGGGTAGGCGAGGGTTCGAGGGCACGAGTTCGAGGCCAACCTGGTCCACATGGGTTGAAAAAAAAATTTTTTTATCGTTCCCAATATAACAACAAAACAGAAAGGGAGGACGCCTTGATAGGAAGAAATGACATCTTCCTAAGTGTTTTTAAATTACTTCAATGTATCTTTCTTTTTTTTTTTTGTTGGGAGACCGAGGCTTGCTCTGTTGCCCAGGCTGGAGTGCAGTGGTGTGATCTTGGCTCACTGCAACCTCCGCCTCGTCGGTTCAAGGGAGTCTCCTATCTCAGCCTCCTGAGTAGCTGGGATTACAGTCGCCTGCCAAGAGATGGGGTTTCGCCATGTTGACCAGGCTGGTCTTGAACACCTGGCCTCAAATGATCCACTCGCCTTGGTCTCCCAAAGTGGTAGGATGACAGGCGTGAGCCACCGCGCCCAGCCTCTTCTATTCTTTTAGAGACAGGGTCTCACTCTGTTGCCCAGGCTGGAGTGCATTGATGTGATGTGTGATCATAGCTCATTGCAGCCCTGACCATCCGAGCTCAAGCAATCCTTCTGCCTCAGCCTCCTGAGTAGCTGGGGCCGCAGATGTGCACCACTGCACCTGGCTAATTTTTAACCTTTTTGTGGAGCCAGAGTCTGTATAAAATAAAGTGTAAATAGTACCATAAATAAAGAATACATAGTACCATTTTATAGTAGTATAAAACGGACATTAGAAACTCTGGACTTAAAGGTTAAAAAAATACACAAAAGTAGTTCTCAAGTTCTAGAGACTTGGAGAATCCAGGAATCAACAATGTCGTGGAACTCCTACAGCCTTTCATAAAGAATGGCCCTCGAGGAAAGTGGAATTGTCAGTGGGCATTGTGTTCGTGCCTCAGCTAAACACGGCAGGAATTTATTTATAACCTAGTGTAACATCCTCGAGGCACTGTTCAATTATTCAAGCAATTGTAAAATTCTCCCAGTCTTAGAAAAGATACAGGTGTGTGTCCCTCTGCTGTGGCTGTGCACTGACGCTTCAGTAAAAGTTGCCGTCTAAAACCACCGGCCTGCCCTTGAATTGTTTTTTTTTTTTTTTTTTTCTTCTTTTGATTCTCAGCCTCACTCTATCACCCAGGCTGGAGTGCAGTGACACGATCTCTGCTCACTGCAACCTCCGCCTCCCGGGTTCAAGCGGTTCCCCTGCCTCAGCCTCCTGAATAGCTGGGATTACAGGCACCCGTCCCCATGCCCGGGTAATTTTTGTATATTTAGTAGAGATGGGGTTTCACCATGTTGGCCAGGCTGGTCTCGAACTCCTTACCTCAAGTGATCCATCCGCCTCAGCCTCCCAAAGTGCTGGGATTACAGGCGTGAGCCACTGCGCCCGGCTTCTTGAATTAGTTTCTAGGAGAAGCCAAGAACCCCCCCGGGCTAAGCCTCAATTTTGGGGCTCGCCTGTGCTGCATCAGCTTCACACGCAGAGAAGAGAGTGAAAGAGAAGGGAGAGCCGTCCTTTTGGGCTGCCTTGAAATAAAGGTTGACCCATGGGTTCATGTATTGTCATTCATTCTCATTTTCTCTTCCTCTCTTTCTCTCTCTCCCCTGCCCCTGAAGTTAGCTTTTCTAAACCCTACCTGGATAAGGATAAGAAATAGAAGGAGGGGACACTTTAGGATGCTACAAAATAAAATACAACAACAACAACAGCAACAAAAGGGGAAGAAACAAATCTGGCCACTGCACATTCCTCCTTGCCAACAAAAAGCCGTGGATGCAAAAAGCTGCCCTTCACTGCATAGACAGAACAGGGCGCGCTCGAGCTATGAATCTCGGAAATTACTCAAACCATCAGCCTCTGCAAGAAGCAAAGTGGACGGCCGGGCGCGGTGGCTCACTCCTGGAATCCCAGCACTTTGGGAGCCCGAGGTGGGCGGATCACGAGGTCAGGAGATCGAGACTGTTCTGGCTAAACCAGTGAAACCCCCTCTCTACTAAAAAAATAACAAAAGCGAAGTGCATCTCCCATAAACGAGGTACTGCAGGAAGAAAGCAGAAAATGAGACCCGAGTACACACATGCACGCGGGCGCGCGCACACACACACCAGAAGAAATGAACCAAGAGGAAAGGAAACATTTTCAAATAAGCATTTGGAGATGGGAAAAACACCTTGAAACAGAAATTCATAAAGTACAGAATTTTTTTTTAAGTTAAAAAAGGAACAATAATAGACAGAAAATGAATGAAAAATTAAATGTCATATCAGAAGTGAAGATAAATTAAAAGTGGTCAAAGGAGAAGAGATCTAAATGCAAACTTAAGAAGGGGCAATTTTTTTTTTTTTTTTTTTTTTTTTTGAGACGCAGCCTCACTCTGTCGCCCGGGCTGGAGTGCAGTGGCGTGATCTTGGCTCACTGAAACCTCTGCCTCCTGGATTCAAGCGATTCTCCTGCCTCAGCCTCCCAAGTGGCTGGGATTACAGGCATGAGCCACCATGCCCGGCCTAGAGTCATCATGGAAATTAAACAACCTGCTTCCAAATGACTTTTGGGTAAAGACTGAAATTAAGGCAGAAATAAAAAAATTATCTGAAACTAATGAAAACAAACATACAACATCCCAGAATCTCTGGGACACAGCTAGAACAGTGCTCAAAGGAAGTTTCTAGTGCTAAAGGGCTACACTAAGAAGCTAGAAAGATCTCAAATGAACCGCCTAACATCACACCTAGAGGAATTAGAAAAACAAGAGCAAATCAACCCCAAAGCTAGCAGAAGAAAAAAAAAAAACCAACATCGGAGCTGACCTGAATGAAATGGAGACGTAAAAAACCATACAAAAGATCAATGAAACCCAAAGTTGATTTTTTAAAAAAATTATTTATTTATTATTTATTCCATAAATTATTGGGGTACAGGTGGTGTGTGGTTACATAAGCTCTTTAGTGGTGATTTGTGATTTTGGTGCACCCATCACCTGAGCAGTATACACTACACCCTACTTGTTGTATTTTATCCCTCGCCCCCGCCAACTCGTCCCCCTAAGTCCCCAAAGTCCATTGTATCATTCTTACGCCTTTGCGTCCTCATAGCTTAGCTCCCACATATCAGTGAGAACATACGATGTTTGGTTTTCCATTCCTGAGTTACTTCACTTAGAATAACAGTCTCCGGTCTCATCCAGGTCACGGCAAATGCTGTTAATTCATACAAAGTTGATATTTTTGAAAGCATAAATAACATGGGAAGACCACTAGCTAGATTAATAAAGAAAAAAAGACAAGATCCAAATAAACACAATCAGAAATGACAAAGGTGACATTTCCACTGACCCAGAGATATACAAGAAACCCTGAGACTATTCCACATGCCTCTATGCACACAAACTAGAAAACTAGAAGAAATAGAGAAATTCCTGGAAACATAAAACCTCTCAAGATTGAACCAGGAAGAAATGGAAACCCTGAACAAACCAACGATGAGTTCCAAAATTGAGTTAGTCATACAAAACCTACCAACCAGCACAAAAAACCTTAGACTAGACGGATTCACAGTCGAATCCTACCAGATGTGTAAAGAAAAGGCGGCACCAATCCTACTGAAATTATTCCACACAATTGAGGAGGAGCAACTGCTCTCTAACTCATTCTATGAGGTCAGAGTCATTCTGATACCGAAACCTGGCAGAGACACAACGAAAAAAGGAAAATAGGTAAAGTAATACATATGTTAATGATCTTGATTTAGCCATTCTACGGTATATACATATTTCAAAACAATATGTACATGATAAATATGTACAATTTGTCAATTAAAAATATATAAAAGGAATAGGAAAAAATTCAAATGGCACAGAATTTGAAAGGAGAAGATACAGAACAAACTCCGGTGTCTTCTTTATTCAACTATATATACACACATTCAATGGACTGGGAGCAGTGGCTCAAGCCTGTAATCACAGCACTTTGGGAGGTCAAGGCGGGCAGATCACCTGAGGTCGGGAGTTCGAGACCAGCCTGACCAACAGGGAGAAACCCCAGCTCTACTAAAAATACAAAATTAGCCGGGCATGGTGGCGCATGCCTGTAATCCCAGCTACTCGGAAGGCTGAGGCAGGAGAATCGCTTGAACTCAAGAGGTGGAGGTTGTGGTGAGCCGAGATGGCACCATTGCACTCCAGCCTGGGCAACAAGAGCGAAACTCAGTCTCAAAAAAAGAAAAAAAAGGATTTAATGAATGAATGATGAGACTGTTGGTTACATCTCCCACCTTCTCCCTCTCACTCCACTGCAGCCACACGGGGCTCCTCACTGTTCCCGTAGCAGCAGGCATGTGCCCCCACAGGGCCTCTGTACTGGCTGTTCCCACTGCCCGAACACCCTCATGCACCATCTGCACTGTCCAATACGGCCGCCTCTGGCCACACATGGCTACTGAGCAGTTGAACATGGCTGGTCCAAACCAAGATTTCCAAGACGTCGTACGGTAAAAAATAACATAAAATCTTGCAAAAACGTTTCTATTGATTATGTTAAAATTATGATGTTTTAGGTATATTAGGTTAAATCAGCTATTTTATCAAAATGAATCTCACCTGTTTGTTTTTGCTTTTTTTTTTTTTTTTTTTTTTTTTTTTTTTTGAGATGGAGTCTCGCTCTGTCGCCCAGGCGAGAGTACAATGGCGTGGTCTCGGCTCACTGCATCACTGCAACCTCTACCTCCCAGGTTCAAGCGATTCTCCTACCTCACCCTCCCAAGTGGCTGGGATTACAGGCGTGTGCCACCACACCCAGCTAATTTTTGTATTTTTAGTAGAGACAGGGTTTCACCATGTTGGCCGGGCTGGTCTCGAACTGCTGACCTCGTGATCTACCTGCCTCGGCCTCCCAAAGTCCTGGGATTACAGGTGTGGGCCACTGCGCCGGCCATGTTTCTCGACTTCTGCTGGCAAGCATGTTCCAGTATTTGCATGGCTCCTAGCCCTCATCTCCATTTCTCTGCACAGATGTTACCTTCCCCATGAGGTCTGCCTTATACATGAGGCCTGTATTATAAACTGCAACTCCGCATTCCCCAACCCCGTTGTTTCTTCTCCCCAGAACACTAGGCACCATCTGATCTACTATGCCTTTTCCTTATTGTCAGATACTGAACTCTCAGATACAGTTCCCCTTCCTCCCTCCAGGGGGCGCCATGGAACGCAGGGCCCTCACTGGCCCTGGGGACTGGGTGACGACAGGGGGGAGCCTCTGGTGATTGGCTCCCTCACCCTGCGTAAGATCAAAGGGACTAAAGGACAGCCCCGACACCCGGAGCCATTGTGGCTCAGGCCGGTTGCGCCTGCCCTCGGGCCCTCACGGAGGCGGGGGTTCCAGGGCACGAGTTCGAGGCCAGCCTGGTCCACATGGGTCGGAAAAAAGGATTTTTTTTATCGTTCCCAATATAACGACAAAACATAAAGGGAGGACGCCTTGATAGGAAGAAATGACATCTTCCTAAGTGTTTTTAAATTACTTCCATGTGTCTTTTTTTTTTTTTTTTTTTTTTGGGGAGACCGAGCCTTGCTCTGTTGCCCAGGCTGGAGTGCAGTGGTGTGATCTTCGCTCACTGCAACCTCCGCCTCGTCGGTTCAAGGGAGTCTCCTATCTCAGCCTCCTGAGTAGCTGGGATTACAGTCGCCTGCCAAGAGATGGGGTTTCGCCATGTTGACCAGGCTGGTCTTGAACACCTGGCCTCAAATGATCCACTCGCCTTGGTCTCCCAAAGTGGTAGGATGACAGGCGTGAGCCACCGCGCCCAGCCTCTTCTATTCTTTTAGAGACAGGGTCTCACTCTGTTGCCCAGGCTGGAGTGCATTGATGTGATGTGTGATCATAGCTCATTGCAGCCCTGACCATCCGAGCTCAAGCAATCCTTCTGCCTCAGCCTCCTGAGTAGCTGGGGCCGCAGATGTGCACCACTGCACCTGGCTAATTTTTAACCTTTTTGTGGAGCCAGAGTCTGTATAAAATAAAGTGTAAATAGTACCATAAATAAAGAATACATAGTACCATTTTATAGTAGTATAAAACGGACATTAGAAACTCTGGACTTAAAGGTTAAAAAAATACACAAAAGTAGTTCTCAAGTTCTAGAGACTTGGAGAATCCAGGAATCAACAATGTCGTGGAACTCCTACAGCCTTTCATAAAGAATGGCCCTCGAGGAAAGTGGAATTGTCAGTGGGCATTGTGTTCGTGCCTCAGCTAAACACGGCAGGAATTTATTTATAACCTAGTGTAACATCCTCGAGGCACTGTTCAATTAGTCAAGCAATTGTAAAATTCTCCCAGTCTTAGAAAAGATACAGGTGTGTGTCCCTCTGCTGTGGCTGTGCACTGAGGCTTCGGTAAAGGTTGCCGTCTAAAACCACCGGCCGGCCCTTGAATTCTTTTTTTTTTTTTTTCAGACGGAGTCGCACTCTATCACCCAGGCTGGAGTGCAGTGACACGATCTCTGTTCACTGCAACCTCCGCCTCCCGGGTTCAAGCGATTCCCCTGCCTCAGCCTCCTGAACAGCTGGGATTACAGGCACCCGTCCCCATGCCCGGGTAATTTTTGTATATTTAGTAGAGATGGGGTTTCACCATGTTGGCCAGGCTGGTCTCGAACTCCTTACCTCAAGTGATCCATCCGCCTCAGCCTCCCAAAGTGCTGGGATTACAGGCGTGAGCCACTGCGCCCGGCTTCTTGAATTAGTTTCTAGGAGAAGCCAAGAACCCCCCCGGGCTAAGCCTCAATTTTGGGGCTCGCCTGTGCTGCATCAGCTTCACACGCAGAGAAGAGAGTGAAAGAGAAGGGAGAGCCGTCCTTTTGGGCTGCCTTGAAATAAAGGTTGACCCATGGGTTCATGTATTGTCATTCATTCTCATTTTCTCTTCCTCTCTTTCTCTCTCTCCCCTGCCCCTGAAG
Organism: Homo sapiens; assembly: GCF_000001405.40. Taxonomy (NCBI): domain Eukaryota; kingdom Metazoa; phylum Chordata; class Mammalia; order Primates; family Hominidae; genus Homo; species Homo sapiens. The sequence goes on along the minus strand of NC_000019.10, from coordinate 50,126,880 downwards.
TTAGCTTTTCTAAACCCTACCTGGATAAGGATAAGAAATAGAAGGAGGGGACACTTTAGGATGCTACAAAATAAAATACAACAACAACAACAGCAACAAAAGGGGAAGAAACAAATCTGGCCACTGCACATTCCTCCTTGCCAACAAAAAGCCGTGGATGCAAAAAGCTGCCCTTCACTGCATAGACAGAACAGGGCGCGCTCGAGCTATGAATCTCGGAAATTACTCAAACCATCAGCCTCTGCAAGAAGCAAAGTGGACGGCCGGGCGCGGTGGCTCACTCCTGGAATCCCAGCACTTTGGGAGCCCGAGGTGGGCGGATCACGAGGTCAGGAGATCGAGACTGTTCTGGCTAAACCAGTGAAACCCCCTCTCTACTAAAAAAATAACAAAAGCGAAGTGCATCTCCCATAAACGAGGTACTGCAGGAAGAAAGCAGAAAATGAGACCCGAGTACACACATGCACGCGGGCGCGCGCACACACACACCAGAAGAAATGAACCAAGAGGAAAGGAAACATTTTCAAATAAGCATTTGGAGATGGGAAAAACACCTTGAAACAGAAATTCATAAAGTACAGAATTTTTTTTTAAGTTAAAAAAGGAACAATAATAGACAGAAAATGAATGAAAAATTAAATGTCATATCAGAAGTGAAGATAAATTAAAAGTGGTCAAAGGAGAAGAGATCTAAATGCAAACTTAAGAAGGGGCAATTTTTTTTTTTTTTTTTTTTTTTTTTGAGACGCAGCCTCACTCTGTCGCCCGGGCTGGAGTGCAGTGGCGTGATCTTGGCTCACTGAAACCTCTGCCTCCTGGATTCAAGCGATTCTCCTGCCTCAGCCTCCCAAGTGGCTGGGATTACAGGCATGAGCCACCATGCCCGGCCTAGAGTCATCATGGAAATTAAACAACCTGCTTCCAAATGACTTTTGGGTAAAGACTGAAATTAAGGCAGAAATAAAAAAATTATCTGAAACTAATGAAAACAAACATACAACATCCCAGAATCTCTGGGACACAGCTAGAACAGTGCTCAAAGGAAGTTTCTAGTGCTAAAGGGCTACACTAAGAAGCTAGAAAGATCTCAAATGAACCGCCTAACATCACACCTAGAGGAATTAGAAAAACAAGAGCAAATCAACCCCAAAGCTAGCAGAAGAAAAAAAAAAAACCAACATCGGAGCTGACCTGAATGAAATGGAGACGTAAAAAACCATACAAAAGATCAATGAAACCCAAAGTTGATTTTTTAAAAAAATTATTTATTTATTATTTATTCCATAAATTATTGGGGTACAGGTGGTGTGTGGTTACATAAGCTCTTTAGTGGTGATTTGTGATTTTGGTGCACCCATCACCTGAGCAGTATACACTACACCCTACTTGTTGTATTTTATCCCTCGCCCCCGCCAACTCGTCCCCCTAAGTCCCCAAAGTCCATTGTATCATTCTTACGCCTTTGCGTCCTCATAGCTTAGCTCCCACATATCAGTGAGAACATACGATGTTTGGTTTTCCATTCCTGAGTTACTTCACTTAGAATAACAGTCTCCGGTCTCATCCAGGTCACGGCAAATGCTGTTAATTCATACAAAGTTGATATTTTTGAAAGCATAAATAACATGGGAAGACCACTAGCTAGATTAATAAAGAAAAAAAGACAAGATCCAAATAAACACAATCAGAAATGACAAAGGTGACATTTCCACTGACCCAGAGATATACAAGAAACCCTGAGACTATTCCACATGCCTCTATGCACACAAACTAGAAAACTAGAAGAAATAGAGAAATTCCTGGAAACATAAAACCTCTCAAGATTGAACCAGGAAGAAATGGAAACCCTGAACAAACCAACGATGAGTTCCAAAATTGAGTTAGTCATACAAAACCTACCAACCAGCACAAAAAACCTTAGACTAGACGGATTCACAGTCGAATCCTACCAGATGTGTAAAGAAAAGGCGGCACCAATCCTACTGAAATTATTCCACACAATTGAGGAGGAGCAACTGCTCTCTAACTCATTCTATGAGGTCAGAGTCATTCTGATACCGAAACCTGGCAGAGACACAACGAAAAAAGGAAAATAGGTAAAGTAATACATATGTTAATGATCTTGATTTAGCCATTCTACGGTATATACATATTTCAAAACAATATGTACATGATAAATATGTACAATTTGTCAATTAAAAATATATAAAAGGAATAGGAAAAAATTCAAATGGCACAGAATTTGAAAGGAGAAGATACAGAACAAACTCCGGTGTCTTCTTTATTCAACTATATATACACACATTCAATGGACTGGGAGCAGTGGCTCAAGCCTGTAATCACAGCACTTTGGGAGGTCAAGGCGGGCAGATCACCTGAGGTCGGGAGTTCGAGACCAGCCTGACCAACAGGGAGAAACCCCAGCTCTACTAAAAATACAAAATTAGCCGGGCATGGTGGCGCATGCCTGTAATCCCAGCTACTCGGAAGGCTGAGGCAGGAGAATCGCTTGAACTCAAGAGGTGGAGGTTGTGGTGAGCCGAGATGGCACCATTGCACTCCAGCCTGGGCAACAAGAGCGAAACTCAGTCTCAAAAAAAGAAAAAAAAGGATTTAATGAATGAATGATGAGACTGTTGGTTACATCTCCCACCTTCTCCCTCTCACTCCACTGCAGCCACACGGGGCTCCTCACTGTTCCCGTAGCAGCAGGCATGTGCCCCCACAGGGCCTCTGTACTGGCTGTTCCCACTGCCCGAACACCCTCATGCACCATCTGCACTGTCCAATACGGCCGCCTCTGGCCACACATGGCTACTGAGCAGTTGAACATGGCTGGTCCAAACCAAGATTTCCAAGACGTCGTACGGTAAAAAATAACATAAAATCTTGCAAAAACGTTTCTATTGATTATGTTAAAATTATGATGTTTTAGGTATATTAGGTTAAATCAGCTATTTTATCAAAATGAATCTCACCTGTTTGTTTTTGCTTTTTTTTTTTGTTTGTTTGTTTTTGAGATGGAGTCTCGCTCTGTCGCCCAGGCGAGAGTACAATGGCGTGGTCTCGGCTCACTGCATCACTGCAACCTCTACCTCCCAGGTTCAAGCGATTCTCCTACCTCACCCTCCCAAGTGGCTGGGATTACAGGCGTGTGCCACCACACCCAGCTAATTTTTGTATTTTTAGTAGAGACAGGGTTTCACCATGTTGGCCGGGCTGGTCTCGAACTGCTGACCTCGTGATCTACCTGCCTCGGCCTCCCAAAGTCCTGGGATTACAGGTGTGGGCCACTGCGCCGGCCATGTTTCTCGACTTCTGCTGGCAAGCATGTTCCAGTATTTGCATGGCTCCTAGCCCTCATCTCCATTTCTCTGCACAGATGTTACCTTCCCCATGAGGTCTGCCTTATACATGAGGCCTGTATTATAAACTGCAACTCCGCATTCCCCAACCCCGTTGTTTCTTCTCCCCAGAACACTAGGCACCATCTGATCTACTATGCCTTTTCCTTATTGTCAGATACTGAACTCTCAGATACAGTTCCCCTTCCTCCCTCCAGGGGGCGCCATGGAACGCAGGGCCCTCACTGGCCCTGGGGACTGGGTGACGACAGGGGGGAGCCTCTGGTGATTGGCTCCCTCACCCTGCGTAAGATCAAAGGGACTAAAGGACAGCCCCGACACCCGGAGCCATTGTGGCTCAGGCCGGTTGCGCCTGCCCTCGGGCCCTCACGGAGGCGGGGGTTCCAGGGCACGAGTTCGAGGCCAGCCTGGTCCACATGGGTCGGAAAAAAGGATTTTTTTTATCGTTCCCAATATAACGACAAAACATAAAGGGAGGACGCCTTGATAGGAAGAAATGACATCTTCCTAAGTGTTTTTAAATTACTTCCATGTGTCTTTTTTTTTTTTTTTTTTTTTTGGGGAGACCGAGCCTTGCTCTGTTGCCCAGGCTGGAGTGCAGTGGTGTGATCTTCGCTCACTGCAACCTCCGCCTCGTCGGTTCAAGGGAGTCTCCTATCTCAGCCTCCTGAGTAGCTGGGATTACAGTCGCCTGCCAAGAGATGGGGTTTCGCCATGTTGACCAGGCTGGTCTTGAACACCTGGCCTCAAATGATCCACTCGCCTTGGTCTCCCAAAGTGGTAGGATGACAGGCGTGAGCCACCGCGCCCAGCCTCTTCTATTCTTTTAGAGACAGGGTCTCACTCTGTTGCCCAGGCTGGAGTGCATTGATGTGATGTGTGATCATAGCTCATTGCAGCCCTGACCATCCGAGCTCAAGCAATCCTTCTGCCTCAGCCTCCTGAGTAGCTGGGGCCGCAGATGTGCACCACTGCACCTGGCTAATTTTTAACCTTTTTGTGGAGCCAGAGTCTGTATAAAATAAAGTGTAAATAGTACCATAAATAAAGAATACATAGTACCATTTTATAGTAGTATAAAACGGACATTAGAAACTCTGGACTTAAAGGTTAAAAAAATACACAAAAGTAGTTCTCAAGTTCTAGAGACTTGGAGAATCCAGGAATCAACAATGTCGTGGAACTCCTACAGCCTTTCATAAAGAATGGCCCTCGAGGAAAGTGGAATTGTCAGTGGGCATTGTGTTCGTGCCTCAGCTAAACACGGCAGGAATTTATTTATAACCTAGTGTAACATCCTCGAGGCACTGTTCAATTATTCAAGCAATTGTAAAATTCTCCCAGTCTTAGAAAAGATACAGGTGTGTGTCCCTCTGCTGTGGCTGTGCACTGAGGCTTCGGTAAAGGTTGCCGTCTAAAACCACCGGCCGGCCCTTGAATTCTTTTTTTTTTTTTTCAGACGGAGTCGCACTCTATCACCCAGGCTGGAGTGCAGTGACACGATCTCTGTTCACTGCAACCTCCGCCTCCCGGGTTCAAGCGATTCCCCTGCCTCAGCCTCCTGAACAGCTGGGATTACAGGCACCCGTCCCCATGCCCGGGTAATTTTTGTATATTTAGTAGAGATGGGGTTTTCAGCATGTTGGCCAGGCTGGTCTCGAACTCCTTACCTCAAGTGATCCATCCGCCTCAGCCTCCCAAAGTGCTGGGATTACAGGCGTGAGCCACTGCGCCCGGCTTCTTGAATTAGTTTCTAGGAGAAGCCAAGAACCCCCCCGGGCTAAGCCTCAATTTTGGGGCTCGCCTGTGCTGCATCAGCTTCACACCTAGAGAAGAGAGTGAAAGAGAAGGGAGAGCCGTCCTTTTGGGCTGCCTTGAAATAAAGGTTGACCCATGGGTTCATGTATTGTCATTCATTCTCATTTTCTCTTCCTCTCTTTCTCTCTCTCCCCTGCCCCTGAAGTTAGCTTTTCTAAACCCTACCTGGATAAGGATAAGAAATAGAAGGAGGGGACACTTTAGGATGCTACAAAATAAAATACAACAACAACAACAATAACAGCAGCAGCAACAACAACAACAGCAACAAAAGGGGAAGAAACAAATCTGGCCACTGCACATTCCTCCTTGCCAACAAAAAGCCGTGGATGCAAAAAGCTGCCCTTCACTGCATAGACAGAACAGGGCGCGCTCGAGCTATGAATCTCGGAAATTACTCAAACCATCAGCCTCTGCAAGAAGCAAAGTGGACGGCCGGGCGCGGTGGCTCACTCCTGGAATCCCAGCACTTTGGGAGCCCGAGGTGGGCGGATCACGAGGTCAGGAGATCGAGACTGTTCTGGCTAAACCAGTGAAACCCCCTCTCTACTAAAAAAATAACAAAAGCGAAGTGCATCTCCCATAAACGAGGTACTGCAGGAAGAAAGCAGAAAATGAGACCCGAGTACACACATGCACGCGGGCGCGCGCACACACACACCAGAAGAAATGAACCAAGAGGAAAGGAAACATTTTCAAATAAGCATTTGGAGATGGGAAAAACACCTTGAAACAGAAATTCATAAAGTACATAATTTTTTTTTAAGTTAAAAAAGGAACAATAATAGACAGAAAATGAATGAAAAATTAAATGTCATATCAGAAGTGAAGATAAATTAAAAGTGGTCAAAGGAGAAGAGATCTAAATGCAAACTTAAGAAGGGGCAATTTTTTTTTTTTTTTTTTTTTTTTGAGACGCAGCCTCACTCTGTCGCCCGGGCTGGAGTGCAGTGGCGTGATCTTGGCTCACTGAAACCTCTGCCTCCTGGATTCAAGCGATTCTCCTGCCTCAGCCTCCCAAGTGGCTGGGATTACAGGCATGAGCCACCATGCCCGGCCTAGAGTCATCATGGAAATTAAACAACCTGCTTCCAAATGACTTTTGGGTAAAGACTGAAATTAAGGCAGAAATAAAAAAATTATCTGAAACTAATGAAAACAAACATACAACATCCCAGAATCTCTGGGACACAGCTAGAACAGTGCTCAAAGGAAGTTTCTAGTGCTAAAGGGCTACACTAAGAAGCTAGAAAGATCTCAAATGAACCGCCTAACATCACACCTAGAGGAATTAGAAAAACAAGAGCAAATCAACCCCAAAGCTAGCAGAAGAAAAAAAAAAACCAACATCGGAGCTGACCTGAATGAAATGGAGACGTAAAAAACCATACAAAAGATCAATGAAACCCAAAGTTGATTTTTTAAAAAAATTATTTATTTATTATTTATTCCATAAATTATTGGGGTACAGGTGGTGTGTGGTTACATAAGCTCTTTAGTGGTGATTTGTGATTTTGGTGCACCCATCACCTGAGCAGTATACACTACACCCTACTTGTTGTATTTTATCCCTCGCCCCCGCCAACTCGTCCCCCTAAGTCCCCAAAGTCCATTGTATCGTTCTTACGCCTTTGCGTCCTCATAGCTTAGCTCCCACATATCAGTGAGAACATACGATGTTTGGTTTTCCATTCCTGACTTACTTCACTTAGAATAACAGTCTCCGGTCTCATCCAGGTCACGGCAAATGCTGTTAATTCATACAAAGTTGATATTTTTGAAAGCATAAATAACATGGGAAGACCACTAGCTAGATTAATAAAGAAAAAAAGACAAGATCCAAATAAACACAATCAGAAATGACAAAGGTGACATTACCACTGACCCACAGATATACAAGAAACCCTGAGACTATTCCACATGCCTCTATGCACACAAACTAGAAAACTAGAAGAAATAGAGAAATTCCTGGAAACATAAAACCTCTCAAGATTGAACCAGGAAGAAATGGAAACCCTGAACAAACCAACGATGAGTTCCAAAATTGAGTTAGTCATACAAAACCTACCAACCAGCACAAAAAACCTTAGACTAGACGGATTCACAGTCGAATCCTACCAGACGTGTAAAGAAAAGGCGGCACCAATCCTACTGAAATTATTCCACACAATTGAGGAGGAGCAACTGCTCTCTAACTCATTCTATGAGGTCAGAGTCATTCTGATACCGAAACCTGGCAGAGACACAACGAAAAAAGGAAAATAGGTAAAGTAATACATATGTTAATGATCTTGATTTAGCCATTCTACGGTATATACATATTTCAAAACAATATGTACATGATAAATATGTACAATTTGTCAATTAAAAATATATAAAAGGAATAGGAAAAAATTCAAATGGCACAGAATTTGAAAGGAGAAGATACAGAACAAACTCCGGTGTCTTCTTTATTCAACTATATATACACACATTCAATGGACTGGGAGCAGTGGCTCAAGCCTGTAATCACAGCACTTTGGGAGGTCAAGGCGGGCAGATCACCTGAGGTCGGGAGTTCGAGACCAGCCTGACCAACAGGGAGAAACCCCAGCTCTACTAAAAATACAAAATTAGCCGGGCATGGTGGCGCATGCCTGTAATCCCAGCTACTCGGAAGGCTGAGGCAGGAGAATCGCTTGAACTCAAGAGGTGGAGGTTGTGGTGAGCCGAGATGGCACCATTGCACTCCAGCCTGGGCAACAAGAGCGAAACTCAGTCTCAAAAAAAGAAAAAAAAGGATTTAATGAATGAATGATGAGACTGTTGGTTACATCTCCCACCTTCTCCCTCTCACTCCACTGCAGCCACACGGGGCTCCTCACTGTTCCCGTAGCAGCAGGCATGTGCCCCCACAGGGCCTCTGTACTGGCTGTTCCCACTGCCCGAACACCCTCATGCACCATCTGCACTGTCCAATACGGCCGCCTCTGGCCACACATGGCTACTGAGCAGTTGAACATGGCTGGTCCAAACCAAGATTTCCAAGACGTCGTATGGTAAAAAATAACATAAAATCTTGCAAAAATGTTTCTATTGATTATGTTAAAATTATGATGTTTTAGGTATATTAGGTTAAATCAGCTATTTTATCAAAATGAATCTCACCTGTTTGTTTTTGCTTTTTTTTTTTTTTTTTTTTTTTTTTTGAGATGGAGTCTCGCTCTGTCGCCCAGGCGAGAGTACAATGGCGTGGTCTCGGCTCACTGCATCACTGCAACCTCTACCTCCCAGGTTCAAGCGATTCTCCTACCTCACCCTCCCAAGTGGCTGGGATTACAGGCGTGTGCCACCACACCCAGCTAATTTTTGTATTTTTAGTAGAGACAGGGTTTCACCATGTTGGCCGGGCTGGTCTCGAACTGCTGACCTCGTGATCTACCTGCCTCGGCCTCCCAAAGTCCTGGGATTACAGGTGTGGGCCACTGCGCCGGCCATGTTTCTCGACTTCTGCTGGCAAGCATGTTCCAGTATTTGCATGGCTCCTAGCCCTCATCTCCATTTCTCTGCACAGATGTTACCTTCCCCATGAGGTCTGCCTTATACATGAGGCCTGTATTATAAACTGCAACTCCGCATTCCCCAACCCCGTTGTTTCTTCTCCCCAGAACACTAGGCACCATCTGATCTACTATGCCTTTTCCTTATTGTCAGATACTGAACTCTCAGATACAGTTCCCCTTCCTCCCTCCAGGGGGCGCCATGGAACGCAGGGCCCTCACTGGCCCTGGGGACTGGGTGACGACAGGGGGGAGCCTCTGGTGATTGGCTCCCTCACCCTGCGTAAGATCAAAGGGACTAAAGGACAGCCCCGACACCCGGAGCCATTGTGGCTCAGGCCGGTTGCGCCTGCCCTCGGGCCCTCACGGAGGCGGGGGTTCCAGGGCACGAGTTCGAGGCCAGCCTGGTCCACATGGGTCGGAAAAAAGGATTTTTTTTATCGTTCCCAATATAACGACAAAACATAAAGGGAGGACGCCTTGATAGGAAGAAATGACATCTTCCTAAGTGTTTTTAAATTACTTCCATGTGTCTTTTTTTTTTTTTTTTTTTTGGGAGACCGAGCCTTGCTCTGTTGCCCAGGCTGGAGTGCAGTGGTGTGATCTTCGCTCACTGCAACCTCCGCCTCGTCGGTTCAAGGGAGTCTCCTATCTCAGCCTCCTGAGTAGCTGGGATTACAGTCGCCTGCCAAGAGATGGGGTTTCGCCATGTTGACCAGGCTGGTCTTGAACACCTGGCCTCAAATGATCCACTCGCCTTGGTCTCCCAAAGTGGTAGGATGACAGGCGTGAGCCACCGCGCCCAGCCTCTTCTATTCTTTTAGAGACAGGGTCTCACTCTGTTGCCCAGGCTGGAGTGCATTGATGTGATGTGTGATCATAGCTCATTGCAGCCCTGACCATCCGAGCTCAAGCAATCCTTCTGCCTCAGCCTCCTGAGTAGCTGGGGCCGCAGATGTGCACCACTGCACCTGGCTAATTTTTAACCTTTTTGTGGAGCCAGAGTCTGTATAAAATAAAGTGTAAATAGTACCATCAATAAAGAATACATAGTACCATTTTATAGTAGTATAAAACGGACATTAGAAACTCTGAACTTAAAGGTTAAAAAAATACACAAAAGTAGTTCTCAAGTTCTAGAGACTTGGAGAATCCAGGAATCAACAATGTCGTGGAACTCCTACAGCCTTTCATAAAGAATGGCCCTCGAGGAAAGTGGAATTGTCAGTGGGCATTGTGTTCGTGCCTCAGCTAAACACGGCAGGAATTTATTTATAACCTAGTGTAACATCCTCGAGGCACTGTTCAATTAGTCAAGCAATTGTAAAATTCTCCCAGTCTTAGAAAAGATACAGGTGTGTGTCCCTCTGCTGTGGCTGTGCACTGAGGCTTCGGTAAAGGTTGCCGTCTAAAACCACCGGCCGGCCCTTGAATTCTTTTTTTTTTTTTTTCAGACGGAGTCGCACTCTATCACCCAGGCTGGAGTGCAGTGACACGATCTCTGTTCACTGCAACCTCCGCCTCCCGGGTTCAAGCGATTCCCCTGCCTCAGCCTCCTGAACAGCTGGGATTACAGGCACCCGTCCCCATGCCCGGGTAATTTTTGTATATTTAGTAGAGATGGGGTTTTCAGCATGTTGGCCAGGCTGGTCTCGAACTCCTTACCTCAAGTGATCCATCCGCCTCAGCCTCCCAAAGTGCTGGGATTACAGGCGTGAGCCACTGCGCCCGGCTTCTTGAATTAGTTTCTAGGAGAAGCCAAGAACCCCCCCGGGCTAAGCCTCAATTTTGGGGCTCGCCTGTGCTGCATCAGCTTCACACCTAGAGAAGAGAGTGAAAGAGAAGGGAGAGCCGTCCTTTTGGGCTGCCTTGAAATAAAGGTTGACCCATGGGTTCATGTATTGTCATTCATTCTCATTTTCTCTTCCTCTCTTTCTCTCTCTCCCCTGCCCCTGAAGTTAGCTTTTCTAAACCCTACCTGGATAAGGATAAGAAATAGAAGGAGGGGACACTTTAGGATGCTACAAAATAAAATACAACAACAACAACAATAACAGCAGCAGCAACAACAACAACAGCAACAAAAGGGGAAGAAACAAATCTGGCCACTGCACATTCCTCCTTGCCAACAAAAAGCCGTGGATGCAAAAAGCTGCCCTTCACTGCATAGACAGAACAGGGCGCGCTCGAGCTATGAATCTCGGAAATTACTCAAACCATCAGCCTCTGCAAGAAGCAAAGTGGACGGCCGGGCGCGGTGGCTCACTCCTGGAATCCCAGCACTTTGGGAGCCCGAGGTGGGCGGATCACGAGGTCAGGAGATCGAGACTGTTCTGGCTAAACCAGTGAAACCCCCTCTCTACTAAAAAAATAACAAAAGCGAAGTGCATCTCCCATAAACGAGGTACTGCAGGAAGAAAGCAGAAAATGAGACCCGAGTACACACATGCACGCGGGCGCGTGCACACACACACCAGAAGAAATGAACCAAGAGGAAAGGAAACATTTTCAAATAAGCATTTGGAGATGGGAAAAACACCTTGAAACAGAAATTCATAAAGTACAGAATTTTTTTTAAGTTAAAAAAGGAACAATAATAGACAGAAAATGAATGAAAAATTAAATGTCATATCAGAAGTGAAGATAAATTAAAAGTGGTCAAAGGAGAAGAGATCTAAATGCAAACTTAAGAAGGGGCAATTTTTTTTTTTTTTTTTTTTTTTGAGACGCAGCCTCACTCTGTCGCCCGGGCTGGAGTGCAGTGGCGTGATCTTGGCTCACTGAAACCTCTGCCTCCTGGATTCAAGCGATTCTCCTGCCTCAGCCTCCCAAGTGGCTGGGATTACAGGCATGAGCCACCATGCCCGGCCTAGAGTCATCATGGAAATTAAACAACCTGCTTCCAAATGACTTTTGGGTAAAGACTGAAATTAAGGCAGAAATAAAAAAATTATCTGAAACTAATGAAAACAAACATACAACATCCCAGAATCTCTGGGACACAGCTAGAACAGTGCTCAAAGGAAGTTTCTAGTGCTAAAGGGCTACACTAAGAAGCTAGAAAGATCTCAAATGAACCGCCTAACATCACACCTAGAGGAATTAGAAAAACAAGAGCAAATCAACCCCAAAGCTAGCAGAAGAAAAAAAAAAACCAACATCGGAGCTGACCTGAATGAAATGGAGACGTAAAAAACCATACAAAAGATCAATGAAACCCAAAGTTGATTTTTTAAAAAAATTATTTATTTATTATTTATTCCATAAATTATTGGGGTACAGGTGGTGTGTGGTTACATAAGCTCTTTAGTGGTGATTTGTGATTTTGGTGCACCCATCACCTGAGCAGTATACACTACACCCTACTTGTTGTATTTTATCCCTCGCCCCCGCCAACTCGTCCCCCTAAGTCCCCAAAGTCCATTGTATCATTCTTACGCCTTTGCGTCCTCATAGCTTAGCTCCCACATATCAGTGAGAACATACGATGTTTGGTTTTCCATTCCTGACTTACTTCACTTAGAATAACAGTCTCCGGTCTCATCCAGGTCACGGCAAATGCTGTTAATTCATACAAAGTTGATATTTTTGAAAGCATAAATAACATGGGAAGACCACTAGCTAGATTAATAAAGAAAAAAAGACAAGATCCAAATAAACACAATCAGAAATGACAAAGGTGACATTACCACTGACCCACAGATATACAAGAAACCCTGAGACTATTCCACATGCCTCTATGCACACAAACTAGAAAACTAGAAGAAATAGAGAAATTCCTGGAAACATAAAACCTCTCAAGATTGAACCAGGAAGAAATGGAAACCCTGAACAAACCAACGATGAGTTCCAAAATTGAGTTAGTCATACAAAACCTACCAACCAGCACAAAAAACCTTAGACTAGACGGATTCACAGTCGAATCCTACCAGACGTGTAAAGAAAAGGCGGCACCAATCCTACTGAAATTATTCCACACAATTGAGGAGGAGCAACTGCTCTCTAACTCATTCTATGAGGTCAGAGTCATTCTGATACCGAAACCTGGCAGAGACACAACGAAAAAAGGAAAATAGGTAAAGTAATACATATGTTAATGATCTTGATTTAGCCATTCTACGGTATATACATATTTCAAAACAATATGTACATGATAAATATGTACAATTTGTCAATTAAAAATATATAAAAGGAATAGGAAAAAATTCAAATGGCACAGAATTTGAAAGGAGAAGATACAGAACAAACTCCGGTGTCTTCTTTATTCAACTATATATACACACATTCAATGGACTGGGAGCAGTGGCTCAAGCCTGTAATCACAGCACTTTGGGAGGTCAAGGCGGGCAGATCACCTGAGGTCGGGAGTTCGAGACCAGCCTGACCAACAGGGAGAAACCCCAGCTCTACTAAAAATACAAAATTAGCCGGGCATGGTGGCGCATGCCTGTAATCCCAGCTACTCGGAAGGCTGAGGCAGGAGAATCGCTTGAACTCAAGAGGTGGAGGTTGTGGTGAGCCGAGATGGCACCATTGCACTCCAGCCTGGGCAACAAGAGCGAAACTCAGTCTCAAAAAAAGAAAAAAAAGGATTTAATGAATGAATGATGAGACTGTTGGTTACATCTCCCACCTTCTCCCTCTCACTCCACTGCAGCCACACGGGGCTCCTCACTGTTCCCGTAGCAGCAGGCATGTGCCCCCACAGGGCCTCTGTACTGGCTGTTCCCACTGCCCGAACACCCTCATGCACCATCTGCACTGTCCAATACGGCCGCCTCTGGCCACACATGGCTACTGAGCAGTTGAACATGGCTGGTCCAAACCAAGATTTCCAAGACGTCGTATGGTAAAAAATAACATAAAATCTTGCAAAAATGTTTCTATTGATTATGTTAAAATTATGATGTTTTAGGTATATTAGGTTAAATCAGCTATTTTATCAAAATGAATCTCACCTGTTTGTTTTTGCTTTTTTTTTTTTTTTTTTTTTTTTTTTTTGAGATGGAGTCTCGCTCTGTCGCCCAGGCGAGAGTACAATGGCGTGGTCTCGGCTCACTGCATCACTGCAACCTCTACCTCCCAGGTTCAAGCGATTCTCCTACCTCACCCTCCCAAGTGGCTGGGATTACAGGCGTGTGCCACCACACCCAGCTAATTTTTGTATTTTTAGTAGAGACAGGGTTTCACCATGTTGGCCGGGCTGGTCTCGAACTGCTGACCTCGTGATCTACCTGCCTCGGCCTCCCAAAGTCCTGGGATTACAGGTGTGGGCCACTGCGCCGGCCATGTTTCTCGACTTCTGCTGGCAAGCATGTTCCAGTATTTGCATGGCTCCTAGCCCTCATCTCCATTTCTCTGCACAGATGTTACCTTCCCCATGAGGTCTGCCTTATACATGAGGCCTGTATTATAAACTGCAACTCCGCATTCCCCAACCCCGTTGTTTCTTCTCCCCAGAACACTAGGCACCATCTGATCTACTATGCCTTTTCCTTATTGTCAGATACTGAACTCTCAGATACAGTTCCCCTTCCTCCCTCCAGGGGGCGCCATGGAACGCAGGGCCCTCACTGGCCCTGGGGACTGGGTGACGACAGGGGGGAGCCTCTGGTGATTGGCTCCCTCACCCTGCGTAAGATCAAAGGGACTAAAGGACAGCCCCGACACCCGGAGCCATTGTGGCTCAGGCCGGTTGCGCCTGCCCTCGGGCCCTCACGGAGGCGGGGGTTCCAGGGCACGAGTTCGAGGCCAGCCTGGTCCACATGGGTCGGAAAAAAGGATTTTTTTTATCGTTCCCAATATAACGACAAAACATAAAGGGAGGACGCCTTGATAGGAAGAAATGACATCTTCCTAAGTGTTTTTAAATTACTTCCATGTGTCTTTTTTTTTTTTTTTTTTTTTGGGAGACCGAGCCTTGCTCTGTTGCCCAGGCTGGAGTGCAGTGGTGTGATCTTCGCTCACTGCAACCTCCGCCTCGTCGGTTCAAGGGAGTCTCCTATCTCAGCCTCCTGAGTAGCTGGGATTACAGTCGCCTGCCAAGAGATGGGGTTTCGCCATGTTGACCAGGCTGGTCTTGAACACCTGGCCTCAAATGATCCACTCGCCTTGGTCTCCCAAAGTGGTAGGATGACAGGCGTGAGCCACCGCGCCCAGCCTCTTCTATTCTTTTAGAGACAGGGTCTCACTCTGTTGCCCAGGCTGGAGTGCATTGATGTGATGTGTGATCATAGCTCATTGCAGCCCTGACCATCCGAGCTCAAGCAATCCTTCTGCCTCAGCCTCCTGAGTAGCTGGGGCCGCAGATGTGCACCACTGCACCTGGCTAATTTTTAACCTTTTTGTGGAGCCAGAGTCTGTATAAAATAAAGTGTAAATAGTACCATCAATAAAGAATACATAGTACCATTTTATAGTAGTATAAAACGGACATTAGAAACTCTGAACTTAAAGGTTAAAAAAATACACAAAAGTAGTTCTCAAGTTCTAGAGACTTGGAGAATCCAGGAATCAACAATGTCGTGGAACTCCTACAGCCTTTCATAAAGAATGGCCCTCGAGGAAAGTGGAATTGTCAGTGGGCATTGTGTTCGTGCCTCAGCTAAACACGGCAGGAATTTATTTATAACCTAGTGTAACATCCTCGAGGCACTGTTCAATTAGTCAAGCAATTGTAAAATTCTCCCAGTCTTAGAAAAGATACAGGTGTGTGTCCCTCTGCTGTGGCTGTGCACTGAGGCTTCGGTAAAGGTTGCCGTCTAAAACCACCGGCCGGCCCTTGAATTCTTTTTTTTTTTTTTTCAGACGGAGTCGCACTCTATCACCCAGGCTGGAGTGCAGTGACACGATCTCTGTTCACTGCAACCTCCGCCTCCCGGGTTCAAGCGATTCCCCTGCCTCAGCCTCCTGAACAGCTGGGATTACAGGCACCCGTCCCCATGCCCGGGTAATTTTTGTATATTTAGTAGAGATGGGGTTTTCAGCATGTTGGCCAGGCTGGTCTCGAACTCCTTACCTCAAGTGATCCATCCGCCTCAGCCTCCCAAAGTGCTGGGATTACAGGCGTGAGCCACTGCGCCCGGCTTCTTGAATTAGTTTCTAGGAGAAGCCAAGAACCCCCCCGGGCTAAGCCTCAATTTTGGGGCTCGCCTGTGCTGCATCAGCTTCACACCTAGAGAAGAGAGTGAAAGAGAAGGGAGAGCCGTCCTTTTGGGCTGCCTTGAAATAAAGGTTGACCCATGGGTTCATGTATTGTCATTCATTCTCATTTTCTCTTCCTCTCTTTCTCTCTCTCCCCTGCCCCTGAAGTTAGCTTTTCTAAACCCTACCTGGATAAGGATAAGAAATAGAAGGAGGGGACACTTTAGGATGCTACAAAATAAAATACAACAACAACAACAATAACAGCAGCAGCAACAACAACAACAGCAACAAAAGGGGAAGAAACAAATCTGGCCACTGCACATTCCTCCTTGCCAACAAAAAGCCGTGGATGCAAAAAGCTGCCCTTCACTGCATAGACAGAACAGGGCGCGCTCGAGCTATGAATCTCGGAAATTACTCAAACCATCAGCCTCTGCAAGAAGCAAAGTGGACGGCCGGGCGCGGTGGCTCACTCCTGGAATCCCAGCACTTTGGGAGCCCGAGGTGGGCGGATCACGAGGTCAGGAGATCGAGACTGTTCTGGCTAAACCAGTGAAACCCCCTCTCTACTAAAAAAATAACAAAAGCGAAGTGCATCTCCCATAAACGAGGTACTGCAGGAAGAAAGCAGAAAATGAGACCCGAGTACACACATGCACGCGGGCGCGCGCACACACACACCAGAAGAAATGAACCAAGAGGAAAGGAAACATTTTCAAATAAGCATTTGGAGATGGGAAAAACACCTTGAAACAGAAATTCATAAAGTACAGAATTTTTTTTAAGTTAAAAAAGGAACAATAATAGACAGAAAATGAATGAAAAATTAAATGTCATATCAGAAGTGAAGATAAATTAAAAGTGGTCAAAGGAGAAGAGATCTAAATGCAAACTTAAGAAGGGGCAATTTTTTTTTTTTTTTTTTTTTTTTGAGACGCAGCCTCACTCTGTCGCCCGGGCTGGAGTGCAGTGGCGTGATCTTGGCTCACTGAAACCTCTGCCTCCTGGATTCAAGCGATTCTCCTGCCTCAGCCTCCCAAGTGGCTGGGATTACAGGCATGAGCCACCATGCCCGGCCTAGAGTCATCATGGAAATTAAACAACCTGCTTCCAAATGACTTTTGGGTAAAGACTGAAATTAAGGCAGAAATAAAAAAATTATCTGAAACTAATGAAAACAAACATACAACATCCCAGAATCTCTGGGACACAGCTAGAACAGTGCTCAAAGGAAGTTTCTAGTGCTAAAGGGCTACACTAAGAAGCTAGAAAGATCTCAAATGAACCGCCTAACATCACACCTAGAGGAATTAGAAAAACAAGAGCAAATCAACCCCAAAGCTAGCAGAAGAAAAAAAAAAACCAACATCGGAGCTGACCTGAATGAAATGGAGACGTAAAAAACCATACAAAAGATCAATGAAACCCAAAGTTGATTTTTTAAAAAAATTATTTATTTATTATTTATTCCATAAATTATTGGGGTACAGGTGGTGTGTGGTTACATAAGCTCTTTAGTGGTGATTTGTGATTTTGGTGCACCCATCACCTGAGCAGTATACACTACACCCTACTTGTTGTATTTTATCCCTCGCCCCCGCCAACTCGTCCCCCTAAGTCCCCAAAGTCCATTGTATCATTCTTACGCCTTTGCGTCCTCATAGCTTAGCTCCCACATATCAGTGAGAACATACGATGTTTGGTTTTCCATTCCTGACTTACTTCACTTAGAATAACAGTCTCCGGTCTCATCCAGGTCACGGCAAATGCTGTTAATTCATACAAAGTTGATATTTTTGAAAGCATAAATAACATGGGAAGACCACTAGCTAGATTAATAAAGAAAAAAAGACAAGATCCAAATAAACACAATCAGAAATGACAAAGGTGACATTACCACTGACCCACAGATATACAAGAAACCCTGAGACTATTCCACATGCCTCTATGCACACAAACTAGAAAACTAGAAGAAATAGAGAAATTCCTGGAAACATAAAACCTCTCAAGATTGAACCAGGAAGAAATGGAAACCCTGAACAAACCAACGATGAGTTCCAAAATTGAGTTAGTCATACAAAACCTACCAACCAGCACAAAAAACCTTAGACTAGACGGATTCACAGTCGAATCCTACCAGACGTGTAAAGAAAAGGCGGCACTAATCCTACTGAAATTATTCCACACAATTGAGGAGGAGCAACTGCTCTCTAACTCATTCTATGAGGTCAGAGTCATTCTGATACCGAAACCTGGCAGAGACACAACGAAAAAAGGAAAATAGGTAAAGTAATACATATGTTAATGATCTTGATTTAGCCATTCTACGGTATATACATATTTCAAAACAATATGTACATGATAAATATGTACAATTTGTCAATTAAAAATATATAAAAGGAATAGGAAAAAATTCAAATGGCACAGAATTTGAAAGGAGAAGATACAGAACAAACTCCGGTGTCTTCTTTATTCAACTATATATACACACATTCAATGGACTGGGAGCAGTGGCTCAAGCCTGTAATCACAGCACTTTGGGAGGTCAAGGCGGGCAGATCACCTGAGGTCGGGAGTTCGAGACCAGCCTGACCAACAGGGAGAAACCCCAGCTCTACTAAAAATACAAAATTAGCCGGGCATGGTGGCGCATGCCTGTAATCCCAGCTACTCGGAAGGCTGAGGCAGGAGAATCGCTTGAACTCAAGAGGTGGAGGTTGTGGTGAGCCGAGATGGCACCATTGCACTCCAGCCTGGGCAACAAGAGCGAAACTCAGTCTCAAAAAAAGAAAAAAAAGGATTTAATGAATGAATGATGAGACTGTTGGTTACATCTCCCACCTTCTCCCTCTCACTCCACTGCAGCCACACGGGGCTCCTCACTGTTCCCGTAGCAGCAGGCATGTGCCCCCACAGGGCCTCTGTACTGGCTGTTCCCACTGCCCGAACACCCTCATGCACCATCTGCACTGTCCAATACGGCCGCCTCTGGCCACACATGGCTACTGAGCAGTTGAACATGGCTGGTCCAAACCAAGATTTCCAAGACGTCGTATGGTAAAAAATAACATAAAATCTTGCAAAAATGTTTCTATTGATTATGTTAAAATTATGATGTTTTAGGTATATTAGGTTAAATCAGCTATTTTATCAAAATGAATCTCACCTGTTTGTTTTTGCTTTTTTTTTTTTTTTTTTTTTTTTTTTTTGAGATGGAGTCTCGCTCTGTCGCCCAGGCGAGAGTACAATGGCGTGGTCTCGGCTCACTGCATCACTGCAACCTCTACCTCCCAGGTTCAAGCGATTCTCCTACCTCACCCTCCCAAGTGGCTGGGATTACAGGCGTGTGCCACCACACCCAGCTAATTTTTGTATTTTTAGTAGAGACAGGGTTTCACCATGTTGGCCGGGCTGGTCTCGAACTGCTGACCTCGTGATCTACCTGCCTCGGCCTCCCAAAGTCCTGGGATTACAGGTGTGGGCCACTGCGCCGGCCATGTTTCTCGACTTCTGCTGGCAAGCATGTTCCAGTATTTGCATGGCTCCTAGCCCTCATCTCCATTTCTCTGCACAGATGTTACCTTCCCCATGAGGTCTGCCTTATACATGAGGCCTGTATTATAAACTGCAACTCCGCATTCCCCAACCCCGTTGTTTCTTCTCCCCAGAACACTAGGCACCATCTGATCTACTATGCCTTTTCCTTATTGTCAGATACTGAACTCTCAGATACAGTTCCCCTTCCTCCCTCCAGGGGGCGCCATGGAACGCAGGGCCCTCACTGGCCCTGGGGACTGGGTGACGACAGGGGGGAGCCTCTGGTGATTGGCTCCCTCACCCTGCGTAAGATCAAAGGGACTAAAGGACAGCCCCGACACCCGGAGCCATTGTGGCTCAGGCCGGTTGCGCCTGCCCTCGGGCCCTCACGGAGGCGGGGGTTCCAGGGCACGAGTTCGAGGCCAGCCTGGTCCACATGGGTCGGAAAAAAGGATTTTTTTTATCGTTCCCAATATAACGACAAAACATAAAGGGAGGACGCCTTGATAGGAAGAAATGACATCTTCCTAAGTGTTTTTAAATTACTTCCATGTGTCTTTTTTTTTTTTTTTTTTTTTGGGAGACCGAGCCTTGCTCTGTTGCCCAGGCTGGAGTGCAGTGGTGTGATCTTCGCTCACTGCAACCTCCGCCTCGTCGGTTCAAGGGAGTCTCCTATCTCAGCCTCCTGAGTAGCTGGGATTACAGTCGCCTGCCAAGAGATGGGGTTTCGCCATGTTGACCAGGCTGGTCTTGAACACCTGGCCTCAAATGATCCACTCGCCTTGGTCTCCCAAAGTGGTAGGATGACAGGCGTGAGCCACCGCGCCCAGCCTCTTCTATTCTTTTAGAGACAGGGTCTCACTCTGTTGCCCAGGCTGGAGTGCATTGATGTGATGTGTGATCATAGCTCATTGCAGCCCTGACCATCCGAGCTCAAGCAATCCTTCTGCCTCAGCCTCCTGAGTAGCTGGGGCCGCAGATGTGCACCACTGCACCTGGCTAATTTTTAACCTTTTTGTGGAGCCAGAGTCTGTATAAAATAAAGTGTAAATAGTACCATCAATAAAGAATACATAGTACCATTTTATAGTAGTATAAAACGGACATTAGAAACTCTGAACTTAAAAAAATACACAAAAGTAGTTCTCAAGTTCTAGAGACTTGGAGAATCCAGGAATCAACAATGTCGTGGAACTCCTACAGCCTTTCATAAAGAATGGCCCTCGAGGAAAGTGGAATTGTCAGTGGGCATTGTGTTCGTGCCTCAGCTAAACACGGCAGGAATTTATTTATAACCTAGTGTAACATCCTCGAGGCACTGTTCAATTAGTCAAGCAATTGTAAAATTCTCCCAGTCTTAGAAAAGATACAGGTGTGTGTCCCTCTGCTGTGGCTGTGCACTGAGGCTTCGGTAAAGGTTGCCGTCTAAAACCACCGGCCTGCCCTTGAATTCTTTTTTTTTTTTTCAGACGGAGTCGCACTCTATCACCCAGGCTGGAGTGCAGTGACACGATCTCTGTTCACTGCAACCTCCGCCTCCCGGGTTCAAGCGATTCCCCTGCCTCAGCCTCCTGAACAGCTGGGATTACAGGCACCCGTCCCCATGCCCGGGTAATTTTTGTATATTTAGTAGAGATGGGGTTTCACCATGTTGGCCAGGCTGGTCTCGAACTCCTTACCTCAAGTGATCCATCCGCCTCAGCCTCCCAAAGTGCTGGGATTACAGGCGTGAGCCACTGCGCCCGGCTTCTTGAATTAGTTTCTAGGAGAAGCCAAGAACCCCCCCGGGCTAAGCCTCAATTTTGGGGCTCGCCTGTGCTGCATCAGCTTCACACCTAGAGAAGAGAGTGAAAGAGAAGGGAGAGCCGTCCTTTTGGGCTGCCTTGAAATAAAGGTTGACCCATGGGTTCATGTATTGTCATTCATTCTCATTTTCTCTTCCTCTCTTTCTCTCTCTCCCCTGCCCCTGAAGTTAGCTTTTCTAAACCCTACCTGGATAAGGATAAGAAATAGAAGGAGGGGACACTTTAGGATGCTACAAAATAAAATACAACAACAACAACAATAACAGCAGCAGCAACAACAACAACAGCAACAAAAGGGGAAGAAACAAATCTGGCCACTGCACATTCCTCCTTGCCAACAAAAAGCCGTGGATGCAAAAAGCTGCCCTTCACTGCATAGACAGAACAGGGCGCGCTCGAGCTATGAATCTCGGAAATTACTCAAACCATCAGCCTCTGCAAGAAGCAAAGTGGACGGCCGGGCGCGGTGGCTCACTCCTGGAATCCCAGCACTTTGGGAGCCCGAGGTGGGCGGATCACGAGGTCAGGAGATCGAGACTGTTCTGGCTAAACCAGTGAAACCCCCTCTCTACTAAAAAAATAAGAAAAGCGAAGTGCATCTCCCATAAACGAGGTACTGCAGGAAGAAAGCAGAAAATGAGACCCGAGTACACACATGCACGCGGGCGCGCGCACACACACACCAGAAGAAATGAACCAAGAGGAAAGGAAACATTTCCAAATAAGCATTTGGAGATGGGAAAAACACCTTGAAACAGAAATTCATAAAGTACAGAATTTTTTTTTAAGTTAAAAAACGAACAATAATAGACAGAAAATGAATGAAAAATTAAATGTCATATCAGAAGTGAAGATAAATTAAAAGTGGTCAAAGGAGAAGAGATCTAAATGCAAACTTAAGAAGGGGCAATTTTTTTTTTTTTTTTTTTTTTTTGAGACGCAGCCTCACTGTGTCGCCCGGGCTGGAGTGCAGTGGCGTGATCTTGGCTCACTGAAACCTCTGCCTCCTGGATTCAAGCGATTCTCCTGCCTCAGCCTCCCAAGTGGCTGGGATTACAGGCGTGTGCCACCACACCCAGCTAATTTTTGTATTTTTAGTAGAGACAGGGTTTCACCATGTTGGCCAGGCTGGTCTCGAACTGCTGACCTCGTGATCTACCTGCCTCGGCCTCCCAAAGTCCTGGGATTACAGGTGTGGGCCACTGCGCCAGCCTTGTTTCTCGACTTCTGCTGGCAAGCATGTTCCAGTATTTGCATGGCTCCTAGCCCTCATCTCCATTTCTCTGCACAGATGTTACCTTCCCCATGAGGTCTGCCTTATACATGAGGCCTGTATTATAAACTGCAACTCCGCATTCCCCAACCCCGTTGTTTCTTCTCCCCAGAACACTAGGCACCATCTGATCTACCATGCCTTTTCCTTATTGTCAGATACTGAACTCTCAGATACAGTTCCCCTTCCTCCCTCCAGGGGGCGCCATGGAACGCAGGGCCCTCACTGGCCCTGGGGACTGGGTGACGACAGGGGGGAGCCTCTGGTGATTGGCTCCCTCACCCTGCGTAAGATCAAAGGGACTAAAGGACAGCCCCGACACCCGGAGCCATTGTGGCTCAGGCCGGTTGCGCCTGCCCTCGGGCCCTCACGGAGGCGGGGGTTCCAGGGCACGAGTTCGAGGCCAGCCTGGTCCACATGGGTCGGAAAAAAGGATTTTTTTTATCGTTCCCAATATAACGACAAAACATAAAGGGAGGACGCCTTGATAGGAAGAAATGACATCTTCCTAAGTGTTTTTAAATTACTTCCATGTGTCTTTTTTTTTTTTTTTTTTGGGAGACCGAGCCTTGCTCTGTTGCCCAGGCTGGAGTGCAGTGGTGTGATCTTCGCTCACTGCAACCTCCGCCTCGTCGGTTCAAGGGAGTCTCCTATCTCAGCCTCCTGAGTAGCTGGGATTACAGTCGCCTGCCAAGAGATGGGGTTTCGCCATGTTGACCAGGCTGGTCTTGAACACCTGGCCTCAAATGATCCACTCGCCTTGGTCTCCCAAAGTGGTAGGATGACAGGCGTGAGCCACCGCGGCCAGCCTCTTCTATTCTTTTAGAGACAGGGTCTCACTCCGTTGCCCAGGCTGGAGTGCATTGATGTGATGTGTGATCATAGCTCATTGCAGCCCTGACCATCCGAGCTCAAGCAATCCTTCTGCCTCAGCCTCCTGAGTAGCTGGGGCCGCAGATGTGCACCACTGCACCTGGCTAATTTTTAACCTTTTTGTGGAGCCAGAGTCTGTATAAAATAAAGTGTAAATAGTACCATCAATAAAGAATACATAGTACCATTTTATAGTAGTATAAAACGGACATTAGAAACTCTGAACTTAAAGGTTAAAAAAATACACAAAAGTAGTTCTCAAGTTCTAGAGACTTGGAGAATCCAGGAATCAACAATGTCGTGGAACTCCTACAGCCTTTCATAAAGAATGGCCCTCGAGGAAAGTGGAATTGTCAGTGGGCATTGTGTTCGTGCCTCAGCTAAACACGGCAGGAATTTATTTATAACCTAGTGTAACATCCTCGAGGCACTGTTCAATTAGTCAAGCAATTGTAAAATTCTCCCAGTCTTAGAAAAGATACAGGTGTGTGTCCCTCTGCTGTGGCTGTGCACTGAGGCTTCGGTAAAGGTTGCCGTCTAAAACCACCGGCCTGCCCTTGAATTCTTTTTTTTTTTTTCAGACGGAGTCGCACTCTATCACCCAGGCTGGAGTGCAGTGACACGATCTCTGTTCACTGCAACCTCCGCCTCCCGGGTTCAAGCGATTCCCCTGCCTCAGCCTCCTGAACAGCTGGGATTACAGGCACCCGTCCCCATGCCCGGGTAATTTTTGTATATTTAGTAGAGATGGGGTTTCACCATGTTGGCCAGGCTGGTCTCGAACTCCTTACCTCAAGTGATCCATCCGCCTCAGCCTCCCAAAGTGCTGGGATTACAGGCGTGAGCCACTGCGCCCGGCTTCTTGAATTAGTTTCTAGGAGAAGCCAAGAACCCCCCCGGGCTAAGCCTCAATTTTGGGGCTCGCCTGTGCTGCATCAGCTTCACACCTAGAGAAGAGAGTGAAAGAGAAGGGAGAGCCGTCCTTTTGGGCTGCCTTGAAATAAAGGTTGACCCATGGGTTCATGTATTGTCATTCATTCTCATTTTCTCTTCCTCTCTTTCTCTCTCTCCCCTGCCCCTGAAGTTAGCTTTTCTAAACCCTACCTGGATAAGGATAAGAAATAGAAGGAGGGGACACTTTAGGATGCTACAAAATAAAATACAACAACAACAACAATAACAGCAGCAGCAACAACAACAACAGCAACAAAAGGGGAAGAAACAAATCTGGCCACTGCACATTCCTCCTTGCCAACAAAAAGCCGTGGATGCAAAAAGCTGCCCTTCACTGCATAGACAGAACAGGGCGCGCTCGAGCTATGAATCTCGGAAATTACTCAAACCATCAGCCTCTGCAAGAAGCAAAGTGGACGGCCGGGCGCGGTGGCTCACTCCTGGAATCCCAGCACTTTGGGAGCCCGAGGTGGGCGGATCACGAGGTCAGGAGATCGAGACTGTTCTGGCTAAACCAGTGAAACCCCCTCTCTACTAAAAAAATAAGAAAAGCGAAGTGCATCTCCCATAAACGAGGTACTGCAGGAAGAAAGCAGAAAATGAGACCCGAGTACACACATGCACGCGGGCGCGCGCACACACACACCAGAAGAAATGAACCAAGAGGAAAGGAAACATTTCCAAATAAGCATTTGGAGATGGGAAAAACACCTTGAAACAGAAATTCATAAAGTACAGAATTTTTTTTTAAGTTAAAAAACGAACAATAATAGACAGAAAATGAATGAAAAATTAAATGTCATATCAGAAGTGAAGATAAATTAAAAGTGGTCAAAGGAGAAGAGATCTAAATGCAAACTTAAGAAGGGGCAATTTTTTTTTTTTTTTTTTTTTTTTTGAGACGCAGCCTCACTGTGTCGCCCGGGCTGGAGTGCAGTGGCGTGATCTTGGCTCACTGAAACCTCTGCCTCCTGGATTCAAGCGATTCTCCTGCCTCAGCCTCCCAAGTGGCTGGGATTACAGGCGTGTGCCACCACACCCAGCTAATTTTTGTATTTTTAGTAGAGACAGGGTTTCACCATGTTGGCCAGGCTGGTCTCGAACTGCTGACCTCGTGATCTACCTGCCTCGGCCTCCCAAAGTCCTGGGATTACAGGTGTGGGCCACTGCGCCAGCCTTGTTTCTCGACTTCTGCTGGCAAGCATGTTCCAGTATTTGCATGGCTCCTAGCCCTCATCTCCATTTCTCTGCACAGATGTTACCTTCCCCATGAGGTCTGCCTTATACATGAGGCCTGTATTATAAACTGCAACTCCGCATTCCCCAACCCCGTTGTTTCTTCTCCCCAGAACACTAGGCACCATCTGATCTACCATGCCTTTTCCTTATTGTCAGATACTGAACTCTCAGATACAGTTCCCCTTCCTCCCTCCAGGGGGCGCCATGGAACGCAGGGCCCTCACTGGCCCTGGGGACTGGGTGACGACAGGGGGGAGCCTCTGGTGATTGGCTCCCTCACCCTGCGTAAGATCAAAGGGACTAAAGGACAGCCCCGACACCCGGAGCCATTGTGGCTCAGGCCGGTTGCGCCTGCCCTCGGGCCCTCACGGAGGCGGGGGTTCCAGGGCACGAGTTCGAGGCCAGCCTGGTCCACATGGGTCGGAAAAAAGGATTTTTTTTATCGTTCCCAATATAACGACAAAACATAAAGGGAGGACGCCTTGATAGGAAGAAATGACATCTTCCTAAGTGTTTTTAAATTACTTCCATGTGTCTTTTTTTTTTTTTTTTTTTGGGAGACCGAGCCTTGCTCTGTTGCCCAGGCTGGAGTGCAGTGGTGTGATCTTCGCTCACTGCAACCTCCGCCTCGTCGGTTCAAGGGAGTCTCCTATCTCAGCCTCCTGAGTAGCTGGGATTACAGTCGCCTGCCAAGAGATGGGGTTTCGCCATGTTGACCAGGCTGGTCTTGAACACCTGGCCTCAAATGATCCACTCGCCTTGGTCTCCCAAAGTGGTAGGATGACAGGCGTGAGCCACCGCGCCCAGCCTCTTCTATTCTTTTAGAGACAGGGTCTCACTCCGTTGCCCAGGCTGGAGTGCATTGATGTGATGTGTGATCATAGCTCATTGCAGCCCTGACCATCCGAGCTCAAGCAATCCTTCTGCCTCAGCCTCCTGAGTAGCTGGGGCCGCAGATGTGCACCACTGCACCTGGCTAATTTTTAACCTTTTTGTGGAGCCAGAGTCTGTATAAAATAAAGTGTAAATAGTACCATCAATAAAGAATACATAGTACCATTTTATAGTAGTATAAAACGGACATTAGAAACTCTGAACTTAAAGGTTAAAAAAATACACAAAAGTAGTTCTCAAGTTCTAGAGACTTGGAGAATCCAGGAATCAACAATGTCGTGGAACTCCTACAGCCTTTCATAAAGAATGGCCCTCGAGGAAAGTGGAATTGTCAGTGGGCATTGTGTTCGTGCCTCAGCTAAACACGGCAGGAATTTATTTATAACCTAGTGTAACATCCTCGAGGCACTGTTCAATTAGTCAAGCAATTGTAAAATTCTCCCAGTCTTAGAAAAGATACAGGTGTGTGTCCCTCTGCTGTGGCTGTGCACTGAGGCTTCGGTAAAGGTTGCCGTCTAAAACCACCGGCCTGCCCTTGAATTCTTTTTTTCTTTTTCAGACGGAGTCGCACTCTATCACCCAGGCTGGAGTGCAGTGACACGATCTCTGTTCACTGCAACCTCCGCCTCCCGGGTTCAAGCGATTCCCCTGCCTCAGCCTCCTGAACAGCTGGGATTACAGGCACCCGTCCCCATGCCCGGGTAATTTTTGTATATTTAGTAGAGATGGGGTTTCACCATGTTGGCCAGGCTGGTCTCGAACTCCTTACCTCAAGTGATCCATCCGCCTCAGCCTCCCAAAGTGCTGGGATTACAGGCGTGAGCCACTGCGCCCGGCTTCTTGAATTAGTTTCTAGGAGAAGCCAAGAACCCCCCCGGGCTAAGCCTCAATTTTGGGGCTCGCCTGTGCTGCATCAGCTTCACACCTAGAGAAGAGAGTGAAAGAGAAGGGAGAGCCGTCCTTTTGGGCTGCCTTGAAATAAAGGTTGACCCATGGGTTCATGTATTGTCATTCATTCTCATTTTCTCCTCCTCTCTTTCTCTCTCTCCCCTGCCCCTGAAGTTAGCTTTTCTAAACCCTACCTGGATAAGGATAAGAAATAGAAGGAGGGGACACTTTAGGATGCTACAAAATAAAATACAACAACAACAACAATAACAGCAGCAGCAACAACAACAACAGCAACAAAAGGGGAAGAAACAAATCTGGCCACTGCACATTCCTCCTTGCCAACAAAAAGCCGTGGATGCAAAAAGCTGCCCTTCACTGCATAGACAGAACAGGGCGCGCTCGAGCTATGAATCTCGGAAATTACTCAAACCATCAGCCTCTGCAAGAAGCAAAGTGGACGGCCGGGCACGGTGGCTCACTCCTGGAATCCCAGCACTTTGGGAGCCCGAGGTGGGCGGATCACAAGGTCAGGAGATCGAGACTGTTCTGGCTAAACCAGTGAAACCCCCTCTCTACTAAAAAAATAAGAAAAGCGAAGTGCATCTCCCATAAACGAGGTACTGCAGGAAGAAAGCAGAAAATGAGACCCGAGTACACACATGCACGCGGGCGCGCGCACACACACACCAGAAGAAATGAACCAAGAGGAAAGGAAACATTTCCAAATAAGCATTTGGAGATGGGAAAAACACCTTGAAACAGAAATTCATAAAGTACAGAATTTTTTTTTAAGTTAAAAAACGAACAATAATAGACAGAAAATGAATGAAAAATTAAATGTCATATCAGAAGTGAAGATAAATTAAAAGTGGTCAAAGGAGAAGAGATCTAAATGCAAACTTAAGAAGGGGCAATTTTTTTTTTTTTTTTTTTTTTTTTGAGACGCAGCCTCACTGTGTCGCCCGGGCTGGAGTGCAGTGGCGTGATCTTGGCTCACTGAAACCTCTGCCTCCTGGATTCAAGCGATTCTCCTGCCTCAGCCTCCCAAGTGGCTGGGATTACAGGCGTGTGCCACCACACCCAGCTAATTTTTGTATTTTTAGTAGAGACAGGGTTTCACCATGTTGGCCAGGCTGGTCTCGAACTGCTGACCTCGTGATCTACCTGCCTCGGCCTCCCAAAGTCCTGGGATTACAGGTGTGGGCCACTGCGCCAGCCTTGTTTCTCGACTTCTGCTGGCAAGCATGTTCCAGTATTTGCATGGCTCCTAGCCCTCATCTCCATTTCTCTGCACAGATGTTACCTTCCCCATGAGGTCTGCCTTATACATGAGGCCTGTATTATAAACTGCAACTCCGCATTCCCCAACCCCGTTGTTTCTTCTCCCCAGAACACTAGGCACCATCTGATCTACCATGCCTTTTCCTTATTGTCAGATACTGAACTCTCAGATACAGTTCCCCTTCCTCCCTCCAGGGGGCGCCATGGAACGCAGGGCCCTCACTGGCCCTGGGGACTGGGTGACGACAGGGGGGAGCCTCTGGTGATTGGCTCCCTCACCCTGCGTAAGATCAAAGGGACTAAAGGACAGCCCCGACACCCGGAGCCATTGTGGCTCAGGCCGGTTGCGCCTGCCCTCGGGCCCTCACGGAGGCGGGGGTTCCAGGGCACGAGTTCGAGGCCAGCCTGGTCCACATGGGTCGGAAAAAAGGATTTTTTTTATCGTTCCCAATATAACGACAAAACATAAAGGGAGGACGCCTTGATAGGAAGAAATGACATCTTCCTAAGTGTTTTTAAATTACTTCCATGTGTCTTTTTTTTTTTTTTTTTTTGGGAGACCGAGCCTTGCTCTGTTGCCCAGGCTGGAGTGCAGTGGTGTGATCTTCGCTCACTGCAACCTCCGCCTCGTCGGTTCAAGGGAGTCTCCTATCTCAGCCTCCTGAGTAGCTGGGATTACAGTCGCCTGCCAAGAGATGGGGTTTCGCCATGTTGACCAGGCTGGTCTTGAACACCTGGCCTCAAATGATCCACTCGCCTTGGTCTCCCAAAGTGGTAGGATGACAGGCGTGAGCCACCGCGCCCAGCCTCTTCTATTCTTTTAGAGACAGGGTCTCACTCTGTTGCCCAGGCTGGAGTGCATTGATGTGATGTGTGATCATAGCTCATTGCAGCCCTGACCATCCGAGCTCAAGCAATCCTTCTGCCTCAGCCTCCTGAGTAGCTGGGGCCGCAGATGTGCACCACTGCACCTGGCTAATTTTTAACCTTTTTGTGGAGCCAGAGTCTGTATAAAATAAAGTGTAAATAGTACCATCAATAAAGAATACATAGTACCATTTTATAGTAGTATAAAACGGACATTAGAAACTCTGAACTTAAAGGTTAAAAAAATACACAAAAGTAGTTCTCAAGTTCTAGAGACTTGGAGAATCCAGGAATCAACAATGTCGTGGAACTCCTACAGCCTTTCATAAAGAATGGCCCTCGAGGAAAGTGGAATTGTCAGTGGGCATTGTGTTCGTGCCTCAGCTAAACACGGCAGGAATTTATTTATAACCTAGTGTAACATCCTCGAGGCACTGTTCAATTAGTCAAGCAATTGTAAAATTCTCCCAGTCTTAGAAAAGATACAGGTGTGTGTCCCTCTGCTGTGGCTGTGCACTGAGGCTTCGGTAAAGGTTGCCGTCTAAAACCACCGGCCTGCCCTTGAATTATTTTTTTCTTTTTCAGACGGAGTCGCACTCTATCACCCAGGCTGGAGTGCAGTGACACGATCTCTGTTCACTGCAACCTCCGCCTCCCGGGTTCAAGCGATTCCCCTGCCTCAGCCTCCTGAACAGCTGGGATTACAGGCACCCGTCCCCATGCCCGGGTAATTTTTGTATATTTAGTAGAGATGGGGTTTCACCATGTTGGCCAGGCTGGTCTCGAACTCCTTACCTCAAGTGATCCATCCGCCTCAGCCTCCCAAAGTGCTGGGATTACAGGCGTGAGCCACTGCGCCCGGCTTCTTGAATTAGTTTCTAGGAGAAGCCAAGAACCCCCCCGGGCTAAGCCTCAATTTTGGGGCTCGCCTGTGCTGCATCAGCTTCACACCTAGAGAAGAGAGTGAAAGAGAAGGGAGAGCCGTCCTTTTGGGCTGCCTTGAAATAAAGGTTGACCCATGGGTTCATGTATTGTCATTCATTCTCATTTTCTCTTCCTCTCTTTCTCTCTCTCCCCTGCCCCTGAAGTTAGCTTTTCTAAACCCTACCTGGATAAGGATAAGAAATAGAAGGAGGGGACACTTTAGGATGCTACAAAATAAAATACAACAACAACAACAATAACAGCAGCAGCAACAACAACAACAGCAACAAAAGGGGAAGAAACAAATCTGGCCACTGCACATTCCTCCTTGCCAACAAAAAGCCGTGGATGCAAAAAGCTGCCCTTCACTGCATAGACAGAACAGGGCGCGCTCGAGCTATGAATCTCGGAAATTACTCAAACCATCAGCCTCTGCAAGAAGCAAAGTGGACGGCCGGGCGCGGTGGCTCACTCCTGGAATCCCAGCACTTTGGGAGCCCGAGGTGGGCGGATCACGAGGTCAGGAGATCGAGACTGTTCTGGCTAAACCAGTGAAACCCCCTCTCTACTAAAAAAATAAGAAAAGCGAAGTGCATCTCCCATAAACGAAGTACTGCAGGAAGAAAGCAGAAAATGAGACCCGAGTACACACATGCACGCGGGCGCGCGCACACACACACCAGAAGAAATGAACCAAGAGGAAAGGAAACATTTTCAAATAAGCATTTGGAGATGGGAAAAACACCTTGAAACAGAAATTCATAAAGTACAGAATTTTTTTTAAGTTAAAAAAGGAACAATAATAGACAGAAAATGAATGAAAAATTAAATGTCATATCAGAAGTGAAGATAAATTAAAAGTGGTCAAAGGAGAAGAGATCTAAATGCAAACTTAAGAAGGGGCAATTTTTTTTTTTTTTTTTTTTTTGAGACGCAGCCTCACTCTGTCGCCCGGGCTGGAGTGCAGTGGCGTGATCTTGGCTCACTGAAACCTCTGCCTCCTGGATTCAAGCGATTCTCCTGCCTCAGCCTCCCAAGTGGCTGGGATTACAGGCATGAGCCACCATGCCTGGCCTAGAGTCGGCATGGAAATTAAACAACCTGCTTCCAAATGACTTTTGGGTAAAGACTGAAATTAAGGCAGAAATAAAAAAATTATCTGAAACTAATGAAAACAAACATACAACATCCCAGAATCTCTGGGACACAGCTAGAACAGTGCTCAAAGGAAGTTTCTAGTGCTAAAGGGCTACACTAAGAAGCTAGAAAGATCTCAAATGAACCGCCTAACATCACACCTAGAGGAATTAGAAAAACAAGAGCAAATCAACCCCAAAGCTAGCAGAAGAAAAAAAAAAACCAACATCGGAGCTGACCTGAATGAAATGGAGACGTAAAAAACCATACAAAAGATCAATGAAACCCAAAGTTGATTTTTTAAAAAAATTATTTATTTATTATTTATTCCATAAATTATTGGGGTACAGGTGGTGTGTGGTTACATAAGCTCTTTAGTGGTGATTTGTGATTTTGGTGCACCCATCACCTGAGCAGTATACACTACACCCTACTTGTTGTATTTTATCCCTCGCCCCCGCCAACTCGTCCCCCTAAGTCCCCAAAGTCCATTGTATCATTCTTACGCCTTTGCGTCCTCATAGCTTAGCTCCCACATATCAGTGAGAACATACGATGTTTGGTTTTCCATTCCTGACTTACTTCACTTAGAATAACAGTCTCCGGTCTCATCCAGGTCACGGCAAATGCTGTTAATTCATACAAAGTTGATATTTTTGAAAGCATAAATAACATGGGAAGACCACTAGCTAGATTAATAAAGAAAAAAAGACAAGATCCAAATAAACACAATCAGAAATGACAAAGGTGACATTTCCACTGACCCAGAGATATACAAGAAACCCTGAGACTATTCCACATGCGTCTATGCACACAAACTAGAAAACTAGAAGAAATAGAGAAATTCCTGGAAACATAAAACCTCTCAAGATTGAACCAGGAAGAAATGGAAACCCTGAACAAACCAACGATGAGTTCCAAAATTGAGTTAGTCATACAAAACCTACCAACCAGCACAAAAAACCTTAGACTAGACGGATTCACAGTCGAATCCTACCAGATGTGTAAAGAAAAGCCGGCACCAATCCTACTGAAATTATTCCACACAATTGAGGAGGAGCAACTGCTCTCTAACTCATTCTATGAGGTCAGAGTCATTCTGATACCGAAACCTGGCAGAGACACAACGAAAAAAGGAAAATAGGTAAAGTAATACATATGTTAATGATCTTGATTTAGCCATTCTACGGTATATACATATTTCAAAACAATATGTACATGATAAATATGTACAATTTGTCAATTAAAAATATATAAAAGGAATAGGAAAAAATTCAAATGGCACAGAATTTGAAAGGAGAAGATACAGAACAAACTCCGGTGTCTTCTTTATTCAACTATATATACACACATTCAATGGACTGGGAGCAGTGGCTCAAGCCTGTAATCACAGCACTTTGGGAGGTCAAGGCGGGCAGATCACCTGAGGTCGGGAGTTCGAGACCAGCCTGACCAACAGGGAGAAACCCCAGCTCTACTAAAAATACAAAATTAGCCGGGCATGGTGGCGCATGCCTGTAATCCCAGCTACTCGGAAGGCTGAGGCAGGAGAATCGCTTGAACTCAAGAGGTGGAGGTTGTGGTGAGCCGAGATGGCACCATTGCACTCCAGCCTGGGCAACAAGAGCGAAACTCAGTCTCAAAAAAAGAAAAAAAAGGATTTAATGAATGAATGATGAGACTGTTGGTTACATCTCCCACCTTCTCCCTCTCACTCCACTGCAGCCACACGGGGCTCCTCACTGTTCCCGTAGCAGCAGGCATGTGCCCCCACAGGGCCTCTGTACTGGCTGTTCCCACTGCCCGAACACCCTCATGCACCATCTGCACTGTCCAATACGGCCGCCTCTGGCCACACATGGCTACTGAGCAGTTGAACATGGCTGGTCCAAACCAAGATTTCCAAGACGTCGTATGGTAAAAAATAACATAAAATCTTGCAAAAATGTTTCTATTGATTATGTTAAAATTATGATGTTTTAGGTATATTAGGTTAAATCAGCTATTTTATCAAAATGAATCTCACCTGTTTGTTTTTGCTTTTTTTTTTTTTTTTTTTGAGATGGAGTCTCGCTCTGTCGCCCAGGCGAGAGTACAATGGCGTGGTCTCGGCTCACTGCATCACTGCAACCTCTACCTCCCAGGTTCAAGCGATTCTCCTACCTCACCCTCCCAAGTGGCTGGGATTACAGGCGTGTGCCACCACACCCAGCTAATTTTTGTATTTTTAGTAGAGACAGGGTTTCACCATGTTGGCCGGGCTGGTCTCGAACTGCTGACCTCGTGATCTACCTGCCTCGGCCTCCCAAAGTCCTGGGATTACAGGTGTGGGCCACTGCGCCGGCCATGTTTCTCGACTTCTGCTGGCAAGCATGTTCCAGTATTTGCATGGCTCCTAGCCCTCATCTCCATTTCTCTGCACAGATGTTACCTTCCCCATGAGGTCTGCCTTATACATGAGGCCTGTATTATAAACTGCAACTCCGCATTCCCCAACCCCGTTGTTTCTTCTCCCCAGAACACTAGGCACCATCTGATCTACTATGCCTTTTCCTTATTGTCAGATACTGAACTCTCAGATACAGTTCCCCTTCCTCCCTCCAGGGGGCGCCATGGAACGCAGGGCCCTCACTGGCCCTGGGGACTGGGTGACGACAGGGGGGAGCCTCTGGTGATTGGCTCCCTCACCCTGCGTAAGATCAAAGGGACTAAAGGACAGCCCCGACACCCGGAGCCATTGTGGCTCAGGCCGGTTGCGCCTGCCCTCGGGCCCTCACGGAGGCGGGGGTTCCAGGGCACGAGTTCGAGGCCAGCCTGGTCCACATGGGTCGGAAAAAAGGATTTTTTTTATCGTTCCCAATATAACGACAAAACATAAAGGGAGGACGCCTTGATAGGAAGAAATGACATCTTCCTAAGTGTTTTTAAATTACTTCCATGTGTCTTTTTTTTTTTTTTTTTTTGGGAGACCGAGCCTTGCTCTGTTGCCCAGGCTGGAGTGCAGTGGTGTGATCTTCGCTCACTGCAACCTCCGCCTCGTCGGTTCAAGGGAGTCTCCTATCTCAGCCTCCTGAGTAGCTGGGATTACAGTCGCCTGCCAAGAGATGGGGTTTCGCCATGTTGACCAGGCTGGTCTTGAACACCTGGCCTCAAATGATCCACTCGCCTTGGTCTCCCAAAGTGGTAGGATGACAGGCGTGAGCCACCGCGCCCAGCCTCTTCTATTCTTTTAGAGACAGGGTCTCACTCCGTTGCCCAGGCTGGAGTGCATTGATGTGATGTGTGATCATAGCTCATTGCAGCCCTGACCATCCGAGCTCAAGCAATCCTTCTGCCTCAGCCTCCTGAGTAGCTGCGGCCGCAGATGTGCACCACTGCACCTGGCTAATTTTTAACCTTTTTGTGGAGCCAGAGTCTGTATAAAATAAAGTGTAAATAGTACCATCAATAAAGAATACATAGTACCATTTTATAGTAGTATAAAACGGACATTAGAAACTCTGAACTTAAAGGTTAAAAAAATACACAAAAGTAGTTCTCAAGTTCTAGAGACTTGGAGAATCCAGGAATCAACAATGTCGTGGAACTCCTACAGCCTTTCATAAAGAATGGCCCTCGAGGAAAGTGGAATTGTCAGTGGGCATTGTGTTCGTGCCTCAGCTAAACACGGCAGGAATTTATTTATAACCTAGTGTAACATCCTCGAGGCACTGTTCAATTAGTCAAGCAATTGTAAAATTCTCCCAGTCTTAGAAAAGATACAGGTGTGTGTCCCTCTGCTGTGGCTGTGCACTGAGGCTTCGGTAAAGGTTGCCGTCTAAAACCACCGGCCTGCCCTTGAATTCTTTTTTTTTTTTTTTCTTTTTCAGACGGAGTCGCACTCTATCACCCAGGCTGGAGTGCAGTGACACGATCTCTGTTCACTGCAACCTCCGCCTCCCGGGTTCAAGCGATTCCCCTGCCTCAGCCTCCTGAACAGCTGGGATTACAGGCACCCGTCCCCATGCCCGGGTAATTTTTGTATATTTAGTAGAGACAGGGTTTCACCATGTTGGCCAGGCTGGTCTCGAACTGCTGACCTCGTGATCTACCTGCCTCGGCCTCCCAAAGTCCTGGGATTACAGGTGTGGGCCACTGCGCCGGCCATGTTTCTCGACTTCTGCTGGCAAGCATGTTCCAGTATTTGCATGGCTCCTAGCCCTCATCTCCATTTCTCTGCACAGATGTTACCTTCCCCATGAGGTCTGCCTTATACATGAGGCCTGTATTATAAACTGCAACTCCGCATTCCCCAACCCCGTTGTTTCTTCTCTCCAGAACAGTAGGCACCATCTGATCTACTATGCCTTTTCCTTATTGTCAGATACTGAACTCTCAGATACAGTTCCCCTTCCTCCCTCCAGGGGGCGCCATGGAACGCAGGGCCCTCTCTGTCCCTGGGGACTGGGTGATGTCAGGGGTGAGCCTCTCGTGATTGGCTACATCGCTCCCCAGAAGGTCAAATGGAAAAATTGAGAGCACTTTTCCACCAGCTTCGGTGGCTCCGTCAGGTTGTCCTGGCGCACAAGCTGGCGATGCTATGTGTTTGAAGCTAACCTGGACAAAATTGAAAAAAATTGTTTTTTCATTGTTCCGTCATAAAGGGAGGTCTCGACAGGAAGAAATTGCGTTTCCAATAGAATTGTTTTTAAATTACTGCAATATATCTTTTGAGATGGAGTCTTGCTCTGTTGCCTAGGGTGGAGTGCAGTCTTATGATCTCGACCTCTGCCTTCTGGGTTGAAGAGAGTCTCCTCTCTCACCCTGAGGTTACAGGCGCACACTACCACACTTGGCTAATTTTTGTATTTTTGGCTTCTTTTTGAGATGGAGTCTTGCTCCGTCGCTGAGGCTCAAGGGCAGTGGTGCGATCTTGGCTGACTGCAACCTCTGCCTTCCGGGTTCAAGTGATTCATCTGCCTCAGCCTCCCGAGTAGCTGGGACTACAGGCACGTGCCACCACGCCTAGCTAATTCTTTGTATTTTTAGTAGAGAAAGGGTTTCACTGTGTTAGGATGGTCTCTATCTCCTGACCTTGTGATCTGCCCGCCTCAGCCTCCCAAAGTGGTGGGATTACAGGTGTGAGCCACCGCTACCTGGCCTTTTTTTAAATTTAATTATTTATTTATTTATTTATTTTTATTTTGAGGTGGAGTCTTACTCTGTTGCCCAGGCTGGAGTGCAGTGGCGCAATTTTGGCTCACTGCAACCCCCGCCTCCCAGGTTCAAGCAATTCCTTTGCCTCAGCGACCCAGTAGCTGGGATTACAGGCGCGTGCCACCATGTCTGGCAATTTTGTGTATTTTTAATAGAGACGAGGTTTCCCCATTTTGGCCAGGCTGGTCTTCAACTCCTGACCTCAGGTGATCCGCCCGCCTCCGCTTTCCAGACTGCTGGGCTTACAGGCGTGAACCACTGCGCCAGCCTCTTTATCCCTTCTATACTGCATACCCCAAGTTGCAAACTGTTATTAGAGTGAATACCTAGGGGCAACTTGGATCCTTATAATGGACACCTGATATTTTTGCCTGAGTGACATCTGTTATCTCTGATTTTCTTCTTCATTAATAATTTTTTTTGGAGCAGTCTTAGGTTTACAGGAAAAAATCGAATGAAAAGTACCGAGAGTTTCTACATCCCCTTTCATCCCTTCATTGCCCCTCATCTTCCCTGTTAACATCTTGTGTTACTGTGCTACGTTTGTTACAATTAATAAGCCAATATTGATACATTATTATTAGCTGAAATCTGCAGTTTACATTAAGGTCCACTCCTTGTGTGATACCTTGTACATTCTATTTTTTTTTTTAATAAAGCATTTTTTTGGTGTTGTTTTTTTTTTTTTTTTTTTGAGATGGAGTCTTCCTGTGTCACCCAGGCTGGAGTGCAGTGGCGTGATCTCAGCTCACCGCAAGCTCCACCTCCTGGGTTCACACCATTCTCCTGCCTCAGCCTCCTGAGTAGCTGGGACTACAGGTGCCCGCAATCACGCCCGGCTAATTGTTTGTATTTTTAGTAGAGACGGGGTTTCACCGTGTTATCCAAGATGGTCTCGATCTCCTGACCTCATGATCTGCCCACCTTGGCCTCCCAAAGTGCTGGAATTACAGGCATGAGCCACCGCGCCAGGCCTTTTTTTTTTTTTTTTTTTTTTTTTTTCAGTTTTAAAATCACAGCAAAATTGAGAGGAAAGTCCATAGTTTACATTCAGTTTCTCTCTTAGTGTTTTATTGTCTATGGGTTTGAACAAATTTATAATGACATGTGTCCACCATTATAGTATTATGCAGAGTAGTTTCACTGTCCTAAAACTCCTCTGGGCTCTGCTGATTCATCCTTCCCTCCTCCCAAACCCCTAAAAACCAATGATTTTTTTTAACTGTCTCTATAGTGTTTCCTTTTCCAGAATGTGGTATAGTTGGAATCATACCATATGTAGCGATTTCGTATTGGCTTCTTTCACTTAACAATATGCATTTTAGGTTCCTCCATATCTTTTCATGGCTTATTATAACTGAGTAATATTCCATTGTATGCATGTACTGCAGTTTGTTCATCTACTGAAGGACATCTTGGTTGCTTCCAAGTTTTGGCAATTATGTACAGAGCCGCTATGAATATTTGTCTTCAGGTTTTTGTGGGGATATAAGTTTTGAGCTCATTTGAGTAAATACCAAGGAACATGAGTGCTGCAATATATGGTAAGAGTGTTTAGTTTTGTAAGGAAGTGCCAAATTGTCTTCTAAAGTGGCTGCACCATTTTGCATTACTGCCAGAGATGAATAAGAGTTCCTGACGTTCCTCATCCTCATCAGCACTTGGTGTTATTCATGTTTTGGATTTTCACCATTCTAATAGGTGGTTGTCGTATGTCATCATTGCTTTAATTTGCAATTTCCTAATGACATTTGATGTTGAGCCCCCTTTTTTTTTGGAGACAGAGTCTTGCTCTGTCGCCGAGGCTGAAGTGCAATGGCATGATCTCGGCTCACTGCAACATCTGCCTCCCAGGTTCAAGTGATTCTCCTGTCTCAGCCTCCCAAGTAGCTGGGATTACAGGCATGCACCACCACGCCTGGCTAATTTTGTATTTTTAGTAGACATGGGGTTTCTCCATGTTGATCAGGCTGGTCTCGAATGCCTGACCTCAGGTGATCTGCCCACCTTGGCCTCCCAAAGTGCTGGGATTACAGGTGTGAGCCACCACGCCCGGCCCAAGTACCTTTTATTTATTTGTTTGTTTGTTTATTTATTTATTTTAAGAAACAGGGTCTCTGTTGCCCAGGCTGGAGTACAGCAGTGCAATCATAGCTCACTGCCGCCTCCAACTCTTAGATCCTCCTTCTCGGCCTCCCCAGTAGCTGGGACTACAGTTGTGTGCTGTCACACCTGGCTATTTTTTTATTTCTATTTTTATTATTTTATTTATTTATTTATTTAGAAACAGGGTCTCGCTCTGTCATCCAGGCTGGAATGCAGTGGCACGATCTCTGCTGACTGCAACCTCTGCCTCCTAGACTCAAGTGATCCTCCGACCTCACCCTTCCAAGTAGCTGAGACCACAGGTGTGCACCACCACATCTGGCTAATTTTTTGTATTTTTCGTAGAGATGGGGTTTCACCACGTTGCCTGGGCTGGTCTTGACCTCCTGAGCTCAAGGGAATTACCAGCTGTGGCCTCCCAAAGTGCTGGGATTGCAGGTGTGAGCCACAACATCTGACCTTTTTCTTTTTATTTTTTATAGAGATGGCGTCTCAATGTGTTGCCTAGGTTGGTCTGAAACTCTTGGCCTCAAATGATCCTCCTGCCCCAGCCTCCCAAAGTGTTGGGATTACAGGCAGGAGCCACCCCACCACACCTTTTTATTTACTTATTTGCCATCTGCATATCTTCTTTGTTGAAGTGTCTGTTCAGATCTGTTGCCTATTTTTAAATTGGGTTGTTTGTTTTCTTTTTTCTTTTTTTTTTTAATTGATCATTCTTGGGTGTTTCTCGCAGAGGGGGATTTGGCAGGGTCATAGGACAATAGTGGAGGGAAGGTCAGCAGATAAACAAGTGCACAAAGGTCTCTGGTTTTCTTAGGCAGAGGACCCTGCGGCCTTCCGCAGTGTTTGTGTCCCTGGGTACTTGAGATTAGGGAGTGGTGATGACTCTTAACGAGCATGCTGCCTTCAAGCATCTGTTTAACAAAGCACATCTTGCACTGCCCTTAATCCATTTAACCCTGAGTGGACACAGCACATGTTTCAGGGAGCACAGGGTTGGGGGTAAGGTCACAGATCAACAGGATCCCAAGGCAGAAGAATTTTTCTTAGTACAGAACAAAATGAAAAGTCTCCCATGTCTACTTCTTTCTACACAGACACGGCAACCATCCGATTTCTCAATCTTTTCCCCACTTTTCCCCCCTTTCTATTCCACAAAACCGCCATTGTCATCATGGCCTGTTCTCAATGAGCTGTTGGGTACAACTCCCAGACGGGGTGGTGGCCGGGCAGAGGGGCTCCTCACTTCCCAGTAGGGGCGGCCGGGCAGAGGGGCTCCTCACTTCCCAGTAAGGGCGGTCGGGCAGAGGTGCCCCTCACCTCCCAGACGGGGCGGCTGGCCGGGAGGGGGGCTGACCCCCC
Source organism: Homo sapiens (assembly GCF_000001405.40). Classification (NCBI taxonomy): domain Eukaryota; kingdom Metazoa; phylum Chordata; class Mammalia; order Primates; family Hominidae; genus Homo; species Homo sapiens. The sequence goes on along the minus strand of NC_000019.10, from coordinate 50,086,670 downwards.
CACCTCCCTCCCGGACGGGGCTGCTGGCCTGGCGGGGGCTGACCCCCACCTCCCTCCCGGATGGGGTGGCTGCCGGGCGGAGACTCTCCTCACTTCCCAGACGGGGTGGCTACCGGGCGGAGGGGCTCCTCACTTCTCAGACGGGGCGGTTGCCAGGCGGAGGGTCTCCTCACTTCTCAGACGGGGCGGCCGGGCAGAGACGCTCCTCACCTCCCAGACGGGGTCGCGGCCGGGTAGAGGCGCTCCTCACATACCAGACGGGGCGGCGGGGCAGAGGCGCTCCCCACATCTCAGACGGTGGGCGGCCAGGCAGAGACGCTCCTCACTTCCTAGATGGGATGGCGGCCGGGAAGAGGTGCTCCTCACTTCCTAGATGGGATGGCAGCCGGGAAGAGGCGCTCCTCACTTTCCAGACTGGGCAGCCAGGCAGAGGGGCTCCTCACGTCCCAGACGATGGGCGGCCAGGCAGAGATGCTCCTCACTTCCCCGACGGGGTGGTGGCCGGGCAGAGGCTGCAATCTTGGCACTTTGGGAAGCCAAGGCAGGCGGCTGGGAGATGGAGGTTGTAGCGAGCCGAGATCACGCCACTGCACTCCAGCCTGGGCGCCATTGAGCACTGAGTGAACCAGACTCCGTCTGCAATCCCGGCACCTCGGGAGGCCGAGGCTGGCGGATCACTCGCGGTTAGGAGCTGGAGACCGGCCTGGCCAACACAGCGAAATCCCGTCTCCACCAAAAAAATACGAAAACCAGTCAGGCGTGGCGGCGTGTGCCTGCAATGGCAGGCACTTGGCAGGCTGAGGCAGGAGAATCAGGCAGGGAGGTTGCGTGAGCCGAGATGGCAGCAGTACAGTCCAGCTTCGGCTCGGCATCAGAGGGAGACCGTGGAAAGAGAGGGAGAGGGAGACTGTGGAAAGAGAGGGAGAGGGAGACCGTGGGGAGATGGGAGAGGGAGAGGGAGAGGGAGAGGGAGATGGAGAGGGAGCGGGTTGTTTGTTTTCTTATTGTTAAGTTTTAGTTCTTTGTATACCAGCTTTCTTTTCTCTTTTTCTTTTTCTTTCTTTCTTTTCTTTTTTTTCAGACAAGGTCTTGCTCTGTTGCCCAGGCTGGAGTGCAATGGCGCAATCTTAGCTCACTGCCACCTCCGCCTCCCAGGTTCAAGTGATTCTCTTGCTTCAGCCTCCCGAGTAGCTGGGATTACAGGCACCCACCACCATGCCAGGCTAATTTTTGTATTTTTAGTAGAGACAGGGTTTTGCCACGTTGGCCAGGCTGCTCTCAAACTCCTGACCTCAGGTGATCCGCCCACCTCAGCCTCTCAAAATGCTGGGATTACAGATGTGAGCCACCACACCTGGCCTGGATACCAGCTTTTTGTCTGATAGGTGTTTTGAAAAGATTTTCTCACAATCTATAGCTTCTCTTTTTATTCTCTTAAACATCTGATTTTCCTATCACTCCTCTCCATGCAAAATATACATTTTTTGACTGGATCTTGCCAGGGATCTCAGAGTGAGAACAAGAGTCAGACCTGGCCAACCTGAGTACTTCATGACCTTGGTTATGATGTGCAGTAGTTTGGATGTATGTCCCATCCAATTTTTTTTTTTTTTTTTTGAGACAGAGTTTTGCTTTGTCACCCAGGCTGGAGTGCAGTTGCACAATCTTGGCTCAGTGCAACCTCCACCTCCTGGGTTCAAGTGACCCTTCTGCCTCCGCCTCCTGAGTAGCTGGGATTATAGGCACATGCCACGCCCGGCTAATTTTTGTATTTTTAGGAGAGACGGGGTTTCCCCGTGTTGGCCAGGCTGCCTTCTAAATTTCGTTCTTGAAATTGGATCCCCAATGTTGGAGATGGGGTCCTAATGAGAGGTGTTTGGGTCACAGGGGTGGACCCCTCACAAATAGATTAATGCCCTCCCTGGGAGTGTGGGTGAGTGAGTTCTTCCTCCATTAGTTCCCATTAGAGTTGGTTGTTAAAGAGAGGCTGACACTTGCCTCTCTTGCTTCCTCTATTGTCACATGATCCCTGCTTTCTTTCTCCTTCCACCAAGAGTGGAAGTAGCTCTAGACTTTCTCTGTATGCCCAATCTTCCAGCCAGCAGAATCATAAGCCAAATACACCTTTTTCTCTTTATAAATTACCCAGCCTCGTGGATCACTTTAGGTCAGGAGTTCGAGACCAGCCTGGCTAACATGGTGAAACCCTGTCTCTACTAAAAATACAAAAAATTAGCCAGGTGTGGTGGCGGGCACCTGTCATACCAGCTACACTGGAGGCAGGAGAATCACTTGTACCTGGGAGGCGGACATTGTAGTGAGCCAAGATTGCGCCACTGCACTCCAGCCTAGGTGACAGAGCAAGATCCTGTCTCAAAAAAAAAATAATAAAATAAAATAAAAATTACCCAGCGTCAGGTTTTCCTTTATAGCAAGACAACATGGACTAAGACACATGGTTACTATAGAAATGGACATGTGACCCAAGTTGGGCCAATGAGAGCTAACCTTGAGACTTTGGTATCACCATTCAGGAAGGCAGTACCCCTTTTCTGCTAGGTTGTTAAAATGATAAGCTAGGTTGTTAAAATGATAGTATGGAAGCTTCGAGCTGCTGTGGGCCCTGTTTGTCACCGTGAGGGAAGAGATTCTGCCTGAGAGGGAAGTCAAGATACAGAAAAGTAAAGCCCAGATGGGAAATGAGCGGTATTGCTAAAGATTCATTTTAGTGCCTGGATCCAGTTATGCCTGAAGCTAGTTATATAGCTCGGTTCTATAAGTCAACAAATTCCCTTTGTCAAAAACAAAAAAAGCCAGAGTACTTTCCAGAGAGCAAGGCTTATTATAATAATAATTAAAGCAGCATACTCTTGCAAGGAAAAACAAATAGACCAAAAGAACAAGACGGAAAAATCAGGAAAAGTTCACACATATACGGTAACTTGGTTTATGACAAAAGCAACATTTCAGTGCAGTGAGAAGCAAAAGATGATCTTTTTGGATAAATAGGGCTGAGCCAGTTGATAACCATATGACCTCTACCTCACACCATACACAAAAATTGATTCCAGATGTGTTGTAGATCTAAATGTTAAAGCTTAAACAATAAAACTTCTAGAAGAAAATATCATAGAGTATCTTCAGAACCTTCAGGGTAAGAAAATATTTCTTTTATTTACTTGTTTGTGTTAATAGAGATAGGGTCTCGCTATGTTGCCCAGGCTGGTCTCGAACTCCTAGGCTCATATGATCCTCCCTCCTCAGCCTCCCAAAGTGCTGAGATTACAGGCATGAGCCAGTGTGCCTGGCCAGAAAATATTTCTTAAACCAGAAACAAAGGAGCCTTAACTATAAAGGAAAATGTTGATAAATTGGACTATATTAAAATAGAAACTGATCCTCATCAAAAAATACCATTAAGAGAATGAAAAGACAAGCCAGAGAGTGGGAGAAGAATATGTATTCTAACAAAAGACTCATAAGAAAAATAAAGAAATAACTCCTACTAACCTGTTTTTTAAAAAAGGCAGAAAAACCAGTCGAAAAATGGACGAATGGCGTGAATTGACATTTCACAAAGTAGCATGTTCATATGCCCAATAAATATTTGAAACAGTGTTAAATTTCTTTCTTATTTTTTTTTTGAGACGGAGTCTCGCTCTGTCTCCCAGGCTGGAGTGCAGTGGCGTGATCTTGGCTCACTGCAAGCTCCGCCTTCTGGGTTCACGCCATTCTCCTGCCTCAGCCTCCTGAGTAGCTGGGACTACAGGCACCCGCCACTGCGCCCAGCTAATTTTTTGTATTTTTAGTAGAGACGGGGTTTCACCGTGGTCTCGATCTCCTGACCTCGTGATCCACCCGCCTCGGCCTCCCAAAGTGCTGGGATTATAGGCATGAGCCACTGCGCCTGGCCCAAAACGGTGTTAAATTTCTTTAGGCATTGGGCTAAAGGTAAATTAAAACCATAATAAAACACGGCTACAGCCCCACCAGAATTGCTAAAATTGAAAGGACTAACAATACCAAATGTTGGCGAGCAGCTGAAATTCTCAGAGACTGCTGGCGGGTGTATAAATGGAGAAAATTAGTTTGAAAACCTGGTTGGCAGTGTCTATTAAGGATGAACATGAAGCTGGGAATGGTGACTCATGCCTGTAATTCCAACACTTTGGGAGGCGGCGGATCACTTGAGGTCACGACCAGCCTGGCCACTCCCATCTCAAAAAAAAAAAAAAAAAGAGGAACATGCCCACACCATGCATACACCCTGGGACCCAGCAATTACACTTCTAGGTATATACCCAACAGAAATACAGAAATGCCTACATATGTTCACCAAAATTCAATGTATATAGCAGTACTGTAAGTGATCATGCCAAATCAGAAGGCACCTAAATGTCAATCAACAGTAGAATGGATACATAGATTATTATGTATTCCCATAACACACTTTTTTTTTTGAGACAAGATTGTCCTCTGTCACCCAGGCTGTAGTGCAGTGGTGTGATCTCAGCTCACTGCAATTTCTGCCTCCCAAGCTCAAGCCATCCTCCCACCTCAGCTTCCCAAGTAGCTGAGATGATAGGCACGCACCACCACACCCCACTAATTTTTGTATTTTTTTTGTAGAGACGGGGTCTTGCTATGTTGCTCAGGCTGGTCTTGAACTCCTGTGCTCAAGATATCTGCTTGCCTCACCCTCCTAAAGTGCTAGGATTATAGGCATGAGCCACCGTGCCTGGCTCATAACACACTCTTATACAGCAATGATAATGAACAACCTCCAACAATCAGCAACTACATGGACAAATCTCATAGACGTATGATGAATAAAACAATTCAGGCCAGGTGCAATGGCTCACGCCTGTAATTCCAACACTTTGGGAGGCCGAGATGGGCAGATCACGAGGTCAAGAAATAGAAACCATCCTGGCCAACATGGTGAAACCCTGTCTCTACTAAAAATACAAAAAATTAGCTGGGTGTGGTAGTGCGCACCTGTAATCCCAGCTACTCAGGAGGCTGAGGCAGGAGAATCGTTTGAACCTGGGAGGCGAAGGTTGCAGTGAGCTGAGATCATGCCACTGCACTCCAGCCTGGTGACAGAGCGACTCTCCGTCTCAAAAAAAAAAAAAAAAAAAAAAAAGAATTCCAACACACAAGTCTCTATGCTTGTAGGATTCCAAGCAGATTAAGATCAAAAACAAGGCAAACTGACTTATGGTGTCAGAAATCAGGGTAGTAGTTACCTTTGAGGTGAAGAAGTGACTGACAAGGGGCCGGGCGCGGTGGCTCACGCCTGTAATCCCAGCACTTTGGGAGGCCGAGGTGGGCAGATCATGAGGTCAGGAGATCGAGACCATCCTGGCTAACACGGTGAAACCCCGTCTCTACTAAAAATACAAAAAAATTAGCCAGGCATAGTGGCAGGCGCCTGTAGTCCCGGCTACTCGGGAGGCCGAGGCAGGAGAATGGCGTGAACCCAGGAGGCGGAGCTTGCAGTGAGCCGAGATAGCGCCACTGCACTCCAGGCGAGACTCTGTCTCAAAAAAAAAAAAAAAACACAAAAAAGTGACTGACAAGGAGCATGAGGGGTTTGGAGAGCTGGTAATGTTCTAGTTCCTGACCCAGGGCTGGTTACCCATGGTTACATGGTGTGCTCAGTCTGTCATCTGATCCATACTTACTGGGTATTTGTGAGTTTCTTTGTGAGTATGTTGTACTTCAATAATTTTTTTTTTGAAACTGGGTCTCTGTCGTCCAGACTGGACTGCAGTGGCTCAACCATGGCTCACTGCAGCCTTGACCTCCTGGGCTCAAGCGATCCTCCCACCTTAGCCTCTTGAGTAGCTGGGACTACAGGTGCACACCATGGCACTTGGCTATATATATATATATATATATATATATTTTTTTTTTTTTTTTTTTAAAGAGATGGAGTCTTGCTATGTTGCCAAGGCTGGGTCTCGAACTCCTGGGCTCTAGTGATCCTCCAATCTTAGCCTCTCAAAGTGCTGGAATTACAGGCATGAGCCACCGAGCTTGGCAATAATTTTTTAAAAGGCCGGTTTTTTGTCTCTTGAAAGTGCAGGAGTCTTGGCAAGTCTAGCAAATGGCATATACTATTTTGTTTCTCTTCCCTCCCCTTTCAAGTGAGAATTGTGATTGTTTTCTTGTTTTTCCTCCACTGTTATACACAGGGGTGGGTTGCTGAGGGGGCTACAATTTCATTTAACATTAATTTTTTTTTTAGATGGAGTCTTGCTCTGTCACCAGGCTGGAGTGCAGTGGCACAATCTCCACTGACTGCAACCTCCGCCTCCCAGGTTCAAGTGATTCTTCTGCCTCGGCCTCCCGAGTAGCTGGGATTATAGGTGTGTGCCACCATGCCGGGCTAATTTTTGTACTTTTAGTAGAGACAGGGTTTCACCATGCTGGCCAGGCTGGTCTTGAACTCCTGACCTCAGGTGATCCACTTGCCTTGGCCTCCCAAAGTGCTGGGATTACAGGTGTGAGCTACCGTGCCCAGCCTTAACATTAATTTTCAGGATCAAGAGAGACTCCATGTGCCCTTGATGAAAGGAATAGCCAATATCCAGAAATCTTGGTCTGAGGATTGGATGTGGCTTTGGGATCCCTCCCTTTGCAGAAGGGGTGAAAGCTTCTGCAGTTGCACTAGAGATAGTTATGTTAGGTGGGAGTATTAGTTTTAGCCAACTTTATCAAAATATAATTTGTGTACAAGAAAATGGATCAATATTTCAAAAAGATATTTGCAACCCACTTTCATAGCAGCATTATTTACAATACCCAAAAGGTAAAGGAGGCAACCCAGCTGTTCATCAACAAATAAATGGTTCGACAAAATGTGGTATATACACATAATGGATTTTTTTTTTGAGATGGAGTCTCGCTCTGTCGCCCAGGCTAGAGTGCAGTGGTGCGATCTTGGCTCACTGCAACCTCCGCCTCCCAGGTTTAAGTGATTCCCCTGCCTCAGCCTCCCAAGTAGCTGGGACTACAGGCGCCTGCCACCACGCCCGGCTAATTTTTTGTAGTTTAGTAGAGATGGGGTTTCACCATGTTGACCAGGATGGTCTCGATTTCCTGACCTCGTGATCCGCCTGCCTCTTCCTCCCAAAGTGCTGGGATTACAGGTGTGAGCCACTGCACCAGGCCCATAATGGAAAATTATTTAACCTTAAAAAGGAAGGAAATGCTAACACATGCTACAACATGGGTGAAGCCTGAGGACATTCATGCTAAGTGAAACAATCCCATCACAAAAAGACAGATGCTGTATGATTCCACTTACATGAGGTACCTAGAGTAGTCAAATTCATAGGGAATTTCCCAGAGAGTAGAACGTGCTTCCCAGGGGCTGGGAAGGGAAGGCAGTGGGAGTTGCTTGATGGGAACAGTTTCAATTCTACAAGAGGAAAGAGTGGAGATGAGTAGGGGTGATGATTGCACAACAATGCAACTGTACACTTAAAATTGGCTAAGTCCTGGGAAAGTGGCTCATGCCTGTAATCTCAGCTACTCTGGAAGCTGAGGCAGGAGAATCGCTTGAACCGGGGAAGCAGAGGTTGCAGTGAGCCAAGACCATGCCATTGCACTCCAGCCTGGGCATTGCAGCGAGACTCCGTCTCAAAAAAAAAAAAAATTGGCTAAGATGGTAAAGTTTGTGTTATGTGTATTTTGCAACAATGTACAAGAATTTAAATGAACCAATTTTAAACGCAATGAATTTTGACAAATGTATTCGGTTGTGTGATCACTTCCATCATCCGGAAAGTTTTCCTGTGTCCACTAGTAATCAGTCTCTCCATAACCACTGCCACTGCCCCCAGTCAACCACTAATCCATTTTCTGCCCCTGCGTATTAGCCTTTTCTTTTCTCTTTTCTTCTCTTCTCTTCTTTTCTTTTCTTTTACTCTGTCACCCAGGCTGGAGTTCAGTGGTGTGATCTCAGCTCACTACAACCTCCGCCTCCCAGGTTCAAGCCATTCTCCTGCCTCAGCCTTCCAAGTAGCTGGGATTACAGGCACTCGCTACCACACCCGGTTAATTTTTGTATTTTTAGTAGAGATGGGGTTTTACCATGTTGGCCAGGCTGGTCTTGAACTCCTGACCTCGTGATCCACCTGCCTCGGCCTCCCAAAGTGCTGGGATTACAGGGTGAGCCACCGTGCCTGGCCTCTGGCCCCTTTCTTTCTTTCTTTCTTTCTTTCTTTCTTTCTTTCTTTCTTTCTTTCTTTCTTTCTTTCTTTGTGTCTCTCTCTCCTTCCTTCCTTCTCTCTCTCTCTCTCTCTTTCTTTCTTTCTCTCTTTCTTTTTTGAGTTGGAGTCTCACTCTGTTGCCCAGGCTGGAGTGCAGTGGCATGATCGGCCCACTGCAACCTCCGCCTCCCGATTCTCCTACTCAGCCTCCCAGGTAGCTGGGATTACAGGTGCCAGGCTGCTTTTGAACTCCTGATCTCAAGTAATCCGCCTGCCTCAGCCTCCCAAAGTGCTAGGATTACAGGCGTGAGCCACCATGCCCCGCCCATATTAGTGTTTTCTTTCTACAATTTCACAAAAGTGGAATCCTACAGCATATACCCTTGTATCTGGCTGTATCACACGGCATCATGTTTTTGAGATGCAGGGCAGCAGTGCCATCACAGCTCACTGCAGCCTCAAACTCCTGGGCTCAAGTGATCCTCCTGCCTCAGCCACCAGAGTAGCTGGGACTACAGGTGAGCACCATCATGCCTGGATAATTTTACTATTATTATTATTACTACTATTAGTTGTAGAGACAGGGTCTTGCTATGCTGCCCAGGCTGGTCTCGAACTCCTGAGCTCGAGCAATACTCCCACCTCGACCTCCAAAGTAGCTGGAACTACAAGTGAACATCACCATGCCCGGCCAATTTTTTTTTTTTTTTTTTAAGAGAATCTCACCATATTACCTGGTCTCAAACTCCTGGGCTTGAGCAATCCTCCTGCCTCAGCCTCCCAAAGTGCTGGGATTTACAGGCATGAGCCACTGTGCCTGGTGGTTACTACCACATTGACTTCAGACTTCTGGCCTCCAGAGCTGTGAGAGAATAAATTTCTGTTGTTTTCAGCTAGGTTATTGTAACCTGTTACATCAGTCCTAGCAAACTGACACAGTGATTGGACCAATTTTTGCAGTGGGAGTTTTTGAAATGTTGTGTCCCGGAATGTAGATGTGAATTAGTGTGAAGTAGCTGAGGGTAGAATGTAGTGGACACCTACTGCTTTGAGGGACTGTCCCTTGCCCATTGCCGTGTGATTCATTTGGAACTGTCAGTCAAGGGACCCCTACATATATGGCTTCCAGGAGATGAATTCATCCTTCCAGCAAAAAGGGATGAGGTCCAGAGGGGCTTTGGACCAATCCTGGGCAAGATGGGCAGGGGAGGAGGAGGAGGAGTCAGCAAAGGCAGGAGGCGGGCCCAAGAGTAGGCTCCAAACTGGACCCAATGATTGGCCCGGGGTGTCTCCAAGGTCTGCGCTGGACCAATCAGAATCCTGTTCCTGAATGACGCAGCAGCTGGGAGCCAGCTGATTCTCACATTGTTTCCTCTGAAGTTATCTGCTCTGAAGGCAATTACAAGTCCTGTTAATTTCTTGCAATGGCAGCAGATCCTGTTAATTTCCTACCCAACAATAGTTCCCCTCCCCGTGCTTCCTCTAGGCAAAGCTGCACCCCACCATGGGAACTGGAAATGACAGATGTTCACTACCCAGACCGCTTTGCAACTCGGGGTAGCCACACAGCCGGGTTCTGGCAAGAGAGAAATAAGGAGAATTATTCTGAGGAGGAAAAAAGGGGAACACAGAAGGGGAGGCCCCGGTCTACACTGCCTGATTTAGATGCCAGTGTGTGAGAACATGATGCTGCTATAGACAGTTTGTACTCAGGAGGGGAACGAACACCAGTCTCAGAGATGCCAACCAGAGCCTAATGTTGTTGAGCAGCTGAACCAACCCTGGGACTGTCTTTGAAAAATTTGATATGCAAACATGCAAAAAAATCTTTCTCTTTCAGTTGGGAAGGTTTTTTTTTTTTTTCAGCCGAAGGTATCATAACAGATACAGCATTATACACCTGGAGCTCCAAGTGACCATCTCATTGCCACTGCAAACACCTACCTGAGAGAGAAGCCAATAGCTAGGCGCGGTGGCTCATGCCTGTAAACCCAGCGCTTTGGGAGGCCAAGGCGGGCAGATCACAGGAGGTCAGGAGCTCGAGACCAGCCTGCCAACATGGTGAAACCCCGTCTCTACTAATACAAAAAGTTAGCCAGGTGTGGTGGCGAGCGGCTGTAATCCCAGCTACTCAGGAGGCTGAGGCAGGAGAATCGCTTGAAACCGGGAGGTTGCAGTGAGCTGAGATCACACCACTGCACTCCAGCCTGGGCAACAAGAGTGAAACTCCATTAAAAAAAAAAAAAAAGAGGAAAGCAGAAGTGAGAGTCCCTTGAACAGCTGGATCTAACCATGCCTGAAGTCCCTCTGTGTTCAATGTGTTCATAGGCTTTCCATGGACAGAGGTCTTTCAATTCTGTTTATGGCTTTGGGTTGAATTTTGTGTTCTGTACTCACAATGATCCTGACTAACACCATTTTTATAAACTGAGGCTCAGAGAGATCATTAAGTTGCCCAGTCATTGAAAGAAACACAAATTTGTCTGCTTGCAGAGCCAGCATGTTCCAATCCGGTTTCCCAGTCTCAGAGAGGACAGGAGGCCCAGTTGGAGTGAGACCCACGGAGTGTGTTTATTCTGGCGTTGATAGCAGCAGCAGTGGGGGGACCGGCCAGACGCAGGGTGTGGCGAACAGAAGGGGTGGACACAGGTGTGTGTGTGTCTGAAAGGACAGAGAGGATTGGCCCATTGACATTCACGGCGAGAACAAGGGTCGGGACACTGAGTCTTGGACAAACAGCAAAGAGACAGAGACAGACAGAGGGTTTTGGGGGGCAGGGGTCCCCCAGACATGCATGGCCCCTCGCCTCGAGGGGGAGCCCCAGGGAAGAAAAGACAGACACAGTGGAGGCTGAATGCCCCCCACCCTGAAAGAAGGAGCTGGGCCGGCCTCCTCTCATCCTCTCGCTTCCAGGGGTAGGAAGCCTAGGGCCAGGGCTGCCCCGCACCAGCAGCTCGGACGTTATGGCTTCAAGGAGATGAATTCACGGTCCGGGCAGGAAAGGATGGGGTCCTGAGGGAGCCTGGTCCGATCCCGGGCCTAGGCCAGACCTGCACGATGGAGCAGGAAAGGAGGGGTCAGCAATGGCAGAGAACTGCACCACGACCTCCTGTAGCTCCATCACCACCCAGAGACCCAGGAGTCCCAGGCCCAGCCCCTCCTCCCTCAGACCCAGGAGTCCAGGCCCCCAGCCCCTCCTCCCTCAGATGCAGGCATCTCCACCCCCAGCCCCTTCCCTGTGGCCAGGCTGCTTACCCCTCACTCGGAGTTCTCTTTCTCTGATAGTCCTTTGCTGCCTTTTGTGAAGCTGGTCACAGTCTTTTCCTAAAGGAGAAAGTGCAGAAGGTTCGGGAGTGAGAGACAGAGAGTTGAAACAGATGCTAATCATCAACAGGAGAAGACGTCAATCCTGTTTCATTATTTAGGATGCGCTTTCTCACTTGGCCCTGAAGTGACGGACAGATGGTATTACAATTCCATTCTACAGATGGGGAAATGGAGGCACAAAAAAGAGGAGTCTCTGCAAATGCGAGGAGAGATGAGGCTGTAGGGATGAGTGGGGCAAGTCCTGCATGGTATCAGAGGGGCTGAGACTCTGTCCTGGGGCCACTGGGGAGCCACGGGAGGGCTGTGAGCAAGGAAGGGGAGGGGAAGCTCTGGGTGTAGAAGGATCTTCTGGGGCCACAGGGAGCATGAGGGGCTGAAATTCATGGGCAGTGTCAGGACTCGGCCTAGACTCTGTGCCGCCAGCGTTGCCCAACATGGGCAGTGGCTCACCAGAAACTCCTGGGAAGGTTGGTGGGATGAATTAATGAATGGATAAATGAGTGAATGACAGGAGGAGGGAGTAGCCTCCATCCTATCCACCTTAGTAGAGTCCCCGTCTTTTCCAATCTCAAATCTGAGTTCTGTGCCCAGCTGTTGGGTCCCTCATGATCACTGGAAAAAAGCCCACAGCAGGGCCAGACTAAATCTGGTGATGTGGTGAAAGTTTGCTGGAGACGTGATGCTGGAGAACTACTGGAACCTTCTCTCCCTGGGTGAGGCCCCTCCCTCTGCCCTCCCCCGGGGGAGGCCTGATGCCCCCGGCACCCTCTCTGATGCCCCCAGCCCTCTCTCTGATGCCTCCTGGCACCCTCTTCTCATTCATGTCCATCCCCTGCCATCTGGGGGCCTCTGTGCTCCTCTCACTGGTCCCTCACGCCTGGCCTCTCCCTTCCTCTCTTTCTGGGGGCCTCTCCCTTCCTCTCTTTCTGCCTGGAGTCCCAGCAGCCAGGAGGGCCCAAGTCCCTTGGCCTGTCCTGTAAAATGTGAGTCCCGCAAACTCTTCAGCCTGTGTCCCCAGCTTCTTCTTCTTCTTCTTTTTTTTTTTTTTTTTTTTTTTTTGAGATGGAGTCTCACTCTGTCACCAGGCTGGAGGGCAGTGGCGTGATCTCAGCTGACTGCAATCTCCACCTCCTGGGTTCAAGCAATTCCTCTGTCTCAGCCTCCCGAGTTGCTGGAATTACAGGCACACACCACCATGCTGGCTAATTTTTGTATTTTTAGTAGAGACGGGTTCACTGTGTTGGCCAGGCTGGTCTGGAACTCCTGACCTCAGGTGATGTGCCCACCTTGGACTCCCAAAGTGCTGGGATTATAGGCGTCAGCCACCGTGCCTGGTCATCCAGCTTCTTCTAACGCTTTCCCTTCCACACATGGTGACCTCCCTGTCCCCGGACTTCAGGCTCCACACTGGAACGCCCAGTCCAGAATCTCAGGCTCCAAGCGCCTCCCGGACATGTTCCCAATCAACAGGTCCCAATCTGACCTCGGCATCTTCTCCCCAGAGCATATAAACGCTGTCCCCTAGTGTGTCTCCGAGATCCTGCACTTGCCCACCTTCCTGCCTCCAGGCATAGCCCTCCCCACCTCCCACCCCTCACATCCACCCCACGCCGAGCTCAGTTCACCCACCGTCCTGCTTCTCTTCCTCCAGGTCCCCACCTCTGGTTGGCCCCACATCCCCCCAGGTCTCCAGACCAGACCCCCGGGCACCATCCTCGGCCCTGACTTGCTTAGTTTGAGCTGCTCTAACAAAATGCTGTAAACTGGGTAGCTTCTAACAGCAGAAATGTATGTCAGAGTTGGCCGGGCACGGTGGCTCATGCCTGTAATCCCAGCACTTTGGGAGGCCAAGGCGGGCAGATCACGAGGTCAGGAGATCGAGACCATCCTGGCTAACACGGTGAAACCCCATCTCTACTAAAAATAAAAAAAATTAGCCGGGCATTGTGGTGGGTGCCTGTAGTCCCAGCTACTCGGGAGCTGAGGCAGAAGAATGGTGTGAACCCGGGAGGCGGAGCTTGCAGTGAGCCGAGATCGCGCCACTGCACTCCAGCCTGGGTGACAGAGTGAGACTCCGTTTCAAAAAAAAAAAAGAAAGAAAGAAAGAAAGAAATTTATGTCAGAGTTTTGGAGGCTGGGAAGTCGAAGATGAAGGCGACAGCAGACTTGGTGTCTGGTGAGGGCGCTTCCTGGTTCATAGACGGCGCCTTCTCTCTTTTTTTTTTTCTTTCTTTTTTTTAATTGAGTCAGAGTCTTACTCTGTCACCCAGGCTGGAGTGCAGTGGCGCAATCTTGGCTCACTGCAACTTCCACCTCCCGGGTTCAAGTGATTCTCCTGCCTCAGCCTCCCCAAATAGCTGGGATTACTGGTGCCCGCCACCACACCCAGCTAATTTTTTTGGTATTTTTAGTAGAGAGGGGGTTTCACCATGTTGGCCAGGCTGGTCTTGAACTCCTGACCTCAGTGATCCACCCACTTTGGCCTCCCAAAGGGCTGGGATTTACGGGCATGAGCCACCACATCCGGCCGACAGAGGCTGCTCTCTATAGCCTTACAGAGTGGAGGAGCAAGAGAGCTCTCTGGGGTGTCTTTTGTAAGGGCACTAACCCCTGCCACGAGAGCTCTACCCCCATGACCTAATCGCTTCCAAAAGGCCTCAGCTCCTAACACCATCACCTGGGGACTAGGTTTCAACTTATGCATTTTAGGGGGATGCCAGCAATTCTGCTCACAACATCCCCTACTTCCCCTTGTCCACAGGACCCCTCAGGCCACAGCCCTGCCCTCCTACACCCTCCTTACCATCCCCACGGCCCCAGCCCTGCCCAGGCCTCGTCTTGCCCCTGCACCTCAGCACAGCCCCCTTGCTGGTTTCACTTCCCACCTTCCTGGACCTGTCGTTCTCCGTCTTTATGTTCCCCTGTAAGTAGCTGTGGTGATGTGACGTCTCCATCCTCAGCCCTCCTCACTCACGCACTTTCTCTGGACAAACTCATCAAAAATGTGGCTTAGGCTGGACGCAGTAGCTCACATCTGTAATCCCAGCACTTTGAGAGGCCGAGGCGGCCAGATCATTTGAGGTCAGGAGTTTGAGACTAGCCTGGACAACACAGTGAAACCCCATCTCTACTAAAAATACAAACATTAGCTGGGCATGGTGGTGGGCACCTGTAATCCCAGCTACTCAGGAGGCTGAGGTGGGAGAATCACTTGAACTTGGGAGGCGGAGGTTGCAGTGAGCTGAGATCTCGCCATTGCACTCCAGCCTGGGCAACAGAGTGACTCTGTCTCAAAAAAAAAAAAATGTGGTCTCATTAAAAACGTGGCCCAAACTTCTCCATCAGGGTCGGTCCCCAAGACCACCACAGGTGACTGATTTGTTAGCGGGTGCCAGGGACTCAGCCCTTAGTTAAACGCTCAGTGATGGTTTATTACAGAGAAAGGAGACAGCACAGCTGGCAAAGGGGAAGGGCACCCGGGGCGCCATCCAGGAGAAACCAGGCCAAGCTTCCAGAACCTTCTCCCAGTGGAGCCACATAGGATGGTTTAATTCTCCCAGCAGCAAGAGGTGACAACACATGGGAAATGTTATCACCAGAGAAGCTCACCAGAGACTCAGGGCTCAGCATTTTTTTTTTTTAACAGGATCTCTCTATATTGCCCAGGCAAGTCTTGAACTCCTGGGCTCAAGCTATCCTCCAGCCTCTGTCTCCCTACGAGCTGGGATTACAAGCGTGAGCCATCGTGCCCGGCTGTGCTCAGGGTTTTTCCTGGGGGTTGCTCACACAGCCCCCTCTACTAAAATGTACCCAAATTTTAGACTCCTGGGAAAAAAGCAGGTGTTCAGCATAAACCATGGTGTTTGCACAAACAGTTTAGGGCTGGGCACAGTGGCTCACGCCTGTAATCCCAGCACTTTCGGAGGCCAAGAGAGGAGGATCACTTGAGCCCAGGATTACGAGTCCAGCCTGGGCAACATAGTGAGACCCCTATCTCTAAAAAAAATTAAAATTAAAATTAAAACCACAAGCAACTGAGGCTCTAGTGAGCCCCACATCAGTTAGGAAATTCTGGGAACCCTCCTAAAGTCCAGGTTGCTGGACCTCAGCCTAGGGTCTACCTGGCCATCAGGACTTTCCAAAGGGAGCATCTCAGGCCGGCTGTGTTCACCCTTTTCCACACATCCACAATGGTGTCCCTTCAATGTGTCCCATGAGTTTCAACCTTGTATAGCTTGTGGCCTCCACAATACCACCATGGGGAAGGCTCAGGACCCCACACTCCCTGTCTCCCCTGAGCGGGTCATGTCACCCCCAAACTCATTCCTCCTTCAGGTCTCCCATCTCAGAGACAGACCCCTGCCCACCCAGAGACCAGGCCAGGCCAGTCCAGGGCACTGACTTTTTTTGTTTTTTTGTTTTTGAGACGGAGTCTCGCTCTGTCTCCCAGGCTGGAGTATAGTAGCACGAGCTCTGCTCACTGCAACCTCCGCCTCCCAGGTTCAAGCGATTCTCCTGCCTCAGCCTTCTGAGTAGCTGGGATTACAGGCATGCACCACCACACCCAGCTAATTTTTGTATTTTTAGTAGAGATGGGGTTTCACCATGTTGGCCAGGCAGGTCTCGAACTCCTGACCTCAAGTGATCTGCCCACCTCAGCCTCCCAAAGTGCTGGCATTCCAGGTATGAGCCACCACACCCAGCCCAGGGCACTGTCTTTACCATCTCTTTCATACCCGTATGTGTCCTGGCCCTGACACTCTCCCCAGTGTCACCACTTTCTGTTCCCCCACTGCCTCACTCTGTGGTGATCACAGGAAGGTTGTCTTTTTTTTTTTTTTTTTTTTTTGAGATGAAGTTTTGCTCTTGTTGCCCAGGCTGGAATGCAATGGCGCGATCTCGGCTCACCACAACCTCCGCCTCCTGGGTTCAAGCGATTCTCCTGCCTCAGCCTCCCGAGTAGCTGGGATTACAGGCATGCACCACCACATCCGACTAATTTTGTATTTTTAGTAGAGACAGGGTTTCTCCATGTTGGTCAGGCTGGTCTCGAACTCCTAATCTCAGAGATCTGCCCACCTTGGCCTCCCAAAGTGCTGGGATTACAGGCATGAGCCACTGCGCCTGGCCTTGTCTTTTTTTCCTTTTTTTTTTTTTTTTTTTTTTTGAGACAGTCTCACTGTTGCCCAGGCTGGAGTGCAGTGGTGCGATCTCAGCTCACTGCAGCCTCCACTTCCCGGGTTCAAGTGACTCTCCTGCCTCAGCCTCCCGAGTAGCTGGGATTACAGGCGCATGCCACCACGCCTGGGTAATTTTTGTAATTTTTAGTAGAGACAGGGTTTCACCGTGTTGGTCAGGCTGGTCTCGAACTCCTGATCTCAAGTGATCCGCTGGCTTCGGCCTTGAAAAGCGCTGGGCTTACAGGTGTGAGCCACGGCACCTGGCCAGAAGGTTGTCTTTAAGATGGCATCTGTGACAGCACATGCGTCTGCTCACGGGCACGAGCAGTAGGGGCATGGGGGAGTGTATCCTGCTGCTGCCACAATGCACAACCACAAACGTGGTGGCTTATGACAACAGCCATCAGTTCTCTCATGATTCTGGACCAGAGTCTAAAACCAAGGTGACAGCTCGGCCACGCTGCCTCCAAAGGCTCCAGGGGAGGGTCCTTCCTCACCTCTTCCAACACCTGGTGCCTCCTGGCATTTCTTGGCTGGTACCCGCCTCCCTTCTTTCTCTGCGTCTGTGCCATGTGGCCTCTTCCCTCCGTGTCTGTGTATCCTCTTCTTCTTCTTCTTTTTTTTTTTGGAGATAGAGTCTTGCTCTGTTGCCCAGGCTGGAGTGCAGTGGCACGATCTTGTCTAGGGAGGCGGAGGTTGCAGTGAGCTGAGATCGTGCCACTGCACTCCAGCATGGGAACAGAGAGAGACTGTCTCCAAAAAAAAAAAAAAAAAAGACCTTAGTGGCAATGCCTTCTTGGGCACCAGCACCCAGGTCAGAGGCTGTTTGGCTCTAACCACAGCAGGGCTGTTACCTGGTGAGCTCAGTGCAGGCCAAGAGGGACAGGGCAGGTAGGGGTGCAGGCAGGGGAGTGGTTACAGGGATGGGTGGTAAATGCCAGGCTGGAGAGTGGAAGGTGAAATCATGGGAGGCAATACATGGTGAGGGGGCTGCAGTATCAGAAGATTAGCTGTCCTGGGTCCCTGCTCCTCTGTCCCCTGACTGTGGCAGTTAGAGGCAGACCTCATGGTTCACCCAGCCACCAAGCCAGGCTCTAGGGCACCCTCCTTGTCCATGGAAGGATAGCTGGAGTCAAGAACTGGAGAAAGGTCAGGCACGGTGGTTCATGCCTGTAATCCCAGCACATGGGGAGGCTGAGGTGGGAGGATTGCTTGAGGTCAGGAGTTCGAGACCAGCCTGGGCAACATAGCAAGACCTTGTCTCTACAAAAAACGTAAAAATTAGCGGGATGTGGTGGCATGCACCTGTAGTCCCAGCCACTCGGGAGGCTGAGGTGGGAAGATGGCTTGAGCCCAGGGAGATCAAGTCTGCAGTGGGTTGTGATTGTGCAACTTCACTCCAGCCTGGGCAACAGAGCAAGATCCTGTCTCAAAAAATAAAATTAAAATAATAAGATAAAGTATAGTGGAGAAAGTCCCCGGGAGGCTGGGAGGTGGGAGGGGGTGTCTGACACCAAGATGTGGAGATTTGTGTCATTATCAGAGATGAAGGCTGTGACCATAGGCCTGGGCACCTAAGACAGAGGGAGGACAGGATCCTTGTAGGAAAGGAGTCCCGGAGTCACCCTGGATTGTAACTGTGTCCAGGTCTGCCTCCCCCTTCAGCCTGAGACGCCCTCAAGCACAGGGGAGTGTCCAGATCATTTCTGTATCTCCAGCAGTGCCAGGGAGTGGCACAGGGAGACCGGGAGGCCTTTGGGCATGTTTTTTTGTTTGTTTGTTTGTTTGTTTGTTTTTTAGACAGAGTCTTGCTCTGTCACCCAGGCCAGAGTGCAGTGGCGCGATCTCGGCTCATTGCAACCTCCACCTCCCAGGTTCAAGCAATTCTCTGCCTCAGCTTCCTGAGTAGCTGGGATTACAGGTGCCCACCACCACGCCCGGGTAATTTTTGTATTTTTAGTAGAGACAGGGTTTCACCATTTTGGCCAGGCTGGTCTTGAACTCCTGGCCTCGTGATCCACCCGCCTTGGCCTCCTAAAGTGCTGGGATTACAGGCATGAGCCACCGTGCCTGGCCAGGCATGTTTGTTGAACCAAAATTCATCTCCTCCTCACCCCTAGTCTAGTCACCTCTTGGCTCACCTCCTCCAGGAAGTTTCCTTTGATTTCTGCACCCTCTGTGACTTCCTGCAGTGTTGCGTGTTTCTTCCATTCCTGCTCACACAACACTAGACTGTGCCTCGGTTTCCTGCCTGAAGGGTGAAAATGAGGTACTACATTTAACCAGCTTAGAAACATGCCTGGCATGTAATCTGCGCTTAATAGACATTCACTTTTTAGTATCACCCTAACTATTGTAATTACTTCATGTTTTAATCAGGGATGGTATGTTTGTCTACAGTGATTCAAGACAGTTTCATCAAAACGAAAATGTCTGGACTGGGTGCAGTGGCTCATGCCTGCAATCCCAGCACTTTGGGAGGCCAAGGCGGGCAGATCACCTGAGGTCAGGAGTTCGAGACCAGCCTGGCCAACATGGTGAAACCCGTTTCTACTAAAAATACAAAAAATTAGCCAAGCATGGTGGCAGGCACCTGTAATCCCAGCTACTTGGGAGGCTGAGGCAGGAGAATTGCTTCAACCCAGGAGACGGAGGTTGCAGTGAGCCGAGACCACACCATTGCACTCCAGCCTGGGCAACAAGAGTGAAACTCCATCTAAAAAAGAAAAAAGGAAATGTTCAGGGTGGGTGGATCACTTAAGCCCAGGAATTTGAGATCAGCCTGGGCAACATAGTGAGACCCCATCTCTATAAAAAATTTGAAAATTAGCCAGGTATGGTGGTGCATGCCTGTAGTCCCAGCTATTCAGGAGGCTGAGGTGGGAGGATCACTTGAGCCCAGGAGGTCGAGGCTGCAGTGAGCCATGATTGTGCCACTGCACTTCGGCCTGGGCAACAGAGCAAGAACCTGTCTCAAAAAAAAAAAGTGAATGTTTTAACTTATGTATTTAGAAGTCTTGAGATGGAAGCTTTGGACATCAATGAATCTAAACAGAGTTGTCCATCAGAAATAAGATGCAACCCACTTAGGTAATTTTACATTTTTTGGCGGTCACGTTAAAAAAAATAAGAAGAAACAAATGAAATTAATTTTAATAATACATTTTATTCACCTCAAGCTATCTAAAATCTTATCATCTTGACACACTGAAATAATAATCAATTAACAAATGATTGAGAGATTTTACTGTTTTTTTCTTTAGTAAGTCTTCGAAACACAGAAGACGATGTTTCTTATACTGTCACAGTGCAGTTAACTCGAACAGCACAGACGCGGAGCCTTAAACAGCTTTGTCAGAGCTCAGCCTCTCTGCAGTGTCCTAAGCACTCAACAAATAAGTTGGCTCAGCCTCTCTGCAGTGTGCTAAGCACACAACAAATAAGTCTTGGCGTTGGCCATTTGTACGTCCAATCATTAGGCGCTCAGTGCGTGCACCTTCCCTGTAGACCTCCCTGTGATTCTGGCACCCACAGCCAACTCTTGTATCTTTCCCCAGGGGCAGGGCTGCCTGGGTCCAAATCCGACGTGATCTCCCGTGTGGATCGAGGGGAAGAGCTGAGGCAGGAGAGAGAGGCCCGGCGAGTTACCTGCCCAGGTGGGTGAGGATATCCAGCAGGTGTGAGCCCTCTTCCTACCCCATCTCTCATGGTCAGTGAGGTTCACTCAGGGGTGAGGCAGTGGAACACACGGGTGATCATCGTGGGCTCGGGAGTCGGGTTGTGTGGGTTCAAATCCCAGCTGATTGCTTCCTGGCTGTGTGGCCTTGGGCAAGTCACTTAGCCTCTCTGTGCTTTGATTTTTTTCATCTGTGAAAAGGAGGTGACATGAGTGTCTAGGATTGGGAGGAATAAATGAATTAACAGATACAGAGCAGAGCCCAGAGCTTGGCACAGAGTCGGTAGTGGCTTCAATGGCTGTCATCGTTATAATTCTCACCCGACCCTCCCCTTGTCCCGTCACAGCCCATCAGTCCCCAGCCTTGTCCCTCCTGCCCCTGGCCAGGCCTCAGCTTCTCTCCCCTGGACCCTCACCCCAGCCTCCTGGCCCCCAGACTTACCCCTCCAGTTGACACCGCCCCAGGGGATCCTTCCATACTGAGAGCTAACCCCCTCCCTCCCCTGCTCACACCCTCCCCTGCTTCCCCAGTACCCCCAAGATGAAGTCCCAGCCCCTCAGCCTGGCACTCGGTGCCCTGTGTCACTCAGCCTGTGCTTTCTCTGGCCTCATCTTCACCATCCACCCCTGATTGTACACCATGCCCTGACCTCACTGAAGCACCTGTCCGTACCTCAACCTGAATGTGTGTTGCCACCTTTGGGCCTTCACACATGCTGTTCCCTCTGTCTGGAATACCCTTCCCTGCTTTTTCTGCCTGGCAAGCACCTTCATGTGTTTCACGATGAAGCTTACAGGTCACCTCCTCCAAGTGGCCTTCCGTGATAACTAGGCCACCGCTTCTCAGCGTTTTCACAGCTCCTAGCTCAAGGTGCTATTACTGCACTTGTGCATGTTGTACTTAAGAGTGTAGACTCTGAGTTCAAATCCCCTTTCTCCCACTGCGTGATTGTGGGCAAGTGACTTAATCTATTGGTGCCTCCATTTCCTTACCTTTTTTTTTTTTTTGAGATGGAGTCTTGCTCTGTCGCCCAGGCTAGAGTACAGTGGTGAACCTGGACTCACTGCAACCTCCGCCTCTCGAGTTCAAGTGATTCTCCTGTCTCAGCCTCCAGAGTAGCTGGGATTATAGGTGCCCCCCACCGTGCCTGGCTAATTTTTTGTATTTTTAGTAGAGACAGGGTTTCATCATGTTGGCCAGGCTGGTCTCGAACTCCTGACCTCATGATCCACCCGCCCCAGCCTCCCAAAGTGCTGGGATTACAGGCGTGAGCCACTGCGCCCGGCCGTCCTTACCTATTAAATAGGGAGAATAATAGTACCCACCTCAATGAAATGTTTGGATGATGAAATTACTTAATACACGGAACAAGCTCAGAACAGTATCTGGCAGGTAGTCAGCATTTAATGAATGTTCTCTATTGCAATAATAATAATTGTTATTATCTGATATATCAGGACTCCCACATGTAAAGAATCAAAATAGCTTAAGAAAAATTAGATTTTTTTTGACCCATATAACTAGGAAGTATTGCAGTGCAAGACTTTCGGCATACATGAATCTAAGGCCTTAAATGGTATTGTCAGGGCTTACTTGTTCTCTCTCTCTCTCTCTCTCCCCACAACCCCCACCTTCCCCCTCCTTCGCTTTCCACATGTGTTGATTCTGTCTGTTTCTAGCTTCGTTTTGTCTACAGACCTTTCCAAGTAGCAATCAACGTGGCTACCCACAGTCTCAAACTTATATTCTGCCTAATAACCCCATATACTCATCTCGGGGAAGACTCTGACTGGGTCCCTTTGGATGATGAACCAATTATTATGGCCCGAGGAACGGGGTATTATGATTGGCCAGTCGGAAGTCTGATGCCCATTGCTGAGGTGGGGGTTGGGGAGATATGTGACAGCCCCACCAAGACTATAGGAAAAGGGGAGCAGTGGTTGTTCAAAGACAGGGATGCTAAAGAGATAAGTAGGATATGTCCAAAATGTCTGAATATAAGCCTGCCTCTCCCCCCTCTCTGAGGACAAGAACCAGATATCTTGTTTAGCAAAAGGTCACCTACTCACAGCACCGTGGTTGGCACATATGTAATTAATGGACATTCCATGAACAAACCCACTAGCTCCAAAAAAAAATCCATTCCCTCCACAAATTCCAGATGGTTTTGCTTTCTGCTCATCATTTCTTTTTATTCATTTATTTTTATTTATTTTTTATTTTTTTATTTATTTTTTGAGACGGAGTCTCGCTCTGTCACCCAAGCTGGAGTGCAGTGGCACGATCTTGGCTCACTGCAGGCTCCGCCTCTCGGGTTCAAGTGATTCTCCTGCCTCAGCCTCCCAAGTAGCTGGGTATGGGCACCTGCCACCACACCTGGCTAATTTTTGTATTTTTAGTAGAGGCAGAATTTCACCATGGTGGCCAGGCTGGTCTCGAACTCCAGACCTCGTGATCCACCCCCCCACCCCCGCCCAGCCTCCCAAAGTGCTGGGATTACAGGCGTGAGCCACCACGCCCAGCCTAGCATAATATTTTTAAGAGTCATTCACATTGCAGTATGTATGAGAGCTTCATTCCTGTTTATGGCTGAATACTATTTTGTTGTATGAATGTACCACAGTTGGTTTATTCATCAGTTGGTGAACATTGAGTTATGTCTTCTTTTTGGCTATTATGAATCATACTGCTATGAACATTCATGCACAAGTTTTTGTGTGAATGTATGTTTTCATTTATTTCGGGTAGATACCTAGGAATGGAATTGTTGAATCATAGGGTAATTCTATGTTTAACCTTTTGAGAAACTGCCAGACTATTTTCCAAAGTGGCTGTACCATGTTACATTCCCACCAGCAGTGTGTGAGGGCTCTGATTTCTCCGCATCCTCACCAACGCTTGTTACTATCTGTCTTTTTTATTATATAACTAGTGAGTGTGAAGTGGAATCTCATGATTTTCATTTCATTTTCCTTGATGTCTAATGATGTTGAGTATCTTTTCATGTACTTATTGGCCATTTGTATATCTTTAAAGAAATGACTATTGAGAACTTTGCCCTTTTTTAATTGAGTTTTTAAAAATATTGAGTTGTGGCCAGGTGTGGTAGCTCACACCTGTAATCCCAGCACTTTGGGAGACTGAGGTGGGTGGATCATGAGGTCAAGAGATCGAGACCATCCTGGCCAACACGGTGAAACCCTGTCTCTACTAAATATAGAAAAATTAGCTGGGCCTGGTGGTGCGTGCCTGCAGTCCCAGCTACTTGGGAGGTTGAGGCAGGAGAATCACTTGAACCTGGGAGGCGGAGGTTGCAGTGACCCGGGATCGTGCCACTGCACTCCAGCCTGGGTGACAGAGCGAGACTCCGTCTCAAAAACCAAAATACTGAGTTGTAAGTATGCTTTATGTATTCTAGAAACAAGTTCTTTATCAGACATATGATTGGAAAAAATTTTCTCCCATTCTATTAGTTGTCTTTTTGCTTCTTACTAGTGTCTTTGAAGCACAAAGGTTTAAATTTTTAATTATTATTATTTTTGAGACAGGGTCTCACCCAGGCTGGAGTGCAGTGGCGCAATCATGGCTCACTGCAGCCTCAACTTCCGGGGCTTTGTTGATCCTCCCACCTCAGCCTTCCAAGTAGCTGGGACCACAGGCGTGTACCATCGCTACCTAATTCTTGTATGTTTGGTAGAGACAGGGTTCAGCCATGTTACCCAGGCTGTTCATGAACTCCTGAGCTCAAGTGATCCACCCACCTTGGCCTCCCAAAGTGCTGGGATTACAGGTGTGAGCCAATGTGCCTGGCCTAGGTTTTAATTTTGACAGTGTCCAATGTATCTATTTTGCTTGTGTTGCTTTGTGATTTTTGACATCATGTCTAAGATACCATTGCCTAATCCAATGACAAAAGGATAATTTCAGGAATCTCACATAGCATTTAGTTGTCATGTCTCTGTTTTGGGGGTCCCACAACCACCCACTGGTTTGGCGATTTTCCGGAAGGAGTCACATGACTTGGCGAGTTGTATTGACGGTTTACAGCAAAGTTTGTAACTCAGGAACAGTAGGAACTAACAAAGGCAAGAGAGGTCATACACAGGTTTCCAGCCCTCCCTTTCCCTGTGTGGGTCACATGGACGTGCATTTTTCCACTAATGCAAAACCACAGACACATGTATGAGGTGTCTCCACCCCAGGAAGCCCACTTGGAGTCTTATAGTCCAGAGTTCTTGAAGAGAGCTGGTCACGTATGCACATACCTGCTACATGAACAGAGTGAGAACTCCAATCCAGGTACCAGGTGCCCATCATGCATCTTCATATTTACAGTCAACAATGCTGACAGCCTAGTACATCTTGACCCGTGGTCTTGAGCATATGGAAGAACATCTTACCCAGCACCTGTGTAAACATCCCAGGAGTTTAGTTCCCAGAGACTGGCCAAGGGTCATTGCCATATCTGCAGAGATAAACAAAGACTGAGTGAGATGGGCTGGGCGCAGTGGCTCAAGTCTATAATCCCAGCACTTTGGGAGGCCAAGGCAGGCGGATGACTTGAGGTCAGGAGTTCGAGACCAGCCTGGCCAGCATGGTGAAACCCCAGCTCTACTAAAAATACAAAAAAAAAAAAAAATTAGCCAGGTGTGGTGGCGCATGCCTGTACTCCCAGCTACCTGGGAGGCTGAGGCAGGAGAATGGCTTGAACCCAGGAGATGGAGGTTGCAGTGAGCTGAGATCGTGCCATTGCACTCCAGCCTGGGCAACACAGCGAGACTCTATCTCAAAAACAAAAAACAAACAAACAAAAAAAACTGAGATGGACCTTCTGTTCACTCTTTCCTTGCACATTCCCACAAACATAGTGTGAGAAGGTCTGTGCCATGCTCCCTTGGCAACACTGGATATCTTTAATATTTTCCAATCTAAAATGGGTAAAATAGCATCCTAATGATTTGATTTTTTTAACTATTGCTGATGTTCAGCATCTATACATGTATTTATCAGCCTCTTATTTTTCTTCCGTGAATTGTCTACTCATATTCTCGCCTCTCTATTTTCTTAGATTTTTTTCTATCATTTTTCTTATTGATTTGTAAAAAAAATGTACTCTATAGCATAGCTACTCAACTCTGTGTACATAAACTGTTTAGAACTTGGTTGTCTTCATTTTTAGAGTGTATTGAGACTATCCTTCCATGTCAGAACATGAATCTATCTACGTACACCATGCCTTTCAAAATAGCAACATCGGCCAAGCACGGTGGCTCATGCCTGTAATCCCAGCACTTTGGGAGGCCGAGGTGGGTGGATCACGAGGTCAGGAGTTTGAGACCAGCTTGACCAATATGGTGAAACCCCATCTCTTCTAAAAATACAAAAAAATTAGCCAGGTGTGGTGGTGGGCGCCTGTGGTCCCAGCAACTCAGGGGGCTGAGGCAGGAGAATTGCTTGAATCCGGGAGGTGGAGATGGTGCCACTGCACTCCAGCCTAGGCAACAGAACAAGACTTTGTCTCAAAAAAAAAGAAAAAAGAAGAAAGAAACAAACAAAGTAGCAACATCGAGTTTGAAATTTTTTTTTTTTTTTTAGGTTTACACTGCCACTTCCAAGTAATCAGCTTGCTTTGTCCTGGGACAGGTGGTATTGGTATTTTCCATTTCTTTCAGACTCGGAGACAAGCTCTGTGACTATTCGAGAGACACCTCGAAAAAAGAGCATTTCTGAAGATTCAGCTTCCCCAGTAGAGGGACCTTTAAGGGCCATGCTTGGAGATGCCCAGGTGGGGAAACCCTTGGCATGTCACTATCGGTCGGAGGATGCAAGAAAGCAGGAGAGGCATTTGAGGTGTTTATTTGCTACTCCCAAGGGAGACACCTCGGGGGAGAGAGGCCTTGGGTGTAACGAGCTTGGGAGAAGCCTCCGGCAGGCCTCTGCCCTCATCAGGAAGCAACGAGTGCCCTTTGGAGACAGGCCCCGGAAGTGGGGCAGGCCCTGGAAGAGCTTGAAACGCCAAAGGACGTTCGTGGAGAAGAAACCATTTAACTGCACGGAATGTGGGAAAGCCTTCATTTACCATTCGGACTATATTCTCCATCAGCGAATTCACACCAGGGAGAAGCCCCACAGGTGCTGTGACTGCGGGAAGGCGTTCAGCAACAGCTCATATTTCATTCAGCACCACATCATCCAAACAGGCGAGAAGCCCTATGCCTGCCATGCATGTGGCAAGACCTTCACTCAGAGCTCTTCGCTTACCTAGCATCAGAGGATTCACACTGGAGAGAAGCCCTACAAAGGCAAGGACTGCGGGAAGGCCTTCACACAGAGCTCATCCCTCATCAAACACCAGCGGTGCCACACCGGGGAGAAGCCCTATAAATGCGGCCAGTGTGGGAAGTTCTACTCGCAGGTCTCCCACCTCACCCGCCACCAGAAAATCCACACGGGGGAGAAGCCCTACCAATGTGGAGAGTGCGGCAAGGCCTTCTGTCACACCTCCTCCCTGACCCAACACCAGACCACCCACACGGGGGAGAAACCCTACAAATGTAACAAGTGTGGGAAAACGTTCAGCCACAGCTCATCCCTGACTGAGCACCAGCGAGTCCACACTGGAGAAAAACCCTATGAGTGCACTGATTGTGGCAAAGCCTTCAGCCACAGCTCGTCCCTGACCCAGCATCAGCGAATTCACACTGGCGAGAAGCCCTACGCGTGTCACGAGTGCGGGAAGGCTTACACGCAGATTTCCCACCTCATGAGGCACCAGAGCACTCACGTGGGGGAAAAGCCCTATGTATGCAACGAATGTGGGAAGGCTTTCAGCCACACCTCATCCTTTACTCAGCACCAGACCATCCACACCGGTGAGAAGCCCTACAAATGTACAGAGTGTGGGAAAACCTTCAGCCAGAACTCCTCCCTCACACACCACCAGAGGATTCACACAGGGGAGAAACCCTATGAATGTAAAGTGTGTGGGAAAGCCTATACCCAGATCTCCCACCTCATTCAACACCAGAGGATTCACACTGGAGAGAGGCCCTACGAGGGCAGAGAGTGTGGGAAAGCCTTCAGCCAGAGCACGCACCTCATTGAGCACCAGAAGATCCACACTGGCGAGAAGCCCTATAAGTGTAAGGAATGTGGGAAAACCTTCAGTCACAACTCATCCCTCACTCAACATCAGAAGATTCACACCGGCGAGAAGCCCTACGC
Source organism: Homo sapiens (assembly GCF_000001405.40). Lineage (NCBI taxonomy): Eukaryota > Metazoa > Chordata > Mammalia > Primates > Hominidae > Homo > Homo sapiens. The sequence continues at coordinate 50,059,040 of NC_000019.10, read as the reverse complement.
CTGCAAGGAATGTGGGAAGGCCTTCAACCAGAGCATCCACTTAATCCAACACCAAAGGATTCACACTGGAGAGAAGCCTTACAAGTGTAGTGACTGTGGGAGAACCTATACCCAGATCTCACACCTTCTCCAACATCAGAAGGTCCACACTGGCAGCAAACGCTACACATGTGAGGAGTGTGGAGAGGGTTTCAGCTGGAGTTCACACCTGACTGAACACCAGAGGCTTCATACTGGCCAGAATGCCTACATCTGTGATGATTTTGAGAAAGCCTTTGCTTGGGGCACACAGCTTGCTGATCATCAGAGAACCCATGCTGATTAGACAACCTGAGTGTGTGATGAGCTGGCTGTCCTGCTGTTAGGTTCCATCCCACCTTCATCAACACTAGGAACCCTAGGAAAAATTTTGCCTTCAGGAACAGATGGATCCAGGTGCATAAATGGCCTTTCAGCAATCTGCTCTTCATCAACACTAGGAACTCCCCAGAGAAGGATGCTGGCGCCATATGTTGAGATGGTTTGTTCCTTTGTTCCCTAGAGGGAAGGTGGCACAGTTTTTCACTAACTGCGACAGGTTCTGATCATTCTGGGGGCTTCCCTTGCATATTTCCTCCACCCTGCCATGTCCCTAGATCGTGGTATAGTTAGAGAGTGGTCCAAAAGGGATGCCATTTCATCTGGGACCTTCACCAAGAACAGCTCTCTCCAAGCTTCTTAAACTGATTCATCCTTCCTTATACTGGAGCCTGAGCTGGGCGCGGTGGCTCACACCTGTAATCCCAGCACTTTGGGAGGCCGAGGTGGGTGGATCACAAGGTCAGGAGATCGAGACCATCCTGGCTAACAAGGTGAAACCCCTTCTCTACTAAAAATACAAAAATTAGCCAGGCGTGGTGGTGGGCGCCTGTAGTCCCAGCTACTCAGGAGGCTGAGGCAGGAGAATGGCATGAACCCGGGAGGTGGAGCTTGCAGTGAACCGAGATTGCGCCACTGCACTCCAGCCTGGGCAACAGAGCGAGACTCCGTCTCAAAAAAAAAAGAAACTTAAACTGGAGCCTGAATATTCAATGGGGGAAGACAGCTATAAAGATTAACCCTTTAAAGTAACATTTTTAGTTTCCTTTGAAACTTTAAGCTACAAATATCAGAATCTGCAGTTGGCTTAAACAATAAATATGTTTCATATAAATATGGATATAAATATAAATGTTTCACATATTTATAGACATTTTTAATGTCCTATTGTTTCTGTTTATTATGTTTCCAGGATCTATGCTTTACAAAGCTATTGTTCTGTTCTTTTATTTATTTATTTATTTTTTTTTTTTTTTTTTTTTTTTTTTTTGAGACAGAATATTGCTGTGTTACCAGGCTGGAGTACAGTGGCATGATCTCAGCTCACTGCAGCCTCCACCTCCTGGGTTCAAGCGATTCTCCTACATTAGCCTCCCAAGAAGCTGGGATTACAGGCACCTGCCACCACTCCCAGCTAATTTTTGTTATTTTTAGTAGACGTGGGGTTACACCATGTTGGCCAGGCTGGTCTCAAACACCTGGCCTCATGTGATCCTCCTCCGTCAGCCTCCCAAAGTGTTGAGATTACAGGCGTGAGCTCCCGTGCCCGGCCTACAAAGTGATTGTTCTATTAAGCGTCATGTTGTTAAGCATCACTGTTTATTCACGCCCAAGGGGAGATTTTTTATTTTGTTATTATTTTTTTGAGACAGAGTCTCAATCTGTTGCCCAGGCTGGAGTGCAGTGGCGTGACCTTGGCTCACTGTAAGCCCCACCTCCCAAGGGGAGACTTTTAGTCATATTTTTAAAACATAGTATTATTTTTCATTTAATAATTATATATATATATTTTTTTTTTTTTGAGACAGAGTCTTGCTCTGTCACCCAGGCTGGAGTGCAATGGCAAGATCTCGGCTCACTGCAACCTCCGCCTCCCAGATTCAAGCAATTCTTCTGCCTCAGCCCCCCAAGTAGATGGGACTACAGGTGTGCACCACCATGCCCAGCTAATTTTTCTATTTTTAGTAGAGATGGGGTTTCACCATATTGGCCAAGCTGGTCTCGAACTCCTGACCTCGTGATCCACCCACCTCAGTCTCCCAAAGTGCTGGGATTTACAGGCATGAGCCACCGTGCCCGGCCATATATTTTTATAACAGAAAAAAATTTAGTGAAATACCATATGCTTATCATAAAGGATAATTTGGAAAGTGTAAAGAAGTATGAAATAAAAGACAAATTCCCTGTAATTCTGCAGCTCAGAGAGACTCACCAGTCATTCTTGGGTGTGTTTCTTTATGTTTTTTGAGACAAAGTCTCACTCTGTCGCCCAGGCTGAAGTGCAGTGGTGTGATCTCGGCTCACTGCAACCTCTGCCACCCAGGTTCAAGTGATTCTCCTGCCTCAGCCTCCCAAGTAGCTGGGATTATAGGCACCTGCCATCACACCTGGCTAATTTTTGTAGGTTTAGTAGAGATGGGGTTTCACCATCCTGGCCAGGCTGGTCTTGAACTCCTGTGTGATCCACCCGCCTTGGCCTCCCAAAATGTTGGGATTACAGGCGTGAGCCACCGCACCTGGCCTCTTTATGGTTTTTTAAATCTATATCCCATATCCATAGGTTTAGTTGTCAGAAATTTTGGGTTGAAAACATAAAAGCCATCGCTGACAATTTGGCCATCCTTAGAAGTCATATTGTTTTTATTTTTTATATTTCCTTTCAAATCTTTTAAACAAATATAAGTTTATTTCATTGTAATCACAATGCAGAGACCGTTTTTGCCGTCATTATGCCATGAGCATTGTCATTGTCCCCATACACTTTTATCATTATTAAGGATAATGATATGCCACTGAGAAGGTGTAATTTACAAATCCATTCTCCATTTAGATTCTTCTTTAAGCTTTTGACTGACATGGGTTTTTCACCAGTTATCCCAATTACAAATAATGTTATAATGAACATGTCCGTGCTCACTTCCTCTCTCCCTTTGGGGTGATTATTCCTCAAAGTAAAATTCCCACAGTGGCAATGATGGGAACCAAGGTTCCAGCCATTTTCCTGATTACTCACACAAGTTGCCATATTGCTTTCCAAAGGGCTGAACTTAACCTACCTGCCATGGCTGGGCATGCGGACCATGGATGCACTACATTTTTATAGCAATGAGTGTCAGCTATTTAACATATCATTAAGTCACCTTTAACAACCTGATATTTTGCAGTTTCACGTAGCTTATATATATTCAGCCAGCATATTATCCAGTCCCTTGTTGGACATTTTGGTTGTTTCTAGCTTTTGACTTTTTTTTTTTTTTTTTTTTTTTTTGAGAAGGAGTTTCACTGTCACCCAGGCTGGAGTGCAGTGGTGCAATCTCGGCTCACTGTAACCTCCGCCTCCCAGGTTCACGCCATTCTCCTGCCTCAGCCTCCTGAGTAGCTGGGACAACAGGCACCCACCACCACGCCCGGCTAATTTTTGTATTTTTAGTAGAGACGGGGTTTCACTGTGTTAACCAGGATAGTCTCGATCTCCTGACCTCGTGATCCACCCACCTCAGCCTCCCAAAGTGCTGGGATTACAGGCGTGAGCCACCACACCTGGCCGCTTTTGACTTTTATATATATATAGTATGGAACATCCCTTTTATGAAAGGGATGAGTGTCTAACTATTTCCCAGGTGAAATCCTGGCAGTGAGGTCATGGGGTCATAGGGAGAGGATTTCTGTGACCTCGAGTATGTTGCCAATGGGTTGCCAGAAGTTCTGTATCAGCTGGAACGTCTGTCAATATATGGGGCTATGTCTCACTAGCCTTCTTCTGTGCTATTATATTTTAAAGTTATCGCCCAGGTATTTCTCCTAATCTTTTGTGGCTTCTTTCATGATTGAAGTAATATTCATTGTGAATAACTCAGATGATACAAAAATGAAGAAATCTTTAGTGCCCTGTAAATCTTTGTTCCAGGCCGAGTGTGGTGGCTCATGCCTGTAATCCCAGCACTTTGGGAGGCCGAGGCATGTGGATCACCTGAGGTCAGGAGTTCGAGACCAGCCTGATTAACATGGTAAAACTCTGTCTCTACTAAAAATAAAAATAAAAAATTAGCTGGGTGTGGTGGCACATACCTGTAATCTCAGCTACTTGGGAGGCTGAGGTAGGAGAATCGCTTGAAGCTGGGAGACAGAGGTTGCAGTGAGCTGAGATTGTGCCATTGCACTCCAGCCTGGGCAACGAGAGCAAAATCCATCTCAAAAAAAAAACTTCATTCCAAAGATTTCATACTTTTTCTATAAATAAGAAATCTCCCTTTCTGTTTTTATGAAACTGACTTTATATGTATATATATTCACATATGTATGGTATATATGGCATAACCACATGCAAACATAATTTTAAGAAGTTACTTTTCTCACTTGATATAATGTGGATACTTTCCCATGATAATGCAAAATATATACATATTGTACATATTACACAAAAATATATACATGCATAGGTATCTTCATTTTTCACAGCTGTGTAATATTTCATGCTAGGGTTTCTTTAATTTGTTTAACCAATCCCTGTTAATGGATATTTAAGTTGCTTTCATTTTCTTTTCCATCATTGGATATTTATTATTTGACATATGTACAAAATGAATTCCTACAAGTATACTTGTGGGATCACAGAACACCTACATTTAAATTTTTCATAGTTATTTCTAAATAGTCCTCCAAAAGGGGTGAAACAATTTGCACAACTCCTGGAAGTGTATATGAGTGCCTATTTCTCTGTTCTTTACTTCCTTCCCAAATACTTGGTGTTAGTCATTTTTTAAAGCAATTTTAATCTGATAGGTAAAAATGTCCTCTTGGTTGTGAGATTATCTTTTTATGTATTTATTGATGTTTTCTATTCTGTGAATTGCCTATTTATGTATTTTGCCCATTTTTAATTGAGAAGCCTTTTTGTATTGATTTATAACGGCAAGTCCTTATATATTACGCATATTAACACTTTGGTATATAAGTGACTAATATTTTCTCCCAGTTTCTCTTCAATTTTGTTTATGTTTGTTATACAGAGTTTTTAAATTTTTAGGTATTTTAATCTATCTGTATTTTCCTTTATAGTTTTTGGATCTACTATCATGCTAACAAAGGCCTTCTTCACCCCGAAGATTATGAAAAAAAAGTTCTGCTATATTTTATTCTAGTACTTTTACGATTTTTTTCACAATTAAAACTTTGATCCATCAGGATTTTTTTTTTTTTTTGAGACGGAGTCTCGCTCTGTCACCCAGGCTGGAGTGCAGTGGCGCAATCTCGGCTCACTGCAAGCTCCACCTCCTGGGTTCACGCCATTCTCCTGCCTCAGCCCCCCAAGTAGCTGGGACTACAGGTGCCTGCCACCACGCCCGGCTAATTTTTTGTATTTTTAGTAGAGATGGGGTTTCACCGTGTTAGCCAGGATGGTCTCAATCTCCTGACCTCGTGATCTGCCTGCCTCGACCTCCCAAAGTGCTGGGATTACAGGCGTGAGCCACCGTGCCCGGCTGTTGATCCATCTGGATTTTTAAATAATTTCTGGTATAAGATAGAGATTCATTTCCAGCCAAGAGTATTCTGTTTGTTTAAGGAAGAAAGGGAATTTATTAGCCTATGTAATTGAACAGTTTTGCCTTCAGGAACAGATGGATCCAGGTGTTTAAGAGACATGTCAGTAATCTGGTCACTCCTCTTAGCTCAGCTTCCTTTTTGGTTAGTTTCATTTTCTGGCAGGTTCTCCCCCCATGGTGGCAAGGTGACCACGAGCAGCTCCAGGCTTATCTCCTATCACCTTAGAAACCTAAACAGAAAGAAGGCATGTTTTTCCTATCCCTCTCTCCCACTCAGTATCTCTCAACTCTCCCTTCAAATGTTGAACTTGACCACCTCTCACACAGTTCAAACAAGAATGATAATTTACTGGCTTGAGTAGCTAAAAGCATCAAAAGCAAGACACTCATCTTGTTTATGCTAGCACATCAGGATGCCTTCAGCTGTGACTAAAAGAAAACCCCAACTCAAATTGTCACAAACACCAGGAAGAAGAAATGTACATTTAGGGCAGATTCCAGCTGCAATTCATAGTATTCCTCTACATTTCTCTTGAGGTTGATATTATTTATATTATTTCACATTATGTTCTCAAAGAATTATGTTTCTTGATCCCACAGTCCCTCCTTCATTCCCATCTCAGCCCCTGCCTGTTTACTTCACAGCACTTTTTTTTTTTTTTTTTTTTTGAGACAGAGTCTCATTCTGTGGCCCAGGCTGGAGTGCGGTGGTGTGATCTCGGCTCACTACAACCTCTGCCTTCCAGGTTCAAGTGATTCCCCTGCCTCAGCCTCCTGAGTAACTGGGATTACAGGCGCCCGCCACCACGCCTGGCTAATTTTGTCTTTTTAGTAGAGACGGGGTTTCACCATGTTTCCCAGGCTGGTCTCGAACTCCTGGCCTTAAGTGATCCACTCGCCTTGGCCTCCCAAAGTGCTGGGATTGCAGGTGTGAGCCACCACACCCAGCCTACTTCACAGCACTTATAATTTCCAATCATGTCTCATGGTTACTGCCTGCCCTCTGTCTTTCCCCGCTGTATCCCTAGCGTCTGCCCAGTATACAGTAAGGTTCTCAGCAAACATCACCAACTGACTGACTGATTTACTTCCTCAAAGGCTGAAGACATTCCTCTCCCTACCAGCAGGGTAGGAGAACGGCAGTTTCCTCACACCCTCGTTGAGACTTTTAATTTTGGCCAGATCTATAGATATAGTATATTTTCCCTTCTCTTCCTGGCGACCTCCTGCTCATCCCTCAAAGCCTTTTTCAAAGGCCGCCTCATGGGACAGGAGCAGTGGCTCATGCCTATAATCCCAGCACTTGAGGGGGAGGCAGGTGGATCACCTGAGGTCAGGAGTTGGCGACCAGCCTTGGGCAGCATGGTGAAACCCCTACTGTTGGGAACGAGGTTTTTGGTGTCGCAAAAAAAAAAAAAAAAAAAAAAGAATTAATGCGGGAACAAATGATCTCTCAGCAAGGTGAGCTTTACTTCCTGCAGAAAGGGTGCTACTCAATAGCTGTCCAGCCACGAGACCCCGCCAAACTAAGGAGACAGAGTTATTATAACCTGATGTGTCTACCCTACTGCTGTGTCCAGTTTCCATTGGCTGGAATAGGACCTCACATTTTACACTTTACCCGATTGGCTATTAGTTTAAAACTTTTTTAACTGGGTAAGGGGAACAGAACAAAGAAAAGGAAGTTGCCCAGGGGATAGTTAAGGATGCTTCCTTAACTATGCACTATGTCCTGGGGCTTGTCTAGTTCTGTCCAGGCATGCCGGAGCAAGCTAGGACAGCTGATTTGGAATATATAATAGTGGATAGCAATCTTATACTAAGAAATTGTGACTTTTTATAATCTTTGAAGAATAACTTTCCCATTTTTCACACTACTAAAAATACAAAAGATTATCCAGGCATGGTGGCGGGCGCCTGTAATCCCAGCCACTCGGGAGGCTGAGGCAGGAGAATCGCTTGAACCCGGAAGGCGGAGGTTGCAGTGAGCCGAGATCGTGCCACTGTGCTCCAGCCTGGGCAACAGAGCGAGACCCCGTCTTGAAAAAATAAAAGTAAAAAACAAACAAACAATAAAAAAATAGTCTCCCTTTGAGAAATCTTCCCTCACATCAACTATTTCAGTCCCACCCAGCCCGGTTTTTCCTTCCTTGTGCTCTAATATTCGTTTTCCACCAAGTTTTACGACCCGATCACGCTGTTTGTCCAGCACCCATACTGCTTACGGGCTCCGGTAATGGGCAGCTCCAGCCTGCGGCGTAGACAGTTGCCATGGAGAAAGACAGGCGTTTCCAGAGTTGACGGTTGCCGTGGAGACAAAAGCCGCCCGCACGCAGTGGGGGCGGGGCTTACAGAACGTATTTTGCGATTGATCCACAGGAAATAGACGCAGCTGCGTGGATCGCCTTCTCCACCCCACATACTGAAGCCAGAATAAGCCACGACTTCGTGTGCTCCACGCGAGGGCCGCCTGACGCCAGAGTTTCTCCCGCATCTGCCATCAGAGGACCGTCGCCCTCAGGAGCCCGAGCTCCCGCGGTACTCTGGGAAGGGTAGTTCATCAGGGAGTCTGACAGGCGCGGAAGTATCCGTGGGGCCGGGGCAGCGTCGCCACCAACGTGGGGATGCTGGTGGGGAGCAAGCTTCGCGTGGGAGGCCGATCCGAGGTCCAAGCCCCCATTTGCCAGGTCCTTGAGGGCCCCACTGTCTAGTGACATTCATCACTTGCCCTCCCCATTTTGGGCCCATTTTGGCCTGAAAAGTGGCCCCGAGCAGTTGGGGATTTAGGCCACCGAGAGGAATAGGGGCTTGAGAATCTGACGGCAGCCTGTGAGGCTGCAGGGGTGGGGACGGGTTTAGAGGCAGCGGGGGTGGGGTTAGGGCGTGGCCAGGAGCCGAGTCAGCACAAGGATTGGCTGGAGTAGGCGGGGAAGGGAGGTGGTTATTAGAGAACTGAACCCAGGAGGCCGGCGTGGGCGGAACCTGCTGATGCTCGTTTTGAGAATCCTTACACTGAGTATCATTCTTGAGTCCACTGAAGAAACTGAGGCTCAGAGAGGGCAGTGGACCCTTAAGTTCAGTAATTCATTAGAAGGGCTCACAAAACTCAGCAAAGCTGTTATACTTGATTGCATTTACTACAGCTAAAGAATAGAGATTAAAACCAGCAATGGGAAAAGGTGCATAGGATGGAGTCTAGGAGAGACCAAGCGTGAGCTTCCAGGTGTCCTCTGCCAGTAAAGTCATATGGAAAGCATTTAACGCACTCAGCAATGATGTGTGACCGCACACAAAGTGTTGCCAGAGAAGCTCACCCACGCCGTGGTACCCAGGGTTATGGGGTTGGTTATGTTGACAGGGCTGATCACCCTGACTGACCTTAGTCTCCAGCCCTTCCAGAAGTCAAGCTGGAATTTAGCTGGGGTATCAGTTCCGACAAGGGGTCCCCATCTCTGAAATGTTGGGGGAGACCTTGGCCCTAGAGAAGACTTTGCTGCTGCTTTATACCTTGACCTCGTTTGAGCTTGTCTTTGCATCAGCCTCAGAGGTGTTGGGTTTTGCCATCTTAGCCTTGCTTGGTTTAGGCTCCTGTAGCTCATTTCTTTTTCCAATCACATCTTTTTCCTTTATTCAGAGACAGGGTCTTGTTCTGTCGCCCAAGCTGGAGTGCAGTGGCATGATCACAGCCTACTGTAGCCTCAACCTCCCAGGCTCACGATTCTCCCACTTCAGCCTCCCTAGTAGCTTGACTGCAGGCGTGTACCACCACACCCGGCTGTTTGTATTCTTTGTAGACACAGGATTTCACCATGCTGCCCAGGCTGGTCTCAAACTCCTGAGCTCAAGCAATCCACCCACCTCAGCCTCCCAAAGTGCTGGGATTACAGGCATGAGCCACCACACCCAGCCTACCACACAAACTTTAAAATGTTTTAAATTTATCTAAACTTAAACTTTTATCTAAATTTAAACTTTAAATGTTTTTAAATTGTAAAAATATACATAAAATTTGCCATTTTAATCATTTTTAAGTGATCAGTGGCCACTACCCAGCTAATTTGCATATTTCTTTCGTAGAGACAGGGTTTCATCACGTTGTTGAGGCTGGTCTCGAACTCCTGGGCTCAAGTCATCTTCCCACCTAGGCCTCCCAAAGTGCTGGGATTACAGGCATGAACCACCACACTCGGCCCTATCAGCTCAGTTTATAAAAAAAAAAAACTTTCTATTACTACCATGAGCAGGAACTAGTATCTCTTGTCACTTGTCACTAAAGGAAAAAGGTGGGGACAAAAATTAAAGTATAAACAAAGTTATATGTATTACTGGATGCTAATTAGAAACACTCCCCAAGCCTGGGGCCTGACATGTCTGTGAAGAGTGAACTGCAGGCTGCCTGTGCTCTCTCCTTGGTTACTTAGGCCCACACACAGACTGAAAAGTGTTGTTTGATGATGCATCTGAGGACCAGCTGAACTTGTGTGCCTCCTCAGTGGCGCATGCCCCGCCCAGACAGTGGGAAAACTGAGCTGCTCCCTCTTACTGATCGCCACCAGAAGCCCTCCCCAGCAAAGACGTGAGGCCTGGCAGGCAGGGACTGATGCGTGGCTGCATGGCAGCAGGCTGAGAGAAGGAACCAATGCTTTTAGACTCAAAACTTTAATCAGAGAACCAACAAATATGCACACACGGAGGGCGTTTCTACCTTGGCCTGCAGCAACACAGGTGACTGATTTACAGACTGCCCCCACACCCAATGGCTGCCAGTTTTCCATAGAGTCCCTATTGTGTCACAGCCCTGCAACACTTTGTACACTCTTTTGGTATACAACATGCCCATCTCCCCGACAAGACAGAGCTCCAGAGGACGGGAACCATGTGCGAGAAGTTAAATGTTGCAACCATTTGAAAAACAGTGTAAGGCCCCAATGGTTAGCCAACAGGTTCCCAGTTTCAACTAAGTTTAACAAACTTAACCAGCAGAACTCCAGGTGCAAGAGTTGAAAAGCCCAAGGGTGCAGAGCACTCACTCCCTCACCATTTTCAGCACCTAAAATATGAAAGGTATTCAAAGTATGTGTCCAGTGCTTTTCATAAGACTACTGTGTTTCAGCAAAGGTGTGACTGAGCCACTTAGTGGCAGGGAACAAACACCCAGAGCTGACAAGACACTGGTAGGGAACTGGTTGTGTGGTTCCATCTCACTGGACTCTCCAACAATCCTTGGTGATCCCAGAACTTCCTGTGACATGAGGGAATGTGGCATTTTCAAGATGTCACTTGTCAACTAACAGCAATCGTCGATGAAAATGGGTTCATTTCTGATTCCAGAAGCTTCAGAGCAGTAGTGCATAGTGTATGGATACTACCCGCCCCCGAGCCTAGCAAATTGCCTGGTGAGCGGCCATCCTGGATAAATGGTGAATGATGACATCCCAGTGGTCACTTCCACACACCACAGGTTTGACCCCTAAGTATGTCTTCCATATGGGTTGTTTCATATGCGGTTAACACCCTGATCAATGCAGCTTTCCTGATGGAATCCAGCTGTGTTTTGGTGTCAACTCCCATGAAAAATTGGGTGTCTTATTGCATAACCAACACTGTTAAATGGAGGAAGGTCATAGGAAGAGGGAGCATGTGTTTGTGGGATAGGGAGTCCTCTTTAAGTGAGAAGCTTGGGAGGTTAGGAGTGGAAGGTTGTAGCTAGTTGAGGTGAAGAGTTTACATGTTCTTTTTGGCTTTCTGGGGCTTAAGAAAAAAACCAGGAGAGATAAAGGGACAAAAAAGGCCAGGCACTTAAGAAGAGTAAAGTGCTGGAGAAAAACTGTAAAAAAGGAAAACTTAAATTAAAAGCGATACATTGTAAGAACATTAACTACAGTAAACACAGATTACTAATTCCTTTCTTGTAACACAAGTATATTTGTGCTATAGCTGATGTGTATTTGTGGCTTACACTTGGTGAGCCCTCATGTGCTGGCCATCAGTTCTAAGTGCTTCACATTTATTTATTTAATCCTCAGAAAAGCCCTCTGAGGTAGGTGATGCCCATTTTACAGATAAGGACACCGAGGCCCTGAGAGATTTTTCTGACCTTCCCAAGGTCACTTAGGTAGTAGATGGCAGAGGTGGGATTTAACTCAAGGTAGACTGGCTCCAGAGCCTACCTCTGAATCCTGACGTTGTACAGCTTCTCCACTTTTGTGTTTTCATTGTTATAATGAAAAACATGCGCACAAACTTTCTAATCAATCTTTAGATGCATTTATTTGGAGAGAAACTTGCAATGGGATAGTTTCCAACTTTCAACATCCGAGTAACGGTCTCATATTCTGGGACTCTGCTGCCACCCAATGGCTACAGGCAGTATTGCTGCTTGTTGTGTACACGCTGATGGCGGCTGAGGCTCGAGTGGCACCGAAAGGCTTTCTGGCAACGTTGACACTGATAAAGTGTCTCCTGGGTGTGAACTCTCAGGTGCTGGTTGAGATGGGCACTGAGGACAAAAGCTTTGCCACACACATTACAGGAGTAAGGCTTCTCCCCTGTGTGAATTCTCTGGTGCTGTGTTAGATTTGCTTTCTGGGCAAAGGCTTTCCCACATTCACCACATCTGTAGGGCTTCTCCCCAGTGTGAACTCTCCGGTGAATAGAAAGGCATGAGCTCTGGGTGAAGGCTTTCCCGCATTCCTGACAAACATAAGGCTTTTCTCCAGTGTGAATTCTCTGGTGGCGGACAAGCTCAGCACTCAGGCCGAAGGCCTTCCCGCAGTAATCACATACATAGGGCTTCTCACCTGAGTGAATTCTCTGATGCTTAGAAAGGCATGAGCTCTGACGGAACGTTTTCCCGCATTCGTTACACACCAACGGCTTCTTTCTGGCATGAGTTCGCTCATGCTGAACAAGGTAGTTTCTCTGGGTGAAGACTCTGTCACACTTACTACATTTAAAGGGATTCTCTCCAGCGTGAATTAACTGATGTTTTGAGAGGTGTGCACTGTGGCTGAAGGTCTTTCCGCATTCGTTACATTTAAAAGGGTGCTCCTTTGTGTGGAAGGACTGAAGTTTGATAAGGGAGGCACTGCTGATGGCTTTCCCTTGCTCACCCCATTTATACAGCCTCACTCTAGAGTGGATTCTTTGATGGTGAATGAGCCGAGTACTTTGGCCAAAGGCTTTCCCACACTGGTCACATTCAAAGGGCTTCACTCCCCTGGTGTGAATCCTCTCGTGCTGAGTTAGGTATTTGCTGCAGCTAAAGGTTTTCTCACATTTGTTACACTTAAAGCACTTCTCTTTCTGTTCTGGGTTCTGATCCAAGATCTTCCCACTCACAAAAAATCCTTGTTTTTCTCTGGCGTGAACACTCTCGTGGCACTTCAGGGTTGAGCCGCAAATGAAGCGTTCTCCGCACTCCTGACATTCATATGGGGTTTTGACAGTGTGCATTTTCTGGTGTTGCACAAGGCGATTGTTATCGCTGAAAGTCTCCTTGCATTCAGCACAGCTATAGGGCTTTTCTGCGGTGTGAATGGCCTGATGTCGCATCAGATGTGAGGGCCGGCTGAAACTCCTGACGCATTCCTGACATTTGTGGGGTCTGTAGCCTGTATGAATTCGCCGATGTTCATTAAGGTGAGTGTGCCGGTGGAAGGCCTTCCCACACTCACTGCATTTGTAAGGCTTCTCTCCACTGTGAACCCTCTGATGGATCTTTAGGGTAGAGTTATGCCTGAAGGATTTCCCACGTTCGTTACACTTATAAGGCTCCTCTCCAGCATGAAGAGCCTGGTGTTCAATGAGCAGCGAACTGTGCCTAAAAATCTTCCCACACTCCTGACACTCAGAGGTAGTTTTTGCAGCGTGAGTTTTCTGATGTTGGATGAGGTGTTTTCTCAAGTTGAAGGTCGCCTGGCACTTGGAACACTCATAGCGTTTCCGAGTGTGGATCTTCTGGTGCCGAGTAAGGTGGAAGATCCGGGTAAAAGCCTTGCCGCATTCGTTACAGTTGTAGGACTTACTATCTGTGTGAGTTTTCTGATGCTCACCAGGCTGTGTGTCATGACTGGGTGGGTGGTCACTATCTTGACTCTTACATGGTTTTTCTCCAGTGTGAGTTTTCTGATGCCACAGGTATGTACTCTGACTAAAAGTTGTCCCATATTCATTACACACATAGAATTTGTAGCCCGTGTGAGTTTTCGGATACACAGAAAGGGAAGCATTCCGGTCAAAACCTTGCTCACACTCTTGATGGACAGTGGGTTTCTCCCTAGTATGAGTGATCCAGTGCTGGGTAAGACGGTAACTCCCACTGAAGCTTTTCCCACATTCACTACATTGATATGGTTTCTCCCCTTCCTGAACAGAATCCTGCTGGCTGTGGTCGGAGTAGGAGAAAAACTCACCCCTATATTCCTTAGACTTAGCTGGTGTGAGGGTCTTTTCAGAAACATTATGCACCATGGAATCTTCTCCCGTGGAAACGGTGGACACAGGACTGAGTCCTCTCTTTAATTCATGACTCTTGCATTCCGTGGGACTTTCCCCGTTGGTGGCAATATCAGACCTCAGAAGACTTTCTGGATCGCCTAGCAAACTATCTAACCAGGTGTCCTCTATACAGGCTTCTCCGAAATTGGAGTTCCAGAAGCCATCCTTGGATAACATCTCTATAATCTCCTGGGAGAATCCTTCTTCGAAGAAATCCTCCATCAGAGGAGAGTTCTTGGTCTCAGTCACATCTGAAAGAGCAAGTGCAAATGTCTCCTGTTCACTAAGGGTGAGAACACAGACAAGAGCAAGTAGGGGTGATAGATCTTGAGTCCAGCCTATCCATCAAGGGACCCAAAGGGGTGACCCATGTGGAACTGGCATCACAGAAAACAGACAGAGCCCATTCCCAGGAGGGTCAAGAAGGGAGTTGGGAAACCATAGGGTTCAACGAGGAGGGAGATTCTACCATTACCTTCACACCTAAGTGACTGACCAAGTTCCCTAAAAAATCGCCTGGACTCACCTGCTTCTACTCTCCACTCTATCCTGTACTGTCACCAAAATCTTCCTCCTCATATCCTGCATCCTCTATCCCAGACAACACCCCGCTCTCCCCACACCACCATCCATCCAGTTCTCCATGCTAGAATCCTGGGAGTCAACCTCCTCCCTACCTCCCTCAACTTGGCACTATTTTCATTTGGTCTCTATCGAAATGTCTCAACTCCCTTCCTCTCCTCTCTTTATCACTGACTCAGCATCTGACCCCAGGCTGCTCATTGGTCTCCTGTTTGTCTGTCTCTCTCTCTCTCTAGTCTTCCACACTAGCCCTAAAGGGCTTTGTAGTTAATGGATCTGACTATATCACTCCTCTGATTAAACCCTTCCATGGCTTCCTGCCTGGAGAAAAGAAATGAGTGTATTAGCCCAGTGTTCTTTGTGCTGACCTCATAGAACTCTTGCGGTTCCCTAAATCCACCAGACTTTCTCCTCTGTGCCTTTAATGGTCCCTCATGCTGGATGGCACTTCCTGGACTAACTCCTCTAAGTCTTTTAATACCCAGCTTATCACCCTTCTCTGAAAGGCTTCCCTGACAACCCCATCCCCATTCTGCTTTAAGTCCCCTGCCCTGTATTCTCTGAAAACCAGCTGAGCACTGACCATCCTCTACCATAACAGGTTATGAAAGGGTCTGACCCCTGACCCTTACCAGAAGGTAAGTTCTTTAATGGGGACCTTCCACTGCTCATCCATCCACTGCCACAGAGGCGGCCACGAGAAAGATTCACAGGACAGAGTAATTCCCATTCATGGTATGCTTGTTCACAGGCAGGAGTGCCTCAGGCACTCTGTTACACTCGACAACCTCCTGTAAGGTAGGCACGTTTCTGCTTTCTTACAGGTAAGTGAGCAGAAGACTGAGGATTTGAACCCCTCTGACTATATATATATATATATATATATATATTTTTTTTTTTTTTTTTGGAGACTGAGTCTTGCCCTGTTGCCCAGGCTGAAGTGCTGCACGATCTCAGCTCAACGCAACCTCTGCCTCCTGGGTTCAAGTGATTCTCCTGCCTCAGCCTCCCGAGTAGCTGGGACTGCAGGTGCCCTCCACCACGCCCAGCTAATTTTTGTATTTTTAGTAGAGACAGAGTTTCAGCATGTTGGCCAGGCTGGTCTCGAACTCCTGACCTCAAGTGACCGGCCTGCCTCGCCCTCCCAAAGTGCTGGGATTACAGGTATGAGCCACCACGCCTGGCCCCCATATTCTTAACTACCAAGCTGTATGCTCTCTGGGATCCTTCACAAAACATGAATGTCACTGCTCTGCTGTATGCCTCCAGTCTCCCCATCTCTCCTCTCCTCCATCATCATACCTTTTCCAGCCTGTCCCTTGTGCAGTTCTTGGCTCACCATCTGAGTATCTATGAGACTGCTTAAAGTCTCTCTGCCTGGAATTAAAACTTGCAAATGAAAGCCTTCTGAAACCACATCTTGTTCTGAATTGTCACCTTTGCCTCTGCTCATCTCTCCCACAGATATCCAGCTCACTCTCCTCACCACACTTGTGCTCATGTTGTTCCCTCGGCCTCAAATGCACCAACAGACATGTAATAGGCACCCCTTATATGCCAAGCATGATGTCAGGAGCTGGGAATACAGGGTGAATCAGCTAAGCCCTGCTTCCAAGAGCGGCATGCTGTTAAAGGGGAAAGACGCTTATGTGGTAACTATGCAACTCAAGTGTCACTACTAGAGGATATGGAGGTATATTTGTTAGTAAAGGCATGGCTACCTATGTTTGGAAACAGCCAATATGCTGAGGTGACAGAAACAGAAAGCAGAAGTTGTGAGAGCCTGTGCATGAGTTAGTCACCTATGAGGAACACTGATGTGCTGAAGAGGAGGCTGCAGAGGCCTCATGTACACGAGCCTGAGCGTGGTGAGCCAAGAAGGGAGCTGCAGACTGACTGGATGGGGTACAGCCTGAGATTCCTGTGGTCTCTGGTTCAGGGCCCTGCTTCTCATGCTGGGGACGTCTCTACCATGGGTAATACCCCAGGAATCCTCACCACCTAACCTGATCCACCTGGAGGAACCCCGGCTTGGGAGATGGCAGGGCAGATGCTCTTGGCAGCATTCAGGCCTGGGCTTAAGTTACTCCCTGATGTGGCCATCTGCTATGCCCCAGGGATAGGAAGGAAAAATGGGCCTGAAGGAAAGGAGGTAAAAGAAGTAGAATGAGGGTCAACACACTCAGGGAGCACAAGGCAGGAAAGTAGAGAGACCAACTGAGAGAGTGGAGGGCGTACCCTTGTTGAGTCTGGAAGGAAAGAGGAGGAGCTGTGGAGAGGCACCAGGATAACCCTGTGCTGAAGGGCAAGGTAGAGAGACCCCAGAGTGAGGGTCTATAAAAATGTCCTGATCCCCCCAGCTCCCAGGACAAGGGGATGGAAGCCAGCGAGAAGCAGAGTGAAGTCCTGAAGCTGAGCGTTGTAATGTCTCGGTAGACCTGTGGGAAAGCTGGCTGCAGCCTCAGGATGGAGGTCTGGAAGACAGAAGGTACACAAGGGGCCCCTCTCCATCCACTCACCAGGGCTTGTTGCTTCTGGGCTTCCTCCTGCCAGAGGCTCCAGATCTTCACTGCCATCTGGGTGGGAGGTCAGGTTGGGTCTTGGGGGGTCTGCAGGGAGAGAAAAGCATTGTCACCCAACCAGGACATGGAGGACCATCCAGACACTCAGTGAGAACCTCCTGGCTCTCCTGACTTTTCTATGCTTTATCCTGCACGTGGCTCCTGTGTGTGGACGAGGTGCTGCACTGGGCGACTCTGGGGATGCCTGTCCTGTAGGGTTCCCAGTCCAGTGATGGAGAGGGAGCCAAACAATCACAATCCAGGGTGATCAAAGCTGTGACAGCTGGGGCTGGGGATACAAAGGACTTGTGACAGCTCTTTAATGGGCAGGATCTGCCAGGTGGAGAGGCACGTACTTCCTTAGCCATTCATGATTTATTCACTGACCCATGGGCCACACATTGCCTGAGGCCTCCATGGGCCAGGGACAGAAAATGTCAGGGTCCCAGAGCCCAAGCAGTCCTGAGCCATACCCTCCACAAGCTTCCCCAAGGAAGGGAACAGAGTCACCATCCAGGAGGGATACAGGCCACAGCGGAGAAAACGCCACTGCTGTCTTTGAAGACTGAGAAGCCATGAGTCAAGCAATACAGGTGACCTCCAGAAGCTGGCAACGGGCCAGGAAGGACTATCTACGTGCTGGAGCCTCCAGAAGGAACATGGTGGCCCTGCCAACACCTCGCCTCCAGCCCAGCCACATGCATTTGGAACTCCTGGCCTCCAGGACTGTAACATAATAAAAGTGTGCTGGTGGAAGCCACTGTGTTTGTGGTATGTGTAACAGCAGCAATAGGAAACGGATACACTACTCATACATTCACACAAATGGGTGAAGGGGCAGTCGAGGTAAACACACTTCTTACTGTGGGCTGTAGTTTAAAAATTCAAAAAGACACTGAGGTAGGACCTCCCACGAGATGCTTCTTAGCACACACTGGCCAGTCTGGAGAAAGTCTGCCCCAATGTGATGAGATTCTATCAAATGATAGTTTCCACCGTGTGTTATCTTTTACTTCTTTCATCTTTTGGAGTAAATTATTTTTCTGGTTCTTCAAAAAGAAAGAACTGAGGCAACAGAGAGGGAAAATGAGTTAATCAGGTGACACTGATGGGGAGCTGGGGTGATATGGCCTTGGAGCTGCACAGACCTTAGCTGGAGTCTGGGCCCTGCTGCTGTCTCACTGTGTGACACTGGTGTGCAGAAGAGGGCGACACAGCAGGCTGGCTGCTCTCCTGGGAAAAGCCTGCTGGCAAGGCTGGATTTCAGGGGGGTACCCCGTGTCTCCAGAACTGAAGAGACACGCTCCCTGGACCTAAACTGTGCAAACACGGTGGCTTACACCTGCTTTCCTTCTGGGGGGCTGGAATTTTGGAATGTGCCAGGCAGAGGAGCCCACATGACCAGCCCCCAGTAAAAACCCTGGCACTGAGTCTCTGATGAGCTTCCCTGGTGGACAGCATTTCACACGCGATATCACATTCTACAGTATTGCTGGGGGAATTAAGCATGTCCCATGTGACTCCCCTGAGAGAATTCTGGAAGCTTGTGCCTGGCTTCCTTGGACTTTGCCCCATGTACCTCCTCCCTTTGCTGACTGTGCTCTGAATCTTTTCACTGTAGTAAGTCATAGCCATGAGTCTGACTACAGGATGAGTCCTGGGAATCCTAGCCAATCACTGAATCTGTGGGTGCTCCTGGGGACACTGACACAGCTGGGAAGGTGACTGCCACTCTTTTAACCTCAGTTTCAGACCAATCGGCAAAAGAGGGACAACCCAGCTTCTTCATGGGGTGACTGGAGGATTGAACAAGCAAGTCCTAAGAGCTGCTACTCAATCATTCATTAGTTTAGAGCTGTCTGCTGGGCCCTAGAGCAGGTACTGTTCGTTCCAAACACTGGGGACACGCCCTGTCCTCACACAGCTCCCGCTCTGAATGATACAATGGTAGTTAGAACGTGAGGGAGCGACAGACAAGATGAGTAGGAGAGGAGGTATGGAGTTCTAACAGGGTCCCAGGTTAAACTTTAAAAATGTAAGCCCTGAGAGCCGCTTAGGCAGAGGGGAGGGCAACTGGAAGACTTTGAAGTATCAGCTTGAAGAATGACTGACTACAAGTAGGAAAGTGGTGAAGACAAGGCTGGGGAGGCAGATAGGGGCCAGAGCAGGGTTTCCCAGGCTTAGCACTACTGACACTGGCGTGGGCCAATCCTTGGTTGTGGGGCTGTGCTGTGCACTGTAGGATGTGTGGCAGCCTCCCTTGGTTCCACCAGCTAGATGCTAGCGGCACGCTGCGCTGGCCCAAGGAGTAACAATCAAAAATGTCTCCACACATTGCCAATGTCTCCTCGGCCAGCTGAGAACTGCTGGGCTAGGTCATGCTGATTCTGAGGAGCCCAGGAGCCAGGACTTCACCCTGTGGGTGGTAGAGAGCATGGGTGATCACCAAGCAGGGCAGTGAGTAGGCCCCTGGGGACAGGCAACACTCACCCAGCAGGAAGAGGTCCTGGCAATTGTCCAACGCTGTGTCCCAGAACGTGTCCCCCTGTTCCAGCCCGAGCTGCTCCCAGTCTCCCAAGGTGAAGTCCATGCCGACATCCTTGAGGGTCACAAATTCCTGAAACACAGTACACTATTGGTCACTCAGAGGCTGGGGTCAGGGAGGAGCCCAACAGCTCACTCAGGGCACTCCCAGCCCTCAATCTGCCAGGGCTTTGGCAAAAACCATCCCATCCTCAGCCTCACAAGAATCTTGAGATGTAAGAGACTGGAAACCCCTGTATTTTGTAGGCAAAGAAAAGGACCTTGACTTTGACCAGGGGACAGGATGTCAACCGAAGTTAACACAGGTGGGACTGAACCCAGGTCTGCCTGATCCTAAAAATCTATTTTACGCTTTTGCTTTAAGTGTTCATTCAAGACTTATTTTGTAAACTTTCAAACATACATACAAGTAGAGATGTATATAATTAACACCCATGAACTCATCACCCAGGGGTCATCTGATTTCACCTGTGAATACTTCAGTATGAACAGTAACTCCTTAATCACTGAACACCTAGACCACATTCAAAATCTGTATACAGATTAGTCTGACATCTCAGTGGTGTGTCTTTATAGCTAGCTCGTCTCAATCAGAATCCAGGGGGCCCATACCCTGTAACTGATGTGGTTCTGAGGTTTTGAAATCTACAGCTGTACCGCTGTGCCTTCTACATCCTCCATGCTCCTGATTTGAGGTCCCATGTTCTGAGTGTGGCAAGCTGCTTCCATGCAGTGTCACCTGGCTGCTCCCTGGCCACGCATTTCCTGTGAGCTGGTCAGGAGAGCAGAGGCCTGACTGGAGTCAATACAGCTTCTGGGGGAAAGACCCACTCACAGGTGGTACCAGGTCCGCTTTAGGTACCAGGTCCGCTTGGGTAACACATGGTTACCCAAGGCTCCTATCTGGTTGTCCAACTTTTAGTGATGCCATCTTTCATTTTAAGACTTTCCTAGTTAATAAGTGTTTATTATTATTTATGTGTGTGTGCATGTATATATTAAATTTTATTTTATATATAATTATATATATAATTTATAAATTTATAAATTTATAAAATTATAATTTATAATTTATATATGCACCTGTAGTCCCAGCTACTCAGGAGGCTGAGGTGAGAGTATCACAGGAGCCCAAGGAGGTCGAGGCTACAGTGAGCTGTGATCGCACCACTGCACTCCACCCTGGGGGACAGTGAGACCCTGTCTCAAAAAAAAAAAAAAAAATTTTCTACTATTTGGCTAGTCAGCGGTAGAGTTCGTATAGGACAGGTAGGGTAAATGCTTGACTCTCCTTTTATTTGCCAGTTTTCACTATAAGGAATTGGTTTCCTTCTGTCGTTTGTAAGTTATGGTAATTTATAAATCTGGTAATCCATAAATTATATATATTATATATACAGAGAGAGAGAGCGAGCGAGAGAGAGAGAGAGTGTCTCACTCTGTTGCCCAGGCTGGAGTGCAGTGCCACGATCATAGCCTCCACCTCCTGGGCTCAAGCAATCCTCCTGCCTCAGCTTCCAAGTAGCTAGGACTACAGGCTTGTGCCACCAGACCCAGCTAATTTTTTTTTTTTTTGGTAGAGTAGGAGTCTTGCCATGTTGCCCAGGCTGGTCTCGAACTCTTGGCCTCAAGTGATTCTCCTGCCCCTGCCTCCTGAAGTGTTGGGATTACAGGCATGAGCCACTGTACCTGGACAGTTAATGGATGTTTAGGATAAAAATTCAAATACTTGAGAAGTACCAACATTAAAACGTGAAAGCCTGCCCCCACACACCCCATCTCTAGGTGAAACCATGACTGATGTGTCTCTTCCAAATCTCCATCAGTGTGGGCACAGGCACATTTTAAGAAAGAATGAAAACCACCTCTCTTTAGTTTGGGTCTGAGGTATGGCCCTATTACCTTCCCTTTATGAGTGACTATTGGCAAGTAAGCTGCATGTCTCTTGTGACCCCAATTCCTGCTCCCCTAGTGAAATGGGACCAACGAGTCCCATCTCATCAGGGCTGCTACAAGAAGCAACTGAAATACTGCTGGGAGGTGACTGCATAGTACTTAGCACACAGGAAGAGCTCGACAAAGGGGCAATTCCACTCTGGCTTACACTGCCCATCCCAACCCTCCAGGCATCTGACTGCAAAAGCCCTTCTTTGGCCAACAGCTTTCTGCATGCCGGCAATGGTTCAATGCTTTAGGTGCAGTGAGTCACTGAACTGCCTGACTCCTCTTTGAGGCAGGATTATCCCCAACTTATAGAAAACAAAATCAAGGCCCAAATAGTCACTTTCTCCAAGTTACACAGTGTATTAGTCCATCTTCTGTTGCTATAACTGGGTAATTTATAAAGAAAAGAAATTTGTTTCCTATAGTTCTCGAGGCTGGGAAGTCCAAGGCCAACAGACTGCCTCTGGTGAGGGTCGTCCTGCTGGTGGAGACTCTACAGAGCCCTAAAATGGCACAACGCATAACATGGTGAGGGAACTGAAGCAATGTCAAGCTGGCTTTTACAACAGACCCACTCTCATGATAACCCATTATTCCATGAATAAATGAATTCACTCACACAGGCAGAGCCTTCATGACCTAATCATCTCTTAAAGGCCCCACCTTGGCCGGGCGCAGTGGCTCAAACCTGTAATCCCAGCACTTTGGGAGGCCAAGGCAGGCGGATCATGAGGTCAGGAGATCGACACCATCCTGGCTAACACAGTGAAACCCCGCCTCTACTAAAAATGCAAAAAAAAAAAAAAAAATTAGCTGGGCATGGTGGCGGGCACCTGTAGTCCCAGCTACTCGGGAGGCTGAGGCAGGAGAATGGCATGAACCTGGGAAGCAGAGCTTGCAGTGAGCCAGGATTGCGCCACTGCACTCCAGCCTGGGTGACAGAGTGAGACTCCATCTCAAAAAAAAAAAAAAAAAGGCCCCACCTCTTAATACAGCTACATTAGGGATTAAATTTCAAGGAGTTTCGATTGGTGGGGCATGGTGGCTCATGCCTGTAATTCCAGCACTTTGAGAGGCTGAGGCGGGCAGACTGCTTGAGCTCAGGAGTTTGAGATGAGCCTGGGCAACATGGTAAAACCCCCATCTCTACCAAAAACACAAAAAGATTAGCTGGGCGTGGTAGTGCACACCTGTAGTCCCAGCTACTCGGGAGGCTGAGGTAGGAGGATCACTTGAGCCCAGGAGATGGAGGTTCCACAAGCCAAGATCACACCACTGCACTCCAGCCTAGAAAACAGAGTCTCCCTCTCAAAAAAAAAAGAGTTTCAAAGGGGACAAACATTCCAACCACAGCACACGGTGAGTAGGTGGTGGGGTGGCACGAGCTCCCATCTGCTACACAATCCCCAGGAGGCTGACCTGTTAGAGGCTCAGCTTTAGAGTCAGACAGGTCCCAGTTCAAATTCTAGTTCTACTATCTATTAACTGTGGGACCTTGTTAGTCCACCTCTCTAATGCTCAGCCTGCCTCTTCTCTAAAATAAGGCTGCTATAGGATGAAGTGAGCTGATGCCTACACAGGGCTCAGCAGAGACCCAACTCACTAAGAAGCTGCTAAATAAGTGGTGCTTGTTGTCTACTTATCTGTCCAATGATGACCAAGCACCTACTACGAGCCAGCCCCTGTGCTAGGTACAGGAAAAAAGGGGGCAGCCAGTTCCTGTCCTTATGAGATTTAACCTGGGTGTGTTACATTGAATTACAATGAAAATGCTTTGTAAAACTCTTAAGAACAGCCAAACACACACACACACACACACACACACACACACACACACGTATGAAAGAACTGGTCACCTCTGAAGGATGACATGACAGAAGGAAACCAATTCCTTATAGTGAAAACTAGCAAATAAAAGGAGAGTCAAGCATTTACCCTACCTGTCCTATATGAACTCTACCGTCGACTAGACAAATAGTAGATAAATTTTTTTTTTTTTGAGATAGGGTCTCACTGTCACCCAGGCTGGAGTGCAGTGGTGCTATCACAGCTCACTGTAGCCTCAACCTTCTTGGGCTCCTGTGATACTCTCACCTCAGCCTCCTGAGTAGCTGGGACTACAGGTGCACACCACCACACCTGGCTAATTTTTAAATTTTTTGTAGAGATGGGGTTTCACCACGTTGCCCAGGCTGATCTTGAACTCCTGAGCTCAAGCAATTTGCCCACCTCAGCCTTCCAAAGTTCTGGGATTACAGGCATGAGCCACCATGCCCAGCCAAAGGATGTCTTGTAAAGTGTTCCAACTAATACATGAAAAGAAATGATAGCGCCATTTTGCAAGCCCTGATGAATGAACAGGTGATAAGGCAGAAAGCATCACTATCTGCCAGGACCACAAACAGGGGGCACAAGAGATTCTTGGTAAAAGGATTGACCATGAGTCTAATCAAGCCTCTGGACCTAGCTGCCAACTGGGAATAAACTCAACTGCACCACAAGGATGGAACCAGAGAAAACAGACTGAGGAATTCTACAGGTCGAACCATGCCAGTTCCTCAAAGGACCGAATAACTGTTCTCTAACTAACAGCTGAGAACAGAAGGGGATGGAGGAGGAACCCAAAGATTAAGAGACACAGAAGACATTAAAAAACAAGAAGGGGCAAGGGATTGTGCATTTGAGTAATAAAGCAAGTGGTAATCATAAAAATCAGGTTACTTATTGGGGATGCGAGAGGGCTATGACAGAGCCCACGAAGGACTTCTGGGGTGGATGGCAAAAAAAATTCTCACTCTTGATCTAGGTGGCGTTCGCCTTCATTAGGTCATGCATTTGATGTGTGTGCATTTCTGCACCTGTGATTTTACAATAAAAAAACTTTTTTAAATTAGGCATATACTAAACAGCATCCTCCTCTTGCTGCTTCGTGGGAAAAGACAGAAGGTGAGAAGGGCAGAAGCAGGGAGTCAAAGGAAAAAGGCCAGTTTGATAATCCAGGTGAGAAATGGTGGCAGCAATGGAGGGGGTGAGAAGTGGTGAGATTCCAGATATTCAGATAACGGTGCTGACAAGGTTTCCTGACGAATAACATGGAGGGTGTGAAAGACAGAAGACCCTGGGATGGCTCTACGTTTTTAGCCTGAACAGCTGGAAGGACAAAGTTGCCACTTACTGAGACATAGGAGAAGCAGCTTTCAGGACAGAGTCTGAGTTTGGTTTGGGACATGTAAAGTTTGAGATATCCTGTAGATTGTCATGGCCGAATAATGCCGCCACCCCACACAAAGATGTCCCTGTCTTAATTCCCAGAACCCATGAATATTATCTTACATGGCGAAAGGGACTTTGCAGCTGTGATTAAGAATCTGGAAATGGGGAGATTATCCTAGATTATCTGGGTTGGTCCTAAATGTCATCACAAGGATCCTAATAAGAGGGAGACAAGGAATCACAGGAGAAAAGAGGTGATGCCATGACAGAAGCAGAGATTAGAGTGATGCGGCCAGGAGCCAATGAATATAGGCAGCCTCCAGAAGCTGGGAGAGGCAAGGACTGAATTCTTCCCTAGGGCCTCCAGAAGGAACGCACCCTGCTGACACCTTGGTTTGAGCCCCGTGAGATCATTTTGGGATTCAGACCTGAAGAACTGTAAAAGAATAAATTTGTGTTGTTTTTAAGCCCACAAGTTTGTATTATTTGTTACAGCAGCAGTAAGACCCTGAAACAGTCGTCCCAGTGGTGATGCTAAGCAGGAATTGGGTGGACGAGCAAGGGGGATCCTGTTTCCGCTTACAACAAATCCTGTCCCTCCTCTGCTCCAAACCCTCCAACGGCCTCCGGATTCACCATATTTAAAGACAGAGACCATACAATGATCTCCAGGGCCCTAAAGATCTGGCCCCAGCTGCCACTCAGGGCTCACCTTCTCCCCCTTTCCTGCTCATCCACTCTGCTCCAGCCACACCAGCTTCCTTGCAGCTCCCTGAACACACCTGCCAGACCCCATCTTAGAGCCAAGATTGTGTCCCTCAGTTCTCTGCTGAAATGCCTCTTCTCCATGAAGCCTTCTCCCACCCCTCTGTATAAAACAGCAAATCTACCCTGGGCCTCCCTATCCCTTTCCTCCATAATCCTTAATACTGCCTGCATTCTATGGGATTTACTTAATGCATTTTACTGTGTGGTATGGGTTGAACTGTAACCCTCTAAAAAGATACAATGAAGTTCTAACCCCCAGTACCTCAGAATTTGCCCTTATTTGGAAATGGGGTCTTTACAGAGGTGATCAAGCTGAGATGAGGTCATCAGGGTGGGTCCTAATCCAAAACGACTGAAGTTGTTATAAAAAGGAGAAATGGGGACACAAAGACAAACACAGGCTGAGGGAAGACAATGTGAAGATACAGGGAGGACATCCTGTGAAGATGAAGGCAGAGATTGAGGTGATGCCTCTCCAGGCCGAGGAACACCAAAGCTGGCCACCATCTGCCAGAACACAGGGGAGAGGCCTGGCTCACAGCCTCAGAAGGATCCAGCCCTGCCAACACCCTGATCTTAGACTTCTGGCCTCCAAGACTGGGAGACCACCAATTTCTGTTGTTTTCAGCCACCCAGTGTGTGGTACTTTGTTACAGCAGCCCTAGCAAGCTCATACACTGTCACCCGCAATAAAGTAAGCTTCATGAGGGCAGGAACCACCTAAACCGTTTCCCTAGTCCAGACTTACAACAAAGCCCACTCATGACAGGCACAGAGTAAATACTTGTTGAATGAGGCAAAGCAGCACATGGTCCTGATAGCTGTTTTGGGACAAGGGAAGGAGCTCATGAAGGATGGAACCCATACTAAGTGAGGTTCAAGATGGGGACAATAAACTGAGTCCCAGTCACACCTGCAGATCATGACAGCCCTACCTCTGGACTTTTGGTTATATAATTAATAGTCTCCTGACTGCGTAAGTCAATTTCTGGTACTTATAACAGAAACTGTTGCTGTCTATATCCTGTCAAGAGTAGCAGCCAAGCAGGAGCCAGATCAAAGAGGACCTTTGAGGGGCTTCCTTTCCTCACACTCCCAGACTGCGCTGGACAAGGCCCCTGTCACAGTGATGAAGGAGGTGGGAAGACGGGGCAGACTAGATCCTTGAGGCACTGGGGAGCCACAGGAAAGTGACAAGGTCAGAGCACATATTTGGCAATCATTTACCCTGTGTGCTAGACCACATTGTGGGCACTGGGGACATGGACGTGTGTCAGACCTGTTTCCTGGCCTCATGGAGCTCATGGTCTGACGGAGAGACACGAGGGAGGTAGGACTGTGGCAAAGGGAGGTATCGGGGACTGTGTGGGCCAAGGGGGAGAGGGAGGCCATTGCCTTGAGGTCAGGGAAAGCTTCCTGGAGGGAAGGTCATTCAAGTTGGATCACTAAGGATGAACAGATATTTACCAGATAGAGAGATGGTTTCATGCATCATTCATTGATTCATTCATTCATTCAACTAACACCTCATGAGGCTTCCTGTGTTCCTGGCCTGTGCTGGGCCCTGGGGACCCAGAGATGAATCCCCATCAGTTCCTGTCCCCAAGGAGCATCTAGTCTGGTGGGGCTGACAGATATGGGCAGGAACATCCATATCTAGGTGGATCTGTGCTACAGTGGAGGCAGCAGGGGGTACTATGGAAGGCTAGAGCAGGAAAGTGCTGACTGCCTAGGGAAGGGTGGGGGAACTGAGCCGGGTCTTAAAGGCTGTGTGAGACACTACCACATGGAAAAGGGGCAGGGAATTCCAGCAGAGGGCCCAACCTGAGCAAAGGAAGCTGCTGGAAAGTACAGAATCAACTTTTACTACTAGGCCAAAGGGAGTATTTGTTATCTAGAGAAATGACAGAAGATGGTGCAAAGAGGGTAGAAGCCAGAACACACAGGAAGGCTGAAAAACCTGGAATTTATTCTATAAGCAATAGGGGTTCCCAGAAGAGTACAAACAGGAAAGAACAGCATGCGAGCTTTCCTTTAAAAAAGATCGCCTGGGAGCCACCATGGGACAGGGAGGCCAAAACAAAGGAAGGCCAGCTTTCCTGCCATGGGGGTGACCAATCAACACAGAGCGACCTTCAACTCGCCTCGGCCACAAAGGAAGGCCAATTTTTCTGCCTTTGGGTGTGACCGATTAGGACAGAGCGACCTTCAACTCACCTCAGCCATGGCCAACTGGGGTTCAGTAGCCTCTTTTAAGCTCCTCCTCCTTCCCCTCCGTGTTCCCGGCTGGCAGGGCTGTGGGAAGCACAAGGGAGCTGTGAGAAAGCCTCCCTTCCACCCATGGCTGACTCGCTGTCCATGCTGACGAGCCCCCAAAATGTCCAGGAGGAGGAGGACAAGTCCCAATGTGAGTCTCCCTGCAGGGGACAACAACAACTATATTTACTGAAGCCACCTCAGCCCCACATTTGCACTGTGCTTCAGAACCTACAGAACAGCTTCGCCACCAACAATGGTGGGTTAGCACCTAACAGTCAGTCAGCACATGTTTAGGAGATTTGGTGATGAAAGTCTATGGCCACAGTGGGAGCTTCTGTCTTGCTCACTGCTGTGTCTTAGCACCAGCATGGTGCCTAGTACGCAGTAGGTGCTTTAACAGTAGGTGTAAAAGTACCTACAGTTGTTGACAGAACGAAGGTGTCTAAAGAACCAATGGAACAATGCTTCTGGGATTTCTGATTATCATCTCTGGAATTTGAGTTCAGGTAAATTGGCCTCCGAAACTGTTACTCTTTTTTGGAGACACGGTCTTGCTCTGTTGCCAGGCTGGAGTACTACAGTGGCACAATCATGGGCCACTGCAGCTGTAATTTCCTGGGCTTAAGCAATCCTCCAACCTCAGCCTCTCAAGCAGCTGGGACTACAAGCATGTGCCACCACATCCAGCTAATCTTTTTCACTTTTTGTAGGGACAGGATCTCACTTGTTGCCCAAGTTGTTCTCAAACTCCTGACCTCAAGTAAGCCGCCCTCGTGGGCCACCCAAAGTGCTGGGATTACAGTTGTGAGCCACCGCACCTGGCCACTATCTCTACAACAGAAATATTTCAACTTTTGTTTTAACCGTGACCCACAGTAACACCACCAATATGTAGAATAGGCCAGGCACAGTAGCTCACGCCTGTAATCTCAGTACTTTGGGAGGCCGAGGTGGGCAGATTACTTGAGGTCAGGAGTTCAAGACCAGCCTGGCCAATATGCTGAAACCCCGTCTGTACTAAGAATACAAAAATTAGCTGGGCTTGGTGGGACGTGCCTGTGATCCCAGCTACTCGGAAGGCTGAGGCAAAGAATCACTTGAACCCGGGAGGCAGAGGCTGCAGTGAACCGAGATGGTGCCACCGCACTCCAGCCTGGGCAACACAGTGAGACTCCATCTCAAAAAAGAAAAAAAAAAAGTATCATGACTACTCAAACACACAGTGTAACTAAACAAAAGCTTCATGAAGCAATACTTACCCTGCAATGTAAGATGCACTGGGATGTTTTCTATTCTAGTCTCTTTTATTCTACTTCATTAAAAAATCATAGTCACTGCCCACCTAGTTATTTTCATGACCCATAATACGCAAAACTGTACCACAGACATTTTTACCCATTTGTATCCACTGCGTGGACCAAGTAGCACATATCTGCGGAGTGCTGAAAGCATTTCATATCACAAAGCAGCACGGATCACTTAACAATGACACAGGTCCACAAATTCTTCAAACTCCAAGGCCAGATGTGCTTTGAAATTCAACTTTTATTTTCAAAAGGTGATATGGCATATACATGGCATATTTCATTAAAATCCCAGTGCAGGGCTGGCCGCAGTGGCTCATGCCTGTAATCCCAGCACTTTGGGAGGCCAAGGCAGGCGGATCACGAGGTCAGGAGATCCAGACCATCCTGGCTAACGCGGTGAAACCCCGTCTCTACTAAAAATACAATAACAAAATTAGCCAGGCATGGTGGTGGGCGCCTGTAGTCCCAGTTACTCAGGAGGCTGAGGCGAGAGAATGGTGTGAACCCGGGAGGTGGAGCTTGCAGTGAGCCGAGATGGCGCCATGCACTCCAGCCTGGGCGACAGAGCGAGACTCCGTCTCAAAAACAAAAACAAAAACAAAACAAAACAAAGTCCCAGCGCAGTGTGGATCAGGCTGCATTTCATAATTGAACACTTTACCCTAGAGAAAAGTATCATCGTTCATTCTAGGTAGAATAATTTAAAGTTATATTTAAAAAATACCCTGTAGTAGTTCAGGTAAGGCACGGACACTAAATTTATGAAAAAAAATTTGTTGTTCTGAGTTGTCCAGATTTTTGAGACTACAAATATGGGAATATGGTAGACCTACAATAAATGCTAATTCTACTGAACAATGAGTTTTTCTACATGTCAGAGGTTAAGCCTCAACCTACGAGTATAACTCAGTTGACAGATATTTGGCCCATAATGTTTGTTGGCAGACAGAATGTTTTGAAAGAAAATTCAAGCATGGCTCACTAGTCTCAAACTTGAAAATTGGGAAATTTCACCTAAAAATTATGTTTCCAACTTCTGAAACATCCTAGGATTTGGCAACATTGGGTCTACATCCCACGAAGTTAGTTCACTGGTGCCCATTTAAAGCTCCCCCACCAGTGCTAGGCAAGTGGGGGATGCTTATAATCCCAGCACTTTGGGAGGCTGAAAGGTGTTCGAGACCAGCCTGGGCAACGTAACAAGACCTTGTTTCTAAAAAAAAAAAATTAAAAATGAGCAAGTTGTGGTGGCACGTGCCTGTAGTCCCAACTACTTGGGAGACTGAGGTAGGAGGATCGCTTGGGAGGCTGAGGTAGGAGGATCACTTGAGCCCAGGAGTTCAAGGCTGCAGTGAGCTATGATTGTGTCACTGTACTCCAGCCTGAATGACAGAGAAAGATCCTGCCTCCAAAAAAAAATTAAATTTGTTTTTTTTTTTTTTTTTGAGACGGAGTCTCGTTCTGTCGCCCAGGCTGGAGTGCAGTGGCGCGATCTCAGCTCGCTGCAAGCTCTGCCTCCCGGGCTCATGCCATTCTCCTGCCTCAGCCTCCTGAGTAGCTGGGACTACAAGCGCCTGCCACCACGCCCGGAGAATTTTTTGTATTTTTAGTAGAGACGGAGTTTCACCGTGTTAGCCAGGATGGTCTCGATCTCCTGACCTCGTGATCCACCCACCTCGGCCTTCCAAAGTGCTGGGATTACAGGCATGAGCCACCACACCCGGCCAAAAAAATTAAATTTAAGTTTAAAAAGCGGCTGGGTGCAGTGGCTCATGCCTGCCATCCCAGCACTTTGGGAGGCCAAGGCAGGCGGATCACCTGAAGTTTGGAGTCCAAGACCAGCCTGATCAACATGGTGAAACCCCCGTATCTACCAAAAATACAGAAATTAGCCAGGCATGGTGGTGCACGCCTGTAATTCCAGCTGCTTGGGAGGCTGAGGCAGGAGAATCGCTTCAACCGGGGAGGTGGAGGTTCCAGTGAGACCGAACTCCAGCCTGGGTGACAGAGCGAGACTCTGTCATCAAAAAAAAAACACAATTCTCCCCTTCAGATGAGGCAAGTGCTCCCCAAGGCCCCGCAGCCTCACCTGGACCAGTTCTCTTCTTTCCTGTATGTCATCTGCCTGGCCCTCACAGACAGCTGAGCTTGAGATCCCTGTCTGCAGTTACCAAATCACATTCTGCCCACATCTCATATACTCTCAGCTCTGGGAGGAAAGAAACGAGGGCCCAGAGGTGGAGCCCAAGGTCATCCAGCCCAGAGTGACTTAAGCCAAACAATTATCAGGCTGAGAGACCTTGGGCCCAAGAGTCTTGCCCTTCCTTCCAGACCATTTACCTTCTCTAAGCCTTAGTTTCCACATGTACCAAATGGAACAAATACAACAGATCTATGGTCCTTTAAATGCTCCAAAAACCAGAACTTGATTTATAAACTGACCGCAAAACTTCACCTGGATTGCCACAGGCCATGTAGGGTCTTAATGTTCTCATAAGTGTGAATATTCACACCTTGCCCCACAGAAACATTTTATGACCAAAAACTGGCCCAGATTCCTCGGGGTGTGGGGGGGTGCTGCCTAATTATAAAATATGCACCCTATTAGCTTTCTAAAATCTGAAAAATTCTGATTCCCGAGATTGCCTTGGTGCCAAGGGGACCTGCACTTATGTCTCAGTGCTGCTGCGGGGATCAGAAGAGGAAATGCAACTCCAGCAGGGCGCCTGGCACACAGAAAGCACTCAAATACTGTAAATGTTAAGTACTTCAACTTCCCGAAGAACTCCCATCCATCGTCCAGCAAGATTCTGCCTAAATTTGCCAACTTCAGGTAACTCATTCCCCTCCTTCCCCAACCAAAACCAAAATAAAACAGAACCACTCCTCTCAGGGCCATCAGGGAGGCCTGGAAACCCCTTTAGCAGTTTTCTTTTCTTTTCTTTTCTTTCTCAGCTCACTGCAACCTCTGCCTCCTGGGTTCAAGCAATCCTCCCACCTCGGCCTCCCAATTAGCTAGGAATACAGGGGCGCACCACCACGCCCGGCTAATTTTTCTATTTTTTTCTTCTTTTGTGGAGACAGGGCTTCACCATCTGGCCCAGGCTAGCCTCGAAATCCTGGGCTCAAGCGATCCGCCCACCTCAGCCTCCCAAGGTGGTTTTCTTCCTTTCTTTTTTTTTTTTTTTTTTTAAGATGTAGTCTCGCTCTGTCACCCAGGCTGGAGTGCAATGGCGCGATCTCGGCTCACTGCAACCTCCAGCTCCTGGGTTCAAGCGATTCTCCTGCCTCAGCCTCCTGAGTAGCTGGGATTACAGGCCCCCGCCACCACGCTCAACTAATTTTTGTATTTTTAGTAGAGACTGGGGGTTCGAGGAACTCCTGGCTGTAAGTGATCCCCCCCGCCAAGGCTTCCCAAAGTGCTGGGATTACAGGCGTGATCTACCGTGCCCAGACCTTGAGCGGTTTTCATAACAGACTGTGAAAGACGGTTCACACCTTCACCCTGACAACCGCCGCCCAAGGCGACGCACCCTTTGCCGAAGTCGCCCCCACTTGCATTCCGTCACCTCTCAGGAAGGACCGAGCCCGCAAGTCCCTCAGCCCCAGCGTCTCCGTACCTCGGGATTGTAGTCGGCCGCGTCAACAGACGCAACCCCAGCCTCAAGGGAGCGGGAGATTCAACTCCCCGCACACGCGCCTCCTCGCAGCGACTTCCTGTGCGCGAGAAGCTTCTCTGAGCGGCTGCACCCAGGATCCTCCGCGGCAGCGCCAGGACTCTATTTCCCAGAGGGCTGTGCGGGCGACTTCTTTCGCCTTCCCATCTCCTCCTGCTTCTTCAGCCTTAGCACTGTGGGAGTAGAGTAGAAAGAGAATCAGGACCAGGCGGCATCAGTTTGTAGTCCAGATTTTTACCTTGTTAAAGAATCATCTAATTAGCTTCTTGCCTTTACTAGAAGTCAGGGAGTGTTAACCTTTTCCGAAGAGCAAGCGGTAGGTTGCCATGGAAACGCGTTGTGACGGGTTTCTGAGAAAACAAGCGGAAGTAAGGGGCGGAGTTGAGGCAGAAGTTTAGGTAATGTGACCTCTGATTGGTGGAGAGGTACCTCACGGTGCATTCCGATTGGTCTGACACTGACACATGCGCAGTAGAACCAGAAGGCGTTCCAAAGCGGCTAGAACGGAGGGGAGGGGGATGAGCAATGAGGGAATAATCCCCATTCCGTCTGGAATCAGAGGGCGGGCCTGCCGCGGAGGCATCTGGGAAACGGAGTTCCCAGGCAGGCGAAGCCCAGGGGCCGTCAGGAAGTCAGCGGCGCCTGCGCGGGCGCCTCAGATTCAGGATGCGCGCGCAGCGCTCTCCGCCCAGCGGAAGTTTTCGCTGGGCAACTGAGAAGGTGAGTCCGGGTAACTGCGGAGGATCCGAGGGTCAGGCTGCAGAAGCCCAGAATCCCACCCCAGTCCCCAAGTACAGAGGTGAGGGGAAGCGAGGCGAACGAGGGGACGTCCCCCGACCCCCTAGCCGCAGCTCGGCCGGGGCGTCCGTGACGTCAGCACGACCGTTTGTGGGAGGCGGAGGCCCCTGCTGTCGGGGTTCGGAATGAGAGCGGCTCCGGGTCGCGGGGTTCACTGGCCTCCTCTTGAGCTTCCCAAGCCACCTTGGGCTCCGTGTTGGGCATGGCTAAGGCGGAGATGGGCGGAACTTGTGGGAAGTTCGACAGCTCCTCCGCTGTGAAACTTGGCGTCTAAGTCATCCCGTGGTTTCTATGGAGGTGCGGCCGAAGGGAGGCTCTGTCGTCGCCTAGGCAATCGCCCCACCTGCGCTGAGGTGGGGTCTGACTTTTAGCCTTTTTGCTGTGCTGTTTCCTGAACTTTCTAGGAGGAACACTATACAGTAGTTGACGCATAGCAGCTGTTCCCTAAACATTTGTTGAATAAGTCAAATAAATTAAGATAAAGACTGGCCTGAGGGTTGGAGTCTTAGGGTTTCAAGTCCTGACCTGGCCATTGCATAGGTGACTTCAGCACATCCAATTTTATTGAGCGTTTACTATATGGAAGGCTCCGTGCAACCGATATTACACTACTATAACCTGGGTTTGAACGGTGCTAGTCTAATAGGCACTGTTCAAGCCCAGGTTATTATAGCAGTGTCTAAAACAAAAATCCTGCCCAGCTAATTCACATTCTCAGGGTGGTTGGGGATGCCAGACACTAAAAAAGAAATGTTAAAGAATATTTACAGGTCTGCAGTCCCTTATCTATAACTTTAAAATCCAAAACGTTCTGAAAACTGAAAGGTCTTTTTCTCTGTTTTGCAACTTACTTGGCAGGCCAACCTCACCTGGCTTTGAACTTGTTTGCTGGCAATACCCACTCTGAACTGATGTGTGACTATTTAGAATTTTTAAAGATTTTGTTGTGCAAATCATATACTTATGGAGAGTTGCCCCTGGATCTCGCCGGTGTTGTAATATGTAATAGGTTCTAAAATCCAAAAAATTTGGCTGGGCACGGTGGCTCCCGCCTGTAGTCCCAGCACTTTAGGAGACCGAGGTGGGCGGATCACCTGGGTTCAGGAGTTCGAGACCAGCCTGGCCAACATGGTGAAACCCCATCTCTACTAAAAATAAAAAAATTAGCCGGGCATGGTGGCATGCGCCTGTAATCCCAGCTACTCGGGAGGTTGAGGCAGGGAGAATCGCTTGAACCCAGGAAGCGGAGGTTGCAAGTGAGCTGAGGTCGTGCCACTGCTCTCCAACCTGGGTGACATAGCAAAACTCTGTCCATCATGCAATACATGGCAGAAGCAAGATCCAAACCCAGGCAGATTATTTCCCAAGTTTATCCTCTTAACCCCTGTACTGATCTGCTTCTAAGTGGCACGTCTTTTTTAGGGACCATCCAGCTAGATAATTCCGGCCCTGAGCTTTGAGTCTCTGGCTGGATGTCTAGATTTGCCTGAGAGATGAATGTGTACTGACACAGCTGGGGACCCCCCCCACCCACCTTCTTGGCACATTTTCTTTTGCAAAGGAGACAATGATTTATTCACTCAGCAGACGTAGACCCAGCATTTGCTCTGTGCCAGGCCTGTTTGAGGCTCTGGGCACACTGTGGCAAACAAGGCAGGGAAAAGTCCCCGCCATCATGAAGCTTACATTCTAGTAAGTCAGAGTATGTCAGGTAGTGACAAGCACTGTGAAGAAAAATAAAGCAAGGTAAGGAGGATAAAACATGCTATTAGTAAAATGGTGTCCAGGGCCAGGCACGGTGGCTCGAGCCTGTAATCCCAGGACTTTGGGAGGCTGAGGGGGATCACCTGAGGTCAGGAGTTTAAGACCAGCCTGGCCAACATGGTGAAACCCCATCTCTACTAAAAATATAAAATTAGCCAGGCGTGGTGACACGCATCTGTAATCCCAACTACATGGGAGGCTGAGGCAGGAGAATCACTTGAACTCGGGAGGCAGAGTTTGCAGTAAGCCGAGATCGTGCCATTGCACTCCAGCCTGGGCGAAAAGAGCCAAACTCCATCTCAAAAAAAAGAAAAGAAAAAACACAGTAAAATCGTGTCCAAGAAGGTCTCTGAGAAGGTGACATTTGAACAGAGAGCTAAAGAATGTGATGAGGAAGTTAACTGTGTGCACTCTTAGGGGGACAGCGTTCCAGGCAGATGGGAGAGCAGGTGCAAAGGTCTTGGGGAAGAAACGTTCTTGTCACGATTGGGGAAAAGCACCGAAGCTGTTGTGGCTGACTCAGCGTGAGCAAGGGGAGAGGTGGGAGAGGTCAGAGAGGGAACAGGGAAGTGGCAGATCATACAGGGGGCTCCTGGGCCATGGTAGGAATTTCAGCATTTATTCTGTCTAAAATGAAATCCACCATACGGTTTTGAGTAGAGGAGGGACAGGGTCTGACTTACATTTTATTTATTTATTTGTTTATTTATGAGACTGAGTCTTGCTCTGTTGCCCAGGCTGGAGTGCAGCGGTGCAATCTTGGCTCATTGCAACCTCTGCCTCCCAGGTTCAAGCGACTCTTGCGCCTCAGCCTCCCAAGTAGCTGGGATTACGGGTGCCCACCACCACGCCCGGCTGATTTTTTTTTTTGTACTTTTTTAGTAGAGACGGGGTTTCACCATGTTGTCCAGGCTGGTCTGGAACTCCTAACCTCACGTGATCCGCCCACCTCGGCCTCCCAAAGTGCTGGGATCACAGGCGTGAGCCACCGTGTCCGACCCACCATATGGGCCAGGGCAGGGACACAGACAGGGTCTGACTTAGATTTTAAGTGGATCCGTCAAGCTACTGGGTTGAAAATAGATTGTAGGGACAAGCGTAGAAGCCGAAAGTCTAGTTAGGAGGCTGCTGCAGTAGCACAAGGGAGAGATGGTGGCCTAGACCAGGCTGGTGACGGTGTCAGAACCGGGGGTGGCACATGGTTAAAAGACTCTCTTGCCGTGGTTCCACACCCAACATCAGCTTCCAGATTTAAATCTACAAGAATGTTCTGACCTGCTGCCCCAAGAACCCAGTCCGGTTTTGCGTTTTCGTTGTATAAATTGGCACCAGGTGAAGAACATGGGCTTTTGGGTTCTGGATTTCAGCTGCGTCCCCACTGTTTTCTAGGTGAGTGGAGTCAGGTCTGGGGGAAGGAGAATTGTCACCCTTTGAGCATCATTTTGTAGGTTTCAAAGATGGGATAATCATCCCTACCTCATAGAGTGGAGGGAAAGATTAAACAAAATCATGTGTCTGGCTCGCCGCTTAAGAGGTTTGTGGCCCTGGGCAAGTCATTTGCTCTCTGAGCCTCTGCTTCTCATCTCCCCAAAGGGGAAATCATTCTTACCTTGAAAAGGGTGATTGGGAAGGTTCTGTAGATAATACCTGCCGAGAACTTAGCACAGTGGTCTGCACATACTGAACTGTCATGAAATGAGAACCGTCTTAAGTGAGTGACTTGACCTCTCTGTGCAGCAGGGACTCCCTGTCCCGGTTACTATGTCTAGAGAACAAATCGTCCCACAATTCACTGGTGTAGAACCACCATTTCTTGTGCCCATGGATCCTATGGGCCAGGAATTCAGAGTGAGCACAGTGAGGTGGCCTGTTTCTGCTCCCCAGTGCCTGTGCCTTAGCAGGAAGACTTGAAGGCTGGGGTTTAAGTGGTCTGAGGACTTGCCCACTCACCCAGCAGCTGATGGTGGCTGTTGGCCAGGGGCCTCAGTTCCTCTCCACCTGAGCCTCTCCATGTGGTTTCTCTGCCTGGGCTACTTTAGGCTGCCTCATGCCGTGGAAACTGGCTTCCATGGGTGAGCATCCTGAGCGAGCCAGCCAGGTGCAAGTTGTTTTTTATGACCCAGCCTGGGAAGTCTCATGGCCTTACTGCTGCCGGTCCTCTATTGGTAGGAGCAGTCACAGCTCTGCCGAGATCCAAAGGGGGAGGAACAGAGACCCTGACTCCTGGGAGGAGGGGTTACAAGGTTCCAAAGAGCACACAGGACCAGAAATAGTCATGTGACCTGCTTTGGAAAATACAAATGCCACACTCTCCTATGAAGTGGTGATAATTCTGGAACCTGCGTCCTGGGCTGTTGTATAGACTAAACAGGATAATGCATAGAAAGTTGTCTGCCTGAGGACTCCTTCCCAGATATTGACAGCTCGCTCCCTGGTTTCCTTTGGGTCTCTGCTCAGATGCCTCCCTCTGGGCGAGGCCCTCCTTGGCCACCCTGTGTGAATAGTGACCCACCAACCTCTGTGGCATCCTGTTTTCTTCTATGGTACTTTATTGTCCTCCATAGCCCTTTCTCCATCTGACCTGTTCAGCGGTTCCTTGCTCATTTGTTTGTTAGTGTCTCTTCCCCCACCAGAACGTGCGCATCCTGAAGACAGGGGCTGTGTTGTTTCCTTTGCTGCTGTTTCCCTAGTGGCTGGCATAAACAGGAAACTCGGTGAATAGTTATAGAGTAAATGAATAAACGAATGGATTTGGCACATGCTGGTGACATGGCCAGTGCTCAGTAAACATTAGCCATTATCTTTCATTTCTATGTGAAAGCATGAGTCAGCCTCTCCACTTTTGTTCACTTACAGGTCGCTGTCAAGATGGAGTTTCCAACCCAGTAAATCCAAGGGCCAGACCGTGACCTCATAAAGGTATTATCCCTTGGGCACAGCCTCTCAAGACCTTTTTCCTTTTTCCCACCAGCAGCTGGCTCCTGCTTGTCTCCTCTGGGTTGCTGCTGGCCAGCTTTACTCCCAGAAGGAACGTTGTCATAGGTATGGCAGGGCTCACCTGGTTAGGCACTTGCTGCATCCTGGAGGCATCTTTATTGGAGGGCAGTCAGCATCTGGGGAAATTCTATTTAACACGAAGCCGTGTAAAACCATCACAGATTTCTGCCAGGTGTGGAGGCTCACGCCTATAATTCCAGCACTTTGGGAGGCTGAGGCGGGTGGATCACTTGAGGTCAGGAGTTCGAGACCAGCCTGGCCAACATGGTGAAACCCCATCTCTACTAAAAATATAAAAATTAGCTAGGTATGGTGGCGCCTACCTGTAGTCCCAGCTACTCAGGATGCTGAGGCAGGAGAATTGCTTGAACCTGGGAGGCAGAGGTTGCAGTGAGCTGAGATTGCACCACTACACTCCAGCCTGGGCAACAAGAGCAAAAGTCCATCTCAAAAAAAAAAAAAATTAGCTGGGTGTGGTAGCGCATACCTGTAGTCCCAGCTACATGGGACACTGACAGGAAAATCGCTTGAACCTAGGAGACGGAGGTTGCAGTGAGCCAAGATCGTGCCACTGCACTGCAGCCTGGGTGACAGAGTGAAACTCTGTCTCAAAATAAATAAAACCATCACAGATTTCTAAACAAACGCTTTGTTCACATAAGAAGTCTAGACCAGGCATGGTGGCCCACACCTGTAATCCCAGCACTTTGGGAAGCCAAGGCAGGAAGATTGAGCTTGAGCTCAGCAGTTCGAGACCAGGGCAACATAGCAAGACCCCATCTCTACAAAAAGTAAAAAAAAAAAAAAAAAAAAAAAAAAAAAAAAAAAAAAAGGCCAGGCATGGTGGCACATGCCTGTAGT
This sequence comes from Homo sapiens, assembly GCF_000001405.40. Classification (NCBI taxonomy): domain Eukaryota; kingdom Metazoa; phylum Chordata; class Mammalia; order Primates; family Hominidae; genus Homo; species Homo sapiens. The sequence goes on along the minus strand of NC_000019.10, from coordinate 50,019,645 downwards.
CCCAGATACTTGGGAGACTGAGGTGAGAGGATGGCTTGAGCCCAAGAGCTCGAGGCCGCAGTGAGCCATGATCATGCCATTGCACTCCAGCCTGAGTGACAGGGTGGGACCCTGTTGCTAAAAAATAAAAAAGAAGTGTACAGTCTGGCTAGGCTAGGCTTCAGCAACAAGCAACTTCTAAATCTTAGTAGTTTATCACAATCACACATTATTTCTCGCTAATACAACTTTCCAGGCACCAGCCTCTATACAGTTTAAAAATACATATATTTTTAATTAGCCAGGCATGGTGGCCCACGCCTGTAATCCTAGCTACTCGGGAGACTGAGGCAGGAGAATCGCTTGAACCCGAGAGGTGGAGGTTGCAGTGAGCCGAGATCGCGCGACTGCACTCCAGCCTGGGTGACAGAGCGAGACTCCGTCTCAGAAAAGAAAAAATTTTTGTTTAATTTTTTTTCTTTTTTTTTTTTTTTTTTTTTTAGAGACGGAGTCTCGCTCTTTCTCCCCGGCCGGACTGCAGTGGTGCTATCTCGGCTCACTGCAAGCTCCGCCTCCCGGGTTCATGCCATTCTCCTGCCTAAGCCTCCCGAGTAGCTGGGATTACAGGCGCCTGCCACCGCGCCCAGCTAATTTTTTGTATTTTTAGTAAAGATGGGGTTTCACCGTGTTAGCCAAGATGGTCTCGATCTCCTGACCTCGTGATCCGCCCGCCTCGGCCTCCCAAAGTGCTGGGATTACAGGCATGAGCCACCGCGCCCGGCCTTTTTTTTAATTTTTAATTTACCTGGGTACATAGTAGGTGTATATATTTATTGGGTACATCTAGGCAATTTGGTCTTGTGACACCAGTGTCAACACCCAGGTTTGCCTGGCAGAGAGGGAAGAGGCAGTGAGACCTCTAGCTTCACAAAAATGCTCACCAGTATTTGTGCCTTTGAGAAAGAGATGTTATTTTACATATTATTAGCAGGACAACAAATCACTAAGTTAGTCTGGCTAACTTAAGTTAGAATGACTGGCTTTCTAGAGAGTAAAAGATACTTGACCAACAGCCTTTGCAGTCCAGATGTCTTACATGACTCCTTTGTTTGAAAAAACAGAAGGGCAGATTTATGCCACAGAGTGTTTCTGCTCTTCTGCAGCCTGAGGAAAAGGAATCCAGGACCCCTTCTCTCCTCATGTGGCTGAGATTTCTTTCACCAGCTGATGGGGATGGCCTGTGGTTTTTAAGGACAAGCTCTATAATTTCAAAAGTCAGTACCTAGAGGAAATAGACAGGCCTGAGGAGCTCAGAACTTCCTATCAAAGAAGAAAGGGAAGAATAGAAATATTAATGACTGGAATATAGTAACTTGGGTACAAGGCATGATATGGTCACAGCAAGCACTAACATAAAAGGCTTTCTATGGGCCAGGCCCTGTTCTCAGCACCTCATATAAATGTATTCATTTAGACCTCATCGACCATTCTATCAGATAGGAGCTGGGAGAAGCCCCATTTTACAGTGGGGTAGACTGTGACACAGAGAGGTTAAGTAGCTTGCCCAGCATGTAGCAGATCTGGGATTGAAATCTGGCAGCCTGGGGCCAAACCTGTGATTTTAAGGACTCCACTGTTTGCATTTGCAACAGAAGCCAGCCTTTACAGTGAATAAAGGAAAAGGGTTTGATCAGAATGGTCTCTTGCAGCCAGGGTGGTAGCTCATGCCTACAATCCCAGCAGTTTGGGAGGCTGAGGCCGGAGGATTGCTGGAGGCCAGGAGTTCCAGACCAGCCTGGGCAACATAGTGAGACCCCGTCTCTAAAAAAAAAACTTAAAAAATTAGTCAGTTGTGGTGGCACATACCTATAGTTCCAGCTACCTGGGAAGATTGCTTGAGCCCAGGAGTTTGAGGCTGCAGTGAGCCATGATTATGCCACTGCATTCCTCCCTGGTGACAGAGTGAGACCCTATCTCTAAAAAAATTTAAAAATGAATATTCTCTTTCAAGGTGAAATTAAATCACAAGCCCATGTTTATATTAACTTCTATTTCAATAGTTTCACTTTTTTTTTTTTTTTTTTTTTTTTTTGAGGCAGAGTTTCACTCTTGTTACCCAGGCTGGAGTGTGATGGTGAGATCTCGGCTCACCACAACCTCTGCCTCCCGGGTTCAAGTGATTCTCCTGCCTCAGCCTCCCGAGTAGCTGGGATTACAGGCGTGCACCACCACGCCTGGCTAATTTTATATTTTTAGTAGAGACGGGGTTTCTCCATGTTGGTCAGGTTGGTCTTGGACTCCTGACCTCAGGTGATCCGCCCACCTCGACCTTCCAAAGTGCTGGGATTACAGGCACGAGCCACCGTGCCCGGCCAATAGTTTCACTTTTAATTGCTAATGTACAGTAAGCCTGAGACTATAAGAACAAATAAATGGCCTTTTTTTGTTGCTGCTGTTTGTTTTGTTTGTTTGAGACAGAGTTTTCACTCTTCTTGTCCAGGCTGGAGTGCAATGGCATGATCTTGGTTCACTGCAACCTCCACCTCCCGGGTTCAAGCAACTTTCCTGCCTCAGCCTCCTGAGTAGCTGGGATTACAGGTGCATGCCACCACACCTAGCTAATTTTTTTTTGTATTTTTAGTATAGACAGGGTTTCACCATGTTGGACAGACTGGTCTCAAACTCCTAACCTCAGGTGATCTGCCTGTGATGGCCTCCCAAAGCGCTGGGATTACAGGCTTGAGCCACCGCACCCGGCGTATTGCTCTTTGTTAGATGCTCGTTACAAATAGCACTGCCATAATGAAGGGCAATACAAACTGCCTGTTGTACTTCATCCTTGTTAATTTCCCTTCTTCACTTAACTGGCTTAAAACTCTTCTATATCCTCATTTGTCATAGTCTCAGTATGTAATTTGGACTTTTAAAAAGTATCAGGAATTAGCTCAGAGAGATGCAAAGCATAGAGAGTAATTTAGTGAACACTCATCATTCTACTAAATTAGTCAGGATAGAATAGGCTGTGCTGCCATGACAAATAAACCCTGAAATCTTGGTGGCTCAATACAGCAGAAGTGTATTTGTTGATCATGAGGTTCCAGTGTGGACCAGGCAGCCCTCCTTCATCTTGCTATGTCAGTTGGGAGCCATGGCCTCCAGGGCCATCCCTGCAGGTGGAGGGGGAGGCAGAGGAGGTATTCTGACTCCTAACTGCCTCGGCCATGAGATGACTCTACTCACACCCCATTGGCCAGAATTAGTCATGTGGCCTCTACCTTGCTGCAAGGGAACCTGGGAAGTATAGGGGAGCATATTGATATTTGGGGAACATTGACTGTCACTCCCATTCCCATTGCATGTTTTAAGAAGTGAACATCACAAACAGTTGAAGACCCTGGTTGTGCCTCCTGCCACTCACCCTGTGATTAAGAGCAGTTCAACAATACTTCCACTGACCTTCAGCTGGCCCGTTTCACTTTGTGTTTGTTCATTCTGTTTTGTAGCATGATCTCCTTCTGTCCAGACTGTGGCAAAAGTATCCAAGCGGCATTCAAATTCTGCCCCTACTGTGGAAATTCTTTGCCTGTAGAGGAGCATGTAGGGTCCCAGACCTTTGTCAATCCACATGTGTCATCCTTCCAAGGTAAGAACCAGAGCATTGAGCCTGTTTCTGCGGTGGGAATAAGGTGCATACACGTGTGTGTCTGCGGAGGGAGGATGCCTTTGCAGCCTGTCTGACCCTGTCCTGACACTGGAGAAGCCCAGGCCTCAGGACTGGACCCCTCTGTCTACCATCAGTCTCTTGGCCTCTTATTGGCCTCATGGCTTTGAACACTGTCTCCATGTTAACATCTCCTTCATTTCTATCTCCAGCCAGCCTGGACTCCCCTGCTTGGAGGAGATATATGTGCAGCCTGCCAGCTTGGCACCTGCAGGTTGAGTATCCCTTATCCGAAATGATGAGGACTGGAAGTATTCTGATTTTGGATTTTTTCAGATTTTGGGATATTTGCATTATACTTACTGGTTGAGCATCCTGATTCAAAAATCTGAAATCTGGCTGGGCACAGTGGCTCATGCCTGTAATCCTAGCACTTTGGGAGGCTGAGGCAGGCAGAGCACTTGAGGTCAGGAGTTCAAGACCAGCCTGGCCAACATCCTGAAATCTCATCTCTACTAAAAATACAAAAATTAGCTGGGCATAGTGGCGCATGCCTGTAATCCCACCTACTTGGGAGTCTGAGGCAGGAGAATTGCTTGAACCCAGGAGGCGGAGGTCGCAGTGAGCCGAGATTGCACCATTGCACTGCAGCTTGGGCAACAGAGTGAGACTCGATGTCAAAAAAAAAAAATCTGAAATCCACAGTAGTCCAGTGAAATTTCCCTTGAGCATCCTGTTGACACTCAAAGTTTCAGATTTTGGAGCATTTTGCATTTCAGATTTCCGGATTTGGGATGCTCAGCCTGTGTTGGATGTCCTGGTCACATCTTAGTCTGAACATGCCTTCACCTGAGCTCCTGGTGTTCCTGCCGCCTGCCCTAGACTTCCCCATTGCCATGAATAGCACTCCATTCATCCAGTTTCCCAGGCCGGACCCTGGGGATCATCCTTGAGTTCTCTTTGTCTCGCACCCCGTGACACACCCACCCCTTCAGCAAATCTTGTTGGCTCCCTCTTTACAATCAGTGCAGTATCAGCCCACTTCCTTCTCCGCACCTCCCACATCCCTGGTCCTCACCTCTCTTATGCAGAAGCCTTCTTGCCCTCTGCTCCCCTCTCTTGTCCCTGTAGTCGTCTTCACGCAGCCACCAGAGAGATCCTGTGAATACAGTCAGAGCCCATCATTCCTCTGCTCATACTTCCCCAAGTGAGGTGAAGGGACCAGGTCCCCATTTCCCCTCAGACCCCACCTCCCGACCCTCCTGCTATTCCAGCCACACTGGCCTCCTGGCTGCCCCTCCACACCTCAGCACGCCTGGGCCTCAGCCTGTGCGCTTGCCGCTCCCTCCTGGACGCCTCTTCCCTTATGGGCCTGCATGCCCCACTCTTTCACTGCCTTCAGGTTTTGTTTTTAGTTGTTTTTGTTTTTGAGACTGAGTCTTGCTCTTTCGCCCAGGCTGGGGTGCAGTGGCGCAATCTTGGCTCACTGCAACATCTCGGCTCACTGCAACCTCCGTCTCCCAGGTTCAAGCAATTCTCCTGCCTCAGCCTCCCAAATAGCTGGGATTACAGGCGCCTGCCACCAAGCCCAGTTGATTTTTTGTATTTTTAGTAGAGACAGGGTTTCACCATGTTGGCCGGCTGGTCTCAAATTCCTGACCTCAAATGATCCACCCGCCTCGGCCTCCCAAAGTACTGGCATTACAGACGTGAGCCACCATGCCCAGCTTTGTTTTTTTTTAAACAGTCTCGCTCTGTCACCCAGGCTGGAGTGCAGTGGCCCCAATCTCAGCTCACTGCAATCTCCGCCTCCCGAGTTCAAGTGATTCTTGTGCCTCAGTCTCCCGAGTAGTTGGGATTACAGGTATGTACCACCATGCCCGGCTGATTTTTATATTTTCAGTAGAGATGGGGTTTCACCACGTTGGCCAGGCTGGTCTTGAACTCCTGGCCTCAAGTGATCTACCTGCCTCAGCCCCCCAAAGTGTTGGGATTACAGTCATGAGCCACTGCGCCCAGCCATGCCTTCAGATATTTATTCAATTGTTACTTTCTCAGAGACACTTTCCCTACCACTACTAATTAAAGTTGCATCTTCCCTCTATGCAATGATCCTGTCCCCCTTCCTTGCTGTGTATTTCTTTTTGGTACTTGTCTCAACCCTATTAAATACATTATTTTGCTTGGATTGCTTCTTCTGTAAGCTCCATAAGGACAGAAACTTTTTGTGTTTCTGTAACCTGTGTTGATTGTGGTTTTGTAACCTGCTGTTTGCACAGCACCTGGGTCTGTGCCTGGCATGGTATTGGGTGCTGAGAAATCTTACTGACTGGTTGAATGAATTAATTAAATATCAGTAGTAGGTCTTGCTCACTGGAAGGCCCAAGCCCAGATACTATATTGGTAAATCAAAGAAGGTTTATCCATCGGACAGTTGTGCAGAAGGCAGTCAGCATACATGGCGGGGAGTCAAGTGACATTCATTTTATCATTTGGGAGTGTGTTTAGCTGCAGATAACAGAAAATGCTATGACAAGGGTTTAAACAAATGATTAGGTTTATTTCTTCTTTTCTTTCACTGGCAAGTATGTAGAGCAATATTTTTCTTACTAAAAGGGGACAGTGCGTATTGGGATGGTGTCCCCATGATGCCCTAAGGGACCCAGGCTCCTCTGTCTTTGCACTGAGCCATCCTTAGCATATGGCTTTTGTTCCCATGCTTACTGCCTTGAGGTCTCAAGTTGACTTCTTCATCTCCACAGTTCCAGGCAAATGTGAACAGCGTTTGCCTTGGCCCAACTTGAGAGTCAGAGTGTTTTTTTTGTTTTGTTTTGTTTTTGAGACGGAGTCTCGCTCTGTCGCCCAGGCTGGAGTGCAGTGACGCGATCTTGGCTCACTGCAAGCTCCACCTCCCGGGTTCTCTCCATCCTCCTGCCTTAGCCTCCCGAGTAGCTGGGACTACAGGCGCCCACCACCACGCCCAGCTATTTTTTTGTATTTTTAGTAGAGGCGGGGTTTCACCGTGTTAGCCAGGATGGTCTCGATCTCCTGACCTCATGATCCACCCGCCTCGGCCTCCCAAAGTGCTGGGATTATAGGTGTGAGCCACTGCGCCCGGCCTTTGTTTTTTTAAGACAGAGTCTTGCTCTGTCGCCCAGGCTAGAGTGCAGTGGCACGATCTCGGCTCACTGCAACCTCTGCCTCCCAGGTTCAAGCGATTTTCCTGCCTCAGCCTCCGTAGTAGCTGGTATTACAGCCGCGCACCACCACACCTGGCTAATTTTTGTATTTTTAGTAGAGACCGGCTTTCCCCATGTTGGCCAGGCTGGTCTTAAACTCCTGGCCTCCCAAAGTGTTGGGATTACAGGCATGAGCCACTGCACCCGGCCAGAGTCAGTTCTTAACCCAACCCCTGCCTTTCCTAATGCTAACCTAGAGCCCAGTTCATTATTCACTCCATCAGTCATCAGATGGCAAATATGTATGGGTAACCTGCCATGTGCTGAGGTGCTGTATTTGTCCCGAGGATTATAGTAAGAAATGAGACAGCCCTGGTTTCTGGTCTCTCAGTAAGACAACAGACATTGAATAAATGATTATCAGCAGGTTGCATGATAACAGAGGGGAACTGAATGGACCCTGGAACATATATAAGGGAACATGCTTTTCAGGGAATCAGGGAAGATCTCCCTAAGTGGGTAAAGTTTGAGCTGAGCTAGGGATGAAGAAGAATGGGCCAGGCACAGTGGCTCACGCATGTAATCCCAGCACTTTGGGAGGCTGAGGCAGCCTGATCACCTGAGGTCGGGAGTTTTGAGACCAGCCTAAACAACATGGAGAAACCCTGTCTCTGCTAAAAATACAAAATTAGCTGGGCGTGGTGGTGCATGCCTGTAATCCCAGCTACTCGGGAGGCTGAGGCAGGAGAATCGCTTGAACCCGGAAGGGAGAGGTTGCGGTGAGCCAAGATTGCGCCATTGCACTCCAGCCTGGGCAACAAGAGCAAAACTCCGTCTCAAAAAAAAAAAAAAAAAGAATGAGCAAGGTGGGAGTTGGCACATGTGTTCCAGCCACTGGGACATGGTATGGGGAGCAGAGGTGAGGCGAGGGGAGCCAGACACACTGGAGGAGTGAGGAACATTTCCACCTGGGGGAAGACAGGCAGGACCACGGGAGGGAGTTTGGTTTTAACTACACACTGGAGGAGTGAGGAACATTTCCGCCTGGGGGAAGACAGGCAGGACCACGGGAGGGAGTTTGGTTTTAACTACACACTGGAGGAGTGAGGAACATTTCCGCCTGGGGGAAGACAGGCAGGACCACGGGAGGGAGTTTGGTTTTAACTACACGCTGGAGGAGTGAGGAACATTTCTGCCTGGGGGAAGACAGGCAGGACCATGGGAGGGAGTTTGGTTTTAACTGTGGTGACGTGGAGAGCTGCGGAAGAGCTTCTACCAAGTAGGCAACACAATAGGCTTTGCATTTTGGAAAGATTTCTGTGGCTTCTCTGTGTGGAAAATGGATTCGAGGCATGGAAACCAGTTAGGAGGCCATTCCAGTAGCCCAGGGACCAACCATGCTGGCTGAGTTAGTCAGTGTCAACTAAAAAGAAAGGACATTTGTTTTTAGCAATATGGCAGACCAGATGATAATAAAAACTCCTTATTGTTCAGTGTGCCCAAATATGTGGAATAAAACATTAAAATGTCCTTTTAAAATATAGAGCTAAGTGGTAGGAAAGTAAGGGGAGTCCATGGAGATGAGAAACAACAGGAAAACAGAGACCACAGGGCTAAGCAAGTGTTACATAGGTGTTATTTGTCCTGGGGCTGTTTGCTGATGGCCTTGAGCCTGTGTTTTATTGGGGTGCAGGAGACAAAGCTTAGGGCCTTAGCAGTACAGGAGTTGCAATTGGAAATTTCCTCTCAAATCTGGGGCTCCTCAGTGGGTGAACTACAACAAAAGCAATTGTTCCACAGAAAATTGGTGGAGACATTTGTCGCCTTGGTGGTGGGTAAATAAAGGAGGAATGTCTTCTTTGAGAATTCCCTTTTTTGTTTTTGTTTTTTGTTTTTTGTTTTTGTTTTTGTTTTGAGACACAGTCTCACTCTGTCATCCAGGCTAGAGTGCAGTGGTGTAATCTTGGCTCACTGCAACCTCCACCTCCCGTGTTCAAGCGATTCTCCTGCCTCAGCTTCTCAAGTAGCTGGGTTTACAGGCACCTGCCACCACACCCAGCTAATTCTTATATTTTTAGTAGGGACGGGGTTTCACCATGTTGGACAGGCTGGCCTCAAACTCCTGACCTCAGGCGATCCACCCGCCCTGGCCTCCCAAAGTGCTGGGATTACAGGCATGAGCCACCACGCCCAGCCTTCTTGGAGAGTTCCTAACCAAGAATTCACGTTCTCACCAGTTTGGGGCCAGAATTCACACTGATCTGTGTGGTCCCCCAAAATGCAAGCTGAACATTTAACTTAAAGTGGTGAGATGTGGGTACCACTCCCTGCCTGATATAAACAAATCTTCTCTTGGAAAACATCCTTTAAAGACAAACATCAGGGAATTACCACAGGTCAACATCCAAGGATCATGAGTACCAGTCTCTGTTGATTTACAAAGACACCAGGAAATAAGCTAGCTGGAGAGTCAGCAGAAACAACAAACTGCAGAATCGGACCTGCCAAGACCACAGACTTTAGAATTAATAGATGAGAATGTTTACAAAGCATGCTTAATACATTTAAATAAATAAAATAACAAATTGAAAGTATAATGAAGGAATAGGTTAAAGTTGCACAGGCAAATAAGAGAAGGAACCAAATAAAAACTCTAATGATTGTATGTGTGTATATGTATATGTGTGTGTCTATATATGTATATATGTGTATGTGTGTATATATATACACACAATCATTGTATGTGTGTATATGTGTGTGTGTGTGTATATATATATAAAATAATTATTGTAATCAGAAACTCGGTGGGTGGTTTAAACAGCAGACTAGACATAGCTGGGAGAATTAGTTAACTGGAAGATAGATTTTAAGAAATTACATGGAAGAGGCCAGGCATGGTGGCTCATGCCTGTAATCCCAGCACTTTGGAAGGCTGAGGCTGGCCGATCACTTGAGGTCAGGAGTTCAAAACCAGTCTGGCCAACATGGTGAAACCCCATCTCTACTAAAACTATAAAAATTAGCAACATTACAGGCATGTTGGTGCATGCCTGTAATCCTAGCTACTTGGGAGGCTGAGGCAGGAGAATTGCTTGAACCCAGGAGGCAGAGGTTGCAGTGAGCCAAGATTGCACCACTGCACTCCAGCCTGGGCAACAGAGTGAGACTCCATCTCAAATATACATACATATAAAGACATTATGTGGAAAGGACACAGAGTGGCAAAGTGCTGGAAGATACAAGAGAGGCAAAGACCTAAGAAGGAGAGAACAACTAAAAGGAACAGTTTGCTCATATATTTACATAATAGAAGAAGCAAGAATTGGTGTTGAGGGCCAAAGAGAACAGCATAGCTGAGTATAACCTCAGGGCTCCCAGTCCAATGGTGCCTGCAGAGGGGCCTTTGTAACTCCAGTCTGCATTTTGTCTGCCTTTCTTTAGGCTCAAAGAGAGGGCTGAACTCCAGTTTTGAAACCTCTCCTAAGAAAGTGAAATGGTCCAGCACCGTCACCTCTCCCCGATTATCCCTCTTCTCAGATGGTGACAGTTCTGAGTCTGAAGATACTCTGAGTTCCTCTGAGAGATCCAAAGGTAAGAGTTAAGGTCTATCTGGCCTGACTCTTAAGTGGAGCAAAGTTAGGTCATCTGATGATCTTTGGGACAAAACTGCCACAGCCCCGGCTCAAACATCATCCATCCCTGCCTGGACTCTGACTCCAGCAGCTTCCCCAGCCTCCCATCTCCCCCTCCAGTCTGCCTCTATATGGCCCCAGATGGGTCTTTCAGCACCTAGAGCTGCCCCGGCCCCTCCCTGCACACAGACCCCTACTGTTCCTGGTGCCCTCAGACCAAGCTCTTCAGTCTGGTATCTGTGTGGCCTGGTTCCTGCTTTAGCCCTCAACACAGTCTTTGCCCAGAAAACACTTTTGGGGATTAACCTTGGTCTTTGCTAAGCCTGTTCCCTCAGCCCAGGGCACTCTCACCTTCGTTCTTGGCCTTGTGTACTGCCACTCAGCCGATACTGGTCTCTAGGAAGCTTCTCTTGAGTGCCATAGGCTCGCATCCAGACCTCCTCATCGTCCGCCAGAGCCTCTTTCCAGCCTCTTTGGCGCCCCCCCGTGCCTGCTGCAGCCTTCATTGGAGCGCATGTCAGTCTAGGCTCCACATCCCTTTCGGCCTCACTTTCTGGGCTGGGGGCCCTTTGCAGGTAGGGACCCAGCACAATTAGTGTATATACCCTCTGCCCAGCCAGTGCCCAGGACACGGGAGGCCTGAGGACTATGTTCCTTCTCCTGTTCACTGAGCCCCTGGATCTGAAGCCACAGCCACAGTGGCAGTGTGAGGCGTCCCCTTTGCTCCTCATTATCCTCTGGGCCCAGAGGCCTCTTGCCATTACTTGCCTTTAGGGGATGGTGGGTGGGAGGAACAGAGTAAGCGATGTCTTTTCCTGTGTCCAAGTCTGTCTCCCACCACACCCACCCCATTCTCTTGCCAGGCTAGGAGCCCTTCTAGGGCAGGGCTTTGGTCTAACAAATTTTTTGGCCCTTTTCTATCTCAGGACTGAGTCCTTTTTCAGGATGTTTTTGGGTAAATGTCTAGAATGTCCTTTATTCCCTGGCAAACTTCTCCTCATCCAACAAGATCCAACTCTAACATCCCTTCCTCCAGGAAGCCTACCCTGACTTCTCCAGGCAGGATCTCTTTCTCTTTTGGGCCCTAATATCTGTCTGTACTGCCCTGTCTCAGACCCGCATCTGACTAGCTGTGTCTAGAGCAGACTTGCCCACCAAACTGGGCACTCCTGAGGGAAGGATGCAGGTCCGACTCCTATCTGGTGCCCCAACATCATCACACAAAGGCCTGACTCATAGAAGGTCCCAGGAAATGTTTGTTGAATGAACGAATTTGTAAAGGAACAGTATTTTGCGTGCTGTTTCACTCCCCATCTAACTTTTCTCTCCTGGATGGTGCTTTTACTTTATTCTTACATCCTCCTGCAGGCTCCGGGAGCAGACCCCCAACCCCCAAAAGCAGCCCTCAGAAGACCAGGAAGAGCCCTCAGGTGACCAGGGGTAGCCCTCAGAAGACCAGCTGTAGCCCTCAGAAGACCAGGCAGAGCCCTCAGACGCTGAAGCGGAGCCGAGTGACCACCTCACTTGAAGCTTTGCCCACAGGGACAGTGCTGACAGACAAGAGTGGGCGACAGTGGAAGCTGAAGTCCTTCCAGACCAGGGACAACCAGGGCATTCTCTATGAAGGTACACTCTGTCCATGGGCGGCCAGGGACTGGGTCGTCTCAGCACCAGGACAGTGGGAGGGGACCCCGTTCTGAGAATGGGAATGGAAGCCACATCCCTAGCTGCAGACCTGTCGCTAGGCAACTTTCTCTTAGACCTTGGACTCTATACCTACCCACCTGCAGGGCCGGGCAATAGTGGGAATGAGTGCAGCAGGCTGGAGTAAGGCAGTTGGGAGTGGCGGGGACTGCGGCCAGTTGGCATGTGCCCTGTGTGAAGTGTGCCCCTCCTCACCCCACCTGCTACCTGCTATTGTCACGTGGGAGTGCAGGCCCAGGGGCTGCATGTTAAGGATGGTTGTTCTGGCCAGTGTGCAGAGAGAGGATGGATCCCCACGTAAAATTTGGTTCAAACATCGAGACTGATGATGTCACACACACACCAAGAGGATGTGAGAGGTTTATTGCTTACATAATAGGGGTCTCTGTGGAGAGCAGGCAGGCCTCCCACACAGATCTGAGATGCCTTGAGAGTGAGGAAAGGAGACTGGTCAGGTGTTTCATCGTGCTTGGGGGTGGGGCTGGGCTCAGGGTTTCTGCACAGGGGCCAACACCATGCATGGTTTGAGTCTCGTGGATGCACACCCCAAAGGAGGGAGCACCCAAGCTTGCTCATCCGCTCACCCAGGTGTGGGATGGAAGGGGAGGAGGGAGGCACAAGGCTGAAAAGCTCAGACTCTGTTACAATGAGGAAAATAATTATGGCAGTAGTATTAGTATTAACTGTAATAAATATTGAGTGCTTCTGCAAGGCCAGGCCTGTTCTAAGCACTTTACATGGGTTTTTCTTTTCCTTTCTTTTCTTTTTGGAACTTTTTAATTGAGATAAAACTCACATAAAAGTTATTCTTTTATTGGCCAGGCGCGGTGGCTCACGCCTGTAATCCCAGCACTTTGGGAGGCCGAGACAGGCGGATCACGAGGTCAGGAGATCGAGACCATCCTGGCTAACGCGGTGAAACCCTGTCTCTACTAAAAATACAAAAAATTAGCCGGGTGTGGTGGCTGGCACCTGTAGTCCCAGCTACTTGGGAGGCTGAGGCAGGAGAATGGCGTGAACCCGGGAGGCAGAGCTTGCAGTGAGCCGAGGTTGCACCACTGCACTCCATCCTGGGTGACAGAGCGAGACTCCGTCTCAAAAAAAAAAATTATTCAGTGAGACTCCATGTCAAACAAAAAGTTATTCTTTTATTATTATTATTTATTATTTTTTATTTTTTTGAGAGAGAGTCTTGCTCTGTCACCCAGGCTGGAGTGCAGTGGCACGATCTCGGCTTTTAACAACCTCCACCTCCTAGGTTCAAGCGATTCTCCTGCCTCAGCCTCTCAAGTAGCTGAGATTACAAGCGCATGCCACCACACCGGGCTAAATTTTTTTATTTTTTTATTTTTATTTTTTGTATTTTTAGTAGAGACAGGGTGTTACCATGTTGGCCAGGCTGGTCTCGAACAGCTGACCTCAAGTGATCCACCTACCTCAGCCTCCCAAAGTGCTGGGATTACAGGCATGAGCCACCACGAAAATTCATTCTTTTAAAGGGTGCAACTGAGTGGCCTTCAGGATATTCAGAGTGTTATGCAACCATCGTCACTATCTAATTCCAGGACGTTTCTGTCACCCCAAAAAGAAACCCAGTAGTTCTGAGCCATCACTCTGATTCTTCCCCCAGTCCACTGGCAGCCACTAACCGCCTTTCTCCCTCCGTGGATTTGCCCCTTCTGGGTGTTCACAGAAGTGGAGTCCTGCGCTGTGTGGCCTCTTGTGTCTGGCATCCCTCACCCAGCGGCGTGTGCTCAAGGTGCATCCATGCTGTGGCGCGTCACTGCCGCACTCCTTTTATGGCTGCGTGATATTCTGCTGTATGGGAACACCCCATGTGGCTTAGCCACTTAGCAGCTGATGGGCGTTTGGGTAGTTTCCGCTTTGGGCTGTTATGAGTAACGCTGCCATGAATATTTGCTTACAAGTTATTTGATGGGCAGAGGTTTGCTAAATTCTCACCGCAGCCTTAGGATGTCAGTACTATCCCTATCCCCATTTTATACATGAGGAACATGGATCCCAGAGATGTGAATTATTAGGCTCTGGGCTCCAGAATCTTCCAAGTTTTCCAGGAAAAGCTTGAAACCTAGATTTCAATAGGAAATCTTTGAATTGGAAGTGCCTGCTGGCCAGACAGGCACGTAGACAATTTTGAGCCTTCCGTTGGCCATCCCTGCCTTGAAGTCTGGGCAGGTGGGCAGGACAGCTGGTGTTTCAGACAGCCCCGAATCTGAGTCCTGACTTGGCTCCGACACACTGAGGGAGCCCCAGCAAACAGCCCAGGCACTCTGTGCCTTGATGTCCTCCACTGGAAAAGTGAGATGACGCCTTGTCCCCTGTCTCCTGGGGCTGTTGGCTCAAATGATGATAGGAGATGGAGGCCAAGCACTTGGAAAACTGTACAGGGTCCTTCCCAGGCAGAGGTAGGCAGTGTTAATAACAGAGGGACAGATAGGCAGGGCCAGGAAAGGTGAGGGAGAGGGGAAAGAGTGTGACCAAGACCAAGCAGGAGCAAGAGAAAGAGGGCCGTGGCTAACACCTAGGGAGCACTCACCTGTGCCAGCACTTTTATTTTTAAGAGATGGAGTCTCGCTCCATCACCCAGGCTGGAGTGCGGTTGTGCAATCACGGCTCACTGCAGCCTCAACCTCCCAGGCTCAAGTGATTCTCCCCCCTCAGCCTCCCGAGTAGCTTGGACTACAGGCAGGCGCCACCACGCCAGGCTAATTTTTTAATTTTTTTTAAATAGAGACAGTCTCACTGTGTTGCCCAGGCTGGTCCCAAACTCCTGGGCTCAAGCGATCCTCCCGCCTCAGCCTCCTAAAGTGCTGGGATTACAGGCAGGATCCCATGCCAGACACTTTGGGAACTCTCTGTGTCTTACCCATGTAATGCTGCCAGCCACACTGTGAGATAGGCACCCATATTACCCCATCCTGCAACTGGGGTACAGAGAGAGGAAGCTACTTGCCCAAGGGCACACAGCCTGGAAGTAGTAGAGCTGGGATTTGAACGCAGGCACTCTGGCTTCTCCCAAGAAAGGGAGAGAAAGGAGAAGGAGAGGGCAGGGAGAAAGAGCGAGAAGGGATCATGATGAGAAGGAATGAGGGGCCGAGGAGCACAGAGGGAGGAGAAAGGGAGAAGGATGAAAACCAACAGTAAGAAAGAGATTGAGGTGAGAGAGCAGGGTGGGGAGAGGGCAGGAGGGCGGGGAAGGAAGAGGGAGAAGGAGAGGAAAACACACAGAGCCAGGAGCTCCTGAGAGAAGAAACCACGCTTGACCTCCCCCAGAAACCCACAGTGGAAGCACAGGAGGAGCTACTCTGGGCCAATGTGGTTTTGGTTTTCCCTTATATGACTCAGGTTGTTTGATAAAAATAGCAAACCCCAGTGCCCAGCCTGTGTGAGTCATCCATTCCTTCAGCAGTCCCTTTATTTATTTATTTTTTAAAGTAGAGACGATCTCACTATGTTGGCCAGGCTGGTCTCAAACTCTTGGCCTCAAGCCATCCTCCTGCCTCTGCCTCCCAAAGTGTTGGGATTATAGGCGTGAGCACTGTGCCCGGTTGCTCAGTGGATCCTTAAGCAGCACCTACCATTTCATGTGTCTGGCCGCGGTGCCAGCACAGACAGTGCAGGGAGAGCGGGGCTGGTGAAGGCCCTGCTGATGCGGAGCTTGCATTTGGGGACACACCACCATTGGGTGACATCGCCCCAGAGCAAATCGCCCTTTTCTTCTGCCAGTTTGCACCAGTCAAGAAGAGATGGTGGAGTTGTATGTCCCGTAATTTAAAGCAATAACAGTAAAACAACAAGAACAAGCTGAATCGTTATGGTTATTCGAGCAGTGGACACTTTACCCCACTCTCTGCGCCATGCTCTAAGCATTTTATTAACTCTTGTGTCTCTGTCCAGTACTGAACTATAATGTCATATATCCCGGGCCTCGCTGAGCTATAGGGGAGAACCACCATCCGTCATCAGTCACATGAATCCGTGCGGCTGCTCACTGCGGTGCACTTGGGAGAGCTGCCCGTGAGCAGCAGCTCAGGGTCGGGCCCACGCTGCCCTCTGCAGCTTCTGCCTTTGCAGATGAAAGGTGGGGCTTGTGTTAGTTTCCTGTGGCCGCTGTAACAAGTTACCACAGTGAGTGGTTTAACACAGCACATGCTTATTCTCCTACAGCTCTGGAGGCCAGAAGTCCAAAATCACTGGGTACGAAGTTTAGGTGTTGGCTCTGCTGATTCCTTCTGGAGGCCGGAGGGGAGAAGTCAGTCAGGGTCCCCAGCAGGGCCTGGGGAGGTGGAAGGCATGGGGCACCCTGGAGCTCAGTGGTGGGCTGGGCTGCCTCTGCTTGCCGCTTGTCGCTTGACCTTTCGAATGACAGCATGACCCTGTGCCTCAGTTTCTTCATCTGCAGAGGGGAGATGGTAATGCTACTGCCCTCACAGGGCTGCAGTCAGGAGAGTGAAATGAGTAGAGTGATGCCGGGAAAACGGCCACTGCCGTATATGTGCTTTCTGGTGTTAGGGTCAGGATGGGTCCCAGAACAGTGCTCCTGCTCCAAGTTCAGGACCAGCTGACCTTTGGGAAGGGGAGGTGCTCACCTGCCTGCATGCCACGCCCTGGTCTTCATTTGGCACATGTAGAGACTTTCCATTTGTCAGGTTTCCGGCAAGCAGAAACCTGGATCTGCCACCCTAGATCACAGAGTCTAGAGCCCTGGGCTTGTGGCCTGTCTCTGCTGGGGCCCTTGGCCAAGCCCCTTTTCCCTTCTGGCCTCCCTTGGCTCCCTCTACAATGAAAATTGCCCAGCTAGCTTTCCAGGCTGTTGGCTGCAGGGCCAGTTAGAAAAGTGAAAGAGAAAAGCTTTTTATAATCTGCAAAGCAGATTATAAAATTGTATCAAATTGCCAGCTTTTCCTGCTTGCCTCTGAGTACCGGGCACGTACGCATTGTCATTAACCTCATGGTGCCTCTGAGAGACAGGCACTGTTACTATGCCTGGGTTCCAGAGCTGGGCGGATGCTTGGTCATGATGTCACAGCCTGCTCCAGCATGATCCCCCCAGTGCTCTCCCCACAGCTGGAAAGGATTTTTCTTTCCCCGAGATGCGGGTCCTGCATACGTCTCCCTCTCTTCCCCTGGGCTCAGAGCACCCTTGGCCTTGAACGTGTAGAGCTGGCTCCCAACCCTGTTCCAGCTGGAGCTTCTTGAGGGCAAGGATGGCTTCTGGGTGACTTTGTCACCCCCCATCCCTCAGCTCAGTGTCTTAGACGATACCAGCCTCGATGATGAAGGGAGAGTGGGAACGATGAGAACAGAGGAAGGAGGGACACCAGCGTGAGTCAGGTGTGCGGGCGACAAGAGCTCAACTCATGGGCTTTGGGATTAGCTAGACCCAGGTTGAGCCAGCTCTGCCACTCCCCGGCTGGGGAGCCCTGGTGTTATGGGGATATTTTAAGGCCACCACCTGTGGAGCAATCCTGATGTGCCAGGGTCCGTGCTGGGCTCTGGGCTGAGTGGGTTCACTGAGCAGTGTGCGTGAAGGGGGATGCAGACTCTTGCTGCACACATCGCTGGTGCTGCTCTTACTCCTGCCAGCCTGTTGAGTCCTTGCAGCCAGTCTCGGGGTAGGCCTTACTGCTCCCATCTTACAGACATGCAAATGGAGGCCCAAAGTCATACAGAGAGCAGATGGAGGAGCTGGGATTTGAACCCTGGGTCAGCCTGGCGTTTCTTGGCCTCTCTCCTCTTCTCATCTGTCAGATGGGACCATGCATGTGAAGCCCACACTTAGCACAGGGCCAGAGACGTGGTGAGGTCTGTAAATGAACAGTAAGGGCTACTGGAGCAGGCTCTGTCGGGGGACAAGCATGCAGGGTGCTTATGGGGAGCTGCCTCAGGGATCAGAACCCAAGGAGGGGGTAAGGAGCAGGAGGTGGGCTGCGATGCAGCCCAGTGATGGCCTCAGCCGACCCTGCAGGGCTCTGGAGCAAAAGTGGTCCTTCAGCGTGCGTCCGTGTTGGGCCAGGAGAGGCTGGGCCTTTATGTCCACCTCAATCAGTCACTGGACCTGGGTCACCCTGGGATGTGGCCTTGGATGAAGTCACTCTGCCTAGGACGCACCTAATTGCCCAGCCACAGGCTGTGACAGTACATGGGAACTGTCCACCAGGAAGTTCCTCAGAGGCTCAGTGCTCGGGGCTGTTATTGGGGAGTAGTCATGTGGCCCCCTCTGTCTGACATGTATCCGCATCCCAGGTTCCCCAGAGGAAAGCAGGTGTTGCACAGAAACCACAGTGATTGCACAAGCAGTTTAGGCTCAGCGAGCCCCACTCACTTAGGGGATTCTGGGAGCCCTCCCGGAATCCAGGGTCCCAGACCTTGCCAGGAGAGCCGTCTCAGGCCTGCTGCATTAGCCCTTCCTGCATGGCTGGATAGTGACAGAGAGAAAGAGGAAGAAGAAGCTTATTTAAAACTAGGAAGCAGCAAGTCGTGAGAGCCAAGAGTGCGCTTGACCTTGTTGGAACCAGGGCACCAGAGCCGCTTCTCATTGCTGGGAAGTTTGGGGATGATGACCCTGACCTTCCGCGTGGTTATAACCTCACTCCCTTGTTTGTTCCCCCACAGCTGCACCCACCTCCACCCTCACCTGTGACTCAGGACCACAGAAGCAAAAGTTCTCACTCAAACTGGTAAGTGACCCTGCAGGTGGGGGGCAGCTTGGAGGGGAGGGACTTTCACAAACACATCCTTGACTTCTGAGCCCGTCTGTCAGCTGGGAGAGCTCGGCCGGGGGCCAGGGTCCCCACCTGCAAGGAGTATTAAGACCGTGGGCGGGGCAGGCGCCCAGTTCTCCATCATCCCAGGGTGTTGGAAACCCACAGTTGGATCCACCCAAGTCTGGCTCTGATGCTTCCCTGCTGTGTGACCTGGGCAAGCCCATCCCCCTCAGAGCTCAGTTTCCTCATCTGTGAAATGGAGCCACTAATACCCACAGGGTGTGGCCCATCTGCCCCCTACCACCGGCCTCGCAGCGTGCTCGTATCGAGCACCTACTGTGTATCACCGTGCTGGGTGTGGGGTCCAAAAGAGAACCCAGCAGATGGGGTCCCTGTGCTGAGGATTCAGTGAAATCACACATCGGGTGCCGAGCATGAGTCTCAGCAGACAGGACATGTGCACTCGAGGTTGGGGCTAAAAGGAAACAAATAGAGAAAGGGAGAGTGGCCACGAGGGTGAATCACGCCTTCCACACAGAGGAGGTGCCTAACAGAAGGGCATCGTGGTGGTTCATAGCCCCGCCATCATCCCTGGGTGCTGGGATTACAGGTGACTCTTATTTTCTTTTTGTTTATCAGAATTGTCTCACACCCCAGAAAACCAGGGACAGCTGGGTCAGTTGCCCTCCCTCCGCCCTAGGTGGAGGCCATGAGAGTGGGTCAGAGCGTGGGCTGTGGAGCCGGGCTCACTAGTGGTGGGTAGCACCTGCTTTGAGAGCCTGGCATTGCCTGAGCCGGGCTGTGTTTCATAAGCACTGCTTCATTGAATCCTCCCAGTAGGGCAGCTACCGTGTCCCATTTAACACTTCTCTGCATGGTTCAGGTGTGTCTGGCACAGTAGGCACCCCATCAACCTGAGCTGTTCCTGTTATTACTACTGTAATTATGCTCATCATCCTAGAAATACAGCCTTGCTCTCTGTTCGTGCATCTGACCTCATCAACATTTCCTGAGGCTCAAAACTTGGTGATGATGAGTTGGCCCCAGGCCCAGCCCTGGAGAGGCTCCCAGTCTGGCGGGAGCCATGTCATGTCCCAGTCCCATCGGGAAGAGGGGTGGGCTGGGAGGGGAGCACAGGGCACTGGGCCAACCAGAAGACATTCACCCTCCCCATCCACTGGGAAGGCAGCTCTGTTCTGAAGCATTCGAAAGGTCAGGGGCTGAATGCCCAGTGGTGTTCATCCATCCATTTATTCATTTATTCACCAAGCCTTTCCTGCAACCTCCTGTGAACTGAGTGCTGGGGACATCTGCAGAGATGGGTCAGACCCAATTCCTGCCCTGAAGGAGCTGCCCCCTTGGGGGAGTGGGGCAGGCATGAATACCCCACATGAGATTGCTCAGGGCCTGCATGGCTGTGCCCACGTCGCTCGCGTCAGTCACTATGGGCTTCGCCAGCATCGTGGGGAGGACTCCAGGACGCAAAAAGAGAAAAGGACAAGAAGAGGAGAAGATGGGGCAGGGAGCCAGGCTCACTAATGACCAGTAGCAGCACCTGCTTATTGAGAACCTATTATGTGACAGTCCCTGGGCTGAGTGTCACAAGCATTATGTCATTTAATTCTTTTGGATTTTTGTTTGAGACAGGATCTCTCTCTGTCACCCAGGCTGGAGTGCAGCGGTGCAATCAAGGCTCACTGCAGCCACAGCCTCCTAGGTTCAAGTGATCCTTCCACTTTAGCCTCCCAAGTAGCTGGGACCACAGGCATGCACCACCACGTCCAGCTTTTTTTTTTTTTTTTTTTTTTTTTTTTCTGGTAGAGATGGGGTCTTCCTGTGTTGCCCAGGTTGGTCTGGAACTCCTGGGCTCCCACCTTCACCTCCTAAAGTGCTGGGATTATAGGCATGAGCCATCACACCCAGCCTTTTGGTTTTCTTTGGGGTTTTGTGTGTGCGTGTGTGTGTGTGTATGTGTGTTTACTATGTCATTGAATTATTTCAGCAAGCCTATGGGATGGCTTCCATGTTCCTATTTAACAGATGAGGAAATGGAGACTCAGTCACTTGCCCAGGTGCACCCAGCACGCAGGTTGCTTTGTTCACAGCTATATCCCCAATGCCCAGAATAATACTCAGCATATAATGGAGGCTTTGTAGGAAGAATGAATGAATGAATGGCAGAGCTGGGGTTTGAACCTAGATCTGTTTGACTCTATACTCTTAAGAACTCAGCTGCATGAGTTGTGTTTAATTAAAATATTTGGTGCTTTTTTTTTTTTTTTTGCTACAAAATCTCACTCTGTCACCCAGGCTGGAGGTGCAGTCTTGGCTCACTGCAACCTCCGCCTCCCAGGTTCAAGCAATTCTCCTGCCTCAGCCTCCCGAGTAGCTGGGATTACAGGCACGCACCACCATGCCTGGCTAATTTTCGTATTTTTAGTAGAGGCAGGGTTTCACCATGTTGGCGAGGCTAGTCTAGAACTCCTAACCTCAAGTGATCCACCTGCCTCAGCCTCCCAAAGTGCTGGGATTACAGGCCTAAGCCACCACACCTGGCCATTTAGTGTTATTTTAACAAATACCTAATATTAATGGTGGCTTAAGCAAGATGATGTTTTATTGCTTTTTCATTTAAAAGTCAGGGGCAGTTTTCCAGAGCTGATAGGATGGTTTTATAAACAAGGGGCCCTGTTTCCTTCTTTTTGCACCAACATTTTCAACGCATAACCTGCATCTCCTGGGCCGTAGTGGCTGCTTCAGCTTCCACCATCACATCTGCGTTGCAGCCAGCTGGAACAGAAGAGGAAAGGTAGAGCCTGTCCCAGCCCACTAAGGGCATAACCTGGAAGTTGCCCACATTTCTTCTGCTCACATCCTCATTGGCCAGAACTTGGTCATGTGGTCAGTCCTCACTGCAAAGGAAGCTGGGAAACGTAGTTTTTATGCTGAAGGCTACATTCTAGGGAACACTGTGGCTCTTACCATAAGAGAAAGAAAAGGAACCTGGGTACAGCAAGGTAGCTCGCAGTCTCTGATGTGTGTTTGTGTGCAGTACCTGAGGAATTTGGCTCCGATGTGGGGACTTGATGAGGAGCCTGGTCATTGAGGGAGTAACAAATTGCCAGTGGGGACTGGGGGCCCTTATCTGAGACTTCAGTGTGACAGCCTTCTGCCCCTCCTGTCCCCCACCAGGATGCCAAGGATGGGCGCTTGTTCAATGAGCAGAACTTCTTCCAGCGGGCCGCCAAGCCTCTGCAAGGTACCTGACAGGGAACTGGGCAAGGAGGGGAGAGTGAGGGGGGCGCCAACTTGGTCACAGCACTTGACTTCTACCTGCAGGCATGAGAAGGGTGGGCTTAGATTAAAGGCCCAGGTTTGCTCCCATCTGTGTCCATAACCTGACTCCTGTGACCCCTCAGGCCTCAGTGTGTGTTGTGACTGGCTCACACCAGCTCTTGGAAGCCAAGTATTAAATTTTCAGGCTGGGCGTGGGTTGACGCCTATACTCCCAGCACTTTGGGAGGCTGAGGTGGGCAGATCACTTGAGGCCAGGAGTTTGAGACCATCCTGGGCAATGTGGCAAAACCTTATCTCTACTGAAAATACAAAAATTAGCCGGGTGTAATGGCATGCACCTGTGATCCCAGCTACTCAAGAGGCTGAGCTGAGAGAATTGCTTGAGCCCGGGAGACAGAGATTGCAGTGAGCTGTGATTGTGCCACTGCACTCCAGCCTGAGCAACAGAGCCAGACCCTGTCTCCAAAAAAAATAAAAATAAAAATAAATTTTTAGGAAGATGGCAAGCTGGTTGTTACAGACAGCCAGTACTAGCAATTAAATTATATAGGCCAGGCGTGGTGGCTCATGCCTGTAGTCTTAGCACTTTGGCAGGCTGAGGTGGGTAGATCACCTGAGGTCAGGAGTTCAAGAGTAGCCTGGCCAACATGGTGAAACCCCATCTCTACTAAAAATACAAAAATTAGCCAGGCGTGGTGGCGTGTGCCTGTAATCTCAGCTACATGGGAGGCTGAGGTGGGAGAATCACTCGAACCTGGAAGGTGGAGGTTGCAGTGAGCCGAGATCATGCCACTGCACTCCAGTCTGGGCGATAGAGTGAGACTTAGTCTCAAAAAATATATAAAATAAGTTACATAATTTTACAAATAAATTATATTCAAAACAAAGGTAATGAACCCTCAGAAATTCATCACTTCCTAATTATTTCCTACATGTCCTGTGATCTCTGCCAGTGAGGTTGTGTGCACTATTGTCTCTGTGTGGTGAGAATGCTGCATGATGGCCTCCCCTGTATATCTCTCCCACCCCACCTCCAGTCATGTCATGTTGGTAGCTTGGAGTTGGCCATAGCAGGAGTATTTATTTACACTGCAGAAATTAGCAAATGCAGTCGGGCGCGGTGGCTCATGCCTGTAATTCCCACACTTTTGGAGGCGGAGGCCGGTGGATCACCTGAGGTCAGGAGTTCGAGACCAGCCTGGCCAACATGGCAAAACCCATCTCTATTGAAAATACAAAAAAAAAAGGCCGGGCGTGGTGGCTGATGCCTGTAATCTCAGCACTTTGGGAGGCCGAGGCGGGCGGATCATGAGGTCAGGAGATTGAGACCATCCTGGCCAACATGGTGAAACTCCATCTCTACTAAAAATACAAAAATTAGTTGGATGTGGTGGCACGTGCCTGTGATCCCAGCTACTCGGGAGGCTGAGGCAGGAGAATCACTTGAACCTGGGAGGTGGAGGTTGCAGTGAGCCGAGATCACGCCACTGCTCTCCAGCCTGGTGACAGACGAAGACTCCATCTCAAAAAAAATAAAAAATAAAAAAAAATTAGCTGGGCCTGGTGGCAGAAGCCTGCAATCCCAGCTACATGGAAGGCTGAGGCAGGAGAATTGCTTAAAATCAGGAAGCGGAGGTTGCAGTGAGCCAAGATCGCGCCATTGTATTCCATCCAGGGCGACAGAGCAAAACTTCGTCTCAAAAAAAAAGAAAAAAGAAATTAGCAAATGCTACCCATCAGGACTGCCTTCCCTGGATAGCCAGCTGTTAAACTAGCATCAGCTCGCCATTGGTTCTGGTCCACCCCACTGAGATCTGGAAGACAGGCAGAGGCACATTCCGGTGATGCCATGGCTAGGTTAGACACGTGTTGATCTTGTTAGCTCTATGTGTGAATTCGGAAGTAACCCTGTCATTATCCCATCTCTGCACTCCAGACTTGTATATGCTTCCTCCAGAGCCACCATGATCACCCCATCACCTGCAGACCTGGATCACAGACATTCATGGTCACCCATGCCTGCCCTGTCACCAGCCCCTTCCCACCATCACCCACCCACAATGTTGTCACCTCCAACAAGGAGACTTGGAGGCGGTCTGGGCACTCTGTGCTTCTTCTCTGAGAACTAGCTCTTACTGCCATGGGCTTGGGACTGGGTGGGTTCTAACCTCAAGCCCCTGCTTTCCGCAGTCAACAAGTGGAAGAAGCTGTACTCGACCCCACTGCTGGCCATCCCTACCTGCATGGGTTTCGGTGTTCACCAGGACAAATACAGGTGAGCTGCTCTGCTCACTGCTTGCCTCACCGGCCTCTTTCCTCTTCTTCCTGTTGTGACTCCAGGCATGGCTGGGACCCCGAAGCCGTGGGCCAGGTCTTTGCTTCCTGCCTTCTCGTAGTTTTGACCTAGTTTGCTGCCCAGCCAGTCAGAACCTTTGATCTCACCTGGGACCAGGACCTTGCAGCCCACGCAACAGTCCATCCTTGGCGGCCGGTACTCCTCTCTCCCCTGTTCATCTCCCACCTCCTGGGGTGCTTGTGTCTTCCAGGTTCTTGGTGTTACCCAGCCTGGGGAGGAGCCTTCAGTCGGCCCTGGATGTCAGCCCAAAGCATGTGCTGTCAGAGAGGTCTGTGCTGCAGGTGGCCTGCCGGCTGGTGCGTACCCAGAAGTTGCTCAGCTGCCGCGTCAGGGAGGGCACATCACATCCTAGTTTAGCAGGCACTTTAGTCATTGACACTTCCGGCCCCCACCCCCCTCCGCTGCACACTGGGGGCTGGCTCACTGACTGCCATGGCAGGCGGTTAGAGCCGAGATGATGGGTGGTCAGTCCTGTGGAGGGCCCTTGGGGGGCCATGAGCATTGGAGGAAGGAGCCCCGGCCTCAAACTGAAGGCTTAGATTAGGCTTCCTGGTGGAGGGTGTTTCTAAGCCAAGACTCTCAGGATGAGTGGAAATAGCAAAGTGCTGGGTGGAAGAGGAAGAGGATAGATGAGGAGAGGATGGTCCGGCCAAGGATACAGCTGGGGCAAGGCTTGTGTGGAAGGGAGAGCATATGGCATTTGTTCATTAGTTCATTCATTCATCCCCATTAAATATTCATCAGGCACTTGCTGGGTGCCAGACGCTGTCCCCGGGGCTGGGTGCAGAGCAGGGAGCAGCATAAACATGGTTTCTGTGTCTTAGAGCTCACAGTCTAGTGGGAGGGGCCAATAGTGAATCAAACAGTTGCACAAACTATGACAAGTGCTCTGAATAGAAGCGGCCCCTGCTGTGATTGAGAGTAAGAGGGCCCAGTTTGCATCGCTGGAGGGATGGACGTACCAAGGGAGCGACATGCTGAGTCCTAAGGTCTTTATGTTCAGTATCTGCAGTATGGCACTGCAGTGCGGAAGAGATGGAGTTGGTCTGGAGAGGTCAGCGGTGACCACATCACACGGGGCCTCGCACAGCAGGCTGAGGGGCTGGGATCTGTCTTGAGGGCACTGGAGAGCCACAAGAGTGCTGGGATTAGGGGAGGGCGGGGTCAGCTCTGGGTACAGAAAGGCCCTCAGGGGCCATATGGGGAGGGACTGGAATGGGGAGAAGAATCTGAGTGAGGGTCCATGTGGGAGAGGACAAGGCTGAGGAGGGTCCCGGGCCCCGGGGGTGGAGAGTCTATAGGAGGAGAACGAGCAGAATTTGGTGGACAGTAGAGCCCTGGGGTCAAAGAGGGTTGGGGATATGATCAGAATGTAGCTGACACTCAGGCAGCAGACACAATCAAAGAATTGGCCGGGCGCAGCAGCTCATGCCAGTAATCCCAGCACTTTGGGAGGACGAGGCAGGTGGATCACTTGAGCTCAGGAGTTCAAGACCAGCCTGGGCAACATGGCAAAATGCCCTCTCTAATAAAAATACAAAAAATTAGCCGGGTGTGGTGGCACCCACCTGTAGTCCCAGCTACTTGTGAGGCTGAGGTGGGAGGATCACCTGAGCTTGGGAAATCAAGGCTACAGTGAGCAGTGATTGTACCACTGCACTCCAGCCTGGGCAACAGGAGTAAGACCCTGTCTCAAAAATATATATATACACACAGCAAAAAAAGAGTCTGGAGCTCATAGGGACAGCTGGAGCTGGAGATCAAGATATAAATTGCTTAACAAGATTTATTTCTGCTCTCTAGGACAGGTGAGAAGAGCTCTTTGATATCCACAGGTGCTGAGTCATTTTTGCAGAGAGACATTAACCCCTTTTCCCTCTGCTGAGTTTGTCATCAGCTAAGAGAGAAATACAGGAGTAGATAGGAAGCCACGCTTTAGCTCAATTGATGAGCTTCCTGAGAGCCTGATTAGAGGCGTGCTCAATGTGCTGTCACAGCGGGCTCCTCATGCTACCCCGGATTTAGTCAGGTTTAACCCCCAGTCACAGTGTCGGACAACCCCAGGCCTTAATAGTGGGGCTCCCTCCTGGTCTGCACCATAGCCTCTCTGTGTTAGTCGTACTGCTCATGCAGACACTGACTTGCTTCTTCCCCCAGCTGGATGCCCTGGAGTTCCTCCATGAGAATGAGTATGTTCATGGAAATGTGACAGCTGAAAATATCTTTGTGGATCCAGAGGACCAGAGTCAGGTAAGAGCCAGCTCCTGCCCACTCTGGAAGATCTCTGGGCTCAGGTTCCCATCTGTCTCCAAATCTCTATTTATTTCATAGTGCTTATTACAGACAAAGGATTGCTGTCCATCATATATAAAGAGCTCCTTCAAATAAATAAGATAAGCAACTTAGTAGGAAAATGGACAAAGGATAAGAAAAGCAATTCTTAAAAAAAGAAATCCACAGGCTAGCTAAATAATATGAAAAGATATTCAACCTCCTTAGTAACTATAGAGATGTAACTTAAAACAAGATACTATTTTCACCCTTTGAACAAAATTAAGCATGATAATAATATTCATTGCTGATAAGGATATAAGGAAGTAGGAATTCTTCATATACTGTTGGAAGCATGAATTGGGAAACCCTTTTGGAAGGCAATAACAGTCACAGTTTTAAATGCACCTGTTTTTTGTCTTTGATTTTGTTTTGAGATGGAGTTTCACTCTTGTTGCCCAGGCTGGAGTGCAATGGCACGATCTCGGCTCATCACAACCTCCACCTCCTGGGTTCAAGCGATTCTCTGTCAGCCTCCTGAGTAGCTGGGATTACAGGCATGCGCCACTACGCCTAGCTAATTTTGTATTTTTAGTAGAGATGGGGTTTCTCCATGTTGGTCAGGCTGGCCTCGAACTCCTGACCTCAGGTGATCCGCCCGCCTTTGCCTCCCAAGGTGCTGGGATTACAGGCCTGAGCCACCGTGCCCGGCCAAAATGCACCTGTTTTTTGATCCACAAGTTCCTGTCTTAGGAAGGTGTCCTACCTATATATTCATAGGATTGTTCAAAGATAAGTGTACAAGATGTTCCTGGCAACACTGATTGTAATAGTGAAATGGGAAACACCTTAAGCGGGATACTGATTAAATAGTATTTTAAAGTAACTTCTAATTGCTCTTACAATTACAAATGACAGAAACCCAACTTTACATGCCTTAAGCCAAAAACCAAAAGGGACTGTGTGCAATGTATTAGTCCACAGAATGGAGCAATCCAGGACTGCACTGTCTCGGGCACGGCAGGATCCAGGAGCTCAAACCCTGTCATTGGGAAGCCGGCTCTCCCATCTCTGGACTCCTCATGCTTCTGCACTGCTCGTTGTCAGGCAGACTTATTCCTCATGGTGACAAAATTGCCACCAGCAAATTAGGCTTAAATCCCCAAAGCTTAGCAGCCCTGGCAGAAACAGACCTGAACTGCGTGGACTGAGAACTGGGGAAAAGCAATCCCAGATGAAAATCCTGGAACTAAGCATTAGGAATCTTCAGAGAAACAGAACTGGCAGGGTGTGTGTGTGTGTGCGTGTGTGTGTGTGTGTAGAGATTTATTATAAGGAATTGGCTTATTGATAATGGAAGCTAAGCAGTCCTGAGATTCTTCAGTTTGCAATCTGGAGACCTAGGAGAGCCAATGATGTAAGTTCCAATCCAAAGGCCAGCAGGCCTGAGACCCAAGAAGAGGGGTTGTTTCAGTTCAAGTCCAAAGGCAGGAAAAGACCAATGTTCTAGCTCAAGCAGTCAGGGAGGAGGAGCTTCTGGTTACTTAGCTTTTTATTCTATTCACATCTTGAGTTGATTGAATGAGACCCACCCACATTAAGGAGAATAATCTGCCTTGCTCAGTCTACAAACCCCAATGTTCATCTCATCCAGAACACCCTCATAGACACTCCCAGAATAGGGTTTGGCCAAATGTCTGGGCACCCCATGGCCCAGTCAAGTTGCCACATAAAAATGACCATCATGGCCAGGCCCAGTGGCTCACACCTGTAATTCCAGCAGTTTAGGAGGCCAAAGTGGAAGGATCGGATCGCTTGAGCCCAGGAGTTCGAGACCAGCCTGGGAAACATAGGGAACCTCATCTGTACAAAATAAAAAATAATAACCTATCCAGGTGTAGTGGCATACACATGTGGTTCCAGCTACTCAGGAGGCTGAGGTAGAAGGATCACCTGAGCCCAGGAGATGGAGACTGCAGTGAGCCATGATCATACCACTGCACTCCAACCTGCGTGACCCAGTGAGACCCTGTCTCAAAACTTAAAAAAAAAAAATTATTTTTTTAATGAACACCACAAACTGTAAACAGAAAAACAGGGAGCCGGGGAAGTGTATATAGGTCTTACATAGACAAAACCAACAGTTGTCCACTATCCATATGGTGGAATAAGATGCAGCCATTGAAAAGAAGACATGGACTGGGCACAGTGGCCAAGGCAGGAGGATCACTTGAACCCAGGGGTTCAAGACCAGCCTGGGCAACAGGGCAAAACCCCATCTTTACAAAAAATCGGCTGGGCATGGTGGTGCATGCCTGTAGTCCCAGCTACTCGGGAGGCTGAGGTGGGAGGATCACTGGAGCCTAGGAGGCTGCAGTGAGCCGTGATCGCGCCACTGCACTCCAGCCTGGGTGACAGAGTGAAACCCCATCTCAAAATAAATAAGTAGATATTTTTGAAAGAAGATTTGGTTAACTTTATGTATCAGGCAGAAAGCATTTAACTTTTGTTTTAAACTCAGTTAAGCCTTATAAGAACCCTTTGAGGTGGGGACTATTATTATCATCATTTTACAAATGGAGAAATCATAGCAGAGAGAACTGGTATAGCTTGCCCAAGGTTGTACCGCCACCAGCGGGCTGAGTTGGCATTTGAACCCAGGCCATCTGGCCCCAGAGTTAATGCCCAGAACCACTATTAAAGTGTAAAGTGCCGGTGCCCAACAGGAGGTCTGGTGTGAGGCCTCTGTGGAAAACAAGAGCCCCCTCCCCATCCACATATGTTTACCTGGTTATTTAAAAAAAAAAAAAAATTTTGGAATGATGCATACGAAACTGTTACTAGTGGTTATTTCTGGGCGATGGGTTTTAGGGGCTGGGAGGAAATATGGATGGCTGGTTTGGGTTCTTTTTACTTCACATCATTTTTACTATGAGCATGCCTTAGTTTTGTAAGTGAAAAATGCCATCTTTGGTAGAATGTTTGTTGTCACTTGCACCCACGATGGAAATCTCTGACTTCTACGCTCCTAACCTCCAATCTGTATGGCTTTTCCCTGTGTCCACAGGTGACTTTGGCAGGCTATGGCTTCGCCTTCCGCTATTGCCCAAGTGGCAAACACGTGGCCTACGTGGAAGGCAGCAGGAGCCCTCACGAGGGGGACCTTGAGTTCATTAGCATGGACCTGCACAAGGGATGCGGTACGAGGCCAGGGATGGGTTTGGGACCGCAGAGAGATGCTTCTTATACAAGGGCAGCTCTAGGAGTTCACAGCCAGAGACAGCAGGTGGCCAGACAGGAGAGGCACTAAGGGCGCCAGGACAGGGATTGGAACCACAGACAGCGTCCCGACCGCAAGGGAGGTGGGTGGGGTAGCGGTTCAGCACTAAGCATAGTGGGAGGCTGGGCACTGGGGAGCCTGAGTTCCAGAGGTTGGGGTTCAGGATCTGTTGTAGACTTGGAAGATGGGAGTTGCCTAGGAGTCATCCAGGAGGGGCTGTTGAGGAGGTGGTTGGCCACCACATCTGGAGTGTGGGAGGGAGATCTGGGCAGAGGCTCTGCAGTATCTCAGAAGTTATCAGCCGAAGCCCTGGGAGAGGATGGGATCATCCAGGGAAAGTGTACAGACTAGGAAGAGGGCCCAGGGCAGATTTCTTGAGCCCCTCTTTCTCACATCCCTTTATATCATGGCCGTCCACATGCCTGCCACATCCTCCCATCAGACTGAGCTCCCCCAGTACAGGGATGGCACCCCTGCCTCCAGCATCGGGTGGTGGAAGGCCAGCACGGACAAGTAGTGCTTGTCGAGTGCTTACACAAAGCGTTGTCTAAATTAAGCGTTGTCTTATGCTCAGGAAGCATAAGAAAAATAAACTGTCAGAGTCTCCCCCGCCCTCCCCCACTGAGGCTGGGTTTGGTACCCATCCTTCTGGGCTCCCGTGTGTTCTGTGTCCTTTGTCACTCAGGTAGTCGCACGCTATAGCTGTCTCCCCACTAGGCTGTCACGGGCTGGGACCCGACGAGATCCTGGTCTGGGTTTTCAGAAGTGAGCTGGGCCTGGCACACGGGTGCTGAGGCTTGATTGAATGAGTGCATGAATGAAAGAGGAGTGGATGAGGGTGACCTGGTAAAAGGGGCTGAGAGAATGGTTGAGTGAGAGAGAGAATGAGTCAGCTTCTGCCTACTCATGAAAGTGAATGAGCGGAGGAGACAGCCCATATGGCTGGAAGGCTGGGTGTATGAGTGTGTGGTTGAGTCAGTGAGAGAGAGGGGAAGGAAGGGGGGTGGACCCACCAGTGAGTGGAGCGTCCAGACTTGAGCTGCCACCTTTACTCCTCCTTCCCCAGGGCCCTCCCGCCGCAGCGACCTCCAGAGCCTGGGCTACTGCATGCTGAAGTGGCTCTACGGGTTTCTGCCATGGACAAATTGCCTTCCCAACACTGAGGACATCATGAAGCAAAAACAGAAGTGAGTCTAGGGGTCAGCAGAACCCCTGCAGGTGGTCAGCAGAACCCCTGCAGGTGGACAGAAGCCCAGAGCCCAACTGGGAGCAGGAGGGAAGGGGAGGTGGCATCCAGCAGAGCCCAAGTCCTCTGAGCCGCACAGGCATGTGCTGCAGTGTCCACACAGCAGGCGAGGCAGGTGTTCCGGAGCCACACTGCCTGGGCTCAGACTCTGGCACCACCACTGTGGGGTGTTAACGTCTGCGAGCCTCAGTGTCCTGCTCCATGAGATGGTCTCCTACTAGCTACTACCTTATGGGACTGCAAAGAGTTCAGGGAAGTCAGGTGCACACAGCACTTAGCACAGGGGCTGGCTCAGAGAAAATGCTCATTGTGGCCGGGCGCGGTGGCTCACGCCTGTAATCCCAGCACTTTGGGAGGCAGAGGCGGGCGGATCACGAGGTCAGGAGATCGAGACCATCCTGACTAACACAGTGAAACCCCGTCTCTACTAAAAATACAAAAAATTAGCCAGGCATGGTGGCGGGCGCCTGTAGTCCCAGCTACTTGGGAGGCTGAGGCAGGAGAATGGCGTGAACCTGGGAGTGGGAGCTTGCAGTGAGCCAAGATTGCACCACTGCACTCCAGCCTGGGCGACAGAGCGAGACTCCGTCTCAAAAAAAAAAAAAAAAAAAAGCTCATTGTGTGTGGGAAACTATGACTCATTCATCACAAACATGCAGGCAATCTGAGCAGGATAGGCCCAGGCCCTGCCTCAGCACTGGTAGCACCACCTATGCAGTGTCCACACTGCCAGATCAGTGCCTTCACCTCTGTGTAAACCACCAGGTCTTACCAGTGCTGGTTTAAACATTCAGCACCAAAGCCGGTGGACAGCGGAACATATGAGGAAGTTCTGGGGTGAGATTGAACACTAAGGGCATTGAGCAGCTGGACACAGAGGGAGCACTAGGGGTATGGGTTCAGCACTAGGGACAGCAGGCAGCTGGGCACAAAAGGGAGGCACTAAGGTGTGTGTTCAGCACCAAGAACAGCAGGCAGCGGGACACAAAAGGGAAGTGCTAGGGATGTGGGTTCAGCACCAGGGACAGCGGAGCACAAAAGGGAAGCGCTGTGGGTATGAGTTCAGCACCAAGGACAGTGGGCAGCTGATCCTAGCGGGCGTGCTAGGCATGCACTTCAGACATGAATATCAGTTGCCCAGGCCGGGCACGGTGGTTCACGCCTTAATCCCAGCACTTTGGGAGGCCAAGGCAGATGGATCTCGAGGTCAGCAGTTCGAGACCAGCCTGGCCAACATAGTGAAACTCTGTCTCTACTGAAAATAACAAAAATTAGCCGAAGCAGTGGTGGGCACCTGTAATCCCTGCTGAGGCAGGAAAATTGCTTGAACCCGGGAGGTGGAGGTTGCAGTGAGCCGAGCTCTCGCCACTGCATTCCAGCCTGGGTGACAAAGCAAGACTCCGTCTTGGACTTGTTGCCCAAGTCATCTGGGAGGCAGCTGGCCATCTACGTCTGAAGTGCAGGAGTGAAGTCTAAAGGGAGACTCAGACCCCGGGAATATCTCCGGAGCCATCAGCTGAAGCCCCAGGAGAGGATGAGATTATCTGGGAAGGCATATAGAGTGGGAAGAGGGTGAACCCTCCAGTAAATGGCGTTGAGTCCCTCATGTTTCCCTGTCCTTAGTGTGCCGTGAAGTCCTTCCCAGTCCTTCCCTCACATGAAGCCTTTCTCGTTTTATTTTACTCCCTTCGTGTCTCCCAACTTCCTTCTCTCAACCATGGACAGCTGCTCAAGCACACTTAACATGTGTTCTGATGTGTTCACTTAGATGTATTTGTACCCTCAAAATCGCATGCTGGCCGTGGTGCTGTGTGTGATTTGCGTAAGTGATGTTCCACTCTGCGTCTCATCTGTCTCTGGCTCTCTTCAGCTTTAACCCTATCCCTACATGTGGACCGAGTTCACTGCTTCTGACTCCGGCTTCTAAATCAATTTTCTATAGACATGTCTGTGTCCTTAAACTATATATGGTGGTACTGTGTGTTAATTTGTATAAATGGCACTATGCTCTAAACCTCATGCTGTTTCTTGCCTTCTTTCACTCAATGTTATGTTTTTAACTTTAACTATACACCTAGTTCACTACTTCTGAATACTCCTAAATGTGTTAGTTTAGATGCATCTGTGTCCTTAAAAACTCTATGATGTTCTTGGGTATGTGTTTAATTGGCATAAGTGGCACCATGCCCAGAATTTCATCCTCCTTCAGAGAAGGGGATGTGTGTCGTCATTTTGACTTCCTTCTACTGACTGTTCAAAGCTAACATTTATTATACACTTGTCTGTGCCAGGCACTGCCCCTGGTGCTTCCCCTGCATCCTCACAACTGCTCTGAGCTGCGTGCTCTCGTGATCTGTGGCACAGAGAGCTTAGGTAATCAGTCCAGGCCACACAGCTACTAAGCAGGGGCTCCTGGGCTCAAACCTGGGCCATTCAACTCCAGAGACAGCCCATGTCACCTACGTGCTGCTTCCCAAGTGGAGGAGGCTTATGAGGTGAACTGGTGGTTCCTGGACCCAGCCTACCTTCACTCAACAAATACTGAACCCTTGCCATGTGCTAGACTCTGTTCTAGGCCCTGGGGATACAGGAATGAGTAAGACAAAAATCCCTGCCCTCAGGGAGCTCACATCCTATTGCGGGAGACAGGAGCTAAAGGGTGAAACACATGGTGTGTCAGAGGTCAGACTGATGAGGGTCATGAGGCCAGGTCCTGGGTGTCCACTGGTGGGACTGTTGGTGGGGGTGTGCAGCACACTTGTAGGTCTAATGTCAGGGGCAGGTCTCGCAGCGATGGTAACAGGTAAAATGCCCCCTGAAGGACCATGAAGCTTTAAACAGTGGCAAGAAGGATGACACAGTTTGATGCTAATTTGCCCCAACATCCCTGCGGAAAGAGGAAGAGACAGGCCTTCAGCCCCCAGACTTCCGCAGGCAACCTCTGCATGGGAAGCCAGCCTCAGGACCTGCTAGAACACAAGTCCATTGCCCCATTTTCTTGGAGCTTATTTTTACACTTACTCTCTAGCTTTAACAGATGGTGCTGGGGTTTTCTGCTCACAGTGGTGAGACAGGTTTCTTTTGAAATGAAGCCAGGTGAAAACGAGTCACAGAATGAGTGGCCCGCTGGAGTCCCTGTGTAAGTGAAGGTAGTGAAATGCTCCCTCACACACTCTAATGGGTTAGTTCAGGACAAGACTGAGCTGTTCTCACAAGGAGACCCCAAAACACTGCAGCTTCCATGAG
Source organism: Homo sapiens (assembly GCF_000001405.40). Taxonomy (NCBI): domain Eukaryota; kingdom Metazoa; phylum Chordata; class Mammalia; order Primates; family Hominidae; genus Homo; species Homo sapiens. The sequence goes on along the minus strand of NC_000019.10, from coordinate 49,985,066 downwards.
GGAGGGTTCACTCCTCTCACTAACAGTCCCAAGGCAGGAGACTGAGGGCAGTAGGGGGGCCTCAATTCCCTGTGACACACACACACATCCTTCTCTGGATACAACAGAGAGCACACATTGTGGGTGCCCAAGGAATAGCAGCAGATCTGGTGCGGTGGCTCACGCCTGTAATCTCAGCAGTTTGGAAGCTTAGGTGGGCAGATTGCTTGAGCCCAGGAGTTTGAGACCCGCCTGGGCAACGTGGTGAGACCCCATCTCTACAAAAAAAGTAGCCGGGTGTGGTGGCACGCGACTGTAGTCCCAGCTACTCAGGAGGCTGAGGTGGAAGGATCACTTGAGTCCAAGGAGGTGGAGGCTGCAGTGAGCTGTGATTGTCACTGCACTCCAGCCTGGGCAACATAGTGAGACCCTGTCTCAAAAAAAGAAAAAGGAAAGAAAAATCGTAGTGGAATGAAGAACAACTAAGGAGTGAATGCTGAGCCCGCCCAGGCTTCAGTGTGGACACAGAGGTCGGGCAGACGCAGCCCCAATGTCGGGAGTTCAGGGCTGGGAGGAGACACGGACAGGAAGCAGGAGCTGCAGGTGAGGGTGGAGGTAGCCCGGCACTGTGGGAGCAGAGGGGAGGCACAGGACCCCGCCACCGGCTCCTGGAAACCCTCACCTGGGAGATGCCTGACCTGGTCTCTAGAGAACACAAGAGCCTCCCAGGTGGGCAAGGGGGAGGCAAGATTCCTAGGCAGACAGGACAGCACAGCTCTGAACCCTCTCCACTTACGCATTCAGTGCCAGGTTCCTGAGGCCAGTGGCTGTGCTGGACACCCAGGTTAGAATCAGCCCATGGTGCCTCTGAACTCCAGTCTTGTCAGGGAAACTGGTCTCCAAGGCTCCCCTCGGTTGAGTCTTCTCCCCACTTCACTTCCTAACTCCTAAGAGCGGTCTTATCATGCTTTTCACATCCCCCCATCTAAAGAGACTTGTTGAATGTGACTGGTTCACAGAGAGGGTCTGCACTCGCCAACATGGTGCAGGGTGAGTTAAGACAGGTCATGGTAATCATCTCATATCAATGATAGCAGCATGGATAACAGTAATTCCACAGCCCCAGCTCCAGACCACAACCATAGAGGGCCAGGCGCACAAAAATGCTCTCTGGAGAGTAGCTGGCAATGTTGACACTGTCCCCCAGATGCACCTCCTCACCCCCAGCCCATAGTCTGTTAGCCCAGACAATAACCAAGGGGACCACAAGGGGGCGATGTTGCTACATGCTCGTTTCCTGGCACCCTAAGGTGCCCTGCGCTAGGACGGTTTACTGGTATACATGGCCTTTTTCCATTCATTCAACAGATACTCATTTTTTGCACATTGTAGTTCACGACAGACAAAATGAGTAAAAGAAGGAGGAGAGGCCGTTGAAGTCCCCGAGGCTTTCTGGCATTCAAGGCCCCTTGCTGGGCAAAGCACAAATGAGAGCCAGCTTTGGACCCGCTGTTAGGGCTGCCCACCTGGCCAGGGAGAGCCCATGGCAGGTGGTGGCAGTGGTGTTGCTGTGCAGTGTATAATGTCCTGTTGATGGCACAACCGGGCCTTCCTGCGCATGTATGTCAATGGCCGCCATGGGACATCTGTGGACCTACGCACAGGCCCAGGAGGGACAGAGTTCCTCCGCCTGGAGGGGTCTGGGGAAGACTTCTTGGGAGGCCAAGCCCTCGAGCTGTATCTCAAAGGGAGAACAGCCACCTGCCAGAGCTCAGGGTGGGGAAGACCACCCAGGCAGCGAGAGCGATATGTGCAGAGGCATACGTGCGTGGATGTGTGGCCTCGTGGGCCTAGGAGTCCTTTGGTGTGGCTGGGACATGCAATGGGAGGAAGGAGTGGGGAGATGGAGTCAGAGGGTGGCCAGTGTGTGCTGGGGAGCCATGGGAGGGAGGGTGGGCTGTGAGCAGGGAGGGTCAGGGACAGGTGTAAAGAGACCCTCTGGGTCCACATGGGGATACACAGGAGGCCAGCAAGGAGTTGAGGTCCAGGGAGAAAGGTTGAGGGCTGAGCTGGCCCCAGATCCATGGGGCAGAGGAGGACATGGGGCAGAGAGAGTTGAGAAACTGGAGGGTGGGGCTGGGGGATGGCGAAGGCAGGGTCAGAGACCAGTGACTGGGCAGGTGGTGGGAGCTGGCCCGATGGGCCAGGCAGAGAAGTGGAGGGGCTGGGCCTGGAGGATGGAGCAAAGGCAGTGGGCAAATCAGGATTTTTCCTGAACAAACGGTTGCACGTGCATGCATGTGTTTGTGTTATACATATATGTGTATGTGTGTGTATGTACATATACAGTCAGTCCTGATTATTCAGAGTCCATATGTGTGAATTCTCTTACTCACTAAAAGTAGTTGTAACCCCAAATCAATTCTTGCTGTTCTTTCATGGCCACTTACAGACACAGTGTGGAGAAAAATTTTAATCATCTGACACACATGTTCCCAGCCTAGGGTGGAACCAGACAGCATTCTGCCTCCCTATTTCAGCCTCCACACTATATACGCTGGTGTCCTTTTCACTGTTTAGTTAATGATACATTTTTTCCTGTTTTTATGCTTTTTGTCAGTGATTATGCCATTTAAAATGGCCTCAGCCAGGCGTGGTGGCTCACATCTGTAATCCCAGCACTTTGGGAGGCCGAGACAGGAGGATCAGACCAGCATGGGCAACATAGTGAGACCCCATCTCCACAAAAAATCAAACAGCCACCTAGCATAATGCTGAAGGGCTGTCTGATGTCCCAAAGCCTGAGATGGTTAATAATTCGTGTGTTTTATCAGCTTTGTTCAGGCATGAGCTACGGTGCTGTTGGTCATGAGTCTGTGGGGAATTCTTATCATTTCAGGTTGCCTTGGGATTCATTTTAATGTAAGCTGGACTTTGTCATGCCAGAAACAAGGCTCGGTCACCGTCAGCAGTTTGCAGTTTTCCACCTCCTCCCAGTTCCTCCGTGTGGTTGACCCAGATATCTCCGTTATGCAGCCGCCTCCGGGGGACCACCTCCCTCCCTTTGAGTCAGCCACAGACAGCCTACTTGACGGCCCCGCTGGCCCCCACATTCCACTGAACTGTGCGGATGCCACAGTGACCCCCTCTCAGGCACAGCATGACCTCCTGAAGTCGAGCCTGCTTGCTTTGAACCTACCAGTTAAAATCTCCTCAAAATGTTTGGATACCGCCCATTGGCCCCTCACAGCCACGAGCTCCCTGACCAGTGTGCGTGTGTGTGTGTGTGTGTGTCTGTGTGTGTGCTTGGGACGGGTGGGGAGGTCACCTTTGGGTGTGCGGTGTGCCCCCAGGACCTGTAAGTAATAAAATCTTTATTTCCATCTTGGATCTTTCCTCATCATCAAAGGGATCCTCTCCGTCTTAAGGATCACAGATTAAAAGAGTTCAATGCTAATGAATCAACAATACTTATTACATAAGATGTATTTCAACAGAAACATACATAAAACAAGGTGTATTGTTTTGTTTTGTTTTGTTTTTGAGACGGAGTCTCTCTCTGTCGCCCAGGCTGGAGTGCAGTGGCTCAATCTAGGCTCACTGCAAGCTCTGCCTCCCAGATTCATGCCATTCTCCTGCCTCAGCCTCCCGAGTAGCTGGGACCACAGGCACCCGCCACCACACCCGGCTAGTTTTTTATATTTTTAGTAGGGACAGTTTCACCGTGTTAGCCAGGATGATCTCGGATCTCCTGACCTCGTGATCCACCCCCCTCGGCCTCCCAAAGTGTTGGGATTACAGGCGTGAGCCACTGTGCCCGGCCAAAACAAGGTGTATTGATCGGGGAAAATCGTGTGGCCAGAGGCTTGCAGGAAGCAGTGCTGTTTCCCTTGGGAGCAATGGTAGTGGATTGGTTGATTCAGTGTTCACAGTGACTTTAAGAACATAACTTCCCTGGATGGCAGAGGGGACTGTGTATATATCTTAGGCTGTGTATATATCTTAGGCATTCTGTTTTAAAAGGTTGCTCTCCTTTCCCTAAGAGACCTTTCACATGTGTTTCTGTCCCTTCAGGTTTGTTGATAAGCCGGGGCCCTTCGTGGGACCCTGCGGTCACTGGATCAGGCCCTCAGGTACGTCCTGAAGGGAGCGGGAACAGGCGGGGACTCGGGCAGGACCTGGTGGCTCAGATCCATCTTGGGGTGGCTTCTCCTTACACCTCTTCATTTTTTTTAGTTTTCCAAATTGCATTTGTAATACGTACCCATTGTAGAAAGACAAAATCGTCAAAAGATTCACTAGTGCCTCTGAAAAACAAAACAAAAACACAACTTTTTTTTGAAGACAGGGTAATTTTTTTTTTTTATTTTTAAGACAGGGTCTAGCTCTGACATCCAGGCTAGAGTGCAATGGTACGATCTCAGCTTACTGCAGTCTCCGCCTCCCAGGTTCAAGCAATTCTCGTGCCTCAGCCTCCCAAGTAGCTGGGGTTATAGGCGTGCGTCACCATACCTGGCTAGTTTTTTGTATTTTTAGTAGAGACGGGGTTTCATCATGTTGCCCAGGCTGGTCTCGAACCCCTGGCCTCAACTGATCTACCTACCTCGGCCTCCCAAAGTGCTGGGATTACAGGCAAGAGCCACCATGCCCGGCCATTTTTATGAACAAAAAATAAGCTCACCCTACATACATCTCATTCTACCTCTTGCTTTTTTCACTTAACCCTGGGGCCATCCTTCATGCCCTTCCTTATAGATGCACCACAGCTTTTATCAACAGCTGCACAATGGTCATGGTTTGTCCGCACCGTAACTTATAAAGCCAATCCCTGTTACTGGGTATTTGCACTGTCTTGTTGGGGTGTCGGGGGTGTTTGTTTTTCCTGTTGTCTTTGTGCCCCTCCTGAAGAGCTTTGATGCTTTTCTCCAAGCTGGAGGCAGAAATGGACAGACAGAAACAGATAGCTTGTTCCCTCTGGCTCTCTAAGGCTCATTTTTTAATTATTTATTTTTTTAAAATTTATTTTATTATTTTTTTTGAGACGGAGTCTTGCTCTGTCGCCCAGGCTGGAGTGCGGTGGCGTGATCTTGGCTCACTGCAAGCTCTGCCTCCCGGGTTCAAGCCATTCTCCTGCCTCTGCCTCCCAAATAGCTGGGACTACAGGCACCCGCCACCATGTGTGGCTAATTTTTTGTATTTTTTTTTTTTAGTAGAGATGGGGTTTCACTGTGTTAGCCAGGATGGTCTCGATCTCCTGACTTCATGATCCACCCGCCTCTGCCTCCCAAAGTGCTGGGATTACAGGCGTGAGCCACCGCGCCCGGCTGAATTACTTTAAATCCCTGGGTTCAGATTATGGCTCAGCTGCCCAAGTGACACTCCCCTCCAGTTCTACCTCTGTGAACCTTGGGCCTCGAGGATTTTAAGCTGGTCAGCCAGAGGTTGGAGGTGGAGGTGAAGCAGGGCCCGCCCTCTTTAAAGATACATGCTAAATATTTATATGCAGGTAGACTGCATTGCTAGCTGGGATTTGCTTTAAAACACTGCAGGCCAGGGGAGGGGTCTTGATGAAACAAGATTGGCTGTGAGGTGATCCTTGTTGAAACTGAGTGATGGGTACTTGGGTGTTCATGCCCTTCTACTGGTGCCTGCGTATGACATTTTCCAAAACTGAAAAACAATTGAAGTCCTCTGGCAATGCCAGGCAACAAGAAAATGGGCACTTTTGCTGAGACCCTCATGCCCCTCAGTCCCCCACCCCTCCATCCTTGGGTGGAGACCCCCAGGATCGGGGTTGGGGGATGCCTCTCAGGCTCTCCCTTGCTGGGGGTTGTCTTGACCACAGAGACCCTGCAGAAGTACCTGAAGGTGGTGATGGCCCTCACGTATGAGGAGAAGCCGCCCTACGCCATGCTGAGGAACAACCTAGAAGCTTTGCTGCAGGATCTGCGTGTGTCTCCATATGACCCCATTGGCCTCCCGATGGTGCCCTAGGTGGAATCCAGGTGGGAAGAGCTTGTGAGGCTTAAGCCTCTCACCCCTTGCCCTCACCCGAGCCCTGCCCCAGGCTCCAGGAGACACTTCCCAGAGGCTGTTCCACGTTCATACCAGGGCCCAGCTTCCCAGGGAGACACTGGGTTTTTCCGCACGGTCCTTGAACTTCCCAGCCTCAAGGAATGGCAAGTAGCAGAAACCCGGCTCAACTTGGCTTTAAGAAAAGTGGGGATTGATTGGCTGTTGTAGCTAGAAAATTACAAGGGGGAGCTTCAGGCACAACGGGATTCAGGGCCTCAAAAATAGCATCAAGACGTTGTTTGTCTCTCGCCATCTTCTGTCCCTTCTTGCATCCATGCCTCCCTCTGTCCTTCCACCCGGCCACCTGTAGTCTCTACTTTCCTTTGGCCTGGCCCCCTTGGCGCCCCCATACACAAAAGGTAGCTGCTCCATGCCTTCGGGTCTCGTTCATAGTGCGCACTACCCCTTCCTGTGGATGACGGACACTCCTCACAGCCAGCAGCTGGGCGTTTGCTTAGTTTCCCAGATTTTTATTTTACCAACAGTGCTGCCTGTGTGCACAGCCCGGCTGCTGGCGCACGCTGTCTGTGGATGGAGGTATCAACTTGACAGTGCTGACTAGATGGCTTTACTTCCATCAGCACTTTGTGTAAACGTGCAGGAATTTTTACAAGGTCAAAGACAGACTACACAGTAAATTTTGGCAAGGGTGCAGAGATGTGTGCTGAAGAGGAGCTTCTCCAGGCTCCTTTTCTCTCCCCGGAGTAGTCATTTCTCTCATCGGAGTTGGCTGGAACCAAAGCTCAGTGCTTTGTCTGATTTGGCACCACCCTGGGGGCATTTGGCAGTGTCTGGAGACACTTGGTTGTCAGGATGCGGGACAGTGGAGGCCGGGATGCTGCCTGACATCCTGTGACATGCAGCACGGTGCCCACCTGTACCACCCCACAAAGAATCCCCCGGCCCCGTGGTCAGCAGCACCACGATTGTGAGATCCTAGTCGCAGGGCATCTTGAACAGCATCTCCTTTTGACGGCCTGTCTCCCGGCGCAGCGACGTTCTTCTTGGCGCTTGGATTACAAGTGCTTCTGCATTCCCACAACGTTTCCTTACATCTGAGGCTGAAACCTGAGCTGACACGTGTGTGTCAAGCGATTCGTGGAGCACCTGCGCACAGAGTGGGCCAGTGGTGAGGGGTGGGGACTCTTTTCTCCGTGGTGGAGTAGCAGGCTCTCTGCCTCAACCAGTGGTGCCGAGAGTAAAGTCATGACCTGTGCCAATCTCCCTCTTTCCCCCACCTCTCCAGCTCGATACACAGCTCCTCCGTGTACCCAGTTATCCAGGCCAGACAGCTCGGGGTCCTCCCCAACACCCTTGCTCCCCCAGCAGCCTCCTCCAAACCTTCGGTCCCGGGTGAGACTGACCACGGGGTCACTTGTCACAGTCTTCTGCTGGCAGCCAGCTCCTCCAGGGCAGGGTCGCGTCTGACTCTGTCATCTCTGCTTTTCTGGCATGGCACAGGGCAGAGGCTTCATCCTGTTTATCGATGGAGCGAGCCCAGGCTTCCCGTCGTCAGTGCCACTGTGTCTCACAGTGCCTTCCTCACCCAGGGCAAAGGGCATTTAGAACCTGACACCTGACAACCTCCCAGGGTCTCCACCGTCTCACACCCACGCGCTCCCTGGAGGCCACTCACTCAGCCCCTTGGTTGGGAACATAACGAGGAGATGGCATTTAAGGAGCCCAGTGATCTTCGAGCACCTTGAAGGTCATCTTGCCTGTGCTCCACAGCAGCTCCTTGCCTTGGCCCGAGGCCGAGCTCCCTTCCTCCCCCGTGCACGATGCACCAGCCACACCCCCGCCCCTCTGATTCTAGACCAGGCCAAGCTGGACCCCACCCCGGAACCTTTGCACCTGCCATCCCGAGTTCTGGAAAGCTCCCCTCATCCTGGCTTTATGTACCTGCTGCTTCTCAAGACCCGAGGCCTTCCCCATCCTCCATGAGGCATCCTCACTGCCTCCCCACCCACTTGCTCATCATGTCACCTGTTTTCCACACAGCCCTTGTTCCCATCTGGAGGGAAGCGTGTGTTTAGTGTGTAGTCTCCACCCGCCTCCTCCTCATCCTAAGCCCAGCAGGGGCTCCTCATCCCGTATGGTCATGATGACATCCCCAGTACCTAGAAGATGACATCCCCAGAACCTAGAAGGTGCTTGGCATGAAGTGAAGGCATAGAGGGTGTTCCTTGAATGAATGAGACACTAACAGCATTTTTATTGTCTTCCAGAACTTTCCATTTGCAGTGTGCAACAGAAAAAAAAAAATGAAGTAATGTGACTCAAGGCCTGCTGTTTAATCACAGATAAGCTTCTAGAACAAGCCCTGGAATGTGCATTCCTGCCACTGGTTTCAGGATACTCATCAGTCCTGATTAGCCTCCCGGAGGGCCCCAGTTTCCCTCCCGTGAATGTGAAGTTCCCCATCTTGGTGGCCTGCCCTTCAGCCAGTGTCCTAGCAAAGCTGGATGGGGTTGGGCCGGCCCACAGGGGGGACCCCTCCTACCCTTGACACCTCTGTGCTTTGGTAATAAATTGTTTTACCAGAGCTTGAGGAGTCAGTTATCTGTAAAAGTTCTTTTGGGGCCCAGGTGCTGTGGCTCATGCCTGTAACCCAGCACTTTGGGAGGCCAAAACTGGAGGATCACTTAAGCCCATGAGTTTGAGACCAGCCTGGGCAACAGGGTGAAACCCATCTCTACAAAAAATACAAAAATCAGCTAGGCCTGGTGGTGGACGCCTGTAGTCCCAGCTACTTGGGAGGCTGAAGCAGGAGGATTACTTGAGCCCAGCAGGTCGAGGCTGCAGCAAGCCATGATTGCACCACTGCACTCTAGCCTGGGCGACAGAGTAAGACCCTGTCTAAAGAAAAAAAAGGAAGAGAGAAGCTAAACCTGCCTCCCTGAATTTTGTCTTGAGTAACTCAGATCATGCATCATACTTTGGAGTGTGGAGAATCTGAGGCCAGGTAAGGAAGGAAGTGCTCTCAGATACCCTGACTCTCCTGTACTGATAAACCCTGCTCAGGAGAAGCAGGTGGGATCAGGGAACCGCTTACCATCTCCTGGCTGAAAGTGGGTGTTTGCACCCCTTTCCAGAAGGGGACATCTGCTAACAATAGGAAACCCCCCCGAACCTGTCCTGCTTAGACCCCTTGTTGCACATGAGTCTGTGAACCCCGAAAATTTGAGACGGGTCCAGTTAATTTAGAAAGTTTATTTTGCCAAGGTTGAGGACACAGGCCGTGACACAGCCTCAGGAGGTCCTGATGACATGGTCAGCGTGGTTGGGGCACAGCTTAGTTTTATACGTTTTAGGGAGACTTGAGACATGAGTCACTATATGTAAGAAGTACTTTGGTTCCATTTGGAAAGGCGGGAAAACTTGAAGCAAAGGCAGGAAGACTCGAAGTGGGGAGGGGGCTTCCAGGTCACAGATGGGTGAGAGATGAACAGATGCATTCTTTGGAGTTTCTGATTAGCCTTTCCCAACTGAGGTGATCAGACATGCATCTATCTCAGTGAGCAGAGGGGTGGCTTTGAATAGAATGGGAGGCAGGTTTGCCCTAAGCTGTTCCCAGCTTGACTTTTATTTATTTTCGTTTCACAAGTCTATAAAAGATTAGGGGGGTCAGCTGCCCTTCAGCACCCAAATCAGGTGAGCAGACGGGTCAGCATCACAATATCAACACCGGGTTCCATCCTCTGCCCCTTGGGGCAGTGCCCAGTCCAGTGCCTCAGGGTCCTGGCAACCGCTGTGTCCTCCTCCCTCATCTCTTGAACCAGCACAGCCAGCCCAGGCTGACCCTGCTCAGACAGTGGAAGGAGCCCAGGTCCAGGCCCAGGGAAAGCCTGGACAGTGGCCCCATGTCTCTGAGCCCAGTGTCTTCTGTCTCCAGAGCCCGGGTTTTGAACCTCCATGGGTTTTGGCAGCTCATCCCCCGAGCTCTGAGAGGAGGGCGTCATCATCAGGATTAGATGATGATCTCCCAGCACAGGAGACTGGGAATGGCTCAGGTGCTACCAGGACGTGCAGCTGATGGTGGCTGGAGCCCGTTCTCTGTCCACCACACCCACACCCTGCCCCTTGCCCCAAAATGGAACCGTGGCTTAGATTTAATCAGACATTGGTGGTGGTGGTGGTGTTTTTTTGTTTTAGTTTTTGAGACAGTCTTGCTCTGTCGCCCAGGCTGGAGTGCAGTGATGCGATCTCGGCTCACTGCAACCTCCACCTCCTGGTTCAAATGATTCTTCTGCCTCAGCCTCCCGAGTAGCTGGGACTACAGGCGCCCGCCACCACACCCGGCTAATTTTTGTATTTTTAGTAGAGACTGGGTTTCACCATATTGGCCAGGCTGGTCTCAAACTCCTGACCTTGTGATCTGCCTGCCTTGGCCTCCCAAAGTGCTGGGATTACAGGCATGAGCCACCACGCCTGGCCTATTATGCCATATTTTTACTAAAACTCTGTCTTTAACCTATCCATTGCGTTATAATTGCCTACAGCTTTCACTACAGGAACATGCCGTGCAGGTGTATAGTCTAGGAGCAATGGGCTATACCGTATAGCCTCGGCGTGTGGTAGGCTGTACCATTTATGACTGTGTAAGCACATTCAAGGATGCTCACACGACAGAATCACCTAACCGTGCATTTCTCAGGACATATCCCCACACATGTGGAGATGTGAGGCATGGAAAGCAAGTTCTGCATGAAAGATGCAGTAATGCGCCTCAGCAGATGAGACGTGCAGAGCCCAGAGCAGCGCGGTTAACGCCGTGGCCGGCCGTTCAGGGAACTGGCTCATCTTGCACGTGGTGCGTGTGGTTCCTCCCTAATGCACGTTCCATGGATGGAGGAGGAAGGAAGTTGGATGTGACCACCGCAAACACCATATTAGGATGTGGGTGGAACGCAGACTGCAGCTGCAAGGAATTTTGTAAGTAAATCCTGCAAAAAGAAGACACAGCTGGCTGGGCACGGTGGCTCACACATGTAACCCCACCACTTTGGGAGGCCGAGGCTGGCGGATCACCTGAAGTCGGGAGTTCAAGACCAGCCTGGCCGACATGGTGAAACCCTGTCTCTACCAAAAATACAAAAATGAGCCAGGCGTGGTGGCGGGCGCCTATAATCCCAGCTACTCAGGAGGCTGAGACATGAGAATCGCTTGAACCTGGGAGACAGAGGTTGCAGTGAGCCGAGATCGCGCCACTGCACTCCAGCCTGGGTGACAAAGTGAGACTGTGTCTCAAAAAAAAAAAAAAAAAGTGAACCTGAAGGAGGGTCCAGACGTGGTTTGGCAGGAGGGAAGGGTGTTTCAGGAGAAGAAACTACACGTGCAAAGTGTCAAGAGCCGCAGAGTCCTTGGCCCGGAGGGTTTGGGGAGATGTTGGGTGACAGGGAAAGGAGGGATCAGGAGAGTCCAGCAGGGGACAGACCATGCAAAGCCTGCAGAGGAAACACGGCCGCTCAGACTGTGGAGGAACTGGATGAGGAGGCATCTGGAAGCAGTCTGGAGTCTGTTGGGAGAGATGGAGGCAAGAGGTGAGGTGGGTTCAGCGACCAGGGAAGAGGTGAGGCCCAGGCATGACCGGGGCCAGGATGGAGAAAAGGGCTCCAAGGTGACCTGTACTTAGGAGGAGGGACAAGTGCTAGTGATTTTTGGGATCTGGAGGAGGGAGGGAGGTCAAGGTGGACACCCACACCCGGGTTCTGACGTTAGAGATGGGGCTACCATGTCATCAGAGGGATGGGGCTCTCAACAAGAGAAGTGGGCTTGGAAAGGGAGGTGATGAGTCAGTTATGGCCAAGTTGAGTGGAGCAGTCCTTGGGGCCATCGAGGGGGAGGTGTCCAGCGGGATGTTGGAGGGTAAGAGGCCCACGACACTCACCTGGAGATTAGTCCGTGACAGCGTCTGCAGCCTCCATGCCCAATGCTGCCCTTGCTGCCTTCCTCCTGCAAGACCTCACTCTGGGTGAAGAGACCAGGGCCTGTGAGTGTGGCTGGATGGGGGTGAAGAGGGCAGCAGACTCACCTCCCTGTGCCCTGCTAAGGGGTTGGAGGGGACTGAGGCAGAGAGAGCAGGCCTAGCCCCCAGGACCTCCCTGATACAAGCAGGAACCTCCCCAGCCTGGACATTGGTCCAGAGTTGGGGACTGACAACACTGGCCCGTGTGGAATCATCACGATCAACTCAGCCTCTGCCTGGCCACAGGCCTCTTTAACTGTCCAAGTACCCCCAGGATTGAGATTCTGGGATTCAGCGGTGTATCCTTTGCCCTCTCCGCCCCTCCCCTTGGTCCCTGGGGCAGGGCTCACCTGAGGAGGATGAGGCAGAGGCAGAGAAGCAGGATCTTCATAGCCACCTCCCCAACAGCCACCAGAACCACCCCCGTCATGGGCCCTGATTTGCCTGGAAAAGTGGGATAAGGCCCATTCACCTTCTAAACCACACTTCCGAATCCTTCCTCTCTTATTGCAACTTGGTTCTCCAGGCCCTTCCTACATCCCTGGATGCAGGACCTGGTGAGCCCAGGCCTCCCCACCCTATACCCTGACTGTCCGCCAGGAATCAGAGAGCTCTGGGCCCCATGGACGTTCTGGGCCTCAAAGGTGAGCCTGAGGTTGGAGCCAAGCCCCCCCTTGGAGGATCAGGGAGCTGTTGGCCCAGGGCCCGGCTGAGCTGGGGGTGACCTTGAAGTAGTCCTGGCTGCTGTTTCCCTCCGCAGCTCCCCACCAATCCACCAGGGCAGAGACGGGGCCGGGCTGCCTTGGGAGGAGCAGCTGCAGTGCAGACCCTCAGCCTCCCAGGAGCAGGAGGGTCCCAGCAGCTGGGGGGGCTCTGTGGGAGGGAGGACAGGACTCAGCAGGGGCCCCTTCCTGGGACCCAGGTGTCCCCTTTCCCCACTCACAGTGCACGGAGAAGCTGAGAGAGACGCGCTGGGAGCCCAGCGGGTGCCGAGCGTGGCAGGTGAACTCTCCTTCGTGCTCCATTTGAACCCGAGGCAGCTCCAGGACCCCAGGGTCTGAGGGCTGGGAGGGGCCCACGGTCTGTCCCCACCGGGTCCAGCTCAGCCTGGCTGGGGGGCTGCTGTGTGTGACACAGACCAGACGCAGGCTTTGGCCCTCCAGGACCCGGAGGGATGTGCCGTTCCTCAGGTTTTCCAGGACTAGGGAAGGAAGAGGCAGAATCGACGTGCAGCTCAGGGCTCAGGGACCCGCCTGCATGGGGACCCTCCAGACACCTGGGCCCCCAATTTGGCACTGAGAGGCCCTGGCTCCTCTGTCTCCTTTCCTACCTGTCCTGTTTGCTTGGGAAACCATCACTCTCAGGTTCTCTGGAGGATCTGAAATGGAGACAGGGGACCGGCTCTAGACGGACCAGGGACTTCCCTCTGGGCAAAGGGAAGCGTCCTGGAGACTGAGGTGGGGGAAGTGGGTGGGATAGAAGGGCAGGGCAGAATCACCCACTGAGTCCCAGACACAAACTGCATGAGGGTCTACACAGGTAAGAAGGTCAGTCCCCGAGGCCTGGGGTTCAAGACCCCCTCAGCTCTGGGACACTGAGCCCAGCCCCTGTATCCCTCTGCCCTCCCAATGGACTCCAGGCCCCTGCTAGGCACACTCACACTGCACAGAGAGGTCCAGGGCTCGCTGCTGGGAGCCAAGCCTGTTCTCCGCTCGGCAGGTGTAGCGCCCTGAATCCCCGGCCCTTACCCCACGCAGCTCCAGCCCCAGGGTTCTGGGGCCCCAGGGGTGGGACGAGGAGAGGACTCTGTCCTGCAGGACCCAGCTCAGCGTGGCAGGGGGCTGGCTGTCAGCAGCACAGAGGAGCCGCAGGAACTGGCCTTTCTGAACTTCCAGATATATGACGTTTCCCTGGAGTTCCAGGGCTGAAGACAGGGAAAGAGAGAGGGTGGGGGTGGAGAGAGAGAATGGGTGGGAGGGGGGGCTGCAAAGAGGACCACATCCCCTCACCCCCCTGAAGCCTTTTCATCCCTAAAGAGGACTGGCCCAGCCCCAGCCCGAAGGCCCTCAGTACCTGACGTGTTGTCATGTGAAATGCTGATAATAAGGTCTTTGGGGGCATCTGCAACAAGATTGTGAGCTGGCTTCAGGGAGGGACAATTTGTTCCTCACACCTGGAAAAAACTCCCTCAGGGAAAAGAAAGTGGGAACATCCCAGGATGGACAAGTGACAACCAGCTCCAGGGCTCACACATGTGGACAGAGGATCAGACGCCATTCCCATCCCCCTCCCAGGGCTGAGCCGGCATCCTGGGACCCCACAGCTTCCTCTCCCTGGATGCTCCTGAGCTGGGAGCCACTCACTGTCCTGCTGGGCTCCTCCACCTCCCCACCCACCGGGGCTGTCTGCACGCCCCACCCTCCCAGGCCACACTCACAGGCCACACGGAGTCGGACGGTCCTCTGTGCGCTCACACCCTTTCTGGAGAAGTCCACATGGCAGGTGAGGTCGGTGTCGTGGTCCTGGGGGCTGGGCGTGAAGCTGAGCACTGAGAAGTGGGAGGTGCTTGGTCTGGTTCTTCTAGGGGAGAGGGCAGCCCCCGTCCAGGAGAAAGAAGGGGCTGGACATTTCTTGAAAGCCCAGTTAAACACACAGATGACCGTCACCGGCTGCCCGGGCTCCAGGGTCTCGGGGATGTAGACATCAGGCTTCTGAGTCAGGGCTGGGGCAGAGACCGGGGTGGGGAATTCTTGTGCTGCAGGGGTCCCTGAAAGCCCTCTCTGCTCAGCCCATAGCCTGTCCCCAGGGTCCCTCCCCAGTGTGACAGGCAGGGGTTCCCACCCCATTCCATACCTGTTACTTTTAGAACAAATTGTTCACGAAACTATGTCTCACACGGCTTCCTCTCTCCACCCGAAAGAAGTACCATGCCTCATCCTCCCTCTGCGCGTCTCTGATCACCAAGGAGCAGCTCCCTTTGCCGGGATCCCCAGTGAGCTGGAATCGGTCCCGGGTGCTCATTTCCACCTCTCGACTCTGGTTGTTAGTGGCCACAGGAGCACCCGTCTTTGGGCTGGTCCATCCTTTGAACCAGTAGCCATAAGCAGCAGTAGACTCGTCCCAGCCATCCCGGGGGTAGGAGAGGTTGCAAGACACGATGACACACAGGCCCTCCGGCACCGGCACCTGCCTCTGCACTTGAAGACTGTAACTGGGATCCTTGTTCAGGGACCCTGGGGAGATGCAGAGGCTCAGCGGCAGCCCCAGCCCCTGCCTGGGACCCCCAGCCACCGACCCACTCACCCGCCCCCAGCACGGGCAGCAGCAGGGGCAGCAGCAGCATCTCTGGGCTCTGGGGCTGGGCCTGTCCCGGGACCATCTGGCTTCTGGGCCGGCCTGGCTGGGAAGGAAACTCCTCCAGCAGGAAGCCTGGTGGAGGGGCAGTGACCATCCACAGAGGAGGAGCCTCGGGAACCGCAATGTCCTGAAAGCTCGCCTCCCAACTTCTCCTTTCACAGGGGAAGCAGCAGGGCAGAGGGCATGAGGACCAGCCCCAAACCAGGAAGGAGCCACCCTGGCCAGCCTCGGAGGTGGGCAGTGCTAGGAGGGGACTGTCAGGGGACACAGGTGAGTCATGGCTGCAGGTGAAGTGATGGATGCAGAGTCCCATTCATTCATTCATTCATTCTCCAGGCAAAATCTACTCCATGCAGTGGGGGGAGGCAAAGAAGACATGACCATCCAATCCCTGCCCACAGGATCCTCACCTCCACTTATGTCAACTCAGGGTCCCCGGGCTCCCCAAAGGCACTGAGCTCCCCTGCCTGTTGCGGGGCCGTCTCTGCAGCTTACACCAGGCTCCCAGCTCCACAGGGAGAAGGGGGCAATTACATAAGACCCCAGTGAGCTCAGGGGGCCTCATGCTTGGGGTTTAGTGCTCTGAGGTTGCCCCCTGGACATTCTTAATAATTTATCTTTTGATCTGTGTTTTGTAAATGAGGTCTAATTGGTTCATGGAGCCCCCACTGGGGAACTTGGACCTTACATCACAGGGTCCCAGCTCTGTCACCTCCCCACCCTGATGCCCAGACTAGTTTGTGGCTCAGCCCAGCCCCAATTACCACCTGGGCATAGAGGGGGGTCTGGGTTGTGCAGACTCAAGGGCAGGGGCCCCAGCACCTCCCGATTCCCCAAGGCTGAGGATTTGGACATTAACTAGCAAATTTAAAACTCCATGAACAAAATGTGGTTTATTCATTTAATGGAGTATTATTCACCCCTAAAAAAGAATTACATTGTGACACCTGCCACAGCATAGATGGTCCTGACAACATTATACTAAGTGAAAGAAACCAGACAATATTGCATGATTCTGTTCATCTGATATGACCAGAAGAGGCAAATGTAGTGACAGGAAGTAGATTTGTCATTTTGGGGGCCTGGGGGGAGGGAAGAATGGGAAGTGACTGTTTAATGGGTACTTGGTTTCTTTTTTCAATGATGGAAAAGTTCTGCAACTAGATGGAGCTGATGGTTGCACAAGAATGTGAATGTACTTAGTGCCAATGAAATGTACACTTTTTTTTTTTTTTGAGTCTCACTTTGTCACCCAGGCTGAGTGCAGTGGCGCAATCTCGGCTCACTGCAACCTCTGCCTCCCAGTTTCAAGCAGTTCTCGTGCCTCAGCCTCCCGAGTAGCAGGGATTACAGGCATGCACCACCATGCCCAGCTAATTGTGCACTTTAAAATGATGAAAGTAGGCCAGATGCAGTGGCTCATGCCTGTAATCCCAGCACTTTGGGAGGCTGAGGCGGGTGGATCACCTGAGGTCAGGAGTTCGAGACCAGCCTAGCCAACATGGCGAAACCCCGTCTCTACTAAAAATACAAAAATTAGCAGGGCATGGTGGCGCTCACTTGTAGTCCCAGCCACTCAGGAGACTGAGACATGAGAATTGCTTAAATCCGGGAGGCAGAGGTTGCAGTGAGCCGAGATCCGTCACTGCACTCCAGCCTGAGCAAGAGAGTGAGACTCCATCTCAAAAAAAATAAATAAATAAAAAATAAAGTGGTTAAAGTAGTAGGTTTGTGTTATGGGTATTTTACTACAATTTATATTATTTTTAATTAGCAAATAATAATAATTATATATGTTTATGGATACAATTTGATGTTTTGCTAAATGGATTTACAAAAACATAACCCAACTTTATGCTACATATAAGAAAGTCACTCACTTGGAAAGACATATACACTGAAAACAAAGAGATTGAAAAAAATATTCCATGCAAACAGAAACCAAAAAAGACAAGCAGGAGTAGTTATACTTACTCCAGATAAAACAGACTTAAAAGGCCAGGTGCGGTGGCTCACGTCTATAATCCCAGCACTTTGGGAGGCCGAGGCGGGTGGATCACGAGGTCAGGAGATCAAGACCATCCTGGCTAACACGGTGAGATCCCATCTCTACTAAAAATACAAAAAATTAGCTGGGCGTGGTGGCAGGCACCTGTAGTCCCAGCTACTCAGGAGGCTGAGGCAGGAGGATGGCGTGAACCTGGGAGGCAGAACTTGCAGTGAGCCGAGATCGCGCCACTGCACTCCAGCCTGGGCAACAGAGCAAGACTCCGTCTCAAAAAAAAAAAAAAAAAGAGACTTAAAAAAAAAAAAACAGACTTTAAGTCATTGCGTAATGATAAAAGGGTCAATTCAGCAAGAAGATATAACTTTACGTAACTAAATTTATATGCACCTCACACTGGAGCACACATAAGGGGAGAGACAGACTCCAATACAATAGTAGTTGGAGACTTGAACACCACATTGAACACTCTCAGCATTAGACAGATCATCTGGACAGAAAATTAGCAAAGAAACTTTGGATTTAAACTGCATTTTAGACCCAAGGGACCTAAGAGATGTTTGCAGAACATCTTATCCCACAGCTGAAGAACGCAGTCTTCTCTTTGGCACATGAAACATTCTCCAGGATACACCATATGTGAGGCTATGAAAGAAATCTAACATATTTATAGAAATTGAAATCATATTAAACATCTTCTCAGACCACAATGGAAGTGAAACTAGAAATGATTAATAAGAGGAACTTTGGAAGATGTACAAATATATGGAAATTAAACAGCATGCTCCTGAATGACCACTGGGTCAAGGAAGAAATTAAAAAGAACATCAAGACGCTTCTTGCGGCCGGGAGCGGTGGCTCATGCCTGTAATCCCAGCACTTTGGGAGGCCAAGGTGGATCACCTGAGGTCAGGCATTGGAGACTAGCCTGACCAACATGGTGAAACCCTGTCTCTACTAAAAATACAAAAAAAAAAAAAAATTTGCCGGGCATGGTGGCATGTACCTGTAATCCCAGCTACTCAGGAGGCTGAGGCAGGAGAATCACTTTAACCTGGGAGGCGGAGGTTGCAGTGAGCTGAGATGGTGCCATTGCAATCTAGCCTGGATGACAAGAGTGAGACTCTGTCTTAAAAAAAAAAAAATTATTGAAATGAAGATGGAAATACAGCCTACCAAAACCTATGAGATACTGCAAAAGCTGTGCCAGGAGTGAAGTTTATAACAACAAATGCCTCTTTCAAAAAAAAAGATAGAAGAATTCAAATACACAACATAACAGTGGACCCCTGGCCGGGCGCAGTGGCTCACGCCTGTAATCCTGGCACTTTGGGAGGCCAAGGTGGGTGGATCACCTGAGGTCAGGGGTTCAAGACCAGCCTGGACAACATGGTGAAACCCCATCTCTACTAAACATACAAAAATTAGCTGGGTATGGTGGCACACCTGTAATCCCAGCTACTCAGGAGGCTGAAGCAGGAGAATCGCTTGAACCCAGGAGGTGGAGGTTGCAGTTAGCTGAAACTGTGCCACTGCACTCCAGCCTGGGCAACAGAGTGAAACTGCATCTCAGAAAAAAAAAAAAAAAAATGGACCCCAAGGAACCAGAAAAGCAAGAATAAACCAAAATTAGTACAAGGAAGGAAATGGCCAGGCATGGTGGCTTGCGGCTGTCATCTCAGCATTTTGAGAGGCCGAGGTTGGAGAATCGCTTGAGACCAGGAGTTAGAGACTAGCCTGGGCAACATAGGGAAACCCCAACTCTACAAAAATTAACAATGACCAGGCACGGTGTCATGTGCCTGTGGTCCCAGGTACCTGGGAGACTGAGGCAAGAGGAGCACTTGAGCCAGGGAGGTCAAGGCTGCAGCGATCTGTGATCACACCACTGTACTCCACCCTGGGTGATAGACTGAAATCCTGTCAAAAACAAAAAAGCAAAAGCAAACCTCAGCGCATGTTGCTAAGAGCTCCCCCAGCCACCTCTGTCAAGGCGGGGGCCTTGGCTCACCATTGGGTACTGCATTTACCCAGTGCTTTAGCCACAACTCTTTTCTTTTCTTTTGTTTTTTTTTTTTTTTTTTGAGACAGAGTCTCGCTCTGTCTCCCAGGCTGGAGTGCAGTGGCGTGATCTTGGCTCACTCCAAGTTCCGCCTCCCGGGTTCATGCCATTCTCCTGCCTCAGCCTCCCAAGTAGCTGGAACTACAGGCGCCCGCCACCACGCCTGGCTAGTTTTTTGTATTTTTAGTAGAGACAGGGTTTCACCGTGTTGGCCAGGATGGTCTTGACCTCCTGACTTCACGATCCACCCGCCTTGGCCTCCCAAAGTGCTGGAATTACAGGCGTGAGCCACCACACCCGGCCTCTTTTTTTTCTTTGTCTTTTTTTTGTTTTTTTTTTGAGACGGAGTCTTGCTCTGTCACTCAGGCTGGAGTGCAGTGGCACGATCTCGGCTCACTGCAAGCTCCGCCTCCTGGGTTCACGCCATTCTCCTGCCTCAGCCTCCCGAGTAGCTGGGATTACAGGTGCCCGCCGCCACGCCTGGCTAATTTTTTTGTATTTTTAGTAGAGACAGGGTTTCACTGTGTTAGCCAGGATGGTCTCGATCTCCTGACCTCGTGATCCACCCGCCTCAGCCTCCCAAAGTGCTGGGATTACAGGCGTGAGCCACCGCACCGGCCAGCCACAACTGTTTTCTACCCAGAGACACGTCCCCACTAACCTGAAGCCTTAATGATTCAACCCAGTGAATAAAATACTGGGGAAAAAAATAAATTAATTTAAAAGTGCACACCACAGTGGAACAAGGTAAGCTTCAAAAGACCTCTGCCATTCCAACCCCACAGGAGATGATGAACTTGATCACCATCTTACTGAGCACATTGCCACTGCAGCCAGCAACTGAGAAGCCAGCGCACAAGGACTCTCTACAACCAAGGAACTCATACAGAACCTTCATCCCTGAAAGCACCAAGACCTGAATTAAGCGCCAATAAACTATAAACATTAAAATCAGGCTGGATGTGGTGGCTCATGCCTGTAATCCCAGCACTTTGGGAGGTTGAGGTGGGCAGATTACTTGAGGTCAGGAGTCCGAGACCAGCCTGGCCAACATGGTAAAACCTCGTCTCTACTAAAAATACAAAAATTAGCCAGGCCTGGTGGCACACATCTGTCATCCCAGCTACCTGGGAGGCAGAGGTTGCAGTGAGCCAAGATCGTGCCACTGCACTCCAGCCTGGATGAAAGAGCGAGATGCAAGACTCTGTCTCAAAAAAAAAAAACATCAAAAATCAATCCTTGGCCAGGCGCAGTGGCTCATGCCTGTAATCCCAGCACCTTGGGAGGCCAGGGTAGGTGGATCACTTGAGGTAAGGAGTTCGAGACCAGCCTGGCCAACATGGTGAAAATCCATCTCTATTAAAAATACAAAAATTAGGCCAGGCGCAGTGGGTCACGACTGTAATCCCAACACTTTGGGAGGCCGGGGCGGGAGGATCACGAGGTCAGGAGTTCAAGACCAGCCTGACCAGCATGGTGA
Source organism: Homo sapiens (assembly GCF_000001405.40). Lineage (NCBI taxonomy): Eukaryota > Metazoa > Chordata > Mammalia > Primates > Hominidae > Homo > Homo sapiens. The sequence continues at coordinate 49,964,140 of NC_000019.10, read as the reverse complement.
AACGTCATCTCTACTAAAAATACAAAAAACAAGCCAGGCATGGTGGCGGGCACCTGTAGTCCCAGCTACTCGGGAGGCTGAGGCAGGAGAATTGCTTGAACCTGGCAGGTGGAGGTTGCAGTGAGCCGAGGTCATGCTACTGCACTCCAGCCTGGGCGACAGAGTGAGACTCTGTCTCAAAAAAAAAAAAAAAAATTCAACTCAATATGGATCAAAGACTTAAATCTAAGTCCTGAAACCAAAAAATTCTAGAAGATAACCTAGGAAAAACTCTTCAGGACATTGGTCTAGGCAGCGGTATGTATACCATTGTCATGGAATATTACTCAGCCATAAAAAAAGAATGAAATAATATCTTTTGCAGCAACTCGGACAGAGCTGGAGGCCATATTTCTAAGTGAAATAACTCAGGAATGAAAAATCAAATGCCATTATGTTCTCACTTTTAAGTGGGAGCTAAGCTATGGATACATAAAGGCATACAGAGATCATGGACTATGATCTCATGGAGGCAGAGAGTAGAATAATAGTTATCGGAACCCTAGAAGGATGCATGGGTGAGTAGGTGGGGAATGAAGAGGTCTGTCTAACAAATATACGGTTATATAGAAGGAATAGTTCTTATGTTTAATAGCAGAGTAGGGTGACTATAGTTAACAGTAACATATTGTAGTGGTGGCTCATGCCTGTAATCCCAACAATTTGGGAGGCTGAGACAGGCAGATCGCTTGAGCCTAGGAGTTTGAGACCAGCCTGATCAACATGGTAAAACTCCATCTCTATCAAAAACAAAGTATAAAAATTAAGTGGTAGTGCACACCTGTAGTCCCAGCTGCTCGGGAGGCTGAAGTGGGAGGATTGCTTGAGCTTGGGGAGGTCAAAGCTGCAGTGAGCCGTGATCTCACCACTGCACTCCAGCCTGGGTGACAGACAGACCCTGTCTTTTTTTTCTTTTTTTTCTTTTTTTTTGAGATGGAGTCTCTCTCTGTTGCCCAGGCTGGAGTGCAGTGGTGCAATCTCAGCTCACTGCAAGCTCCACCTCCCGGGTTCACGCCATTCTCCCACCTCAGCCTCCTGAGTAGCTGGGACTGTAGGCACGTGCCACCATGCCCAGCTAATTTTTTGTATTTTTAATAGAGATGGGGTTTCACCGTGTTAGCCAGGATGGTCTTGATCTCCTGACCTTGTGATCCACCCGCCTTGGCCTCCCAAAGTGCTGGGATTACAGGCGTGAGCCACAGTGCCCAGCCTGAGTGACCCTGTCTTAAAAAATAATAATAACGTATTGTATTTTTCAAAATAACTAGAAAAGATGATTTGAAATGTTCCCAACAATAGAAATAATAAATGTTTGAGGTGACAGATATTCAAATACCCTGACTTGATTATACCATATTCTATGCATGGCACAAAATATCACATATACCCCATAAATATGTACAAATATCACATATTAATAAAAATACTTTTTAAAAATCAACAAGGCAGGGCTGGGCGCAGTGGCTCACGCCTGTAATCCCAGGATGTTGGGACTCCGAGGCAGGTGGATCACCTGAGGTCAGAAGTTCAAGATCAGCCTAGTCAACATGGTGAAACCCCATCTCTACTAAATATACAAAAAATTAGCTGGGCATGGTGGTGGGCACCAGTAATCCCAGCTACTCAGGGGGCTGAGGCAGGAGAATCGCTTGAACCTGAGAGGTGGAGGTTTTAGTGAGCCGAGATCATGCCATTGTGCTCCAGCCTGGGCAACAAGAGCAAAACTTCATCTAAAAAAAAAAAAATCAACAAGCCAGACACAGTGGCTCACGCCTACAATGCCAGCATTTTGGGAGGCTGAGGCAGGCAGATCACCTGAGGTCAGGAGTTCGAGACTAGGCTGCTCAACATGATGAAACCCCATCTCTACTAAAAATACAAAAAATTATCCGGGCATGGTGGTGGGTGGGTGCCTGTAGTCCCAGCTACTCGGGAGGCTGAGGCAGCAGAATCACTTGACCTTGGGAGGCGGAGGTTGCAGTGAGCCAAGATTGCACCACTGCCCTCCAGCCTGGGTGACAGAGTGAGACTGTCTCAAAAATAAAAATAAAATGGCCAGGCGCAGTGGCTTATGCCTGTAATCCCAGCACTTTGGGAGGCCAAGGTGGGCGGATCACAAGGTCAGGAGATCGAGACCATCCTGGCTAACACGCTAAAACCCTGTCTCTACTAAAAATACAAGAAAAAAATTAGCCGGGCGTTGGGGTGGACGCCTGTAGTCCCAGCTACTCAGGAGGCTGAGGCAGGAGAATGGTGTGAACCCGGGAGGTGGAGCTTGCAGTGAGCTGAGATCCCACCACTGCACTGTAGCCTGGGGAACAGAGCGAGACTCCATCTCAAAAAAATAATAATAATAAAATAAAAATAAATAAATAAAAATCAACAAAGGAGAAAGGTTCATAGGACAGGATCCAGAAGAGACCATATGTGGGATTCCAGTTGTCCTTTCCCAGTGAAGTCATACAGAAAGCGCTTAATGCTTGAAGCAAAGATGAGTGACAACATACAGCAAGTATTGCCACCCAGGGAAGCTCACCTGAGCCTCGGCATTCAGAGTTTTTACTGGGGGTTGGTCACGTAGATGCAGCTGACTGCCTGTGTGGCTGACCTAGTTTTTACCCTCTGTGGAGATACAGCAATAATACGTGGTGCAAAGCCCCCACCATAAATCACTGTGTTCTTGTAGACTCTTCCAGTGTCTCATGGCCCCCTGGAGAATGAATGAATGAATGAGACTCTGCATCCATCACCTCACCTGCAGCCGTGACTCACCTGTGTCCCCTGACAGTCCCCTCCTAGCACTGCCCACCTCCGAGGCTGGCCAGGGTGGCTCCTTCCTGGTTTGGGGCTGGTCCTCATGCCCTCTGCCCTGCTGCTTCCCCTGTGAAAGGAGAAGTTGGGAAGCGAGCTTTCAGGACATAGCGGTTCCCGAGGCTCCTCCTCTGTGGATGGTCACTGCCCCTCCACCAGGCTTCCTGCTGGAGGAGTTTCCTTCCCAGCCAGGCCGGCCCAGAAGCCAGATGGTCCCGGGACAGGCCCAGCCCCAGAGCCCAGAGATGCTGCTGCTGCCCCTGCTGCTGCCCGTGCTGGGGGCGGGTGAGTGGGTCGGTGGCTGGGGGTCCCAGGCAGGGGCTGGGGCTGCCGCTGAGCCTCTGCATCTCCCCAGGGTCCCTGAACAAGGATCCCAGTTACAGTCTTCAAGTGCAGAGGCAGGTGCCGGTGCCGGAGGGCCTGTGTGTCATCGTGTCTTGCAACCTCTCCTACCCCCGGGATGGCTGGGACGAGTCTACTGCTGCTTATGGCTACTGGTTCAAAGGACGGACCAGCCCAAAGACGGGTGCTCCTGTGGCCACTAACAACCAGAGTCGAGAGGTGGAAATGAGCACCCGGGACCGATTCCAGCTCACTGGGGATCCCGGCAAAGGGAGCTGCTCCTTGGTGATCAGAGACGCGCAGAGGGAGGATGAGGCATGGTACTTCTTTCGGGTGGAGAGAGGAAGCCGTGTGAGACATAGTTTCCTGAGCAATGCGTTCTTTCTAAAAGTAACAGGTATGGAATGGGGTGGGAACCCCTGCCTGTCACACTGGGGAGGGACCCTGGGGACAGGCTATGGGCTGAGCAGAGAGGGCTCTCAGGGACCCCTGCAGCACAAGAATCTCCCACCCGGTCTCTGTCCCAGCCCTGACTAAGAAGCCTGATGTCTACATCCCCGAGACCCTGGAGCCCGGGCAGCCGGTGACGGTCATCTGTGTGTTTAACTGGGCTTTCAAGAAATGTCCAGCCCCTTCTTTCTCCTGGACGGGGGCTGCCCTCTCCCCTAGAAGAACCAGACCAAGCACCTCCCACTTCTCAGTGCTCAGCTTCACGCCCAGCCCCCAGGACCACGACACCGACCTCACCTGCCATGTGGACTTCTCCAGAAAGGGTGTGAGCGCACAGAGGACCGTCCGACTCCGTGTGGCCTGTGAGTGTGGCCTGGGAGGGTGGGGCGTGCAGACAGCCCCGGTGGGTGGGGAGGTGGAGGAGCCCAGCGGGACAGTGAGTGGCTCCCAGCTCAGGAGCATCCAGGGAGAGGAAGCTGTGGGGTCCCAGGATGCCGGCTCAGCCCTGGGAGGGGGATGGGAATGGCGTCTGATCCTCTGTCCACATGTGTGAGCCCTGGAGCTGGTTGTCACTTGTCCATCCTGGGATGTTCCCACTTTCTTTTCCCTGAGGGAGTTTTTTCCAGGTGTGAGGAACAAATTGTCCCTCCCTGAAGCCAGCTCACAATCTTGTTGCAGATGCCCCCAAAGACCTTATTATCAGCATTTCACATGACAACACGTCAGGTACTGAGGGCCTTCGGGCTGGGGCTGGGCCAGTCCTCTTTAGGGATGAAAAGGCTTCAGGGGGGTGAGGGGATGTGGTCCTCTTTGCAGCCCCCCCTCCCACCCATTCTCTCTCTCCACCCCCACCCTCTCTCTTTCCCTGTCTTCAGCCCTGGAACTCCAGGGAAACGTCATATATCTGGAAGTTCAGAAAGGCCAGTTCCTGCGGCTCCTCTGTGCTGCTGACAGCCAGCCCCCTGCCACGCTGAGCTGGGTCCTGCAGGACAGAGTCCTCTCCTCGTCCCACCCCTGGGGCCCCAGAACCCTGGGGCTGGAGCTGCGTGGGGTAAGGGCCGGGGATTCAGGGCGCTACACCTGCCGAGCGGAGAACAGGCTTGGCTCCCAGCAGCAAGCCCTGGACCTCTCTGTGCAGTGTGAGTGTGCCTAGCAGGGGCCTGGAGTCCATTGGGAGGGCAGAGGGATACAGGGGCTGGGCTCAGGGTCCCAGAGCTGAGGGGGTCTTGAACCCCAGGCCTCGGGGACTGACCTTCTTACCTGTGTAGACCCTCATGCAGTTTGTGTCTGGGACTCAGTGGGTGATTCTGCCCTGCCCTTCTATCCCACCCACTTCCCCCACCTCAGTGTCCAGGATAGTTCCCTTTACCCAGAGGGAAGCCCCTGGTCTGTCTAGAGCCGGTCCCCTGTCTCCATTTCAGATCCTCCAGAGAACCTGAGAGTGATGGTTTCCCAAGCAAACAGGACAGGTAGGAAAGGAGACAGAGGAGCCAGGGCCTCTCAGTGCCAAACTGGGGGCCCAGGAGTCTGGAGGGTCCCCACACAGGAGGGTCCCTGAGCCCTGAGCTGCACGTCGATTCTGCCTCTTCCTTCCCTAGTCCTGGAAAACCTCGGGAACGGCACATCCCTCCCGGTCCTGGAGGGCCAAAGCCTGCGCCTGGTCTGTGTCACCCACAGCAGCCCCCCAGCCAGGCTGAGCTGGACCCGGTGGGGACAGACCGTGGGCCCCTCCCAGCCCTCAGACCCCGGGGTCCTGGAGCTGCCACCCATTCAAATGGAGCACGAAGGAGAGTTCACCTGCCACGCTCAGCACCCTCTGGGCTCCCAGCACGTCTCTCTCAGCCTCTCCGTGCACTGTGAGTGGGGGAAAGGGGACACCTGGGTCCCAGGAAGGGGCCCCTGCTGAGTCCTGTCCTCCCTCCCCACAGACCCTCCACAGCTGCTGGGCCCCTCCTGCTCCTGGGAGGCTGAGGGTCTGCACTGCAGCTGCTCCTCCCAGGCCAGCCCGGCCCCCTCTCTGCGCTGGTGGCTTGGGGAGGAGCTGCTGGAGGGGAACAGCAGTCAGGGCTCCTTCGAGGTCACCCCCAGCTCAGCCGGGCCCTGGGCCAACAGCTCCCTGAGCCTCCATGGAGGGCTCAGCTCCGGCCTCAGGCTCCGCTGTAAGGCCTGGAACGTCCACGGGGCCCAGAGTGGCTCTGTCTTCCAGCTGCTACCAGGTGAGGGGACTGTGGGGGGCTGAGGTTCAGGGAGAAAGGAGACAGGATCCTAGAAAGATGAAGGTTCAAGGTTGTGGGGAGAGGGTGTGGGCGTGGTGGGAAGGGATGGGGACAAAGTCCCTGCTCTGTGGCTGGTAGTTGTTGCGGGAAACTGAGGAACGGAGAGAGCAATATGGAGAACAGGAGGATTGTTTATTTAAGGTAAGTTCCAGCTTAGTGGATTTACATTTCAAAAGCTGAGCATTAAATAAAGACAAAGAAGGGGTTTTTTTTGTTTTTTGGTTTTTTTTTTGAGATGGAGTCTCGCTCTGTCAGCAAGGCTGGAGTGCAGTGGCTCGATCTCGGCTCACTGCAACCTCTGCCTCCCGGATTCAAGCAATTCTCCTGCCTCAGCCACCTGAGTAGCTGGGATTACAGGCATGCGCCACCACGCCCAGCTAATTTTTTTGTATTTTTAGTTTCACTATGTTGGCCAGGCTGGTCTCGAACTCCTGACCTTGTGATTCACGCACCTGGACCTCCCAAAGTGCTGGGATTACAGGCGTGTGCCACCGCGCCCGGCTAAAGCAGTGTGTTTATAAGCGGACTTACAAAAGTAAAACAAAAGCGGTTAATTATATAGTGCATAACTTGTGGCCTTGTAGCTGTGTCAAAAGAAAAACAAGAACTGGTTAAATACAGACATTTGTGAAACATAATTGTGCTTAAGAAGCCAGGGAAAGGAGTAACAGTAAAAGAATTTGTCTTTTTTTTTTTTTCTTTAACCTTGCTCTGGAAGGGGTGTGTCTGGAGCCCATTCCTTTGGCCTTGGCTTTTTAAACAGTGTTATTTTATACCTGTCCTTGAAGTGAGCTTGCTAGGCATAGAAAGACTTGGGTTTTTTTTGTTTTTTTTTTAACCCTTGCCTTGCCTGTTACTTTTTTGGGAGTGAATGAATGCATATTTATTTTTAAATTTTTGCCTCAGTTTCCCCCTTTTGATGTTTTTTATAAAAGAAGTTTAATAGAAGGCATTACTATTACTTAATTCTGCATGAAGAGACACTTTTTTTCTTTAGACAAAGGTTGATATTTATGCAGAGCCGTTAGCTGAGTGGTAGTTTGCCTAGCTGCTATTGCCTTTATAGTTGATTGAATGCTTCCAACAAGGAGAGCTAAGAGACAAGGGAGTATTCGGCAACTTCCTAGTATGGCCAGAACCACTTTTATTAAAGTCTTGAACCCTCTGCAAAATGAAAACCAGTCCTTAAAGAGAGAATCTGGAGACCACCCTTTCCAAGTTTGAACTGGAACATGGGCTAATTTTTTTATTTTTGCAGTTATTTTTATAATTGCCTTTTCATTGTCAGCGATTTTTAGGCAGCAGTTAGTTAGATTGAACTTTTTACATTTTTTTTTTTCTGGGCTAGGAGTAGTCCAAAGCTAACCTGTTCTGATAGATAACATTCTTCATTTTTGTGGGTTGCTGGGCCAGTAAATCTAATGCATTTGCTGTTTTATTAGTGATGATTTCAAGTACTGCCTGCAACCTTATGATGCGGTTAAGCATGTAAATAGGAGTGTGGTATCCCCATGACCCATTTTGTGCCCAGGTAGCTGGCCTATACTATTGAATTATTTTTTCAGGGGGTTAATTTGTGTCTTTTCAATTTTTTTAATTTTTATTTTTGTGTGTGTGTTTGCATTTTTTTTAACTTTATTATAGACAGGATACCTTAAAGTTTCTCCCTGTTGCAGTGGGAATAGGAAGAAAGACGGTCTAATTGTTTCAAGCACACAGGCCCCTGTCCATTTAGCTGGCAACTGTTGATATGCCCATGGCCTACAGATCCAACAAAGACTAGGAGGTGCTTGCCAAGTATTTGGAGCTTTCGGCTGATAGTAGGTGTGATTTAAAGAAGAGAAACAGGGAACGGATTTGGATGAGGTCATTTGCATTCATCTTTGCCCCGCCACAAAGTGTTTCTTAGTGTTTTATCGTCATATTGCTGTCCTAAGCAGTTTAGTTCTTTTACTGGGTTTGTAAAAACTTTTCCCCAGCGAGCAACACAGTATTTCCTGATAATAGAAGTTTTTAAGAGCCAGACGCTTGAACTTGTGGGCGTCGGTTCGGGAGAAGAGTCAGTTAAATTATTTTGTGGCATTAACTTTTTTGCTTTCCAAGGCCATTGGTCTTCCGTGTTAGTCCCTCCGCAAACATAGTATGAGGAAATGCCTAGGCTGCCGACAATGTTTTTAGGCAGCCGAGCAAACAGGTTTTCTGCTAAAGGAGTGGGCTCTGGTAACAGGATTACAGGTGTGAGCCACTGCGCCCGGCCATAAGTACAAGTTCTTTTTTTTTTTTTTTTTGAGACGGAGTCTCGCTCTGTTGCCCTGGCTGGAGTGCAGTGGCGCCATCTCTGCTCACTGCAAGCTCCAACTCCCAGGTTCACGCCATTCTCCTGCCTCAGCCTCCCGAGTAGCTGGGACTACAGGCGCCCGCCACCAAGCCCGGCTAATTTTTTTGTATTTTTACTAGAGACAGGGTTTCACAGTGTTAGCCAGGATGGTCTCAATCTCCTGACCCTGTGATCTGTCCACCTCGGCCTCCCAAAGTGCTGGGATTACAGGTGTGAGCCGCCATGCCCGGCCTGCTAATTTTTCTTTTTATGAGGGCTGCTGCCAACAGATTGGCCTTTTTTTTTAAGCCTATGTTCTGCTTCCTTTTTCCTTCCTGAGTTATCCTGCTCCTACAGCTGGCCAGTGGGACTGGGCTACGGCGTGGGCCCCGCCCCTGTGCACGCACGCACTGCCATCTATCTTTACTGTTTCTTTCTGATTTTTCTTTTTTCCTTTTTCACACTTACTTTTTTGGGCTAGGTAGGATCTGCACAGCCGTAGTCCACCCCTGGGCCGTTATAGGCCCAGAGGCTTGGTAGATGCCTGCCGCAAGTTGTAAGAATTATGCCTTTCTTTTTTTTTTTTTTTTTGGCTTTTTTTCTGGGGCCAGTCCCCGCCCCGCTCTTTTTCCAGATAGAGCCAGGCTGAGGAGAGGGACTAAACCCTTGGTGTGCCTAGCTGCTTGGTGCCTCGCTTGTTGCTTTCGCTCTTTCCCGTTTTGTTCTCTGGTCATGGTTCATGTACATCTTGGTGGTCACTTTTATAAGCTGGGTGGCATTCATGCCTGCAGCTGCCGCTTGACGTCACCCTGGGCTTGCCCTACAAATGCTGTGTTTACCATGCGCTGATTTTCAGCAGCCTCAGGGTCAAATAGGGTGTAAGGCCGGAATGCTTCACAAAGTTTTTTATAAAACTGACTTGGGCTCTCGTCAGCTCTCTGAAGCACTTTTGAAATTTTTCGTATATTAATTGCTTTCTTTCCACCAGCTTTTATCCCTTGCAGAAGTGTCTCTTGGTACCTTTGCAAATGCTGAAGCTGAGTTGCATCCTCTGGGTTCCAGTTGGGATCTTGGTATGAGAACTGACCTTGAGTGTATGCCTGAGCATTCACTGCATCTGCTGGTGCATGGGGTTTTAGCCAGGGGAGAGCTGCCTATGTTACTCTCCTGCGCTTTTTAGTGTTAAATAACGTTAGGAAAAGCTGCCTGCAATCTGGCCAGGTTGGACTGTGTGTCAGAAAGACGGATTGCGTCAGATCTATAAGAGCTTGAGGCTTCTCCATGTAGGAGGGAGTATGGTGTTTCCAGTTCAGTAGATCAGTAGCTCAGTAGTCAGAAAGGGCTGATAGATGAAGGTGCGTTGCCCCCCACCTCCGAACCTGGCCTTGGTTATTACAATAAGTGGGTCCTCACATCTCCCTGACAGGCATTTGCATAGCTCGAGCAGGCATTTGCATAGCTCAAGCACGGCCAGATCTGAGACAGCCTGCTTGACTATTTTGACTTCCTTCCCTGGCCTTTTGAGGCTCCAGTCCTTCCCTTCGGGGTCAGACTCAGGGCATGCTAGCTCCTGAATTTGGTTCCTGGAGGGCTGTTGGCCTCAGTAAAGGGGGGTAGGCTGGGACATATGGAGGAGGAATTTCTGTTTCCTCTGGCAGCTGTTGCAAAACTGGCTTCTCTTGCTCTTTCTGGGGTTTTTCTTTTAACTTCGTGTCAGTCGGTGAAGCTGCTCTTACTTTTATTTTTGGCTCGGGCTACAAGTGTTTTGCAATAAGCTGCTAAACAGGGCTTGATCCAGGTTAGTCTTGTCTGTGCTGTATTTAACCATGAATCAATATAAGGAAATTGATCGGGATACTCAGGCTGTCCTCAGACCCCTATCACCATCTTTAATACATGCCCAATTGTTTCCTAGTCTACAGTTTCTTCGGTCAGCCATCCAACATCAAAAGAAAGTCATTCTAATTCAAAGAGAGTTCTCAACCTTTGGGGGGTTAGCTTAACTTTATAATCCCCTGCAAAACCTTTCTTAAAGTTTTGTAACATGCACTTCAATGGAGTAAGTTTTGATGGACTTTCCTTCTATTCCTTCCTTTACGGCCCAGCACACTCACTCTTCCTCTAGTTTCGGCCAACTATACCATCTCCTATTACGGGAGTTTTCAGAAGCTACTTGGCTTTGGAGAGTTCCTTATTCCTGCTACAACTCTGAGCTGTAGGGCAGCTCCTATTAGCCATACGCAGATCACCACTAGTCTTAGTTGGCCCCACACTTTGCTCGGAGCACCCAGTCCACACTAAGAGAATTGTGACTTCCCATTTTGTGGCTGATCAGCCTAATAAGGCTTCTTCATTTACACACTGTTACACACTTCCCCACTCCCAGTTCCTAAGTTCCTAATTAGGGTGGTAAGCCACTCTCGCCACCTCCAGTTTCCTTTTCCTAATCGACTTAGCAAACCATTCTCACATCCTGTGATGGTTGGGGTGTGAGTTTCATCCAAATCGACGAGCCACTCTCGCTGCCCCCAACCCCTCTGGGTCGGACTGTTAGGCACCCCGCAAGAAGTGATCAGCCTCCCCTTCCATCCCTATGGGATGGGTCCTGCCTTGGTCCCCAAAAGGTTACTGTGGTTCCTGACGTACACTGTTTCTGAAATCATTCTGTAGCTCCTTTCAGGTTTTGTTGTGCTGCTGGGTAGGGGCGCCGGCTCAGGGGAGAGCTGATTTCTCCTCCAGGCTGAAGTTCACCCAGTGGCACCTGGGGTCACAGGTCTCCTGAGGCCCGGGGCTCCAGCCCCCAGAGGCAAAGGAGGCAGTAAACCTACCGTCTCTGGTCCCTTCGTGGTCGCCAAAAATGCTGCGGGAAACTGAGGACTGGTGAGACCGATACGGAGAACAGGAGGATTGTTTATTTTAGGTGCAAACCGGCTCAGTGGACTCGCATCTAAAAAGCTGAGCATGAAACAAAGACAGAGCGAGGTTTTTATGAGCAGACTTACAAAAGTAAAACAGAGGCAGTTAATTTTAGGATAGGTGACATAATTTATAGTATAGCATAACTTGTGGCCTTGCATAGCTGGTGGCCTTGTAGCTGTATCAAAAGGAAAAAAAAAGAACTGGCTAAATACAGACATTTGTAAAACATAGTTATGCTTAAGAAGCCAGGGAAAGGAGTAACAGTAAAGGAATTTGTTTTTCTTTCTTGTTTTCCTTCAACCTTGCTCTGGAAGGGGGTGTGTCTGGAGCCTATTCCTTTGGCCTTGGCTTTTTAAACAGTATTATCTTATAACTGTCCTTGAAGTGAGCCTTGCTAAGCAGAGGAAAAGTTGTTCTTTTTTTAACCCTTTCCTTGCCTGTTACTTTTCTTGGAGTGAATGAATGCATATTTATTTTTAAATTTCTGCCTCAGTTGGGGATGAAGAATCCGAGAGCTCTAGGTCTGTGGGAGGAAGGGGCAGGAGGGTCTCAGGGCCAGGAGGGCACCACCCCAAACCCTGCTCCCATGCAGGGAAGCTGGAGCATGGGGGAGGACTTGGCCTGGGGGCTGCCCTGGGAGCTGGCGTCGCTGCCCTGCTCGCTTTCTGTTCCTGCCTTGTCGTCTTCAGGTAAGCATCGGAGGGCAGGCAATGCAGGGTGTGGGAAGGGTGAGGGTTCTAGAATCCCAGACAGTCCCAGCTGCAGGAATCTAGATGGGGCAGTGGGTGTGAGAACTAGGCCTTGGGCAAGAGGATCAGAGCAGGGGTCTGCTCCAGAGCCCTGATCTGGGCCATCTATGAGGGTCCCCAGTTCTCACTATGGAAGTCACCCCGTGGATATGTCCCCACCCCACTGGGCTCTGCAGCCTTCCAGCCTCTGCTAAGCCATGTGGGTAGCAGTTTCCCCAGGCTCTGGACCAGCCTGGAGGCTGAAGGGCACTGCCTCCTCCCTCAGGGTGAAGATCTGCAGGAAGGAAGCTCGCAAGAGGGCAGCAGCTGAGCAGGACGTGCCCTCCACCCTGGGACCCATCTCCCAGGTGAGAGCCCAGCCTCTGTCTGCTGGGGCCCTGCCTGTTCCCCTTTCCTTGATGGCCATGGGTAGTCCTCTTGGTGACTTGCAGAATCATTGTGCCCCAAATAGGGTTTTGCTCCTGGGTCCCCATCAATGCAGTCCCAAGTCCCATGATCTGGGAGGCACCCTCCCCACTGCTCCCTACATCCCCTCCCAGAACCAAGGGCCCCCCAGGCCTGTCCATACTCTGCCTGTGCTCAGATCCAGTGGACCCTCCACCTCCCACTCCTCATTTCCTCCTGCATCCCCGACTCCTTTGCCCTCCCTCCTATCTCTCCTCCTCAACACAGGATGCCAGAGAGTCCTTTCCTCAGATGACTATTGTCTACTACAAAGCTAAGGGTCCCCATCCTCACTTCTGACACCAACCACAGTTGTGGGGTCCCCACGACCACTCTGAGGTTGGATAACCCCCTAGGACTCGCAGGACTCACTGAGAGCTGTGATCCTCGTGGTGATGGTTTATAGTGACCGATACAGATGAAAATCATGGACAGGAAGAGGTGCTCAGGGCAGGTCCAGGAGATACCAAACCCACAGCTTCCGGTGGCCTTTCCCAGGGGAGCCATGGGGACAGCACCCAATTCTCCCAGCAAGGAAGTGTGACAGATGCACGGAGCATCAGGGCACCGCTCACCTGGGAAGCTCCACCAAACCTGGGTCCAGGGTTCACTGGGGGTGGGTCACGCAGGCATGGGGGACTTGCCACTGACTTCAGTTCCTCAGCCCCTGCAGAGCCAAACTGATGCTACGTAGGCCCCGCCGTAAGTCCCAGTGCTGGCGTAAACTATGTGGCCTGGCTTGTGGTCCCAGGTCAACAGGGATGCTCCTACCAGCAGGATATTCCAAGGCCCTACATTAGAGGTTCCTTCCCAGCACCTGGGCACAAACGGTTGAAGCTTTCTCTGGGCAAGGGGAATCCTTTACTTCCAGTAACCTTTCTTTCTTGAGCTCCTAGCTCAGTTTCACAATTGTGTCCGAGTAGATCTTCCAAGGTCTTTGAGGTCAGTCCAGGTCCGAGCAAATCCCTGTCTTTCTCACACCTCCTCCTTCCTGGGCATCCACTTATAATTTGCAATTAGATAGTAACTTCATTGACTATAGCTTTAATGTGTCTACTTCTTCTTCCATACTGCAAGCTGCCTGAGATCAGGGGTGGTGTCTCCCTAGTTCCCCCGGGAATATCCAGGGGCTGGCACAGGGGAGCTGTTCCATAAGGCAGCGGGCACTGGAGTCAGAGAAACCTGGACGTGAATCCTGGCCTGACCGCTACTTAGATGTGCGGGTTTGGGGTATTTACTCAGCCTTCATTTCTCCATCTGATCATGGAGACAATAGTGTCTCCCCAGTGGATTGTGGTGAGGATTTTATGAGTCTGGATTGTGGTGAGGATTTTATGAGTCTGGCAGTGAATTACCAAGAGCTAGATGTTATTGTTCTCAAATATTTGCTGAATGAGTGAATGAATGAATGAGTGAATGAATGAGGGCCCAGCTGACCTTTGTGGAATGAGTAGGTGAAACAGGAAATACTCAATTTCCAGATCCTCTTGTGCATCCTCCTTGCTCTCGCTTAGCCCCCATGACCCTAATTTGACCCCCTTTCTCCCCTGCATTCAGGGTCACCAGCATGAATGCTCGGCAGGCAGCTCCCAAGACCACCCGCCCCCAGGTGCAGCCACCTACACCCCGGGGAAGGGGGAAGAGCAGGAGCTCCACTATGCCTCCCTCAGCTTCCAGGGCCTGAGGCTCTGGGAGCCTGCGGACCAGGAGGCCCCCAGCACCACCGAGTACTCGGAGATCAAGATCCACACAGGACAGCCCCTGAGGGGCCCAGGCTTTGGGCTTCAATTGGAGAGGGAGATGTCAGGGATGGTTCCAAAGTGAAGAGGTCTCCATGGCAACAGGACACCAGCAAGTGTGTGGGAGTCGCACTGGTGTGACGGCCAGAACTGGACTCAGATTTCAGCCCCATCCCCAATGAAGAGCTTGAGTTTGAAGATTATACTTTTTTTGAGACAGGGTCTGACTCTGTCCTCCAGGCCAGAGTCCAGTGGTGCAATCTCAGCTCACTGTAGCCTCAACCTGCCAGGTTGAAGTGAGCCTCCCATTTCAGCCTCCCAAGTAGCTGGGACTACAATTGTGAGCCACCATGCCAGGCTCATTGTTATATTTTTAGTAGAGACAGGGTTTTGCCATGTTTCCCTGGCTGGTCTCAGACTCCTGGGCTCAAGCAATCTGCCCGCCTCTGCCTCCCAAAGTGCTGGGATTACAGACGTGAGCCACCACAGCTGGCTGAAGATTATACTTTCAATTCAGAGCGAGTTTGAAGATGACACTTTGAGGCATCGTGTCTATGGTTCATTACTACAGAAGCTTCTCTGGATGTGTAAAGCACAGGAAACCAGGCAGAGGAGGCACAGGGTGCTCTCCAGAACGAGAAGCCAGCTCCTGGAGTTGTTTGCTGCAACTGCCATTCCCCGTTGATGACCATGCTCTTCCTTCAGAAGAGGGAGAGTGAGAGGACCAAGTCCAAGTGGTTCCCATTTGAACATTTAAAAAAAAAAAAAAGGCTGGGCATGGTGGCTCACGCCTGTAATCTCAACACTTTGGGAGGCTGAAGTGGGTGGATCACAAGTCAGGAGTTCAAGACCAGCCTGGGCAAGATGGTGAAACCCCATCTCTACTAAAAATACAAAAATTAGCCGGGCATGGTGGCGGGCGCCTAAAATCCCAGCTACTCGGGAGACTAGGCAGAGAATTGGTTGAACCCGGGAGGTGGAGGTTGCAGTGAGCCGAGATCGTCCCACTGCACTCCAGCCTGGGCAACAGAGTGAGACTCTGTTTCTAAATAAATAAATGAATAAATAAAGCCTGAGTTTGAGTAAGTCATCTTACTCCTCAGTAAAATAGACACAATAAGCCTAAATCACAGGGCTGTAGTGGGACAGAAAGGAAATCATTAAAATAAAGCATCCAGGCTGGGTGCAGTGGCTCACACCTGTAATCCCAGCACTTTGGGAGGCCAAGGCAGGCAGATCACATGAGGTCAGGAGTTCAAGACCAGCCTGGCCAACATGGTGAAACCCCATCTCTACCAAAAATACAAAAATTAGCCAGATGTAGTGGTGCACACCTGTAGACCCAGCTACTCAGGAGGCTGAGGCACGAGAATCACTTGAACTCAGGAGGCAGAGGTTGCAGCGAGCTGAGATTGCACCACTGCACCCCAGCCTGGGCAACAGAGTGAGGCTCTGTCTCAAAAATAAATAAATAAGGCCGGGCACAGTAGCTCACACCTGTAATCCCAGCACTTTGGGAGGCCAAGGCAGGTGGATCACGAGATCAGGAGATTGAGGCCATCTTGGCCAACATGGTGAAACCCCATCTCTACTAAAAATACAAGAAAATTAGCTGGGCATGGTGGTGCGCACCTGTAATCTGAGCTACTCAGGAGGCTGAGGCAGGAGAATCGCTTGAACCCAAGAGGCAGAGGTTGCAGTGAGCCGAGATTGCACCACTGCACTCCAGCCTGGGCAACAGAGTGAGGCTCTATCTCAAAAATAAATAAATAAAGTATCCCACAGAGGCGTGTGTGCAGCGAGTCCCTCGCCTGAGTCACACTTTTTCTTAGGGGAGCCCACTAGGTATAAAGTTCTGACCATCCTGACCCTGATGGTGGCCTCTGCAGGGCAGTTCCAGCCTCAGAAGTCTCTGAAGTCTCAGCTGACGCTGGGGTTGGTCTGTGTCTCAGCTCGTTTCTCCCTGTGCCCCACTTGCTTCCTTCTCCTCCACTCTAAAGGGTTTTTTTTTTCTTTTTCCAGATTTTTGAGGCATAACTGAAAGATAAAAATTGAGTATATTTACCATGAACATCATGATGTTTTGATATTTGTATACATTCTGAAATGAGCACTACCTGTTCCATCACCTTCATAGGTCTCTCTCCTTTTTTTTTTTTTTTTTTAAGACCAAGTCTCGCTCCGTCACCCAGGCTGGAGTGCAATGGCACGATCTCAGCTCACTGCAACCTCCACCTCCCGGGTTTCAAGCGATTCTCCTGCCTCAGCCTCTCGAGTAGCTGGGATTACAGTCGCGTGCCAGCATGCCTGGCTAATTTTTGTATTTCTAGTAGAGTCAGGATTTCACCATGTTGGCCAGGCTAATCTCGAACTCCTGACCTCAGGTGATCTGCCCCTTTCGGCCTCTCAAAGTGCTGGGATTACAGGCATGAGCCACCATGCCCAGCCACCTCCACAGTTCTCTTTGGGTGTGTGTGTGGCAGAAACACTTAAGATGTACTCTGTTAACAAATTTCAAGTATGCGATACAGTATTGTTAACTGTAGTCACCATGCTGTACAGTAGACTCCCAGAACTGATTGTTGGTTGGTTGGTTGTTGAGACAGGGTCTTGCTCTGCTACCCAGGCTGGAGTGCAGTGGCACTGCAGCTCACTGCAGCTCACTGCAGCCTCAATCTCCTGGGCTCAAGTGATCCTCCCACTAAAGCCTCCTAAGTAGCTAGAACCACAGGCACATGCCATCACACCCAGGTAATTATTTATTTATTTATTTATTTTGTAGAAACGGGATCTCACGGCAGGGTGCGGTGCCTCACGCCTGTAATCATGCCATCACTACTAAAAATACAAAAATTAGCAGGGCCTGGTAGTGGGTGCCTATAATCCCAGCTACTAGGGAGGCTGAGGCAGGAGAAATACTTAAACCCGGGGGGCCGAGGCTGCAGTGAGCTGAGATCGCGCCATTGCACTCCAGCCTGGACGCCAAAAGCAAAACTCTGTCTCAAAAAAAGAAAAGAAAAGAAAGAAACGAGATCTCACTATGTTGCCCAGGCTGGTCTCAAAGTCCTGGCCTCAAGCAGTCCTCCCGCCTCAGCCTCCAAAAGTGCTAAGATTACAGGTGTGAGCCACCATGCCGGGCTGACCCCATCTTGTAAATGCAAGTTTCTACCCTTTGACCGACATCTGTCTGTTTTTCTCCCCTCCTAGCCCCCAGCAACCACGGTTCTAATTCTACTTTGTTTCCATGAGTTTTGTGGCAGGAGAATAGGGGATTAGAGGAACAGGGGTTCAGCAGGTGCAGCCAGTTCCTACAGGCAGGAGAGCAGCAGGTGTGGCTTACAGGTCACGTCTTCCCTGGTGATAACAAGCCACATCAGCCTCTGATTGACTGCGGGCCGGGTCTCCACTACGGCCACTGATTGGTCCTGAGCCAATCCTTCATAGCATCTAACCAATTGGAAGCCTCTGAAGGGCGTCTAGGGGTGTTGCCGGGTTCCTTCTAGCTTATTACAAACCTTAATTGGGGAGGCTCTTGAGCTGCTGGCTCGATCCCGCTCCCACTCTGAATTGTCTTCAATAAATCTGTGCTTTTCTATTCACAATAGCAAAGACCTGGAATCAACCCAAATGCCCATCAATGATAGACTGGATAAAGAAAATGTGGTGGGCTGGGTGCAGTGGCTCACGCCTGTAATCCCAGAACTTTGGGAGGCCGAGGCAGGTGGATCACGAGGTCAAGAGATGGAGATTATCCTGGCCAACATGGTGAGACCCCGTCTCTACTAAAAATACAAAAAAGCAGGGTGTGGTGGCGGGTGCCTGTAGTCCCAGCTACTCGGGAGGCTGAGGCAGGAGAATCACTTGAACCCGGAAGGCAGACGTTGCAGTGGGCCAAGATTACGCCACTGCACTCCAGCCTGGGCAACAGAGTAAGACTCTGTCTCAAAAAAAAAAAAAAAAAAAAGAAAAAGAAAAAGAAAATGGTGCATATACACCATGGAATACTATGCAGCCAGAAAAAAGGATGATCATGTCCTTTGCAGGGACATGGATGGAGCCGGAAGCCATTATCCTCAGCAAACTAACACAGGAACAGAAAGCCAAACACCACATGTTCTCACTTATAAGTAGGAGCTGAACAATGAGAACACATGGACACAGGAAGGGGAAAAACCCACACTGGGGCCTGTCAAGGGGCCGGGGGAGGGACGGGATTAGGAAAAACAGCTAATGCATGCTGGGCTTAATACCTAGGTGATGGGTTGATAGGTGCAGCAAACCACCATGGCACACGTTTACCTATGTAACAAAGCTGCACGTCCTGCACATGTACCCCAGAACTTAAAAAAAATCTGTGCTTTTGTTACTCCATTCTTCTGCTGGTTTTTCCCTCCTTGCATTTTCTTTTGTTACTTGATTTGTGCATTTTGTTCAATTCTTTGTTCAACACGCCAAGAACCTGGACAACTCTCTAGTGACAGTTTGACTTCTGTGGATTCCACGCATCCGTGAGATAGCACGGTATTTGTCTACGTCTGATTTAGAGTTAACTCTGTTGTTGCAAATGGCAGGATTTCTTTATCTTATGGCTGAGTAGTATTCAACTGTATTATGCATGTTTTGTGTGTCTATGTGTGTGTACAGCTGACCTTTGAACAGCACAAGTTTACACTGGGTTATACACAGATTTTCTTCCTCTTCTGCCACCCCTGAGACAGCAAAATGAGTCTCTCCTCTTCCTCTTCCTCCTCAGCCTACTCAATGTGGAAACAATGAGGATAAAGATTTTTTTTTTTTTTTTTTGAGACAGAGTCTCGCTCTGTCGCCCAGGCTGGAGTGCAGTGGTGCGATCTCGGCTCACTGCAAGCTCCGCCTCCCGGGTTCACGCCATTCTCCTGCCTCAGCCTCCCTAGTAGCTGGGACTACAGGCGCCCGCCACCACGCCCGGCTAATTTTTTATATCTTTAGTAGAGACGGGGTTTCACCATGTTAGCCAGGATGGTCTCAATCTCCTGACCTCGTGATCCACCCGCCTGGGCCTCCCAAAGTGCTGGGATTACAGGCATGAGCCACCGCACCCAGCCTGAGAGGATTTTCTTATAAAAGAAATAGATAAATTGATAGACATTTAGGTTGATTCCGTATCTTTACTGTTATGAATAGTGGTGTAATCTACATGGAGGTGCAGGTATCCTTTTGATATATTGACTTCCTTTCTTTTGGATACATACCCAGTAGTGGGATTGCTGACTCATATGGTAGTTCTAGGTTTAGTTTTTGAAGAAATCGCCATACTCTTCTCATAATGACTACACTAATTTGCATTTCCACCAACAGTGTAGAAGAGTTCCCTTTTCTGGCTGGTCGCGGTGGCTCACGCCTGTAATCCCAGCCCTTTGGGAGGCTGAGGCAGGCAGATCACCTGAGGTCAGGAGTTTGAGACCAGCCTGACCAATATGGAGAAACCCTGTCTCTACTGAAAATACAAAATTAGCCGGGCGTGGTGGCGCATGCCTGTAATCCCAGCTACTCAGGAGGCTGAGGCAGGAGAAGCGCTTGAACCCGGGAGGCGAAGGTTGCGGTGAGCCAAGATGGTGCCATTGCACTCCAGCCTGGGCAACAAGAGTGAACTCTGTCTCAAAAAAAAAAAAAAAAAAGAAGAGTTCACTTTTCTGGGATGGAATCTTTCCAGGCATGTTATTTTTTGTCTTTTTTATAATAGCCATTCTAACCAGGGTAGGATGATATCTCACTGTGGTTTTTATTTGCATTTCTCCGATGATTAGGGATTAGAATATTTTTTCATATTCCTGTTGGCCATTTGTATGTCTTCTTTTTTTGTTTGTTTAAGATGGAGTCTCACTCTGTCACCCAGGCTGGAGTGCAATGGTGTGATCTCGGCACACTGCAACCTCCACCTCCCAGGTTCAAGCGAGTCTCCTGCCTTGACCCCCTGGGTAGCTAGGACTACAGGCATGCACCACCATGCCCAGCTAATTTTTTAATATATATTTTTAGTAGAGACAGGGTTTCACCATGTTGGCCAGGCTGGTCTCGAACTCCTGACCTCAGGTGATCCGCCTGCCTCGGCCTCCCAAAGTGCTGGGATTACAGGCATGAACCACCATGCCCGACCATTATGTTTTATTTTTAGAAATATCTATTCATGTCCTTTGCCTGCTTTTTAATGTGGTTGTTCTTTTGCTGTTGAGTTGTTTGCATTCCTTGTATATTCTGGATATTAGTCCTTGGTCAGATGAATAATTTGCAAGTATTGTCTCCCATTCAACATACTGTCTGTTCATTCCATTGGCTGTTTCCTTTTCTGCGAAGAAGCTTTTGGTTTAATGTAGTCCCATCTGTCTATTTTTGTTTTTGTTGCCTGTTCTTTTGAAGTCTTAACCATAAAATCTTTGCCTAGACCAATGTCTTGGATAATTTTTCCTATGTTTCATTTTAGTAGTTTTATACTTTCAGGTCTCACGCTTAAGTTTCTATTCCATTTTGAGTCGGTTTTTGTATATGGTGAGAGATGGGGGTCTAATTTCATTCTTCTGCATATGGATACCCAGTTTTCTCAGCACCATCTATTGAAGAGGATGTCTTTTTCCCAATGTAAGTTCTTGGCACCTTCGTTGAAAATCAGTTGGCTGTAAATATGTGGGTTTATTTCTGGGTTCTCTGTTCTGTTCCCCTGGTCTATGTGTCTGTTTTTATAGCAACACCATGCTGTTGTGGTTATTATAGCTTTATAATACATTCTGAAGTCAAGTAGTGTGGTGCCTCCAGCTTTGTTCTTTTTGCCCAGGATTGCTCTGGTTATTCAAGCTTTTTTGGTTCCATACGAATTTTAGGATTGCTTTTCCTAAATTGTCATTGGTTTCTTGCTAGGGATTGCATTCAATCCATAGGTTGCTCTGGGTAGTAATGTTATCTTAACAATATTCTTCCAATCCATGAGTACAAGATGCCTTTCCATTCGTTTGCATCTTCAGCTTCTTTCATCAGTGTTTTGTAGTTTTTCTTGTCAAAGTCTTTCATTTCCTTAGTTAAATTTATTCCTAAGTTTCTTCTTCTTTTTCTTTTTTTTTTTTTTGTAGCTATTGTAAATGGGATTGCTTTCTTGATTTCTTTTTCAGCCAGTTCATTATTGGTGTATAGGTTTGCTACTGATTTTTGTATGTTGATTTTGTATCCTGCCACAATTGGTTTATCAGACCTAAAAGTTTTCTGATGAAGTTTTTCTAAGTATAAGATCATGCAATCTGCAAATAAGGACTATTTGACTTCCTGTTTTCCAATTTGGATACCTTTTGTTTCATTATCTTGTCTGATTGTTCTGGCTAGGGCTTCTGGTACTATGTTTAATAGGAGTGGTAGAGGTAGACTTCCTTGTCTTATTCTAGTTCTTTGAGAAAAGGTTTTCAGCTTTTCCCCATTCAGTATAACGTTCGTTGTGAGTTTGTCATAGATGGCCTTTATTGTGTTGAGATATGTTCCTTCTATGCCTAGAGACTTGAAAGTTTTTCGGTTTTGGGTTTTTTTTTGTTTTGTTTTGTTTTTTGAGACAGTCTTGCTCCATCACCCAGGCTGGAGTGCAGTGGCACGATCTTGGCTCACTGCAAGCTCCGCCTCCCGGGTTCATGCCATTCTCCTGCCTCAGCCTCCTGAGTAGCTGGGACTACAGGTGCCCGCCAGCACGCCCAGCTAATTTTTTTGTATTTTTAGCCAGGATGGTCTCGACCTCCTGACCTCGTGATCCGCCCACCTCGGCCTCCCAAAGTGCTGGGATTACAGGCATGAGTCGCCACGCCCAGGCTGTTTGTTTGTTTTTTGAGACAGAGTCTCACTCTGTTACTCAGGCTGGAGAGCAGTGGCACAATCTCGGCTTACTGCAACCTCCGCCTCCTGGGTTCAAGTGATTCCCCTGCCTCAGCTTCCTAAGTAGCTGGGATTACTGGCGCCCACCACTATGCCCGGCTAAGTTTTGTATTTTTAGTAGAGACAGGGTTTCGCTATGTTAACCAGGCTGGTGTTGAACTCCTGACTTTAGATGATCCACCCGCCTCGGCCTCCCAAAGTGCTGGGATTACAGGCATGAGCCACCATGCCCAGACCTCACTGAAATTCTTTAATAGCAATATTTTGAATCCTTTTTCTGGCTGTAGGGACTAGCCCCACAGGGTCAGTGGGTTTTTCTCCCCGTGTGCGGAGACAAGAGATTGTAGAAATAAAGACACAAGACAAAGATTAAAAAAAAGACAGCTGGGCCCGGGGGACCACTACCACCAAGACGTGGAGACCCGTAGTGGCCCCGAATGTCTGGCTGTGCTGTTATTTATTGGATACAAAGCAAAAGGGGCAGGGTAAAGAGTGTGAGTCATCTCCAGTGATAGGTAAGGTCACATGGGTCACGTGTCCACTGGACAGGGGGCCCTTCCCTGCCTGGCAGCCAAGGCAGAGAGAGAGAGGAGAAAGAGAGAGAGACAGCTTATGCCATTATTTCTGCATATCAGACTTTTAGTACTTTCACTAATTTTGCTATTGCTATCTAGAAGGCAGAGCCAGGTGTACAGGATGGAACATGAAGGTGGACTAGGAGCTGAAGCACAGCATCACAGGGAGATGGTTAGGCCTCCGGATAACTGCAGGCGAGCCTGACTGATGTCAGGCCCTCCACAAGAGGTGGAGGAGTAGAGTCTTCTCTAAACTCCCCCGGGGAAAGAGAGACTCCCTTTCCTGGTCCGCTAAGTAGCGGGTGGTTTTCCTTGACACTGAGGCTACCACTAGACCACTGTCCGCTTAGCAACAGGCGTGTTCCCAGACGCTGGCGTTACCGCTAGACCAAGGAGGCCTCTAATGGCCCTGTCCGGGCATAACAGAAGGCTCGCACTCTTGTCTTCTGGTCACTTCACACTATGTCCCCTCAGCTCCTATCTCTGTATGGCCTGGTTTTTCCTAGGTTATGATTGTAGAGCGAGGATTATTATAATATTGGAATAAGGAGTAATTGCTACAAACTAATGATTAATGATATTCATATGTAATCATGTCTGTGATCTAGATCTAGTATAACTCTTGTTGTTTTATATATTTTACTATACTGGAACAGCTCGTGCCCTCGGTCTCTTGCCTCGGCACCTGGGTGGCTTGCCGCCCACACTGGCACTTTATAAATTTCTTTTCATTGGAATTTGTTGTGTGAGCATTATCACACTCCTTTGGAGGTTTCATATTTTCTTGCTTTTTCAAGTCTCTTATGTCCCTACATTGATTTTTGCGCGTCTGGTGTAACAGTCACTTCTTCCCATTTTTTGGATTGGCTTTCATAACGGAAGACTTTTTCATGAAGACATCGTATCTGTGGTGTTCACTGGGTAATGCTCTTCAGCTTTGATTCTAGCGTGCAGTCATGTAGTCTCTATGATTTTTTCAGCTACAAACAGCATTAGTAGTGTCTGACTTCCTCAGTGGCTTAGGATGTGGTTGTCACTGGAGGCTGTATTGAGACTTTGCTGGGGATGGGATGCCAGGTGGGTCAATCCTTGGCCTCCAGTGGTGACAGAGGCAGGCTGAGCATACCTATCCTTTGGCCTTTGGGGGTATACACAAGTACTGGTGTTAACAGGTCCAGATGGGCCAATTCATGAACCTCCACGTGGCTCACTTTGGTGCCAGCAGGGGCAGCAGTCAGCAAGGATGATGAGTGGGTCCTTGGGTCCCTGGGCTGCATGCATGGCATGATGGTGGCAGTGGCAATGGTGGGACAATCCTTAACTTCCCAGGCAGCAAACACTGGTGTTACCAGTGGCTGAGATGGGCTAGGTGGGTGATGCATGTCAGTGTGTGCCAGTGGTGATGGTGGCAGCAGGCTGGGTAGACCCATCCTCAGACCCCCAGGAGGAGTATATAGATACCAGTGGTGGCAGATGGGCAGGGCAATGCCAGGGCCCTAGGCAGCATGCTTGGGCATTGTGGGGAGCAGTGCCTGACTGGGTGGGCCCGTCCTCAGGCCCTGTGGTGGTGCACGTGGGTGCAGGTGGTGAACAGGCTGAGGCAATCCCTTGGCTGCTATGTGGCATGCTTGGGTGTTAGTGGTAGTGGCAGTTGTCGGCAAGGAGATCCTGTCCTCAGGGCATGTACAAATGTGCATGGCACTGCTGCTGGTGCAGGGGCAGGACTGCTGTCAATGGCAGCAGCCCCAGGCATGCAGCTCTCAGGCTCTGGGAAATACATGCTTTGGCCCCTGGTGAGGTGTCGGTAGTGGCCGTGGCCGTGGTGGCAGTCCTTTGTTTATTTTAGCCTATATTTTTTTTTTTTTTTTTTTGAGACAGAGTCTCACTCTGGCCCAGGCTGGAGTGCAGTGGTGCAATCTCGGCCCACTGCAAGCTCCGCCTCCCAGGTTCACACCATTCTCCTGCCTCCGCCTCTCGAGTAGCTAGGAGTACAGGCGCCTGCCCCCACACCCAGCTAACTTTTTTTTTTTTTTAATTTTAGTAGAGACACAGTTTCACCATGTTAGCAAGGATGGTCTCAATCTCCTGACCTCGTGATCCGCCCACCTCAGCCTCCCAAAGTGCTGGGATTACAGGCGTGAGCCACTGCGCCCAGCCTTAATTTTTTTTTTATTTTTTATTTTTGTTAAGACAGAGTCTTGCTCTGTCACCCAGGCTAGCATGCAATGGCACAATCTTGGTTCACTGCAACCTCTGCCCCCTGGGTTCAAGTGATTCTCCTACTTCAGCCTCCCAAGTAGCTGGGATTACAGGCATACACCACCACACCCAGCTAATTTTTGTATTGTTTGTAGAGACAGGGTTTCGCCATGTTGCCCAAGATGGTCTCGAAATCCTGGACTCAAGTGATCCTCCCACCTTGGCCTCCCAAAGTGCTGGGATTACAGGCGTGAGCCACCGCGCCCGGCCTCCTTCACTTGCTTTCACTTTACTCTGCTGGCTCACTCTTGAATTCTTTTCTGCACGAAGCCAACAACTCATGTGGCCTCCCAGGCTGAATCCCAATTTGGGGGTTCACCCTGTGACATTACAGTGACTTATTTATTTAATCTAGCTATTCTCCTGACCCAGGCAGAAACAGAGTTTCATTCGAGTCCCAGCACTGATGCCAACAGGGGGCCAATGTCCTCTGCGGGAGGATTTCACTCGGGGCTTGAGCAGCTATCCCAAGGGAGCTGGCTCCACTTCCACCCCAAGCAAGCAAGCACAAGGCCGAGGGAAGGCCATCTGGGCTGGGAGTCAGACCACTGGACTCAACTTGGAGATCTTCCTGCAGAAAAAAAAAAAAAAAATGTGGGCTTGGTGATTCACTACCCTGTTCTTGTCCTTGGTTTTCTCTTCTGTAAAATAAGAAATTTTTTTTGAGACAGGGTCTCACTCTGTCACCCAGGCTGGAGTGCAGTGGTGTGATCTCATCTCACTGCAACCTCCGCCTCCCGGGTTCAAGCGATTCTCCTGCCTCAGCCTCCTGAATAGCTGGGATTACAGGCGCATGCCACCACGCCTGGCTAATTTTTGTATTTTTAGTAGAGACGGGGTTTCACCATGTTGGCCAGGCTGGTCTCGAACTCCTGACCTTAGGTGATCCGCCCGCCTCGGCCTCCCGAAGTGCTGGGATTACAGGTGTGAGTGACTGCGCCCAGCCTAAAATGGGAATTTTTAACAACGGGTTCGACAAACATGCACCATCCCTTCTGAGCGCTTTGCATGTATTAACTTACGCAATGCCCGGAACCCTATGAAGTGGCTGCTGTTATCACTGCCATTTTATAGTGGAGGGAACCAAGGCACAGCGAGGCCAAGCACTATTCCCAAGGTCACACAGCCAGCAGGTGGCCGGGCGGGGCTCTATCCCGTGCTGTCAGGCACCAGAGAGACTCGGCTCTTCGGCCCCAGGCCGGAGCCTCCCTGCACTGACGGGATCGCGAATGGGGTTTGTGTGTGTCCTCCCCACTGGGATGCGAGCTCCGGGGGCGGGGACCCCTTCTGGCGCGGGAGGCATTTAATGAGCTCTCTGGAGAAAGAGAGTCTTAGGAGAGCCAATTCCCTTCTTAGCCGCCTAAAACCCCCTGCAGGGGTCTGCTTTGTGAACTGTATTCGAAGTCAGGGCTTCTAGTCCCCGTAAACCGACCAGAAGGAAATCACCGGCTTGGACGGTCTGAGTCTGGGATGGAGCAAAACCCACTCCCGGCGGGGTACGCGCGCCACCTGGCGGCAGACTCCTGCTAAGACAAACTCCGCCCAGAGGCCAGAAATGATTGGTTTTGGAAGCGTGGGGTCTGCAAACCGGCTATTGTCTGAAAATCAGTATGTCAAGCTGGGGGGAGCCTACCAGTGGCTTTCAAACTTTTCTGACCATGACTCACAGTAAGAAATCATTTCGCGCCCGGCGCGGTGGGTCACACCTATAGTCCCAGCAGTTTGGAAGGCTGAGGTGGGCGGATCACGTGAGGTCAGGAGTCGAGACCAGCCTGGCCAACATGGTGAAACCCCGTCTCTACTAAAAATACAAAAATTATCTGGACTTGGTGGTGTGCACCTGTGGTCCCAGCTACTCAGGAGGCTGAGGCCGGAGAATCGCTTGAACTCGGGAGACAGAGGTTGCAGTGAGCCAAGATCGCGCCACTACACTCCAGCCTGGGCCACAGAGTAAGACTCTGTCTGAAAAAAAAAAAAACAGACTTATACTCATTTCCCCACTTCATGGAATTGCAAGCATTCAATGAATACAAATACAAAACACATCAGAAGGCAGAAGTGGGAAGTAACTGCTTAACGGGGATGAGGTTTTCTTTTGGAGTGATAGAAGTGATTAGGAAAGAGAGGCAGTAGTTGCACAGAACCGCGAATGTACTAAATGCCACTGTTCTATGAAATGTTCCCTGTAAAATGGTTTTCTATTATATGAATTTCACCTCAATTAAAAAAATCATACTTGGTGAGGAGACTTTATTTAGAGACTCAGTCTGGCTATGTCACCCAGACGCAATCATGGCTCACTGCAGCCTTGAGGAAAGAAACTTTATTTGAAAGGATTTTTTTAAGGTGGGAAAGGGACTATTGCTATAAAGGTGAGGACATTGCAATAGGGAGAAGCAAAAGATTTGCAAGTGAGACAAGAATTGGGCAGGTTTTTTTCCTTTTTTTTTTTTTTTGAGACAGAATCTCACTCTGTCGCCAGGCTGCAGTGCAGTGGTGCAATCTCAGCTCACTGTCGTGCCATCATGCACGGCTAATTTGTAATTTTTTTGTAGAGATGGGGTCTTGCTATGTTGCCCAGGCTGCTCTGGAATTCCAGAACTCAAGGGATCCTCCTCAGCCTCCCAAAGTGCTGGCACCACAGGCGCAGGCCATGTGCACAGCCAAAGACTTTTTCTTTTATGGGGAGGAGTAAACAAGGTTAGAAAGAACCAGCTGTGGGAAAATAAGATGCAAGGGCTATTGTACAGGACAATCGACCAGGGAATGTTTTATTCTTCTCAGGAGAGGTGCTTAAGGAGGGGCTGTATTCTGGCTGAGGCTGTGGATGGACTGAAATTCAGAGGCCTGGCAGTGAGGAGAGTAAGTTAGGTTAAACAAGCATTTTGTTTCAATTGATCACTGGGGACAAAACAGTTCAGTTAATCATGTACGAGACAACGAAATGGGAATTTGGAGGGTCTATGTCTGCCCTTGTCTTAGACAAGGGGTTCATCCTCAAGTCTTATCTAAGTCATATACGGAAGGGTGGTTCTTCTCAGTAAGCCATCTCCTGGAATGCAAAAAAGCGGGAGGATTTCTTTTTTGTTGTTAGTTTTTTTTAACTTTTTGTAGAGACAGGGTCGTGCTATGTTGCCCAGGTTGTTCTCAAGCTCCTGGGCTCAAACGATCCTCCCACTTTGGCCTCCCAAAGTGTAGGGATTACAGGGGTCAGCCACTACACCTGGGCCGGAAAAGTGGGGGGATTTCTTCACTGTCGCTGTTGTCCACACACGCAAGGCTCCGGTAAAATTCCGCACTGTTGCAAAGAAAGATGCTTTGCTGCTGGGTGGAGAACTTTTTTTTTCTTTTTTCTTTTATTTATGTATTTATTTATTATTATTTTTTGAGACAGTCTTGCTCTGTTGCCCAGGCTGGAGTGCAGTGGCACGATCTCGGCTCAATGCAACCTCTGCCTCCTGAGTTCAAGCAATTCTCCTGCCTCAGCCTCCTGAGTAGCTGGGACCACAAGTGTGCACCACCATGCCCAGCTAATTTTTGTATTTTTCATAGAGACGGGGTTTCACCATGTTGGCCAGGATGGTCTCCATTGCTTGACCTCGTGATCCACCCACCTCAGCCTCCCAAAGTGCTGGGATTACAGGCATGAGCCACTGTGCCCAGTCTTTTTTTTTTTTTTTTTAACAGGTTCTTGCTTTGTCACCCAGGCTGGAGTGCAATGGCACAAACATGGCTCACTGCAGCCTCAACCTTTGGGTTCAAGCAATCCCCCCGCCTCAGCCTCCTGAGTACCTGGAACTACAGACTACAGGTTCATGCCACCACGCCCAGCTAATTTTCTTTCTTTTCTTTTTCTTTTCTTTTTTTTTTTTTTTTGAGACAGAGCCTTGCTCTGTTGCCCAGGCTGGAGTGTAATGGTGTGATCTCAGCTCACTGCAACCTCTGCCTCCTGGGTTCAAGCCATTCTCCTGCCTCAGCCTCCCAGGTAGCTGGGACTACAGGCATGCGCCACCATGCCTGGCTAATTTTTTTTGTATTTTTAGTAGATGAGGTTTCACCATGCTGGCCAGGCTGGTCTTGAACTCCTGACCTCAAATGATTCGCCCGCCTCGGCCTCCCAAAGTGCTGGGATTACAGACGTTGAGCCAAGGCGCCCGGCCCCACCTAATTTTTTTTTTGTAGAGACAGCATCTTGCTATGTTGCCAAGGCTGGTCCCCAACTTCTGGCCTCAAGCGATCCTCCTGCCTCAGCCTCCCAAGTATGTAGGACTACAGGTGCACACCACCTCACCCACTAATTTTTTTTCTTTTTTTTTTTTTGAGATGGAGTTCCACTCTTGTTGCTGAGGCTGGAATGCAATGGTGCGATCTCAGCTCACTGCAACCTCCGCCTCCCAGGTTTAGGGGATTCTCCTGCCTGAGCCTCCCAAGTAGCTGGGATTACAGGCGCCCACCACCATGCCTGGCTAATTTTGTATTTTTAGTAGAAACAGGGTTTCACCATGTTAGTCAGGCTGGTCTCGAACTCCTGACCTCAGGTGATCCACCCACCTTGGCCTCCCAAAGTGCTGGGATTACAAGCGTAAGCCACAGCACCCAGCCATTTTCTTAAAAATTATTTTTTGTAGAGATGAGGTCTCATTATGTTATCCAGGCTGATTTCCACCTTCTGGGCTCAAGCAATTCACCTGGCAAAGCCTCCCAAAGTGCTGGGATTGCAGGCGTGAGCCACTGCACCCACCCTGTTATCTTTATTACTGTCTTTTTCTTTTTTTTTTGAGATGGAGTATTGCTCTGTCGCCCAGGCTGGAGTGCAGTGGCGCAATCTAGGCTCACTGCAAGCTCTGCCTCCTAGGTTGAAGTGATTCTCCTGCCTCAGCCTCCCGAGTAGCTGGGACCACAGGCGCCCGCCACCACACCCGGCTAATTTTTCATATTTTTAGTAAAGACAGGGTTTCACCGTGTTAGCCAGGATGGTCTCAATCTCCTGACCTCGTGATCTGCCCACCTCAGCCTCCCAAAGTGCTGGGATTACAGGCGTGAGTCACCACGCCCGGCCCTCCCCACCTCCCCCCCCCTTTTTTTTTTTTTTTTTTTTTGAGATAGCGTTTCAATCTTGTTTCCCAGACTGGAGTGCAATAGAACAATCTTGGCTCACTGCAACCTCCGTCTCCTTGGCTCAAGCGAGTCTCCTGCCTCAGCCTCCCAAGTTGCCGGGATTACAGGCACACGCCACCACACCCAGCTAATTTTGTATTTTCAGTAGAGATGGGGTTTCACCTTGTTGGTCAGGCTGGTCCTGAACTCCTGACCTCAGGTGATCTGCCCGCCTCAGCCTCTCAAAGTGCTGAGATTACAAGGCCGCCTCTCCCCAGCTGCTTCTCTCAAAGACAAGATGCACAAGCCAGAGGAAATGTTTCGTTTTATTTTTGCTCATAACCTCCCAAAAAAATCAGTACCCCGCCATCCCTCACCCAGACACAGCCCCTCTCCAACACCTTCACGAAACACTGATTTTTTTTCTTAGAGCTAAAATGAACACCCAGTCACCAACTACAGCCCTGCCCTGCCCCTCCTCCCACTGGCCTGCTCATCTTCCCGCACTGCAAACCTGGCCGCCTTTAGCCTCCCTCCCTTAGCGTAGTGTCCCAAGGTCACCTAGCCTGCTTTTTGCCTGTAGGATATGGGTCCCCTTCTCAAAGCCCGCCCTGACTTACTTCCTCATTTGCATAGTCCTTCAGCTCTATCCTGTCGCCACTCCACCCACCCCAGACAACCACCTGTAAGAAACCAGGTTTGAAATTCAAGAGACCAGGTTTCCAAGCTCCCAGCTGCTTCCCTGTGGGCCTCGGTGCCTCGGCTGTTATGTGACGGGCATAGACATTGACTAAGGCCAAACATTTCATGATTTGGACGAGAAAGGAGGGAAGGAGATCCAGAAATACGCAAGAGAGGTGATAAGCAGAGACAGAGGATAAAAGGATAAGAGTAGAGAGGAGTTGGGTGGTTTGGTGGGGAAGAAGGGTTGATTTTTTTTTTTTAATAGAGACAGGGTCTTACTATGTTGCCCAGGCTGGTATTGACCTCCTGGCCTCAAACGATCCTCCTGCCTTGGCCTCCCAAAGTGCTGGGATTACAAGCATAAGCCACTGCACCCGGCCGAGAGGGGTTTGGAATGAAGGTAGAGGCAGGGGGATGAAGGCGCCAGAGCTGAAGACCAGCCCCCAGAAGCCACACCCCTGCCCTTCTAGCAGCTACGGGTCCTCTGGCTCCGGGCCTTGTAAACCTCGATGAGCAGGTCCTTGACGTACTGGATCTCGCGCTCCACGGACTCTGCCCGTTCCTTCAGCTCGCGATTCCGTGCCTCCAGCCCCTGGCACTCGCCCTCCAGGGCCTCACCCTCTGCCCGCTTCCGCTGGCGGTACCTCAGAGCCGCCGACTTGTTCTGGTCTCTCTTCTTTTGCTTGCGGTCCCCTCGGGTGGTGGCAGGATGTGGGTAGGGGGCCAGGCGAGAAGGTTGAGGTGGAGAAGGAGGAGGGGGCTGCTGTGGCGGGGGCAGAGGCGGCATCCCCACTTCCTCCTGCCCGGCCTCGTTGCGGCAGTAGATGGCCAGCAAGTCCAGAGTATCCAAGACAGGGGGCTGGGGGAGGTCAAAGGAGGGGAGGGACAGGGGGAGGGAGGGGGCTGGTGGTAGTGGTGGTGGTGGTAGTGGCGGCGGGGAGGGTGGTGGGAGGGGCGGGGCATCTAGGAAGAAGTCTTCCATCTGTTCCAGCTCCTTCTTGAGGAGGGAGGCCATAGCTTCCAGGTCAGGTGGGGTTGGGGAAGGTTGGGGGAGGGTGCCGGGGGGTAAGGGAGGCTCCAGAGGGAGGAGAGCTGTGAAATCAACTCGCTCAGTCATCCAGTCAGAGAAGCCATCACCTGGGATTAAAGTGGGGAGGGACACAAAATTCCCTGAGTTGCTGGTCTTCTGCGTAGTTGGGTGCTGACTCACGTCTCATTCAGGTGCATCTGTCCCATTCATTCAGTAAAACAACTAACCACTGAATCATCAAACCAGTCAATAAACCAACAAACCAGTGAAGAAACCAATAAACCAGTCAACGAACCAACCAACAATCAACCATCTAACCACCCAGTCAACCAACCAACCAACCAACCAACCAATGAACTAGTCGACCAATCAATCAGGGAATCGGTCAACCAACCAAATAAATCAGTCAACCAACCAATCAACCCATTAATCAACCAATGAACCAGTTAACCAAAACCCAACAAATTAGCCAATGAAAGAATCAGTCTTAACCCATAAGAGGGTCCAGGAGAAAAAAAAAATTAAAAAAGAAAAAAAGAACCAGCCAACCAACCAATGACTCAAGCAACAGTCAACCAAGCATTTCTTCAACCATTCCAACATCTCCTTTACCGAGTACTCTGTATCTGTGGTGTCTCTATTCTCTCTTTTTAAAAGGCAAACTAGATCACATTACACACACAGATACACACGCACATATGCCTTGTTTCATCTTTACTCATTAATTATTGAAAACCCACTATGTGCCAAGCATTTGGGATACAGTAATGAATGAAATGATTCCTGCCTCCTGAGGGCTTCTGCATATACAGTTCCCTCCAACTAAAATGCTCTTCCCTTGGGTGTTTTCCTCATTCCTTCCCTACTTTTTTTTTATTTTAAGGGATAGGGTTTCACTCTGTTGCCCAGGCTGCAGTGCAGTGGCATCATCTTGGCTCACTGCAGCCTAGACCTCCCAGGCTCAAGCGATCCTCCCACCTCAGCCTCCCAAGTAGCTGTGACTACAAGCGTGAGCCACCATGCCTGGCTAATTTTTTTTTTCCTATAGATATGAGGTCTCGCTATGTTGCCCACGTCCTGAACTCCTGGACTAAAGCAATTCTCCCCGCTTGGCCTCCCAAAGTGCTGGGATTACAGGCCATCATGCCTGGCTTCCTTCCCATCATTTATGCCTCAGTCAACATGTTACCTACTTGGAGAAGGTTTTCTGGCTACCCATTCTATATTAGGTCCCCTTTGTCATTTTGTAGCTCAGCTGCTAGGTGTTTTTGACTTATTCCAATACACTCTCATTTAATTTATCTCTGGTCTACTCCCCACAGTGTGAGCTGCTGGAAGGCACAGACCATGTTCTTCTTGTTCCCAGCCGTATCCTCAGCACCTAAAACAGTGCCTGGCACATTGTAGGCACTCAATATTTATTGAATACATGGATGAGTTCTTCCTCCCCCATCTTCCCCTGCCCTCCACTCCCCAGCTCCACCTTCCACCTGCCCTTACCTGCCAGGGGCTCTCCCCCCACTGGAAGCCCGCCCTCCAGGGCTCCCCCAAGGACCTCATAGGGAGCCAGGGGGGCAGGGGCCGGGGGGAGTTTCCCATAGTCTACGAGCCATCCCAGCCCACTAGCTGGGAGCAGGGCCCTGTCCAGCTCCAGCCCCAGGGTCGCCAGGAGTGACATGGCTGTAGCACAGGTGCTGGGCACTGATGGCAACAGGAGAGGCTGCACCAGCAGCTGGCACGAGGCTCTGGAGGATGCTCAGGTGGGCGAAGACAGGCACCAAGGCGAAAGTGGAAGACCTACACGCGTGAGACAAGAGTGGGTGTGGTCAGGACAGCGTCATCCACCGGCCAAAATCAAGGGGAAGCCAAGCCACACCCCCAGGCACGTCCATGAGGCTCCTCCCTCCCCCTTCCAACCACCGTTTAGAACACTAAGCCTCAGCCTCTCCGAATTCTAAATTTGCCCTTTCTTTACCCAAATCTCTGAGCCCCACCCACTCCCAAGGGAATTTCTTTAGGTCCTAAAGTAGGACCGATGCCCCACCCCTTCCCCCAATACAGAAAAAAAAAACCTAAAGGTCTCCCAGGGGAATTACCTTAGGCCCCTCCCATCCACCTCAGAATATTTCGCCTCAAGGAAAAACTCAATCCCAGGGACATTTTCTTCCAGCCACGCCCCTTCCTCTAAAATATTTCCTTTTGGCCCCACTGCCTTCCTAGCTTCCATCCCAAACCAGTTCCCAGGGGAACTGCCCCAGGCCGCAGCCCTTCAGCAATGTTATCCACTCAAATCCCACTCCTCGCTCTGCCGCTGCCCCTCCAAGCCCCGCCCCTCATTGTTTATTTAGCTCCGCCCCTCCCCCGATTCCCCAGAGGCCCCGCCTCTTTGTCACATCGAAACCCCACCCCTCAACTAACGGTTGGTTTAGCCCCGCCCCTTCTCACAATGTGCTTCCGAAATCCCACCCATCGTGACGACAGTGGTTCTATCCCCACCCACTTAGAGGGTTGCCTCTGGGTCCCGCCTTCTGCCCTGTCAATCTAAGCCAGTCCCCGCCTCAGCAGGTGCCTGGTTTAAAAGGAAGGAAGCTGGGCTGTGAGCCAGAGCAACGTGGGGCAGGGAGGGTGGAGGAGGGTAGAGGGGGCACGCGGAGAACGGCTACCCGAACGCCACCCGTCCACACGCGGCTCTGCGCCGAGGGCCAAGGCGCATGCTACGTCGCCCGAGCGGTCCAATTGCCTTTACACCTCCGCCCTCTTGGGGATCAATGCGCATGTGCGGCCATTCAGGGTCCGCAGCTCTTTCACTACGGGGCACTGGTGGGCTACTGCGCAGGAACAACCAAGCACGAAGAATCGTTTAGAAAAAAAAAAAACACACCCTCCCCTGGAGTGCTCAGGCCCAGCTGCACGCGGGCTGACAAACATCGAGTCTAGAACTCTCCCACCCGGCCCCGGGCCCAGTGCGCATGCGCAGCCGCGCGCCTTCGGCCCACCGTACTACTTCTGCGCCTGCGCGACCGTGATTCCCCGCTCGCGACTCCCCACCCCCCAGGGCTCCCTAAAGAGGGCCACGAGCTGCGAAAGGGCGGGAAAGGCAGTTGGAGAAGAGGTAAGCGGTTACTCACTCCATGGCTGCAGCAAGGAGAGGCGGCGGCGGCCTCGGCTGAAGAAAGAAGGTGGGAGCGGAGAGCGCAGGCGTGGTGAGCGCGGAGACGGGCCGGGGGCACAAAGGGGTCGAGGCTACAGAGCCATGGCCGGGGCTACGCAGGCAGAGGCGGCGACACTGTAGTGAGAAGAGACTGTGATCCGAGGACAGGGAATGAGGCGGCCCCGGGGACTGGGGACAGATATATACTGGGTGGCGGAGCACGGCCCTCCCGGATCCTTCCGCGCCCCGCCCTCGCGCGGCCCCAACCGGGAGGCAGCCGGGTCCCCTCCTCCTGGGGATCAGGGGATCCGAGCCTTTCCTTCCCACTCCTAGGGTCCGGGACCCTCCTCCCTCTCAGCTGGGGATCCGACCTCTTCCCTCTGAGCCGGGGATCCAGCCCTCTCCTTGTGGCTCCGGGGTCTGGTTTCCTCCTCCTGACTCTAAGCTCTGGTTTCTTTCTCTTTCTGCCTCTGAGGTCTGGGCCTGCTTCCTCCTGTGATTTTGAGGATCCAGCCTCATTCTCTTCCCGCAGACCTGCACCAGTTCATTTCTCTTTCCCTTTCCTTGCTTGCAGAATTTCCTGCCAGTCACTTTTCACTTCTTCATCCCCCAGCTGCTGACTCTGAGAAACCCTCGTGGGTTAGAGTCCAGCATGAGTCACAGCACTCTCCCAAATACAGACCTGCCAGGATGGCCTCGGGCAAATAACTTAAGTTCTCTTACTTCATTTCCCTATCTGTAAAATAAGAAAAATCAACTCGCCTGGTGGGTTTATGAGACTCAAATAAGACGATGTCTGGCAAGCCTTATGCACAGAGCTCAACTCATACATTCCTGTTCAACTGTTTTTTTTTTTTGAGACGGAGTCTCTCCGTCTCTGTCGCCCAGGCTGGAGTGCAGTGGCGCGATCTCGGCTCACTGCAAACTCCGCCTCCCAGGTTCACGCCATTCTCCTGCCTCAGCCTCCCGAGTAGCTGGGACTACAGGCGCCCGCCACCACGCCCGGCTAATTTTTTGTATTTTTAGTAGAGACGGGGTTTCACTGTGTTAGCCAGGATGGTCTCAATTTCCTGGCCTCGTGATCCGCCCGCCTCGGCCTCCCAAAGTGCTGGGATTACAGGCGTGAGCCATCGCTCCCGGCCTCAGCATATTTTATTAATAGGAACTCTGGGGCCCAGTCTCATTTCTTCCTTACCACTTGTAAGAGCCGCAGACGTTGGACTGTCCAACACCTGCTGTCATTCTTCTGTCTCCCTCATCCCTCTAAAGTGTCTGTTTCCAGCTATCCTCATCTTCCATTCCAAATGATGGGTGCCCAGGCCCCATCCCCTGGCAGGGATTCAGACATCGAGGCCCCAGCTGCGTCCTTTTCTCCATCCCTTGCCCTTGGCTTCCTTTCAAACCGTCCTTCAGCTTCCACTGGATAGGAACTATCTCCCAACCCTGCCAAAAATGGAAGATCTCCGTTTTCGTTTAGTCACAGGGTAGCCATCTTGCCCCTTCTCATGCACTGGGCCCTCCTCCACCAGCCGAGGTGGATGTCCGTCTTTTCTCTGTTGCAGAAACCCACCTTGTCCCATCCACATCAGGACATCCCAGCTGGAGTTCAACCTTCATCCCTTCTGTGGCAGTTAGGAGACTGAATCAAGGTCCAGAGAAGGTGGAGGAATCCTGATACTGAGCGGTACACACAAGCTTCTTTCTCCTTCCTTACCTGTTGCGGGCAGGAAGTCCTTCTTGGGATCTGACCACCTTCCCTTAGAGCACTTACTGTCCACTCTGCCAGTTTTTGAGCACTTGCCCTATATTTTCTTGGGCCTATAGGGGCTGTGTTATCACTGAGGCAGTATACAGAGTAGCAGCTAAGAGCATAGACTGAGCTTGTCCCACCCGTGGGCCTGCATGCGGCCTAGAACAGCTTTGAATGCAGCCTAACACAAATTTGTAAACCTTACCAAAACATGCGAATTTTTTGCGATTTTTTTTTAAGTTCATCAGCTATCAATAGTGTATGTTATGTGTGGCCTAAGACAATTCTTCAATGTGGCCCCAGGAAGCCAAATTTTATACATACCTGGCATAGACTCTGGAGCCAGATTATATGAGTTCAAAACTTGACTGCACCCCTCTTACTAGCTGTGTGACCCTGGCCATTTCCCTTCCCTGTGCCTCAGTTTCCCCTGTGGTACGAAGTGGCATTAAGAATACCTACCTCTGGACCAGGCACGGTGGCTCATGCCTGTAGTCCCACCACCCTGGGAGGCTGAGGTGGGCAGATTGCTTGATCTCAGGAATTCGAGACCAGCCTGGGCAACATGGTGAAACCCTGTCTCTACCAAAAATACAAAAAAATAGTCGGGTGTGGTGGTTTGCACCTGTGGTCCCAGCTACTCATGAGGCTAAGGCAGGAGGATCACTTGAACCCTGGGGTGGGGCGGAGGTTGCAGTAAGCCGAGATTGTGCCACCACACTGCAGCCTGGGTGACAGAGTGAGACCTCGTCTCAAAAAAAAAAAAAAAAAAGTACCTACTTCTTAGGGCTGTTACAAGGATTAAATGAGTTAATCCGTGTCGAGCAGTTAGACTAACGCCTGGGACACAGTAGGTGCTGCATAAAAGTGGTTATTGTTATTGCTGTAATTAAGGTGGATGTGTTCTCATTCCATTGCTGTATAGATTTTTGAACAAAAGCAGATGGAATTAAGGGTAGACTGTTGGGCAGACTGCCAGTGGTAAGGACGCACAGACGTGCCCTATCTCCCCCGCCCCGCCGGTAGAATCTTTTCCTACGAAGATCTTCTAGATTGTACATGGGGACTGGGTTTGGTTTGGTTTGGTTTGGTTTTTTTGAGACAGAGTCTTGCTGTGTCGCCCAGGCTGGAGTGCAGTGGCATGATCTTGGCTCACTTCAACCTCCACTTCCCAGATTCAAGCAATTCTCCTGCCTCAGCCTTCCAAGTAGCTGGGATTACAGGCGCCCACCACCACGCCTGGCTAATTTTTGTATTTTTAGTAGAGACGGGGTTTTGCCATGTTGGCCAGGCTGGTCTTGAACTCCTGACTTCAGGTGATCCACCCACCTCGGCCTCCCAAAATGCTGGGATTTACAGGCATGAGCCACCACACCCAGTCTTAAGCAAGACCTAGCTTTTTTTTTTTTTTTTTTTTTTGAGACAGAGTCTCGCTCTGTTGCCCAGGCTGGAGTGCAGTGGCACCGTCACAGCTCACTGCAACCACCGCCTCCCAGGTTCAAGCCATTCTCCTGCTTCAGGCTCCAGAGTAGCTGGGATTACAGACATGCACCATCATGCCTGGCTAATTTTTATATTTTTAGTAGATACAGGGTTTCACCATGTTGGTCAGGCTGGTCTCGAACTCATGACCTCGTGATCTGCCTGCCTCAGCCTCCCAAAGTGCTGGGATTACAGGTGTGAGCCACCGTACCCAAGGGGGTTATTTTTTAAATAAAATTTTTTATTTTGGAATAATTGTAGATTGACTCAACAGAAAAGTTGCAAAGATAATACGGAGAATTTCTGTATGCCCCTCACTTGGTTTTTTCCATTAACATTTTACATTACTTTGCCACATTTGTCACAACCAAGGCAACATCAGTATGTTACCATTGACCAAATGCCATTCTTGATTCTGACCACACTTGATGCTGATTTTGGTAGTTGTTACTTAATGCCCTTTCTGCTCCTTCCGGATGCCTTCAGGATGCCACGTTATATTTAGGCATCATGGCTCCGCAGCCTCCTCTGGCCTGTGACTGGTTTTAGACTTTCCTTGTCCTTCATGACCTTGACAGTTTGGAAAAATGCTGGTTGGGTATTTTATGGAATGTGCTTCCATTTGGTTTTGTCTCAGACTGGGATTGCGGGATATTGAGAGGATGGCCAGGTAGGATGCTATTTTTTTTTTTTTTTGGCTTTTTTTAGTAGAGATGGGGGGGAGGGTCTTACTATGTTGCCCAGGCTGGTCTTGAATTCCTGATTCCTGGGCTCAAACGATCCTCCTGCCTCACCCTCCCAAAGTGTTAGGATTACAAGCCTGAGCCACTGTGCCCGGCCTGGGTTTTTTGTTTTGTTTTGTTTTTTAATTTTTTTGGTTTTTTGAGACGGAGTTTCACTCTTGTTGCCCAGGCTGGAGTGCAATGGTGCCATCTCGGCTCACCGCAACCTCTGCCTCCTGGGTTCAAGAGATTCTCCTGCCTCAGCCTCCCGAGTAGCTAGGATTACAGGCATGTGTCACCACACATGGCTAATTTTGTATTTTTAGTAGAGACGGGGTTTCTCCATGTTGGTCAGGCTGGTCTCGAACTCCCGAACTCAGGCGATCCACCCGCCTCAGCCTCCCAAAGTGCTGGTATTACAGGCGTGAACCACCGCGCCTGGCCCGGTGTGGGTAATTTTTAATAGCTTGGTCAGTAGGAGAATTGCATTGCTGGCTATGTGCGGTTTATGCTGGCTGCAGAGGTGTCTGGGCAGGGACTCTGCTTCCCCTCCCCACCGTTTTGCCGCCTTTTCTCTCTAGCTATTGGGTCCCACCCACTTCAGCCCAGCCAGACTTAGCAGCTGGACTCAGGGTGAGTGGGTGCCAGTTGGCACCCTTAGCTCTCCAGCCCCTCCCAGCCTGTTCTAGTTCATAGCCGGTCATCAGTGGTTGCCTGCGACCCTTCTCCCCAGATCTTCGAACCCTGAGTCCCCTCGTGTGCACATTCCTGACCCAGGCCTGTGGCCCCTTCAGGACTCATGTCCTGGCCTCCCCCAGCCTCGAGCTCCCCTTCAACTCCTGAGCTGGGGCTTGAAGCAAGGGTGGGGCTACTGGGGACTCTTTTTCGGTGCGGAGGGGCCTGGCTTGGGGAGTGAGGCGGTGGTTGCAGGCAGGTTGCATCAGCCCTGGCTGTTTGACGGGGACGGGGAGTTCGGGGATTCTCTGGGGACCCCAGCACACCTGGCAACCGCTCCCGGTTAGCAGAGCCTTGGATAAGGGAGAACCCCCGCACAGCAAGAGTAGGGGTGGTGTGGAGAGGGAGGGAGATCAGCCACCCGTGCAGGACCCTGAGAATCTGAGGCTCGGTGCCAAGAAGGGGCCTCAGATCACAGAGGCTTGTTAGCAGGAGTCAAGACTGAGGTCCCGAGAGGTAAGGGGGGTTGTGAAAATCACAGTGCCAGTTAGATGGGACCTCAGCCTCCACCATGCTGCACAGCTTCCAGGGCCCCGAGGCCCATGGTGTAGTCTCTGGGAGGTCTCCAAGCCCTGACCCTCACCTCAGGCCTGCTGCTGCTCACAGTTGCCAGACGCTATCGATTCCTGCCTGCACCTGCACCGTGCCATCGCCCTGCTATTGCCGCAACTCCTCACTGCTTTCCCAATCACGGTGGCCTCCTGGCATGATGGAAAAGGCTCCGAGTTTTGCATCAGACAGACCGGGGTTCTGGTCCTGAGCCCAGCACTCAGTTGTAGACTGGAGTGCAGGCAGGGCCCTCATCTGCCGAGCCTCGGCTGCCTTCCGCAGCGTGGGTCAGAGCATGGGCCCTAGAGCCAGCCTGCTGGGTTCACACCCCAACTCCACCACTTCTGTGACCCTCAGCAAGTGGCATCCTCTTTCTATGACTCAGTTTCCCCTCCGTAAAATGGGGATGAGATGGTCCATTGCAGACGGTGGTTTTGAGGATTAAATGTGTAAATGTGCGTGAAATACCTAGAGTGGGGCCTGGCATAGGGAAATGCCCTGTGAGCAGTAGTTCCTGCTCTGGGGCCTGGTGTGGGAGCGCTGTGGAGATGGCATCAGTGAAGCCGGCGGCTGCCAGAGCCCGGGTCTGTGTGTGATTCTCTCTGTTCTCGCCACGCCTGCTTCTGCTTTCAGATCCGCCGTGTGCAGATGTCTGCCTACGTGACTGCTCCCCCGAACGCTTCGAGGGCAAAGTCAGGGCCCTCCTCATTCCCAGAAACGTTCCCCACAACCCCCCGCCCTGTGCTGCTATTTCCGTAGGCATCAATACATTTTCTAATGAGTTGCTCAGCACAGAGGCCAGCGAATGTGATACTGAGGTCCCTGAGAGGAGCCAGGGAGGGTAACTGGGTCACGCAGGCCAGGGGTGCCGGGGTTGAAGGTGGGAGTCCTGGCAAACAAGGGCAGGTAGGCCAAGGCCAGCTCAGTTGGGGAGAGGATGACGCGGGGGCTGGGAGACAGCACAGGCTGCCACGTGGCCCACAGTCCTCCAGAGCCCCTTCCCTCCCTTGTGCCTGCCCTTGTCCCTTCAGTAGAAGCAGTCACAGCTCTTATGCAAAAAAAAAGGGACACAGCAAACTGATAACAACTGACACCAGTGTCCTAGAGCCCAGGATGCCATCACTCACCGCTTAGTGGTCTGGGACAAGATACTGTACCCCCCGACCTGTGGTCACCTCATCAGTAAAATGGGCACAATCATAGAACTACCTTGGGGCAGTGTGGAGGGGCAGGGGGTTGACATGGGAAGAGGCCTGGACCGGTGAACTGCTGACCACCTTGGGCCCTGTGTCAGGCCCAGAGGGAGGGGTGGCTCCCAGAAGCACCTGGGCCCCTGAAAGGCACCGGGGCCGCAGCAACACTGGCAGCGCTGGTGGTGCAAAGCTGCTGGTTTCACGGGAGAAGCTGGAAATCCAGTTTTTTTTTTTTCTGTGAGATCCAAGTTTTAAAGGTAGGCAAGTAATTCAGAAAAACCTGGAAAACCCCAGCAAACCACCAGTGTGGACAGGACTCAGGCTGCTGGCCCTCTGTGACTTCCCCTCCCCACAGCTGTCATCCTCTCTGTCCACAGCAGAGAGCAAAAGGAACCCAGCCCTCATTCCAAGAGTCTCCGAGGATTGAGGCTGGTCCCCTCTGTGCTGGACTTTACAAGCAGTGAGACGGAGTAGGGCTTCATTCCGACACAGCCCGGTCCCATGTGAAGGAGGGGAGGACAGTGTTTCTGGGGAGCAGAGGAGGAGGCCTAAAGAATCCTTCCTGAGGTTCAGGATGCCTGCTGGAAGTGGGGCTGGTGTCTTATTACTCTCTTCCTAATCCCCATGCCCCCAGCCAGAGGCCACCAGGAGCACATTGCTCATTGCGGCAGGAAGACTGTCCCCCACAGGGACTCGCAGGGCACCTCAATAAGGAGGCGTTTGGGCTAACTTGAGGAGTTGGGCTGTGTCAGGGGCAAGCCCATGACTCGCATCTATTTGACCTAGAGCCTGAGAAGCAAAGGGAGCTAGTGCCGCCGGGGTTAGTTGAGAAACAGCCAGCAGCTCTGAGTCAGGAGGGGTGTTTGGTCGTTTCTGTGGTTTGGACATCATGTTGTCTGTGTTGAGGCGTGATTCAGGAGTGGGCTTGTTGTCTTGGTCCCTCGTGGTCGTGGTGGCCTGGCCTGGGGCCCTAGGGCCCTGCCGTCGGGGCTGCTTTCTCGCAGCAAATGCACTCATCCTGCCAAGATGGAAGGGAGGTGAGAGCCACCGCTGTGTCCAGAGGAGGCAGCTCCTGCATTCGTCTGGCCCAGGATATGTGG
Source organism: Homo sapiens (assembly GCF_000001405.40). NCBI lineage: Eukaryota > Metazoa > Chordata > Mammalia > Primates > Hominidae > Homo > Homo sapiens. The sequence goes on along the minus strand of NC_000019.10, from coordinate 49,921,846 downwards.
TTCCTACAGGGTTGCTTGGGCACGGAGGAAAGTACCCGGGCTTGAGCCCAGCCAGCACTCATAGGATGGATGGTCATGGTCGGAGCTGCGGGGAGAGGCAGAGGCGGGGAACCATGGTGGGAGGGCCTCACGGGACCCCTAGGCTCCCTAGGTGCCCCCTCAATGGGCAGAGGGGTACCCCCCATGGAGAGTTTTGAGGTCAGCGGCCATCAGAGCGCCAGGCCTTAGCCCAGTTTGATGCAGACTCCTTTGCCCTCTTCTTCCTGACCTACCACAGAGCAGGAACGTATGGGGGTTGGCGAGCAGCGGACGCCCCTCTCTTCCCTGCAGGCGTCTCAGGCCATCGTCTGCAGCTGGGGCGGGCGGATCATCCTGAATTGGATTTGAGAGTGAAGCCCAGGCTGGTCTGGAAGGTCATGGAGATGGCCCAGGAAGTCTCTGGAGAATGGGAAGGGGGACTGGATGAGGCAGGGGACGGTGATGGTGGTGGCAGTGGGGAGCAAAAAAAGACCATGTTTTGGAGAGGCTCGGTGCGGTTAGGAGCTCAGCTGTGGGGCCAGACACCTGGGCCAGCCCTTACTGGTTGTGGGACTTTACGCAGGTGACTGAAGTCCTCTCCCCTTTCTCAGTTTGCTCATTTATAAATGGGAGCCATGATAGTTTCGCTTCGTCACATTGCTGGGGGAAAGTTAAGTGAGTGAGAACAGGTGAAGCCCTGGAAACAGCCCAGCGCGTGAGAAATGCCATGAAATGTGGGTGTGGAGATGTCCGCCGAGGCAGGAAGGGGCTGTGTTTGCTTCCAGTTCTCATAATGAAAGCCACCCTGCCCCCATCTTCTGGCTGCCTTCACCTGGTTCCCAGAGAAACCTCCATAGCAACCGTCTCCACCACAGCCCGGCCTGGGCCCTTCCCTCCTTCCCCCACCAACATCACTGCCTCTCCCCGGGGAAGCTGATGTTGACAAGAAGAGGGGCTGCGGATGGGGCACAGGTGTGCGCCGTTCCTCCCCCGCCACACACGCCTGTCCGCTGCTCTCAGAGTCCCTCAGCCCTGATGCCTCAGTCCCTCTCCAGGCCTTGATGTCCTGTGCCTGCACCGCCAACCAGAGCGTTTCAGCTCTAGGCTCTTCCCCAGCCTGTTCTCAACCAGCATTACCGGCCACCCCAAGGAAGGCATGGGCCTGCCCTTAGAAACTCTGCCCGAGCCGTTGCCCTCGGGGTAAAGTCAGCTCTGAGCCTGACGCCTATCCGCCTCCACAGCCTCATGGAGGCCTCTCAACCCCTTCCCAGCACCCCCTGGTTGGTTGGTTGGTCGGTTGGTTGGTTGAGTGGCTTTATTGAGATACTGTATAATCCATATCCATTTATCAGTGTCCAACTTAGTGGCTTTAGTACGTTGACAGAGTTGTGCAGCCATCACCACAGTCAATTTTAGAACATTTTCATCACGCTAAAAAGAAACTCCTAGGCCGGGCATGGTGGCTCACGCCTGTAATCCCAGCACCTTGGGAGACCGAGGTGGGCGGATCTCAAGGTCGAGAGATTCATACCATCCTGGCCAACATGGCGAAACCCCGTCTCTACTAAAAATACAAAAGTTAGCTGGGTGTGGTGGCACGCGCCTGTAGTCCCAGCTACTTGGGAGGCTGAGGCAGGAGAATAGCTTGAACCCGGGAGGCAGAGGTTGCGATGAGCTGAGATCACGCCACTGCACTCCAGCCTGATGACAGAGTGAGACTCCGTCTCAAAAAAAAAAAATTAGCTGGTGTGGTGGCACACATGTGTAATCCCAGCTATTAGGGAGGCTGAGGTGGGAGGCCCACTGGAGCCCGGGAGGTTGAGGCTATGAGCGTGATTGCACCACTGCACTCCAGCCTGGGAGACAGAGTGAGACCTTGTCTTAGAAAAAAAAAAATTTTTTTTTAATGCAGTAGGTAGAGGGGAAAAAACTTTCAATACAAGAGTAAGAAATAAAAGTTATTGGCCAAAAAGGAAGAAGCCTTGGCACCAGAGTATTCCTCAAATCTCTTCCAGTCCTTTTATATTAAGAGCAAGCGGTGGTTCTAGAATCTTCCTTAAAATCTCTCTCTGGCTGTTTCCTAACTTTTCCATGGTTGTCTTAGCTGATTCGTTTTTCCTGTGGGGAAAATTGCTGTTGGTCCTGCGACCAGAGCTCCTTTGGTAGCTTCTGGGCCTGGGGAGTGGGAAGGAGAAAGTAGCTGCTAATTAGCCGTCAGGTGACTTCAGGGGAAAGCAGGAGAGAAGGTTGAAAATCAGTGAATCCACAAATCATTTAGCTACTGCCTTGAGGCCATCCTGTGTAGCAAGTGGCAGAGGCAGGATTTTGGTACCCTGGGCAAGTCGCCCCCTCTGAGGGCCTCGGTTTCCTCATCTACCCGGGTGAGGAGAATAAGCCTGCTTAAAACGATTTCTAAGATACATAAAGAACAGTAGAGAACAGTGCATGTAGCAGGCGGCCTTTTGTGTGCAGGTGGGGATAGTGCCAACCACGCTTTTGTTTAAACGCACAGCAAGTCTCTGCAAAGATGTGCAACAGCAGCCTGTCTCCAGGGAGCAGGGCTGGGAGGCTGTGGGACTCAGGGAAGACAGGCCACACTATTCCCTTTTGTACCTTTTGAGCTACAACAATGTGAACATACTACCTATTCACAAAATGAGTTAGTTTGTTTTTTTGAGACCGAGTTTCACTCTTGTTGCCCAGGCTGGAGTGCAGTGGTGTGATCTCGGCTCACTGCAACCTCCGCCTCCCAGGTTCAAGCAATTCTCCTGCCTCAGCCTCCCGAGTAGCTGGGATTACAGGCATGCACCACCATACCTGGCTAATTTTGTAATTTTTTTTTGTAGAGATGGGGTTTCTCCATGTTGGTCAGGCTGGTCTCAAACTCCCGACCTCAGGTGATCCGCCCCCCCACACCCCGCCCCCCCCCCCCCAGCCTCCCAAAGTGCTGGGATTGCAGGCGTGAGCCACTGCGCCCGGCCTAGCTTTTATGTCTTTAAATGCCCACCAATGTCACTGGGTTGTGGCAGGGTGGTGCGGCCTCCTGGGTAGTGAGCACACGGGAACATTTAGGCATTGAAACATCTGAACATGCAGTAAAAGTTCCAGTGACAGCCTGGGGAAGACAGCTTGATCCATCACAGCTTCTCCCCCGAGGAGCTGACAGACACACAGCCACACACACCCTGTTCCTTTGTCTCCACACAGGTCCTTAATGCAAGTCGGTTATGCCTGTAGGTTGAAAGGCATCAGGGAGGAAAATGGGACCAGAATGCCAGGTGACCTAAGGAGGAGAGAGAGAGGACAGTTGAAAACCCACAGGTATCCCTGTCCCTTCCTCCCTCCCTACTATTGGGGATACCTGGTTCTGTGGAGGAGAGGTGGCCTTTTGGTGGAGGTGAACATATAGGGGTGGGAGAGGGGAGCTCTTCCATGTCACAGATTTGGCTTAGAAAAGCAACCCTCGCTGGACGTGGTGGCTCGTGCCTGTAATCTTGGCACTTTGGGAGGCAGAGGTGGGAGGATGGCTTCAGCCCAGGAGTTGGAGACCAGCCTGGGCAACATAGTGAGACCCCATCTCTACAAAAAATCGAATATTAGCTGGGCATGGCGGCGTATGCCTGTAGTCCCAGCTAACGGGAGGCTAGGGCAGGAGAATCATTTGAGCCCAGAAAGTCGAGGCTGCAGTGAGCTGTGATTATACCACTGCACTGGATGACAGAGTGAGACTCTGTCTCAAAAAAAAAAAAAGAAAAAGGAAAGCAGACCCTCTCCATGGCTTTGGGTTTTTGTTTGTTTGTTTGTTTTGTGTGTCTGTTTGTTTTAGACAGAGTCTCGCTCTGTCACCCAGGCTGGAGTGCAGTAGTGCGATCTCGGCTCACTGCAACCTCCGCCTCAGCCTCTCGAGTAGCTGGGATTACAGGCACACACCACCACACCTGGCTAATTTTTATATTTTTAGTAGAGACGGGGGTTTCACCATGTTGGTCAGCTTGGTCTCGAACTCCTGACCTCAGGTAATCCACCCACCTCGGCCTGCCAGAGTACTGGGATTACAGGCGCGAGCCACCATCCCTGGCCCACTCTGTTTTCTACCAATGGGGTTGGCCATACCCCAGGCAGGGTAGTTATGTAAGAGAGCAGGACAGGAAAGCCCAGGCCACCGCCAGCTCCCGCCAGGCGACTGCAACAGTCTCCTCACTCCTCCCACACAGAGTCTCGGTGAGTCTTTCCCAACATAACCCAGACCCTGACCCACTCATGGTCTCATGCTCCCAAGGCACTCTGGTCTGGCCATTTGGCCTGGACCGCTTGAGCATCTGCCTTGGCTAAGGTCCACTTAGGAAGGTGTTGGTCAGTTGACTTCAGTTCTTGAAGGGCAGACTTGGAGCTGATCTGTTATTCAAGGTTTAGGGGGATTTTCTTTGACGCAAAGGAAAGAGGAACTGATTCAGGAGACGGTTAAGAAGCAGAGTAGTTAGACTTGTGGAGTTTGCAGACGGAGAATCCCAGCACTAGCACTCATGGAGATGGTCCTGGCCAGAGGTTCCCACGGGAGGGCAAGTGAGGGAAGGCAGTGTTGGAGGACGGCGTCTGAGCCTCAGCAGGAATCAAATTTCCCTGGGCTGAGCCCAGCCCATCTCTGATCTCCCCTTGTTTCTCTCCTCTCCACTCCCTCACTCTCTGCTCTTTTCTGCCCTGTTCTGGTCTCTCTGGTTCCACCGGTCATACTTCCCCCAAATCTGAAATAACGAATTCCATGGGGAAAGGGGAGGTCCCACGGAGACAGCTCCGCACCCTGTCCGTCTTGCATCTGGGCTCTGCGTTGTCAGCAGTGCCACCAGGTGGCTGTCAGCCGAATGCCATGGGCCTTTGTTCAAGTGCCTCCCAGAACTTTTTTATTTGTTTGAGACGGGGTCTCGCTCAGCCGCCCAGGCTGAAGTATGGTGGCATGATCACAGCTCACTGCAGCCTCAAACTCCTGGGCTCAAGTCATCCTCCCACCTCTATCTGGGATCACAGGCACACGCCACCATGCCAGGCTAATTTTTGTTTTTTTGTTTTTGAGACGGAGTCTCGCTCTGTCTCCCAGGCTGGAGTGCAGTGGTGTGATCTCGGCTTACTGCAAGCTCCGCCTCCCGGGTTGATGCCATTCTCCTGCCTCAGCCTCCCGAGTAGCTGGGACTACGGGCACCCACCACCACGCCTGGCTAATTTTTTTTTGTATTTTTAGTGCAGACGGGGTTTCACCATGGTCTGGATCTCCTGACCTAGTGATCCGCCCGCCTCGGCCTTCCAAAGTGCTGGGATTACAGGCGTGAGCCACCGCGCCTGGCCTAATTTTTGTATTTTTAGTAGAGATACAAAAATACAAAAGATACCGGGAGGCGGAGCTTGCAGTGAGCCAAGATCCCGCCACTGCACTCCAGCCTGGGCGACAGAGCGAGACTCCGTCTCAAAAAAAAAAAAAAAAATACAAAAGATACACCATGTTGGCCAGGCTAGTCTCGAACTCCTGACCTCAGGTGATCCACCCACCTCAGCCTCCCAAAGTGCTGAGATTACAGATGTGAGCCACCACACTTGGCCAACACTTAATTCTAACATCTTTTCCTCAATGAAACTCTCCCGTCCCAGGCAGAATGTCAAGACTTGGCCCTGGAAAGCTCTGGTTTCCCATCATGGGTCTGCTGTTTGCTGGGTGGCCTTGGGGAGTCTGCACTTGTTTCCCACCCAGGAAGGGCTCGGTGTGCTGCAGTGCAGTGCTCTGGCACGGTGCCGGTTACACAGTAGGTCCCTAGTAAATGGTTGTTACTGAGTCCCTACTGTGTACCAGGCACTGCTGCAGGTGCTGCGAATACAGCAGGGAACAAACGGAAATCTGGCCCAGTGGAGCCGACACCATCCCCACCGTTAGCCTTCCTCTGTGTTCGGAGGCAACCTTGTCCTTCCCTCCCATCATAGATGGCCTATCGTGGCTGGGTGTCAGTGGCAATCCACCCACACACATCCACAGTCCTGGCAGGGTTGCCCCAGCACCAGGGGATGTCTGGATTTTCAGAATCACACCTCACTTTCCTTTCTGTACCAGCCGCCTTGGTCTCCATGCACAAGGGCAGACCTGCCCCTGACCCCAGCCCCTTTCTCAACCCCAGCTCTGCTCTGTGTATTCCCATCCACCTATCTAGATTTCATTCTGTTCTTTCTCCATCGTCCCTCAACCTACCGCCATTGGTTTCTAGTGGCTGCTGTAACAAGTCATCACAAATGTAGTGGTTTAAAGCAACACGAATGTATTTTCACAGTGCTGGGGGTCCAGAGTCTAAATGGGTGCATGGTGTGTAGTTCCTCTGGGAAACTCTAGGGGAGAGGCTATGTCCTTCTTTAGCTCTAGAGGCCGAAGCCGCCTGTGTTCCTTGGCTTGTGGCCCCCTCATCTTCAAAGCCAGCAGCACAGTGTCTCTCAGTCCATTCTTCCATAGGCACATCTCCCTCTGACTCCTGCCTCCCTGAAGAACCCCTGTGGTCACCTGGGGCTCACGTGGATAAGCCAGGGTAACCTCTTTATCTTCATCACATCTGCAAAGTCCCTTTGCCATGTAAGGTCACATTGACAGGGTCCTGGATCAGAGTGTGGGCATGTTTGGGGGCCGTTTTTCTGTCTACCCCCCCACACACATAGCACACATCCTTCCTAATTCTTCCTTTCCTTTTGGTCCAAAGCTGAGGTCTCCTGTATTCTTTCCCAGGCACAGACTCCTGTCCCAGGCATCTAAGGAAAGGGGTTGGGGGCCGGGCACAGTGGCTCACTCCTGTAATCACAGCACTTTAGGAGGCCAAGGTGGGCAGATCACCTGAGGTCAGGAGTTCAAGACCAGCCCGGCTAACATGGTGAAACCCCGTCTCTACTAAAAATACAAAAATTAGCTGGGCATGGTGGTGCACGCCTGTAATCCCAGCTACTCGGGAGGCTGAGGTGGGAGAATTGCTTGAACCCGGGAGGCGGAGGTTGTAGTGAGCCAAGATCGCACCACCACACTCCAGCCTGGGTGGCAGAGCAAGACTCCATCTCAAAAAAAAAAAAAAAAAAAAAAAAAAAAAAACTGGGACTTGGAGTGGCACAAGAATCACAGATGGAGGTAAGGTAGTAGAGCTGACCGAAGGCTGGGGTGACAGCAAAGAACCCTGGTTCTCACAGATGGGGGTGGGATATGCCCACCTGAATTCAGATGATTCCGCATCTGAATCCCAAGCGGGTCTTCCTCCGGGTTCCCAGGGCTGTGAAGGCGGCCGTGTTGTTTGAAACTCAAGGGTAAATGTTGGGGCAGGCAGGCAGGAAGGGAAGGGACTGGCGGCTCTGCCAGCACTTTCCTTGGTGACCTCAAGGCAGCGCTTCTCTGGAGCTGTGTCCTGCCTGGGTGAACTACAGATGGTCACAGCCACCCAGCCCTGAGCACAGGCCCAGGCATACCCTCCTCCTTTCCCTGGAAATGCAACACTCCCTCAGTTTGGGTTCCTCCCTGCTTCCTCCACCGCCACCAGCACCATCAGCTTCTTTGGTAAGGAAACTCTCCCCTTTGGCAAATGTGGTAATTCCGGGATCAGAGCTCGTAATAGTTTGCATTTGTGAGAAACTTCCCAAGTTCTAGTATTTGTGGCTTTTTGTTTTTTGTTTTTTGCCTCAAACTCCTGGGCTTAAGCAATCCTCCTGCCTTGGCCTCCGAAAGTACTGGGATTACAGGTGTGAGCCATCATGCCTGGCCTGTCACTGTTAACCTGGACAGACCCTGTGGTTTTGGTGCAAATTTAACACTTTGCTCAAATTGTGATGCTGTCCTCTCTGAGTTCCAGTTCGGGCCTCAGGCTCTTGGCCTGGACCTTCTCCCAGTCTTCTCTAAGCCACCTGGCCTCCAGCCTCTACCCCTACGGTTCATCCCCCACACCCATAAAGTCCGCCTGTGGCTCCCTCAATATAACGCCCGAACCGTTAGCATGGTATGTATGGGTCTGCCAGATTCTCCCGCCTGTCACGTGGCCCACAGTCCCCAAGACCACCCTGCGGCTCAGTGATGAGCTAAGACTCACAGAGCTCAGCAAAGCTTTCTACTCACAGTCACGGTCACGGTTTATTATGGAGAAATGATACAGACTGAAAACAGCAAAGGGGAGAGATGCAAAAGCCCCAAGGGAGACCAGGCACGAGCTTCCAGCTCTCCTCTGCAGGTAGAGAGAGTCCCGCGGACAGTGCTCAGTTCTCCCTGCAACAGCGTGTGGTAACGCTTACGGAGCAGTGGCGGCCCGGGTTGTGGGGAGGACATGGCGCACCCGTGTGGCTGAACTGAGGTCTGCTGACTCCAGCCCCTCCAGAGGTCGTGCTGATACTGTATGACCCAAAGCCCCCACTCTAGGTCACAGCGTCAACATGGACTCTCTAGAGTGGCCTGGGGCCCCAGGTAAACAAAGGCGCTCTTATCTGGCAGCACATTTCAAGAACATAGAGATTCTCCTGGAGCTGGTCAAGGGCCATTTTCTCTCTTTGGAATGTGCAGATTTGAACAGCCCAGGCTTGCCAAGTCACTCCTTCACACATAAACATCTCCCTTCAGAAGCACCAGATCACTTAGCACCCAGAGGCATGTCTGCTGTGTGGGCCTCCCTGTCTTCACACAGGCCTTTCCTCCCGCGTGGACGGCGCCTCTCCCCCGCCATCCTTTCCCTGGCTGATGCTGCATCTGCAACGCTCAGCTTCTCCCTGGAACCTGCTCCCACAGCATGTGGCCCGGCCCTGTGCCTGCCCTGAGCCCTGGTTGTAGAGCTGACATTTGACTCTGGCTGCCTTGAGGGCAGGGACCGTGGCTTAACCAGCCACTCTGGGCTTCACTTTCCTCATTTGTCAAGTGGATCTGCCCCAAAGTTTGCTTTGAGGAAACGGTGAGTAATGGTAGGTCTCCTTTCTTTCTTTTTTAGATGGGGTCTCACTCTGTTGCCCAGGCTGGAGTGAGTGGCACAATCACAGCTCACTGCAGCCTCCACCTCCCTGGGCTCCAGTGATCCTCCCATCTCAGCCTCCCAGGTAGCTGCGACTACAGGCGCCTGCCACCACGGCCAACTCATTTTTGTGTTTTTTGTGTAGAGACAGCATCTCGCTATGTTGGCCAGGCTGTTCTCGAGTTCCTGGGCTCAAGCGATCCCCCCACCTCAGCCTCCCAAAGTGCTGGGATTACAGGCGTGAGCCACCTCACCTGGCCATATCTAAACTGCGTGGATCAGGGCTGGATCAGTATGGGTTCACCATTGTGAATAGATCCCTGGCACCTGAGTATTGGAAACCAATGTGGCACTTAATAAATGGTGAACTGTTGGCCGGGCGCAGTGGCTCATGCCTGTAATCCCAACACTTTGGGAGGCCGAGGCAAGCGGATCACCTGAGGTCAGGAGTTCAAGACCAGCCTGGCCAACATGGAGAAACCCCATCTCTACTAAAAATACAAAAATTAGCCGGGCGTGGTGGCATGCGCCTGTAATCCCAGCTACTTGGAAGCTGAGGCGAGAGAATCGCTTGAACCCGGGAAGCGGAGGTTGCAGTGAGCCGAGATCATGCCATTCCACTCCAGCCTGGGCAACAGAGCGAGACTCCCGTCTCAAAAAAAAAAAAAAAAAAAAGGTGAACTGTTAAGCCAGACAAGTCCCCATAGAAGATTGTTTTCCTTGTAGTTTTTTCATAGTTGCAAAGAGCTTTTTATAAATGCTCTTCTTGGAAATTTTAGCTACAACTTATTAATAGCAAAAGCTTTTTTAAGCTGAGTTCTTGAGAACTGAGATGTGTAGGTGTAGCTGCTCAGATGCCTTTAGCTGCCAGTAACAACACACCGGCTTGAGGTGGCTCAGCAGTGAGGACTTTTGTTCTGTCCCACAACGGGAGGAATGGATGTAGGCCGGGCCAGGCCCCAGCAGTCCTGGGGGCTCAGGCACTTGCCGTGGCCTCTTGAAGAGACCTTTCTCAGAATCCCCCAGGAAAGCTTTATGAAAATGCCAGGGCCACAGCATCCCAGCCCCGGAGAGACTGGCTTAGTGGAGCTAACAGCCTTGTGTATTTTGAATGCTCCCAGTCAGTAGTGATGGACGCCCATTGAGATCTACTGGCTTAGACAAGGCAGAGCGTGTGCAGCTGGCCCTGGGGTCATCTCCCCAGGCTTGCTTGGCTGTGTGGAGAAGGAGGAGCAGACGAAACAAAACTTAGGGGCCTGTGAGGAAGCAGAAGGGTGCAGTGGAAGGGGTGGGGGTAGTGAGATAGGTTGCCTCTTACTCAAGCTGGAAGGGGATTTCCTGAGGACAGACACCAAGCAATTTAAAAACTGGCCTGGAGAGAGGGAAGAGGAAACAGACCTCGTGGGTGTTTCTCTGGGTCAGGCACTTGGCTTCTCAGTCTTGACTTTGATTATTCTTTTGTTTTTTTGAGACAGGGCCTCCCTCTTTCCATTTCCAGCTTTTAGAGCTGCTTCTGCCTTCCTTGGCTCCTGGCTTTCTCACATCTTCAGATTCCAAAGCGCATCACTCCAGTCTGCTCGTGTCACCACAAGCTTTCTTCCCTTCTCCAGTCAGTCAAATCCGTCTTCTAAGGATACTGCTGATCATCTTTAGGGCTCACGCCTGTAGTCCTGGCACTTTGAGAGGACAAAGAGGGAGGATCGCTTGAGCCCAGGAGTTGAAGACCAGGGCAACAGAGTGAGATCCCATTTCCACAAAAAATAAAAAAGATTATCCACGCATGGTGGCATGCACCTGTAGTCCTAGCTACTCTGGGAGGCTGAGGTGGGAGGATCACTTGGGTCCAGGAGGTTGAGGCTGCAGTGAGTTGTGATCATGTCACTGCATTCCAGCTAGTATGACAGAAAAAAACCCTTTCCCAAAAGAAAAAGAAACCACCCCTATTCAGCACTCCCTCTCACCCTTTCCTCACCAGGTAACCTTTGACCTTCCTGCTGATAGATGGCACCACTGGGAGATTTTTCAGTTAGACATTACCAAAATCAAGTCAGTTTGAACTGAATGGAAATACTGTGGCCCATGGGTCTTCTGGGGTGCTCTTTATCCCTCCCCCACCCCCACCCCCACCCATCTCTGGTGGGGCTCATGGTCTCCCGTGATGTCCCAGTGTCTGCAGATGGTTGAGAAGGTGTCCAAGGGAGGCCCAGGTGCAATCCTCCACACCACACCTACAGGTGAAGGAGGCAGCTGCCTTCCAAGCCTGGAGAAAACCCCAGGGGAGGCTCCGATTGCCTGGCTCAGGTCTCAGTTTATCCTTGAGCCAATCACTGCAGCCAGGGGCATCTGTGCTCTGAGCACATGGGTTTCAGACCCTCCCCTGAGTTAGGAGGAGGAGTTCCAGTGTCCTCTCCTGCTCTTAGAGAGTGCAGGTGTGGGCCTGGGGGGCCTTCAGCAACCCAGACCCTGCCATCCAGCCTGGGTTCCCGGCCCCATCTCTCTCTCTGAGGTCCAGAGAGGCCCTCAGGGTGGCAAGAGCTGATCCGCTCACACCCTGCTAGAGTCAGCCAGGGAACCTCACTGGGTCCCACGCTGGGAGCAGGTCCTACAGCTGTTCTTGTGTGTCCTAGTCCCGCTTGTGGCAGTGCCTCAAATCTGATCTCCTCAGGCTGAGGTGGGTCCAAGGTCCTGTTCTCCCGCCTCGTCCTCCACAGAGTGGGAGCTTTCCACTGGGCTGAACATGGCCACGCACGTCCCTAGCACCCCGGCTCCTCGTACCTGACCCCTGGGGCGTGCTTTTGTGCTTCTGGATCCTTCTCGATGTAGCAGAGCCTAGTTTAGGTTACACAGCATGCATCATTATCCCATCCCACCACCCTCCAAACCGACTGTGCCCAGTCATGCCACTGAGCTTGCCTTTCCAAAACTGCCATCTGACAATGTCACTTCCTCTGCTTTAGAAATCTTCCCAAGGCTGCAGACACCGACGGATTTGCTTTGGGAGCCAGAGTAGCTGCCGCCACCAGAGTCCGGAGCCATGAGCGGGTTTAATTTTGGAGGCACTGGGGCCCCTACAGGCGGGTTCACGTTTGGCACTGCAAAGACGGCAACAACCACACCTGCTACAGGGTTTTCTTTCTCCACCTCTGGCACTGGAGGGTTTAATTTTGGGGCTCCCTTCCAACCAGCCACAAGTACCCCTTCCACCGGCCTGTTCTCACTTGCCACCCAGACTCCGGCCACACAGACGACAGGCTTCACTTTTGGAACAGCGACTCTTGCTTCGGGGGGAACTGGATTTTCTTTGGGGATCGGTGCTTCAAAGCTCAACTTGAGCAACACAGCTGCCACCCCAGCCATGGCAAACCCCAGCGGCTTTGGGCTGGGCAGCAGCAACCTCACTAATGCCATATCGAGCACCGTCACCTCCAGCCAGGGCACAGCACCCACCGGCTTTGTGTTTGGCCCCTCCACCACCTCTGTGGCTCCAGCTACCACATCTGGAGGCTTCTCATTCACTGGTGGAAGCACGGCCCAACCCTCCGGTTTCAACATTGGCTCAGCAGGGAATTCAGCCCAGCCCACGGCACCTGCCACGTTGCCCTTCACTCCGGCCACGCCAGCAGCCACCACAGCAGGTGCCACACAGCCAGCTGCTCCCACACCCACAGCCACCATCACCAGCACTGGGCCCAGCCTCTTTGCGTCAATAGCAACTGCTCCAACCTCATCTGCCACCACTGGACTCTCCCTCTGTACCCCTGTGACCACAGCGGGCGCCCCCACTGCTGGGACACAGGGCTTCAGCTTAAAGGCACCTGGAGCAGCTTCCGGCACCTCCACAACAACATCCACCGCTGCCACCGCCACCGCCACCACCACCAGCAGCAGCAGCACCACCGGCTTTGCCTTGAATTTAAAACCACTGGCGCCAGCCGGGATCCCCAGCAATACAGCAGCTGCCGTGACCGCTCCACCTGGCCCTGGCGCAGCTGCAGGGGCGGCTGCCAGCTCCGCCATGACCTACGCGCAGCTGGAGAGCCTGATCAACAAATGGAGCCTGGAGCTAGAGGACCAGGAGCGGCACTTCCTCCAGCAGGCCACCCAGGTCAACGCCTGGGACCGCACGCTGATCGAGAATGGAGAAAAGATCACCAGCCTGCACCGCGAGGTGGAGAAGGTGAAGCTGGACCAGAAGAGGCTGGACCAGGAGCTCGACTTCATCCTGTCCCAGCAGAAGGAGCTGGAAGACCTGCTGAGCCCACTGGAGGAGTTGGTCAAGGAGCAGAGCGGGACCATCTACCTGCAGCACGCGGATGAGGAGCGTGAGAAAACCTACAAGCTGGCTGAGAACATCGATGCACAGCTCAAGCGCATGGCCCAGGATCTCAAGGACATCATCGAGCACCTGAACACGTCCGGGGCCCCCGCCGACACCAGTGACCCACTGCAGCAGATCTGCAAGATCCTCAATGCGCACATGGACTCACTGCAGTGGATCGACCAGAACTCGGCCCTGCTGCAGAGGAAGGTGGAGGAGGTGACCAAGGTGTGCGAGGGCCGGCGCAAGGAGCAGGAGCGCAGCTTCCGGATCACCTTTGACTGAGCGACAGCAGCCCTGGGGCCCGCAGGTCCCTAGGGAGTTCATGAGGGGAATGCGCCCTGTTGTCTGTAGTTTGGGGTTGTGGCAAGATACTTGTTTGTTTGTTTCTTTCTTTCACATGACTGCCCTTGACATGATCGCTGTGTGCTTTGCGTTTTTCCATTTAGGAGGGTATTCTGGGCCTTCTGCCCAGGCAGCAGCCTCATGGGTGTGGCTTCTGTGGCTTTCATTTGAGTATCTTTGGCCCCTTTTCACCTACTGCGACCACCCACCTCATCCTGGCTCAGCCTGGTGATGGAGAAGTGCTGATGGTCTTGGTCCCAGCCAGGGTCGTGGGGGCAGCCACTCTCTCCAAAGCATAGTCATAGGTGTCATGAAAAAATACCAAATGTAAGAGAACCTCCAAGTCAGGGCGCAGTGGCTCACCCCTGTAATCTCAGCACTTTGGGTGGCCAAGGCGGGCAGATGACTTGAGGTCAGGAGTTCGAGACCAGCCTGGCCAACATGGTGAAACCCCGTCTCTACTAAAAATACAAAAATTAGTCAGGTGTGGTGGACGCCTGTGATCTCAATCTCAGCTACTCGGGAGGCTGAGGCAGGAGAATCACTTGAACCCAGGAGGTGTTGCAGTGAACCAAGATCACACCACTGCACTCCAGCCTAGGCAACAGAGACTCTGTCTCAAAAAAAAAAAAAAAAAAAAAGAAACTCCCAGGAGACAGCAGCCTAGTTTTCGAGTGTGAGCTTGTGCTTGTGAAAGCTAACCATGCTAACCACCAAGGCAAAGCAGCACAGTGTGAATAGAACAGAGCGGGATCAAGAATTTCACAGAAGACAGGTCAGCTGAGGGGCCTGCACACACAGGGTGTTGAGGAACCACAGATGGGCGCCGAGAGGCCTGCCTTTTGCCTGGCCCAGGCTCACCCCCACCTTGGGCCTCACCTCCTCCAGGAAGCCTTCCCAGCTACCCGAAGCTCAGGTGGCCTTCTTGCAGGTCCCCGTAGCACCCTGAGCCTGTACCTTGGGTGGCACTTGTTATGCTATCCTGTGCTAGCCGTTTGTGCCTCGTCTCGCTGTTAGATTGTGAGTTCCCATGGGCAGAGACCCACTGTCGTTCCCCGTGTGTCCCCAGCCCGGTCCCTGTCACATTTGTTAAATGAAAGAACAATGAAGCCCAGTGTAACGTCAGTCCACAGAAATAGCCACAGCTTCCAGTGGTGGCCGTAGACTTGGCTCGGAACTTAGTGGCACCAGAGTAACTCTAGTCAGTTACAGTAAAATCCACTGTGTGTGGAAGGCAGAAGCTAGCGGTTGTATCCCAAGCATCTTTTGTATTTGTCTTTATACTTTGCTGAATTCTCTGAAATACCTATTACTGTATGTTGCTTTTCTAAATAAATGTATTGTGAAACCAAAACAGCTGCTGTTAATATGGATAAATGTTAGGAGGAGAAAGCTGAGTAAAAAGAGCAGGTTCCAGGAGACTCTGCAGGGGTGCCATTCACATGAAACGCACAGGCAAGCAAATGAAGTAGTGCTTGCATAGACATAGGGGTATGCGATGAAGCAGCTTTTGTTTGATGAGACAGAGTAATAGACAAATGCAAATCGTGGTTTGCTCCAGGAAGGGGTGGTGCTAGTGGTAGAAGAGGAACACACGAGTGAAGCCGCCACGGGGAGTGGGCTCCAGGTGTTTTGTGACAGTTATGTCGTAGAATATACACAAATATGGCTGGGCGAGGTGGCTCACACCTGTAATCCCAGCACTTTGGGAGGCCAAGATGGGCAGATCACTTGAGGTCAGGGATTCAAGACCAGCCTGGGCAACATGGTGAAACCCCGTCTCTATAAAAACTACAAAAAAGTTTGGTTGTGCGTGGTGGCACGCAACTGTGGTCCCAGCTACCTGGGAGGCTGAGATGGAAGGATCATTTAAGCCCAGGCCTTTGAGGCTGCAGTGAGCCATGATCACACCACTGCACTCCAGCCTGGGCGACAGAGCAAGACTCTGTCTCAAAAAATATACACACATGTTAAGTCATCTAGTACCATCCCTAAGGCGCTATTCCAGTGGTTACAGATGTCATGGGCAGCATTCCTTCCTGTCACCTGGGGCTAAAGACACGGGCCCAATGCTCTTCCTCCACCCTCCAGCCTCGCTCTATGGACTGGAATGGTCCTAAGCACTCAGATCTCCTGGGCTGTGGGGAGTGGAGTGTACCCCTTTGGCCTCCTGCTGCCTGTTCCATCTCAGTCTGTGGGCAACACTTGGGAGATTCATGGCCCAGGTTCCAAAAGTCTCCCGAAGTCATGATCATGAGTCATTATTTCCTTGGACCGGCCAGGTGCGGTGGCTCACACCTGTAATCCCAGCACTTTGGGAGGCCAAGGCTGGCAGAACACCTGAGGTCAGGAGTTCGAGACCAGCATGGCCAACATGGAGAAATCCCATCTCTACCAAAAATACAAACATGAGCTGGTGGCTAGTTAAGTGGCGGGCGCCTGTAATCCCAGCTACTCGGGAGGCTGTGGCAGGAGAATCGCTTGAACCCGAGAGGTGGAGGTTGCAGTGAGCCGAGATCATGCCATTGCACTCCAGCCTAGGCAACAAAAGCGAAACTTCGTCTCAAATAAATAAATAAAATTTCCTTGCACCATCTTGGGCTCTGGAGGACAAGAGTTGTGTCTAAGTAGAAACCATGGGTGTGTGTGGTGGGAGCAGTAAACCAGAGGAAGACCCCACAACCCAGCTACTTCTCTCTGAAAGCTGTCACCTACAGCAGGGACCTTTTCCTGCAGTTCATAGGCCTTGACTCATATTGTCCCCTCTGCCGGAAGGGAGGCCTTGAGTCCCCTTAGGAGGTAGGAAGCAGTTTGCATTTTACCTACATTTGTGCGTTCAGCATCCATTTTTAGAGCTGATCCTGATCTGGTGCTGGAGGTACCAAAAAATGCCCACAAGGTCGTTGGCAGGGGCCACACAATCATGATGAGAAAATTTGAGCATGTATTTCCAAAGTGTACATGTATATTTTTCCTATTATTTTGCATATTATTTCCTATTTTGTATATTAACCATTAGCAAAGCTTAATTGCTTTCTTATAGTTATATTTTTAAAATAAATTCCAGCTTTGGGAGGCCGAGGCGGGTGGATCACCTGAGGTCAGGAGTTTGAGACCAGCCTGGCCAACATGGTGAAACCCCGTATCTTCTAAAAATACAAAAATTAGGGGCTGGGCACGGTGGCTCATGCCTGTAATCCCAGCCCTTTGGGAGGCCAAGGTGGGCGGATCACGAGGTTAGGAGATCGAGACCATCCTGGCTAACACGGTGAAACCCTGTCTCTACTAAAAATATAAAAAAATTAGCCGGGTGTGGTGGCAGGCGCCTATAGTCCCAGCTACTCGGGAGACTGAGGCAGGAGAATGGCATGAACCCGGGAGGCGGAGCTTACAGTGAGCAGAGATCAAGCCACTGCACTCCAGCCTGGGCAAAAGAGTGACTCCGTCTCAAATAAGTAAATAAATAATACAAAAATTAGCCCGGCGTGGTGGTGGGTGCCTGTAACTCCCAGGTACTCAGGAGAATCACTTGAACCTGGGAGGCGGAGGTTGCAGTGAGCCAAGATCGCGCCACTGCACTCCAGCCTGGGCAACAAAGTTAGACTTCATCTCAAAAAAAAAATTTTAAGTTCTGCATTTTCTTCCCATACCCCAAAGGATCTTGAGCACCCCACTCTGAATAACACAAGTGATTCCATTAAATCAGGAGGCTCTGTGCCCCAAAGCCATGTGAGAAATGGTCCCAACAGGCCTCCTGGGGGAGTCTAGGAGGGATCCCGAGATCGCAGCAGCATCAGCAACCGACTGGGTGCCACCGCGGGTGATGGCTCCATCGTAATTTCAGTTTCCCTTTCCAGGAAGAAAATACACAGATGTGCTTCCTTCCCAGTCCTGACAAATGGCCTTTCCTTAAGTTCCTCATTAATTCATATGAAGACAACACATTTGGTGACTAAATTTGGAATCAGAGGCTTTTAAAGGTGAATCTCAGCTCTTACTGCTTTGCTTTCCCCTGTTTAGGGATAAGAGTGGCAAATGGGGGCTGGGTGTGGTGGCTCATGCCTGTAATCCCGACATTTTGGGGAGGCCAAGGGGAGTAGATTACTTGGGGTCTGGAGTTTGAGACCAGCCTGGGCAACATGGCGAAACCTCGTCTCTACAAAAATACAAAAATTAGCCTGGCGTAGTGGCTCCTGCCTGTAGTTTCAGATACTTGGAGGCTGAGGTGGGAGGATCACATGAACCTGGGAGGCAGACATTGCAGTGAGCCGAGATCGTACCACTGCACTCCAGCCTGGGTAACAAAAGTGAGACCCTGTCTCAAAAAAAAAAAAAAAAAAAAAAAAAACCCAGCACATATAACAGTATAATATGTAGTCAAACCATGAGGGAATGATGACTTTTTATTCTTTTTTAGTAAAAACTAATCATCAATACAATTTATTTTTTAGTAATGAGTGGCTTGCAAAGCAAAAACTCCTGAAAATGTAAATCAGCTCTTATGACCTGGTATGACTCAGCTTCAGCACACCACTGCTCCCAAGTTTTCAGTAAACCCCAAAAATGTCAGGGTGCTTTAAAAATCTGCCCCTCAGACTCAGGGCAGCGGCTCTCCACAGAACCTCCCAGGGAGCAAAGCCCTCACGCTCGGAAGCGAGGTCTGCTTCTTGCACAGCAGCCAGCCCCCCAGCCAGGTTTCAGTGACCCCGGCTGTTCCCCTGCCTGTCCCACAGGACCACACCCTTGGCTTCTGCACACCAGGGCCCTGGTGACTTCAAACACAGTGACCCACATGGGCGCCCTTGTCCCGTCTCCCCTCCAGACACCATCAGGTTGAACCCTCTCAGACGCCAAAGGTTTCCCGAGGCAAGAAGCAGACCGGGTGCGCTGCCGTGATGGGGACTAGCCTGGTGCCCTGGGGTCACCTCAGATACCCTAGTTCCCTTGAATCCACAGAACTGATAGTGACACTTACTGACCAAGACAATGTCACTCAAATGCAATATGGACTGTGATTTGCATCTTGACAAACCAACCGTTTTTTGTTTTGTTGTTGTTTTTTTTTTCAGAGAGTCCTGCTCTGTTGCTCAGGCTGGCGTGCAGTGGTGTGATCTCGGCTCACTGCAATCTCTGCCTCCCGGGTTCAAGCGATTCTCCTGCCTCAGCCTCCTGAGTAGCTGGGACTACAGGCGTGCACTACCACACCCAGCTAATTTTCGTATTTTTAGTAGAGACAGGGTTTTACCATGTTGGCCAGGATGGTCTTGATCTCCTGACCTTGTGATCCACCTGTCTCGGCCTCCCAGAGTGCTGGGATTACAGGCATGAGCCACCACACCTGGCCTTTTTTTTTTGAGATGCAGTCCCGCTCTGTCGCCTAGGCTGGAGTGGCATGATCTCAACTCATAGCGACCTCTGCCTCCCAGGTTCAAGTGATTCTCCTGCCTCAGCCTCCTGAGTAGCTGGGATTACAGAGGTGCCCGCCACCACGCCTGGCTAATTTTTGTATTTTTAGTAGAGATGGGGTTTCACCATGTTGCCCAGGCTGGTCTTGAGCTCCTGACCTCAGGTGATCCGCTCACCTCGGCCTCCCAAAGTACTGTGATTGCAGGTGTCAGCCACCATGCCCGGCCTAAACTGTTTTTTTGTTTTGTTTTGTTTTGTTTTTCAGTGATGAGCTATTCCAGGAAACGTGAACATTGATTTAATGATATTAAGAAATGGCTGCCATCCGGAGCTTGCAGTGAGCCGAGATCGTGCCACTGCACTCCAGCCTGGGCAACTGAGCGAGACTCCATCTCAAAAAAAAAAAAAAAAAAGAAATGGCTGCCATCTTAAAATATGATAATGATATTGTAGTTTTTAAAAAGCAAAACATGGTCAGGTGCAGTGGCTCAGCCTTGTAATCCCAGCACTTTGGGAGGCCAAGATGGGAGGGATCACCCGAAGTCAGGAGTTCGAGACCAGCCCAGCCAACATGGTGAAACCCTGTCTCTACTAAAAATACGAAAATTAGCTGGGCATGGTGGCCTGTACCTGTAATCGCAGCTCCTCGGGAGGCTGAGGCAGGAGAACCACTTGAACCCAGGAGGTGGAGGTTGCAGTGAGCTGAGATTGTGCCACTGCACTCCGGCCTGGGTGACAGAACGAGACTCAGTCCCAAAAAATCAGAAGACAATATGGTGCCTGGGACTTGCTCTAAAATAAATCCAGTGAGAGGGCGGGGAGGGTGAGTGAGACAAGGGCTGTGTGAAGCCATGAATTCACCTGGGTTTATCCCCTGCTCACTCTGGTTTTAGATGTTTGAAAGTTTCCATAATAAAACACTTCTGAGAAAGGGGGACCTGCCTTTCACAGCCTCCCAGCTGCTCTGACCCCAATATCAGGAACTTGGCATCTCTGATCTAACAAGGGCACCACTAACAAGGACAAAGCCACCATCATTCACCTTGATTCCGCACATGCCCAACGATGACTTCTGTCCTGGGCTAACCATAAAGGCCATGGGTGCTGAGAGAGCCCCCCAGAGGCAGCCATGCAGTGAGTGCCCCCACCCGGGGCCCTGGGATGTTCTGGAAACAGGAAGGAGGGTTCCATGGGAAGGGGGACCCTGTCCTGGGGTCAGGCCAAAGATTGGGGGACTCACTAATTCTGTCCTCCGATCCCTGAGTCCCTTCCCCAATCTGGGCCTGGACCCCCTGACTCCCACCCAGGTCCCAGGTCATCCCCTGGGCAGGCCCTGCCCACCCAAGCCTTGGTGAAAGTTTTGTGTTTGTTTTGTTTTGTTTTGTTTTTGAGACAGAGTCTCGCTCTGTAGCCCAGGCTGGAGTGGAATGGCGCGGTCTCGGCTCACCGCAACCTCTGCCTCCCAGGCTCGAGCGATTCTCCCGCCTCAGGATCCTGAGTAGCTGGGATTACAGATGCCCGCCACCACGCCCGGCTAATTTTTTTGTATTTTTAGTAGAGACAGGGTTTCACCATGTTGGCCAGGCTGGTCTCGAACTCCTGATCTCGTGATCTGCCCGCCCACCTCGGCCTCCCAAAGTGCTGTGATGACAGGAGTGAGCCACCGCGTCTGGCCAATGAAACTTTTAATACTGACCACTTAGGGTCTTTGGACAGACTCAGAGAAGAGAATGCGTATATACGTAAGGCAGGGGCCCGGTCCCCAGCACATCTGTGCAGCCCTCATCAGCATCAGCTGCCCTGATGGGCCACGAGGCCCCCAGTGGGGCCAGGGCCAGGTGTCTGGCTGCTGTATAGACATGACCTAAACCTCATCGAAACCATCATTGTGGTTCTAGAAGTCAACCAAATAAGGTAGGATTTGCCCCACCAAAGACCATTATCTGGGAGGATTAACCTTATTTTCCAGAAACTCCATCAAAAAACCAGAATACCCCCAAACCAGCTGAAGTCAACAGATACTTGACTGGGCCTTTCCTCCCCTCCGCTCCCTCCACCTGCCCCTCCCCTCCCTCCTGTCTCCCACTCACCTATCCAAACTGCTTTTCCCTAATTCCACCCTCATCCCTAAACCTAATTTAACCTGAACACCAATCTCCTTAGTATTATCAGAAATGATTCTGGAGGCTGGGCATGGTGGCTCACACTTGTAATCCCAGCACTTTGGGAGGCCCAGGTGGGTGGATCACCTGAGGTCAGGACTTCAAGACCAGCCTGTCCAACATGGAGAAACCCCGTCTCTACTAAAAATATAAAAATTAGCTGAGCGTGGTGGTGCGCGCACCTGTAATCCCAGCTACTGGGGAGGCTGAGGCAGGAGAATCACTTGAACCCAGGAGGCAGAGGCCACAGTGAACTGAGATCACACCACTGTACTCCAGCCTGGGCGACAGAGCATTCTGGAAAGGCATCAATCCTGAACCAGCTGACTTGCGCCCTCTGCTCTTCACTGGGGGCACCTGGCCTGTCTGATGTATTGCTTCAAACTAACATTAATTGGGATTTTTTTTTCTTTAATTACAAAAGTAATACATGCTGAATGAAGATGATGTGAAATGCACAAAAAAGCTCAAAGGGGCCGGGCATAGTGGCTCATGCTTGTAATCCCAGCACTCTGGGAGGCCAAGGCAGGTAGATCACCTGAGCCCAGGAGTTTGAGACCAGGCTGGGCAACATAGCAAGGCCCCGTCGCTATGAAAAAGTACAAAAATTTAGCTGTGCATGGTGGTGTGCACCTGTGGTCCCAGCTACTCGAGAGACTGAGGCTGGAGGATCGCTTAAGCCCAGGAGTTCAAGACCAGCCTGGGCAGCATAACAAAATCCCATCTCTACAAACAGCACAGAAATTAGCCAGGTGTGGCCGGGCGAGGTGGCTCACGCCTGTAATCCCAGGACTTTGGGAGGCCGAGGCGGGCAGATCACAAAGTCAGGAGATTGAGACCATCCTGGCTAACACGGTGAAATCTCATCTCTACTAAAAATACAAAAATTAGCCGGACGTGGTGGCAGGTGCCTGTAGTCCCAGCTACTCTGGAGGCTGAGGCAGGAGAATGGCGTGAACCCAGGAGGTGGAGCTTGCAGTGAGCCAAGATAGCGCCACTACACTCCAGCCTGGGTGACAGAGTGAGACTCCGTCTCAATTAAAAAAAACAAAAAAAACAAAAAACAGGTGTGGTAGTGCACTCCTGTAGTCCCAGCTACTAGGGAGGCTGAGGTGGGAGGATTGCTTGAGCCCGGGAGGTTGAGGCTGCAGTGAGCCGAGATTGTGCCACTGTGCTCTAGCCTGAGTGACACAGCAAGACCCCATCTCTCAAAACAACAACAACAACCACCCAGAAGTCCCCCAAGGTGAGCTGCACATATGCCTGGGGCCAGAGGAGTTTTGTGCAACAACCCTCTGTGATAAGGACAAGGGGATTGGTGCAGGGCCCCACCCACTCTGGGGACCCAAAAACTCCTGGGACATGCCCTGGGAGCCAGTTGGCTGTGGGCCTCCACACCTTTCCATGGTTGTTTCCACTGTTATGCGGCTGTAGGACTGAACAAGCTATTGGGCAGGGGCCGGGGACCTGGGGCCCACCCGACCTGGTGAGGAATGCCAGCACTGCCATTCCCCACTGTGGGACCCAGGTCGAGGCACAGGCGAATAAGGCCCCAATCCCGCCGCGTTCATACTTGACATGTCGCTGTGAATGAAACTCTGAGACCTAGGCCAAGCCTTTTCCCCTCTCTGTGCCCCAGGGTCCTCCTGTCCCACCCTCTCGCCATCTCCAAGCCTCAGTTTCCTCAACTATCAAATGCAGGCATTGTTGTTGGTTTTTTGTTTGTTTGTTTGTTTGTTTTTGAGACGGAGTCTCACTCTGTCCCCCAGGCTGGAGTGCAGCGGTGCAATCTCGGCTCACTGCAACCTCTGCCTCCCGGGTTCAAGCGATTCTCCTGCCTCAGTGTCCCGAGTAGTTGGGATTACAGGTGTGCACCACCACGCCTGGCTAATTTTTTATATTTTTGGTAGAGACAGGGTTTCATCATTTTGGCCAGGTTGGTCTTGAACTCCTGACCTCAAGTGATCCGCCCACCTCAGCCTCCCAAAGTGCTGGGATTACAGGCGTAAGCCACTGTGCCTGGCCTCAAATGCAGGCATTGTGAGGCTTACGATGGGTGCAAAGCCCTGAGCACCAGGCGGCCTCCAAGGCAGGTGATCGCCATGGGAACATTTTTGTCACTATTTTTTTCTTTTTTAGAGAAAGGGTTTCGCCATCTTGGCCAGGCTGGTCTCGAGCCCCTGGGCTCAAGCAATCCTCCCACCTCGGCCTCCCAAAGTGCTAGGATTACAGCAGTGAGCCTCCGCACCCGGCCCTCATTACTATTTTTTATTTTTATTTTTTATTTTTTGAGATGGAGTCTGGCTCTGTCACCCAGGCTAGAGTGCAGTGGCACGATCTCAGCTCACTGCAACCTCCACCTCTTGGGTTCAAGCAATTCTCCTGTCCCAGCCTCCTGAGTAGTTGGGACTACAGGCGTATGCCACCATGCCCGGCTAATTTTTATATTTTTAGTAGAGACGAGGTTTTGCCATGTTGGCCAGGCTGGTCTTGAACTCCTGACATCAGGTGATCCGCCTGCCTCGACCTCCCAAAGTGCTGGGATTATAGGCGTGAGCCACCCCTGGCCCTCGTCACTATTTTTGCTGACCCAAGCTCTTTCGGTCCCTGAACTCTCCAGCTCTTTGATCATTTCCCTTTGCCACGGCCTCCCGCCCCTGCGTCACATGCCTTGTTACTCACATTCACCCCCCAGCCCCTCCCGGCCATAACCGCATCCCTCTTTGATTTACTGCGGGAGTTTCCCATCTTCCTTCTTGTTAATGCCCTCCAACCCCCACCCAACCCTTGCTGCAGAGAATCTGCCTCCCTCTGGTTTTCCTCCTCACGGAGCCCCTGGCTCCCTCTCCCCCACCCCAAGGAAAGTCCCTGCTATTGTTTCTCCACCCCCACCCACTCCAAGGTGCCGCCCCACTCCCTGCCCTGAGCACTGAGGTGGTTCTTAAAGCAGGGATGGGTGAAGCCTGGGCGCTTCCCTCTGCCGGGTGGTCACTCATAGAACCCCTGAGTGCCCCTGCGGCCACAGCAGCTGGCATTTCCAAAGGAGCAGCTTCCAGTACTACCCCAGGTTCCGGCCACAGAACTTAACCTGGATTCACTCACTTGATCCTAAAACACTGTGACGTCTGTAGACGTCATTTGACAGCTGTAGACGAGAGCCACAGAGGGGAGGGCGGGCTCAGAGCCCACGTCCTGACCCCGGGACCACGGCTGCCAGCCCCACTGCTACACCCATGTAACGGAGGGGGAGACTGAGGCTCTGGGTGGCAAGTGGAGAGGGAAGTGGAACCATGGGGGGCCCTGCAGGACATGGCGACACCTGACGGAGAGGGACTTGGAGGGGAAAGTTGGCCTGGCCCAGGGACCTGTAGCCCCTCTGTCCCCGTGGGAATCAAGGAGGCAGAGAGAGTGCAGGGGAGGATAGAAACAAGTGGCCTGGTGATCAGGGACGGGGGCAAACCGAAGGGGATTCCCCGTTGTTGGCACGGTTACCTGAGCATCTATTTCTGGCCTCCAAACCACCCCAGAACTATCTGGGGCAAAAGGAAGTGAATAGACTGATTAACTTCCTCCAACCCCCTTTCTCCAACCTCAACTAGACTCTGAGCATTGGACCAGAGCAGCTCCAGGAAACCAGTTTCATTTCCCTCGGCCAGTTTCCCAAAAGGAGGGGTGGGCGGGGCTCTGCCAGTTTAAGGGGAGAGAAAGGGCCACAGCAGAGACAGTGGAGGGCAGTGGAGAGGACCGCGCTGTCCTGCTGTCACCAAGAGCTGGAGGTAGTGACACGGCCAGTGGTGGGGGGACAGAGAGACAGGACCCACAGAAATAGGGACTGAGAAGCAGTCAGGAGCTGGGGAGATGAGGAAGAGGGAAAAGAGGCCGGGCGCGGGGGCTCATGCCTGGAATCCCAGCACTTTGGGAGGCCGAGGTGGGTGGATCACCTAAGGTCAGGAGTTCGAGACCAGCCTGGCCAACATGGCGAAACCCCGTCTCTACTAAAAATACAAAAATTAGCCAGGTTTGGTTATGGGTGTCTGTAATCCCAGTTACTTGGGAGGCTGAAGTGGGAGGATTCTTGAACCTGGGAGGCGGAGGTTGCAGTGAGCCAAGATCTTACCACTGCACTCCAGCCTGGATGGCAGAGAAAGACTGTTAAAAAAAAAAGAAAGAAAGGAAAGAAAGAGGGAAAAGAAGAGAAAGAGACAGGAACCCGAGAGAGCTGTGGCAGAGGTGGAGACCGGTGAGGAGGGAGGCAGGGACGGTCCAGGGGACTCTGAAGGAATGGGGTTAGGGGACACAGGTCCAGAGAGCAGGACAGTGACTGGGGGAGGGCCGGCTCTAGCAGCTGGGCAGCCCATGGGAGACAGAGTCAGGCTACAGTGGTCACAGGCCTCAGTCACAACAGCCCTCCCTTCTCCTCCACCCCAGACACCATCTCCCACCGAGAGTCATGGCCCCATTGGGTGAGTAAGCAGGGGAGGGGCTCTGGAACAAGTGAGTAGAACCCCTCTCCCCCGACCTGCCACAACCCCGTTGACCCTGTCCTCCTCCTCCCAGCCCTGCACCTCCTCGTCCTCGTCCCCATCCTCCTCAGCCTGGTGGCCTCCCAGGACTGGAAGGCTGAACGCAGCCAAGACCCCTTCGAGAAATGCATGCAGGATCCTGACTATGAGCAGCTGCTCAAGGTGGTGACCTGGGGGCTCAATCGGACCCTGAAGCCCCAGAGGGTGATTGTGGTTGGCGCTGGTGTGGCCGGGCTGGTGGCCGCCAAGGTGCTCAGCGATGCTGGACACAAGGTGGGAAGCACTGCTTGCAGTCTACCTGGAGTCCCTCCTGCTGCAGGCTGGAGTCCCTGGGCACAGGGACACGGCCGCGTTCCTCCTTGAGGGGGTGGAGGTGGGGATGTGGGGGGAGAGGCTATCTTTCCCTGTAGTCTGGGGGTGAGGCCCAAGCCCCCTGCTGTCACATGTCTCCACTGAGAGGCCCCAGACTTTCCTGTCCCACGTTTTTCATCCCAGAGGGAAGTCTCACTGGCTCAAAGCTCCTCTGTCCTGGGGTGGGGCGCCTGTTGGTGGAGAGGGAAACTCTACCAAGGGGATGTGTGCCCTGAGGTCTAACCACTGACCTACTCACTGCAATCCGAGAATGAGAATGGGCCAGCCCAGGGGCTTCTACGCATATGGGTCATCTCCGAACTCCCCGAGCTGGGAAGTCCCTTTGCAGTCTAGCTGGCAGCCTTCCTCCTGCAGTCTGGAACTGCTCACTCAGTTCTGTTCCCCCACCTCCATACAGAAGGGGACCCTCTCCTAGTCTGGGTCTGGGCCACTGTGGGGATGGAAGAAGGCAGGGGGCTGGCACGGGGTGGTAGAGGGCAGGGGATGGTCAGTGGGTGGAGCTGAAGGGCCCTCCTCGCCCCACGGACTCCCTCAGGTCACCATCCTGGAGGCAGATAACAGGATCGGGGGCCGCATCTTCACCTACCGGGACCAGAACACGGGCTGGATTGGGGAGCTGGGAGCCATGCGCATGCCCAGCTCTCACAGGTGACCTAGCAACCCACCCACCTGTGTGCCTAGACTCAACTAGCCCCCCAGCTCCATGCCCACACCAGAGTGGGCCCGAACTTCCACTCTGACTCCCAAACCCAGCCTCCAACCCCATCCTTCGCCTAATCCTCACCTCAGTCTTGCCTCCAGCGCCAGCCCTGGGCCTCTGGCAACACTCGGGCCACCTGGTCCAACCAGACCTCCAGCTGGCCCTGCCTGGTGCAAAAGCCAGCTCCTGTGCTGGCCCCTCCAGGCCTGCAGCTCCACCATCCCCACACCCTCAGGCACCCCAGCCCCAGGCCCCTTCTTCATCTCAAACCCCCGTCCAACCCAAACTCTGTCCCCCTTCCCAATTCTAATCTGGGCTCTATCCCACTCTTAACCCAATCCTAATCCTGGTACTGCCCTGAGGCCTCCAGCCTTGTCCCCATTTCATTCCCATCCCCCAGCATTGATTACCCCAAATCTAGCCCCACCCCCAGCCTCATGCTGGTCCCCAGCTACTCTCCCCTCCCACCCCTCTTCTCCAAGTCCCACTAGGGACCAGGCCACCCCCACTGGAGCCCGGCCCTCACTCACCCACTCCCCTGATCAGGATCCTCCACAAGCTCTGCCAGGGCCTGGGGCTCAACCTGACCAAGTTCACCCAGTACGACAAGAACACGTGGACGGAGGTGCACGAAGTGAAGCTGCGCAACTATGTGGTGGAGAAGGTGCCCGAGAAGCTGGGCTACGCCTTGCGTCCCCAGGAAAAGGGCCACTCGCCCGAAGACATCTACCAGATGGCTCTCAACCAGGTGGGTACCGCCTGCACCCTCCTCCCGCCCTGACTTCTCTGTCCTCCTCCTAAGCTCGCCCCGGCCCGGCTTTTCTTCTCTCTGGCATCCCTTCAGTCCCCTCCATGGGGTGGGGCGCCTGTTGGTGGAGATGGAAATTCTACCAAGGGGATGTGTGCCATGAGGTCTAACCACTGACCTACTCACTGAAATCCGAGAATGAGAATGGGCCAGCCCAGGGGCTTCTACACATATGGGTCATCTCTCAACTCCCTTCTTTTTTTTTTTTTTTTTTTTTTTTTTGAGATGGAGTCTTACTCTGTCACCCAGGCTGGAGTGCAATGGCGCCATTTCAGCTCACTGCAACCTCCGCCTCCCAGGTTCAAGCAATTCTCTGCCTCAGCCTCCCGAGTAGCTGGGATTACAGGCGCCCGCCACCACGCCCAGCTAATTTTTGTATTTTTAATAGAGACGGGGTTTCACCATCTTGGCCAGGCTGATCTTGAACTCCTGACCTCGTGATCCACCTGCCTCAGCCTCCCAAAGTGCTGGGATTACAGGCGTGAGCCACTGCCCCCGGCCCCAACTCCCTTCTTTAGCTTCCCCGTAAACACTGCTGACCCCAAAGCTGCATCAGCTTTTGGCCTCTTCCCCTTTCACCCACACACTGTCCTGGATAACCTCCCCAGTCTCCACCTCTGGCTTAAACATAGATCCATGGGCTGATGGAGACATCTGCCTCCCGAGACCCTGATCTGTGTCCCTCCCCAGGACACTGGGCTCAGAAGCTTCCCCTAAACCTGTTCCTCCTCCCGGTGCCCCCATCTCACGATGGCCCCACCATCCCGCAGTCACGGGCAGACCCCTAGGAGCCATCCTCCTCCTGACCTCCTCCTCGCCCACCTCCCCCACCATCAGTGCCCACCCCTGCCGCCTGACGCTTGTGCCCTGCTCCCCTCTGCCTGCCCCAGCTCAGGCCTCCTCCTCTGCCCTGGACCCTCCCCCAGCCTCCTCTCAAGCTGCCCAGGCTCTAGTCTCCCCAGCCTGGTACCAGAAACGTCTTCCCACACACCCAGAGTGATGCTGCTCACAGCCCCCAGTGGCTCCCCGCTGCCTCCAGGACAAAGTCTGATCTTTTCAGGCTCAGCTTTGAGCCCTGACTGGCCTTCCCTTCTGCACCCCTCCAGCCTCATGCTCTTTTCTCCTCTAAGAAATTTTTGTCCTCATGGTGGTCCACATGCCCCCAGCTCTGTGTTCCTCACACCCACTATACCTGTGTATCACCCTCCCTTTCCAGAATGCCTTTCCCTTCCCCACACAGGAACTCCTGCTCAGCCCTCAAGAACTAGCTCCAATGTCCCCTCCTCCAGGAAGCCTTCCCTGATACCTTTAGGGAGGAACTGGCCACACCCAACATCCCCTCCCCACCCAGGTCAGAGCCCACTTGCCCATCTCCCCTTCTAGACCAGGATGGGGGCCATGTCCAGGTCATTTCTATGCCTTGACACTGACTGGTTTGGGAGTCTGAGAGATGCGAGATGCATGAGTGAGTGAAGGGGCACTGCCTTCCCTCTGAGGTCCTGGCCAGAAGGGGGAAGCCAGGTGGACCAAGAAGAAGGCTGAAATTAGATGGGGGCAGCAAGGCTTCTGGGAGGGGGTGAGATTCGAACAAAGTGCTGAAGAACACGCACTCATGTGCCACGCAAAGACAGGCAGGGAAACAATAGGTGCCAGATGTGTAGGTGGGAGAGCCCTGAGGGCAGGTGGTCTGGGCACTGTACACTGTTCACAGAACCAGAGCTGCCATAAAAGACATGGACTGAGGTAAGTGGGGATCTTGGTTCTGCTGAGATTCAGGGCAAAGAGAGTGACCATGAGGCCTTCCCCAGAGAGTCAGAAGGCGGGTACCTGGCACGCAGTGGCTCACGCCTGTAATCCCAGCACTTTGGGAGGCCGAGGCAGGCAGATCACTTGAGGTCAGGAGTTCGAGACCAGCCTGACCAACATGATGAAACCCTGTCTCTACTAAAAATGCAAAAATGAGCCAGGTGTGGTGGCAGGCGCCTGTAATCCCAGCTACTTGGGAGGGTGAGGTGGGAGAATCACTTGAACCTGGGAGGCAGAGGTTTCAGTGAGCTGAGATGGCGCCACTGCACTCCAGCCTGGGCAACAGAGCGACACTCCATCTCAAAAAAAAAAAAAAAAAAAAAAGACATTGAGGGGCTAGCAGGGGCCTTGAACATGAGGCTGAGGGGCAAGAATTCTGTGGCTCCAGGCACTGGGGAGCTACAGGAGGGCTGTGGGCAGGGGACGGACGGTAGATAAACTTCTCAGCCATCATGCCCTGTCAGCACTGACCAGTGGCACAGGGGACCAGCTTCTGTCCGTGGCCACAGTGATTCAGGCAACAAATAATCACTGAGCCCCCGGGAGGACACAGCACGCCTGGGACCCTCTCCCAGTCTCCTCTCCAGCTGCCCACATCCCTGCCTCCATGGAGCTCACAGTCTGGCTGGCTGGCTGAAAAATAGGCAAAATAACACGCAACCGGGATGAGCTGTGACCAGCCGGGCCAGCCGAATGAGGGGGGATGGGCGGCGTTAACAGTTCGGTAATATCGGAGGAGCAGTGGCATCTGAGTTGCCGTGGAGGGCAAGGCGGAGGGCATGGTGTGGGCAAAAGCCCAGGGGCTTGAGAGTGGTGAATGGCCAGCCGTGGGCAGAACCACGAGGAGAAGCCGAGTGTGGGCTCCAGGCCCGGCCTCCACCCTGGCTGCCCGGGCAGCTCAGCACCATGTCTGCTTCTTCCACAACAGGCCCTCAAAGACCTCAAGGCACTGGGCTGCAGAAAGGCGATGAAGAAGTTTGAAAGGCACACGCTCTTGGTAAGTGGGGATCTTGGTTCTGCTGAGATGCAGGGCAAAGAGAGTGACCATGAGGCCTTCCCCAGAGAGTCAGAAGGCGGGTACCTGGCACCCTAGTCCTGCCACCGCCTTCCTGCCTGACCCGGGGGCTGGACACGCCCCCTGTCTGGACCTCCGTTTCCCTCATCTGTCAGAGAGTGGGGACAGGATCCTACGGTCCAAGGACATGTCATGGGACCAGGAGGCCCAGCTGCGGAGGGGCTCTCTCAGGGGTGCAGCCTGCCTGGGCCCTAACCTCGGCCTGTGCCCAACCTGCAGGAATATCTTCTCGGGGAGGGGAACCTGAGCCGGCCGGCCGTGCAGCTTCTGGGAGACGTGATGTCCGAGGATGGCTTCTTCTATCTCAGCTTCGCCGAGGCCCTCCGGGCCCACAGCTGCCTCAGCGACAGACTCCAGTAAGGGGCGGGGCTGGCGGGCAGGGGGGGGGGGCGGGGGGCAATCAGGGAAAGTAGCAGGGAGTGGGAGGAGCCTCTGGGTCTGGGGGCGGGGCTGTTGTGAAGGGCGTGGCCTAATTGATGGTCGCGGGGCTAAGGGTTCCCAGATAAAGGACACGGCCTAGGGGAGAAGTGGTGGGGTCCCTGGTGACACAATCCACTACTCCTGCGGCCTTTGGGATGTCAGGGACGGGCGGGGTCGGGAGAGGTGGATGACGGGGGAGCGGGCCGGTGCCCATAAGGGCCAGCTGCCGGGGTGGGTGGGGCAAGGCAGAGGGGCAGGGCCGCAGAGCCCAGGTCACGCCCCCACCCCGCCCCGCCCCGCCTGCAGGTACAGCCGCATCGTGGGTGGCTGGGACCTGCTGCCGCGCGCGCTGCTGAGCTCGCTGTCCGGGCTTGTGCTGTTGAACGCGCCCGTGGTGGCGATGACCCAGGGACCGCACGATGTGCACGTGCAGATCGAGACCTCTCCCCCGGCGCGGAATCTGAAGGTGCTGAAGGCCGACGTGGTGCTGCTGACGGCGAGCGGACCGGCGGTGAAGCGCATCACCTTCTCGCCGCCGCTGCCCCGCCACATGCAGGAGGCGCTGCGGAGGCTGCACTACGTGCCGGCCACCAAGGTGTTCCTAAGCTTCCGCAGGCCCTTCTGGCGCGAGGAGCACATTGAAGGCGGCCACTCAAACACCGATCGCCCGTCGCGCATGATTTTCTACCCGCCGCCGCGCGAGGGCGCGCTGCTGCTGGCCTCGTACACGTGGTCGGACGCGGCGGCAGCGTTCGCCGGCTTGAGCCGGGAAGAGGCGTTGCGCTTGGCGCTCGACGACGTGGCGGCATTGCACGGGCCTGTCGTGCGCCAGCTCTGGGACGGCACCGGCGTCGTCAAGCGTTGGGCGGAGGACCAGCACAGCCAGGGTGGCTTTGTGGTACAGCCGCCGGCGCTCTGGCAAACCGAAAAGGATGACTGGACGGTCCCTTATGGCCGCATCTACTTTGCCGGCGAGCACACCGCCTACCCGCACGGCTGGGTGGAGACGGCGGTCAAGTCGGCGCTGCGCGCCGCCATCAAGATCAACAGCCGGAAGGGGCCTGCATCGGACACGGCCAGCCCCGAGGGGCACGCATCTGACATGGAGGGGCAGGGGCATGTGCATGGGGTGGCCAGCAGCCCCTCGCATGACCTGGCAAAGGAAGAAGGCAGCCACCCTCCAGTCCAAGGCCAGTTATCTCTCCAAAACACGACCCACACGAGGACCTCGCATTAAAGTATTTTCGGAAAAAGCCGTGTGGTCCAGCCTCCCCCGTGGCTCAGTTACTTCCCCAGTTTGCCTGCATCGGAACCACTAGCCCTGCAGTTAGCAGGCGCCACGCCCATCCTGGAGCCCCCCCAAAAATCTGCCCCTCACTTCTTCCTGGACAGTGGGGCTCCAGAGGAGGGTGGGGGGTGGTGCGCACAGAGGGAACCGGAAGGACGCCCTGCACCACCGGGAAATGGCAATCACAGCGACCACCTCTGTCACGAGGCTGAAGTCCAGATGGGCCCTAATGCAAGTAACAGAAAGCCCAGCTGACAGTGGCTGAACAGGAGGTGATTTTTCTCACAAGCAGCAGCTGGGAGGGCAGGCTCCCCAGAGTGCATCTCTGCAGGCCCTTCCACCTTGGTTATGTCCGGGAAGTGTTCCCACACAGCTACCAGGTCGCCGCCACAGCCCAGAGCACCCTATCCTCTTCCAAAAACCCCAAATCAGGCCGGGCGCGGTGGCTCACGCCTGTAATACCAGCACTTTGGGAGGCCAAGGCAGGCAGATCACCTGAGGTCGGGAGTTCAAGACCAGCCTGGGCAACATGGTGGAACCCCATCTCTACCAAAATTACAAAAATCAGCCGGGTGTGGTGGCACACGCCTGTAGTCCCAGCTACTCAGGAGGCTGAGGCAGGGTAATTGCTTGAACCCGGGAGGCGGAGGCTGCAGTTAGCCGAGATCTGCCACTGCACTCCAGCCTGGGCGACAGAGCAAGACTCCATCTCATAAAACAAACAAACAAAAAAACAAATCAGGCAACTCAGGAAGCCCTGCCTCCACAAACCCCAATCATTCACCCTAGGCTCTGCCCAGCCACCATCCCCTCCTCAACCAGGTCAGAGCCCACTTGGCAGCCTTCCCCCCACCAACAAGAAGCCAACTGCACATGAGAAGTGTCAGTTTAATGAAGCCAGCTTATCAGCAGGGCGGCGGAGCACACCTGCCCCCTCGCAGGTGTGCCTGGCTCGGGCTAAAGTGCCTGTGCAGAACGAGGCTGCCTGGCGGGGTTAGGAGTCGGCGCCCTCGTCCTCCTCCTCGGGCAGGATCTCCAGGCTGCTGTCGGGCTGCGGGGCTGTGTCCGTGGAGGGCGGCGGGGTGGGCGGGGCCCGGGTGGGCGACAGAGGCAGCGGGGAGGCGGTGGGCGAGGGGCTGTGGGGCTCTGCGGGCGGGGCCAGCCCCAGGATCTCCTGCACGTTGTGGGGCAGCTCCTGGAGGCACGGGATGAGAGAAGCGAAAAGCGGAAGGTGAAGGTGAGAAGGGGGCGGGGGTCGGTCGGGGTTCGGGCGGGGCGCTGCGGGGCGGACGGGGACTCACGGGGCAGGCGGTTAGCTGGCGGTGCAGGGCCTCGGCGCGGGTCAGCACGTCCTCCACGCTCAGCTTCATAGTCAGCTCGTTGATGTGCTGCGGGAGGGGGTGGGTCAGGCGCCAGTCGGCACTCAACCACCTCCGCCCGAGCGCCCACTCTGTGCTTCGTGCTGGGAAACAATGAAGACACACCGGGCTGGCCCTCTGGGGGCTCAGAAGTGCGCTGGGCGAGACATGCTTCTCAGGCCTCCGGGAGCATTCTGAGCACGTACTCGGGGAGGGAAGGTCCCCACCCACCTGCCCGGAGGACCTTGCTGGGAGCAGGCATGGCATGGGGCAGAAGGGAAACCTACGCGGCCCCACCCCCACTGCGCTCCCAACTAACCAGGCTTTCAATAATCCCACACTAAACACCTGCTCCCCGGAGGTACTGCGGCCCTGGGCAGCGCCCAGCTCAGGGGGGACAGGGCGGGGGCGGGGCCGGAGCCTCACCTTGAGGATCTCATTGGAGCCGAAGCCGGACAGCATGAGGGTGTCCCTCTCCATGTCCAGGATGGCGCAGGCCACCAGCAGGTGCAGATTGGGGCCAGGGAGCCCTGTCCACAGCACCTGAGGGTGCGGGACAGAGGGAGGGAGGGAGGTCATAGCCCAGCCTGGGCCTGAGGTCCCACCAGGGTCTGTCCCTCTCCGCCCAACCTCCCAGGGCAGGTGAGCCCACCCCTTCAGGCCTCTCGCCCAAACTGGCTGGCCCACCTCCCACAGCCGAAGGACATCCGGGAAGGGGAATTCCCTCTTGAACCAGATGAGCAGCCACCGGAAACAGAAGCAGAGAGAGCCGGAGTCCTGGGAATCTGGGGGATGACATGGAGCCCACTCAGCCTTGCCCAGCGCTGGGACTGAGAGTTTGAGAAGTCATCCTGACTGGAAGACCTTCCCCAAGTCTAGGCAAGTGACTTATGCCTGGCTGGGGAACCTCGGAGGTGAGGCAGGAGCAGCCCTGAACGCGGGCCCTGCCCCTCCTTCCTCCCACTCTCCAGAGGAAGTGTGCTATTATACTTCCACATCTGCCATGGACATGGAAGGGAGGCAGGACGCCCAGCACGCCCGACGAAACAGACCTCTGCCCGCTGCTGGTGAGCGCTAAGGGAACTGACACTCCTAGATACGCTGTAGCAAAAATTTAAGCTGAAGGCCGGGTGCGATGGCGCACGCCTGTAACCCCAGCACTTTGGGAGGGTGAGGCGGGTGGATCACCTGAGGTCAGGAGTTCGAGACCAGCCAGGCCAACATGGTAAAACCCCATCTCTACTAAAAATACAGCCTGGCCAACGTGGTGAAACCCCATCTCTACTAAAAATACAAAAATTAGCTGGGATGGTGCCACACCCCTGTAATTCCAGCTCCTTGGGAGGCTGAGGCAGGAGAATCGCTTGAACCCGGGAGGTGGAGGTTGTAGTGAGCCGAGATCACACCACTGCACTCCAGCCTGGGTAACAGAGCGAGACTCCATCTCAAAAAGAAAAAAAAAATTAAGCTGGTGTTGAACCTTTTTTTCCCCCCAAGTTAACTCAAATGAAAGTGAGAGTCTGAGCATTCTAACCTTTGAGGAAAGTAACAACGGAGGACAAACTCTCCAAAGCTGTGTGAAAACAAGCACTGTCCTGAACAAAATTCCACTTCTTGGAAGTGAACCTAAAGAAGAAATTACCCAGACTATGCACCGTGATGAAAAACTGCAAAGGACCCGAATCTCCAGCAGGTCAAGTTACATCAAATCTACCACATCTTGCAGGTGGACACAATGCCGCGCAGTCAAGAAAAGTGATGTTTCAGAAGACTTTGAATGACCCAGAGGCAGCCTCTGTCCTTGTGCCCTAGGAGGTGATGCTTTTCTATGGCTTAGTTTCCTCATCAGTAAGGTGAGGACAGAGTATCTCAGCTCCCTCCCCCGGGGGTCCTAAAGCATCGAGGAAATGTTCATGAATAAGTTTAACTTATTATCATCACCATCTGCACTCAAGAAAAACAATGATATCAAACAGCAACTTTAACTTTCTTTTTTCTTTTTTTTTGAGACAAAGTCTCGCTCTGTCGCCCAGGCTGGAATGCAGTGGTGCAACCTTGGCTCAAGTGATTCTCCTGTCTCAGCCTCCTGAGTAGCTGGGATTACAGGTGCTCGCCACCACCCCCGGCTAATTTTTGTATTTTTAGTAGAGACGGGGTTTCACCATGTTGGCCAGGCTGGTCTCGAACTCCTGACCTCAGGTGATCTGCCTATCTTGGCCTCCCAAAGTGCTGGATTACAGGCGTGAGCCACCACACCCGACCTTTTTTTTTTTTTTTTTTTTTTTTGAGGCAAGGTCTCACTCTGTTGCCCAGGCTGGAGTGCAATGGCACAATCTCTGCTCACTGCTACCTCCCCCACTCCAGTTCGAGTGATTCTTGTGCCTCAGCCGATCCCAACAGCTGGGATTACAGGTGGGCGCCACCACGGCTGGCTAATTTTTTTGTATTTTTAGTAGAAACAGAGTTTTGCTATGTTGCCCAGCCTGGTCTGGAACTCCTGGCCTCAAGTGATCCACCTGCCTGGCCTCCCAAAGTGCTGGGATTACAGGCGTGATCCCAGGATGACATTGCGCCCAGGCTAATTTTTAAATCTTTTTGTAGTCTCCCAATTTTTTTTGGTCTCCCAGTGTTGCCCAGGCTGGTCTCAAACTCCTTGGCTCACGTGATCCTCCCACCTTGGCCTCCCAAAGCACTGGGATTACAACCATGAACCACCACACCCAGCCTTACTTTTTCTTCTTCATCTTAATTTCCTGCAGTTTTTACATTGACCAAGTAATAAAGAATATATTTTTTTTTTTTTTTTTTTTTGAGATGGAGTTTCTTTCGCTCTTGTTGCCCAGGCTGAAGTGCCATGGTGTGATCTTGGCTCACTGCAGCCTCCACCTCCCAGGTTCAAGCGATTCTCCTGCCTCAGCCTCCTGAGTAGCTGGGATCACAGGCGTGTGCCACCAGGCCCAGCTAATTTTGTATTTTTAGTAGAGACAGTTTCTCCATGTTGGTCAGGCTGGTCTTGAACTCCTGACCTCAAGTGATCCGCCCGCCTTGGCCTCCCAAAGTGCTGGGATTACAGGTGTGAGCCACTGTGCCTGGTCGAAGAATAAAAATGTTAAAGCTGGGATGCAGCACCCCCAGCCCCAGGGCCCAGAGAACCAGTCTCTGATTCCTGGTTCAAGGTGAGCCACAGCCAGGTGGGGATAAGAAGTGGCAGGAATGCCTAGGTCCTTATTTCTGAAAAATACCCTGCAGGTTAAGCCAAAGGCAAAGCCCAAACAGGATCTAGGTGAGCATGAGGACGGGGTGAGTCAGCATTCCTGCGTGTCTGCATTTGGTGAAGTTTTGCTTCAAACAGCAATTCTGCCTCTACATTCTAGGTTGTGTGGGGATGTTTCTCTTGTTTGGATCAGGACCCAATGTCCAGGATGCCACTGTGGCTGCTACCAGAGAATCTGGCAAGGTCTATGGCCCCATTGTCTCCTGCCCACCCTCCCGAGAGACATACCCAGGAAGTCGCAGAGCAGGGGGTCCAGCACCCTCAGGAGCAGCAGCAGTCGCCCGAGTTGCCGCTTCATGGTCTCCTGGCTCTCTTCAAAGTTCCCTTGCTGTGGGACGGAAGGAGGGGGGAAAGAGCAGACCCCGTGAGGTACCAGGACACCTGATCGCTCGATAGGCCTGTGTCCCACCCCTGACCCAAGCCTCACCACGAGCTCCATGAAGCCACAGAAACACCAGAAAGCATCCACCTCGTTCTGAATGACGTAGAGGATCGGGGAGAGAAGATCACTCATGCCCTGGACGTAGCCTGGGGGGACATGGGGTCAGGCTGCAGCCAAGCCCGCAGCGCTCCCCTGGACAGCCCCGGCCACGCCCGTCCCCAGGCCTGGCACCCACCGAGGTCGAAGTGATACATGCAGTAGGTGAGGAGGATATCGTTCAGCAGGCCCAGCCCCGGGTTCTCGGGACCCTCGTAGAACTTGTTGGTCCTGTCAGTGCGGCTCACATCCCTTTCTGCGGGGACCGGGCACAGGGTGCAAAGGTGAGAAAGGTAGGGGGGCCCATCCCTGCTGGCCACCAGTGCCAGCCCCCACTGCTCCTCCTGCTGGCAGCCCCCAGCCTCGGGGTTTGCTCTGGGGGAGAAGCAGAGCTGGTTCTAGAAACTATCACTGATGCTCCTGCTGTGAGGCGCCAGGCCTCCCACTCACCAGCTGGCTATATCCTCCCACAGTAGGGGAAACTGAGGCCCAGGGAGGCAAAATCACTTGCCAAGATCACCAGGCATTGACAGAACTGAGACTGGGCCTGAAGGGAGCTGGGCTCCCCTTCTTTCCCATCCTGTCCCTGGCCTTGCTCCCCCAGGGCCATTCCCCAACAGCCCATGCAGCTTTCCCCCAAGATGCCCTCTCACTGGTCTTGGGGAGGCAGGGGGCTCCCTCTATCTCCCACTCGCACTTATGCCTGAGGCCCTCCTGTGGTTCCCTGCTCCCATCCACCCTAAGTGCCACCCCTGACACTGACCGATGAGGCTGCGGTATCCATGCAGAAGTGAGTTTCTCCGCTCCTGCTCAGGGCTCACAGATTTCCACTGCAGCTTCATGCGGAAATACTCATCCCTGAGTGACAGAGGGAAACAAGATGTGAGGCCGCCACTGTCTGCAACACCCAGAGACCTCCAAGCCTGGCGCCACCTCCCAGGTCAGCCCTGCAGAGCCCCTCCCTGACCACACAGACCCAAGCAGGTCACCTCGTCATTCTTGCCACTATCCCTTACACTTCACCTTCCTGGCATCTCTCACTACATAGCCTTGTGGCCTTTTGATGAAAATTTGTCACCCCCCACTGGACAGGGCACCAGGGACAGGGAATCGTCCAGCACTGCTGCATCCTCAGTGCCTGGCAGGTATATAACCTACACCAGGAATGAGGAGAGACGGGCCCTCCTAGGTTATAAAACATGCTGCAAAACTGTGATCATTAAAACAGTATGGCACAGGAATGAAAACTGCAATGGAGACAGACCATACAGGGGTGAGGATGGGTCTGGCTTGATCATTGCCGTATTCCACAGGCGCAGGATGGTGCCCAGATACAGCAGGTTCACAACCAGCGTCCACAGAACTTGCCCATTGGTGCCCTAGGAGGTACCAGGTGTCATGCCTGGCAGGGCAGGGCCTCCTGAGAACTCACGTTTTCTTGCGTATGTGGGCCTTGTGCTCCTCAGCTGTGCCTTCCCAGCTGAGGTACCCTAGGAGGAACTTCCAGGCCTCGCGCCGCAGGCTGGGGCTCAGACCCTGGGGGTGCAGGAGGGCAGGCAGCTCAGTGGGGCCTTGTTCTGGCCCTGCCCCATTCTTCCACCTGTCCTGGCACTCACCCCCGAGAAGATCCGGTTCTTCAGCTCAGGGACCTGCTGCAGGCGACCTTCAGGGCCCACGTGGCGTGCCCACTCCTCCTCTGTAACTGGAGGGCCCCGCTCCACGGTTGGCCGAGGCCCCAGCTCCACCTGCAGGCAAAGAGCAAATGAGCCTGGGGCTCGGCGGGGTGGTGGGGGGACCCAACCCAGCCTCAGTCCACAAGCTCAGAGAGCTTATTAGCTTGACGGATGACTAACATTCAGGGGCAGGCAGCAGCCTCTTCCGGGGCTCAGCAGCCAAGTCATCCCCCAGTTAGGAGGGGTCCCCCAATAAGGGTGAGCAGGTGCTCACAGTGTCTGGCAGAGCCATGAGCGCTTTCCTCATGCACCCCCTGAGGGTGTCCCATTACCATCCCCGTTTTACCAAAGAGGAAACTGAGGCCCAGGGAAATGAAATCATGCGCCCAGGGAGACACGGCCAGAAATAACAGGGAGGGTCCACTCACTACTCACACAGGAAATGACCTCGAATCCAGGCTCGGGCTCATCGTCGGGTGGCGGGGGAAGGTCGGAGGCGGCTCCCTCAGGCTGTGGCTGCAGGGCACCCCGGAAGAAGTTGGTCACTCGGGAGAAGCTGCTGAAGGTGGTGGAGTAGGGATCCTGGAGGAAGCGCTGGGGACGAGGCCAAAGGGAGGTCACGGCCCGCCCCTTCTCGTCCCTCCCTGCCCACACCCGCCAGGCCTCCTGCTGGGGACACTCACTGACACCACATTGGAGCTGTCCTGGTCAAAGAGCTGCAGGTGGTGGAAGGAGTTGGAGAGAGCAGAGGAGTCGTGGGGGAAGACAAGGTAGAGGCGGGAGTCCTGCGGGGAGCTGGGAGGCGGGAGGTGACGCACAGGTGATGCACAGGTAGGGGCCCAGTGTCCCAGGCTGTCTGTGCTCGGCCGACATCGGTTCCAGCTGCAGCGTCCCAACCACCCCTGGGCAACCCCTCATTTCAGGGAATGCTGTTAAAGGAGGCCCACAGCTGGATCCCAGGGGTGGGCACATGACTCGGGGCTGGCCAATGAGGGCCTTTCACCTTCCGGTCCAGTGTGACTGACTCAGGGACGAGCCAATGAGAAGCAGCTCTGGGATCTTGTTGGAACGTGGGGAAAGAGGTGCCTTCTATCCAGCCGGGTTGTTAAGCCACGGATACTGGGGCCCCAGAGAATAACGAACTCAGAGGGAAAAAGGATAACTGTTTCTAACATTTTGGGACCTGGGTCCTGCCTGAAATCAATACTCCTTTTTGACTTTTTAGTTATATGTGCTGGTCAACTCTTTGCCTGCCTTTAAATCAGTGTGAGTTGTGTTTCTTTCACAGCCCCGAGGGGTCACGCTGCAGCCATGGTGGGACTGGGCCCGGTTTAAGGCCCAGCACTGGGAGAGAGCTCACCTGGCCAACAGCAGGTAGCGGCTGAGGACGCGGAGCAGGGCGCGGGTGCCCCCGCGGTGGAAGTGCAGTGCGGGCAGGGAACCTCCAGCCTGGGTCACCAGAACCAGGTAGGCCCAGCTGAGGCCTGGCTTGGAGCGGCGGATGGACTTTAGCTCCCCCAGACTCACTGAGAAGGCCCAGGAGCCCTGGGGGCAGCTGGGCTCTGCACCTAGGGAGACGGCACTGTGTTGGGGGAAGCGCGTGGGAAGCCAGAGTCAGCCTTATCAACCACAACCCAGGATGTTCCTTCGGCACAGGCATCTCCTGAGGGCCCCGCCACAAGCCACCCCTCTGCCCCTGGCCTCACATTCCTTGGAAGCACAAATGAGTAAGATGGGAAGGGGGCCCAGTGGACATGTACCTTTCCAGAACCTTCCTAGGCACCCCTCGACCTGCAGGGTAAGGGCCCTATTCCTCAACCTGGCACTCGAGGCCCCTCGGGTCTGTCCTTCGCCCCTGCCTATCTTACCTCCAACCTTTCTTCACTCAAAATCCCACACTTGAGCTACAATGAAAGGCCAGCGGCTCCCTAAACACACGGGGGCCGCCTGCCTCTGGCTTGCACGGGCTGCTCTCTCTGCCAGAAGAGAAAACTCCCAAGAGTCCCTCAGTGCCAAGCTCCAGCATCACCTCTTCCTGGAAGGAATCTCCATTCCCCAGAGGGGTCACGTGCCTTCTCTGGATGTCCCCTGCACCCTGTGTGACCCCAGGATGGTGCAAATCACCCTAACTGGCTGCATCTGTCACCCCACCAGCCTCGAACCTCAGGGGCAGGCCTGGTGTGGGAGCACCCACAGCCAATCCGGGAGCCCAGTAGGATGAGCAAGGCTGCAGTCTCAGAGACACTGGCCATGTTGACCTGGGCTGGGACAGTCCTGTCTTCCCATTCACTTCCATGCTCCTGGGACTGGAAGGTGGTGACTGGTGGCCTTCTTGATTGTGGGCAGCAAAGCCCTTGGGACCGTGACCACTGAGGGCAAGATGTGTCCTACCTGGCCCACACGTGCTTCTCAAGGGCCGCCACCTCAGCCTACCTCTCGTGGGCTCTGAGTGGCAGAGCTGTGGCCGCACAGTGCTGATGACAGCCCAGTCAGGTTCATAGCCGGGGTCAAAGGTTGGTTCCTCCTCAGAAGCACATGAGTCACCCCCACTGGAGTCCTTAGGAGAGGAAAGGAGCAGACAGTAAGGGGCCATGGATTCAGATCTTAGCCTCGAGGCTACCCTGGAAGATAGCCCCATTGAATAAAGAGGGAAACTGAGGCACAAAGAAGGTACAGCAGGCCGGGTGCGGTGGCTCACGCCTGTAATCCCAGCACTTTGGGAGGCTGAGGCGGGCGGATCACCTGAGGTCGGGAGTTCGAGACCAGCCTGACCAATATGGAGAAACCTCGTTTCTACTAAAAAAATACAAAAAAATTAGCCAGGCATGGTGGCGCATGCCTGTAATCCCAGCTACTCGGGAGGGTGAGAAAGGAAAATCGCTTGAACCTGGGAGGCGGAGGTTGCAGTGAGCTGAGATGGCGCCATTGCACTCCAGCCTGGGCAACAAGAGCAAATTCTGTCTCATTAAAAAAAAAAAAAAAAAAAGAAAAAAGAAAGTACAGCACTTGCTCAGGGTCACCCAATGCAGCCAGAGAGCGAGCCAGGACTTGACCCCATGTCTCCCACTGCATGGGGAGGTCCATGCTACACAGCAGGTGGCTCTGCAGTCAGGCTGCGGAGTGCTCAATGGACACTGTTGTACTCACCAGGTAAATACAAACCAAAACCACAATAAGATACCACTTTGCACTCTTTTGAGACAGTGAGACTGTCAAAAAAAAAAAAAAAAAACAATAACAACAACAAAAAAAACACACTACATTTCCCAGGTTTCTTTGCAGCTGGAATCCAGGACACAGGACAAATTCTACCAACCAGATGCAGGCCAACCTGGAAAGCGGAAGTGATGTAACGCAACTTCCTGGTGCCTTGGCTGTGTTTGGCTGTGGAGCAAGGTGGAGAGTCATCTTCATCTTCATCTTCATCCTCCTGCCCTGGGGCAGCGCAGGTGGTCAGCTCAGCCTTCCAGTGTCTCGTCACTAGCTCTGTGGGTGCCGACTGACTTCCGGCCCCTGGGTGGAACTCATCAGCTCCAATGGAGGTCTCATTCCCCACTAAAGAACCCCCCTACAGAGGCATCCAACTTCTCCGTGTGCCTTGAAGGTTGTTCTGCTGTCCCTGAAATACCTTCTTGTCCTTTCATATCCTGGGAGTCCCAGCTCAAATGTCTGCTCTCCCAGGAAGCGTTGGGGATCTGGAATCAGACTGTCTGGGTGCAAAAAGTTCCAACACTTCCTAGCGTTTTCGACCTCATCTATCAGTTTCTCAAAAAGTGAGTAAGGGTCAGGGCTTAGGTGGGTCTGGATCTGACTTATCTCTGGGTCTCAGAATTGCCCAGGACGGGGTCCAGCCATGGGAAGTCCCAGGAGACATAACGAAGGGAAAGCCGGGAGCAGTGACGAAGTGGGTGAGTAGGCTGTCAGGCCCTGTCCTCTGGCACCAGAGGAAATGCCATTTCCCTTCAAGCAACTCGAATCCACATCTTGCACCCTGGCAGGGATCTCCCAAGAAGCAAAGGGAGAGAGGGGTCAGCCGTCCCCACGACCGTGCGTCTTATGCTCCCTGCTCTTTTTCCTTGAATGGGCATCCTCTGCCCATTTCACAGAGAGGAGCAAAAGGAGAGGCAGAGTACCCAAGCCTAAACAGGGTCACACATGCCCCACGAGTAGGTCTGGGATTGTACGCAGGTCCCTCAAATGACTTACAACAGCACGGACCTAGAAAAAAAGCGAGTGGAGAAGGGCAAAGCGGGTGGAGCCTACCTTCTTGGAGAAGAGGATTTGGGTGGAATCTCCAGCCTCCTCTACAGGAGCCCAGTGCAGGAGGACGTCATTGTCCTAGGGTAAGGAGGGAGGCGGGGTTAGAGGCGCTCCCCAAACCACATTCCCAAAACTTTCCGTTGCAAATTTCCAAACTTTCCCAGTTTCTACCCTCAGCCTTTCAAAGTCCCGCCCCTCATTCCAGTTCCCACACCCAGCCTTCTTCAGGTCCCACTGCTGACCGCCAGACCAAACTCCTACAGCTGCCGCCTGCATCCCAGACCGCCTGCATCCCGCTCGGAGCGGGTCCGAGCCCTGCTCCCTCCCAGCGCACCTTTTCCACGACACGGATGACACCAGCGATGAGAGAGTCTCGGTCCTGATACTTCTTAGCGCTGGTGTGCAGGTACACTCCGCCCTTCTCAAACACCACCTGAGTTGGGGGGAACCAGCGAGGGCTGGGGCCCAAGCGAGGGGACCAGCCTGGGGAGCCAATAGGGACGGGCCCAGGGAGGAGCCACCCTCAGGGGGCGGGGCCGGGAGGGCCATTGCCCCGGGACCAAGGCGGGGAGAATGGTCCAGCCCGCGTTCGGATGCTGACGTGCGTTCCACAGGGGGCAGGGCTCAAGGAGTCGCCTGAGCCGGGGGGGCGGGGCCATGGGAGGTTCTTCCCTGGGGCGGTGGACGGGAGGGTGACGGCGCGTTTATAAGAGATCGGTGTTTGCCAAGGCCGTGCCGGATTCTCGAGAGCCAAGGCCTGAGAGAAGAGCTGATCACTAGACGGGGCGTTTCGCATACACTGAAGCGAGGGAATGCGTCCTCAGTGCTTACCCTGTAGCCGGCTCCTTCCATAGTCGCCGCCGAAGGCCCCACTGCCCCGCCTCCTCCTTTTCCTAGTCAGCGTGTTGTCACTTCCGGAGAAAACAGTTCCCCTCCGGGCCGGACAGTGGTAGCGGCCCGACCCGTTCTAGAGAAGGAGCGGGTGAAACCATTTTTCAGAAGGGGGTTATTCCACTGGAACCTCGAGGGTGGATCGGAGTCACGTGGCGCAGACGCTGAAGGTGGATCCGGCTACGGAGAGTGCGCAGGCGCAGTGTTCGCCCTCTCGCCACGAAGTAAACAAGTGGGAGGGTCTGAGAGCTGCACCACCTGGGGCAAGCACGCCTTGAAACGCCCACTTCCTTCTCCATATTGTATACTGGAATTGAAGCCAAGGAGGTACCATTTTGCTCGAGGGCATGGCCTAAGCCGGTCAGCTAAGGCCATGTTAATACGGGGCTGTCCCATCTCTCTGCGGGGCGCGACAGCTGGAAGAGCCGAACGGATAAGAGAAGAGGAGGTGAGAGGAGCTGTACACCACAAGAGGCACTGAGGGACTCAGGATAACGGGATGAAG
Source organism: Homo sapiens (assembly GCF_000001405.40). Taxonomy (NCBI): domain Eukaryota; kingdom Metazoa; phylum Chordata; class Mammalia; order Primates; family Hominidae; genus Homo; species Homo sapiens. The sequence goes on along the minus strand of NC_000019.10, from coordinate 49,877,179 downwards.
CCGTCAGTGCCCCCAGAAACGAAGCGGCCCCGGACGAATTTCTGAGTCACCGTCGCGAGAAAGCGGGCTGAGCCGCCATTTTGAAGCCTGGCAAACCGAAGCAAGAAATGCTGCCGTGTTGGATCTTTGCCAGCCTTCGTGCCGAATGGGAGCAGGTTGGAGGGAGGGAGAGCCAATATACACTATGGGCTGATTAAGCCCGGTTGGCTGCCATGTTGTTAACGAGCACCGATTTCCTCTACTTTTGTCGAAGAAGTTTATTGTGGGTCAGGGACGTCAGGTCGCTTGCCTTCGTTTACTGTGGTCATGATTGAGCATATGAGGACGGCCATTATTGTTGGGGGCAAATGGAAATGCTCTAGGCGGGGCCATTTTTCTTAGGGGCAAGCTGTCGTCACCCTTGTCAACTGGTTCGGATGAAGCCCCTGTGGCCGCCATCTTGATCTCGGGCGGCCCCGATAAGGGAGGCGGAGTGTGCGGAGAGGAGGCGGGGCAACTGCGCGGACGTGACGCAAGGCGCCGCCATGTCTTTTGAGGGCGGTGACGGCGCCGGGCCGGCCATGCTGGCTACGGGCACGTGAGTGGAGGCGGCGTTGTTAACCGCGGTGTGGGGAGGATTTGGCCGTCCTGAGGCAGCGGGGCGCTGGGAGGGCGAGCGGCTCACGGGAGGGGTATGGCCTGCACAGATCAGAGGGCAGAGGTCTGCCAGCGATCCTTTGCTGAGCGCTGGAAGGGGGTCGCCCGTGGGAATCGTCCTGTCAGACCTGAGGCAAATCGTAGACAGTCTCACCTTGCGGTTCCAGAGCGCCTGGGATCTCTACCTGGGCCGTGGACCACGTCCACGGGGTCGGGGGATGGTTTGGGGGGCCTCGGGGCGCCCCTCACCCGTCCAAAGGCGGGACTTCCGGTCCTGGCCTCCGTCTGGGCGGGATTTCCTGTTTTCTTCCTAGACCAGTGGGTCCTCCCTGGACCCCGGGCGAGGTTGGGAGGTCTCGGGGCAGCTGAGCGTGGCCCCAGGCGCTCACCCCATGGCTACCGCGTTCATGCTCAGGTTCCTCACATCTTGGGGTGTGGGGTACTAAAATTTCGACAGGAGGGGTGGTTCCACCCCTCTCCTCCTTAGCTCTTTTCCCTCCTCCCTGCATCCAAAGAGGACAGCCACATCGTGCTCCCCCTCCTGTGGGGAACACGTCTCACTTTCCTCTAATCTCTCCCTGATCTTACACGAAACTCGTCTATCGGGGCGGGTTCTTCCTCCATCTCTCAGCTCCTTGGAGGAAACAGGACCTCCTCTAGAAGCTGAAGGGTAAGGAGGACCCCCAGGTCTTGGCTACTCTCCTGTTGGGTAGCATTACAGGGTGCCCCTGGACCTTGGCAAAGAGGTCTGTGGAAGTCGCCCTGTCCTTTTTGCTCATGTCTCCTGAGTTGGGGGAGCCCTCACAACTCACTCACCCTATTTCACTCTTTAATCCCGTGGCTACTCCAAGATTGAGTACACGGAGAGTTCATCCTGACGTTCTCTTCCGGGACCTCCTCTCCCCCTCTTCTCCGCATGTCATTAGGGGCTGGAGGCCCGTGGAAGTGAGAGCCCCAGGCCTAGCACGGCGAGGCAGTTGACTTTGGACCAGCCATTTCTTGCTTAGAGCCTCAGTTTCCTCCCTCATCAGCTGGGAAGGACATGGGTGTGTTTGAGACACCGGGTACCCCCCAGTTCAGTGGGGTTTTGGGGCTGGGCAGTCAGCAGTTTCAGCCCCACTTGTGCCCTGTGTAGCTGTGTGCTTTTTTGCCAGTGTCCTAAGCTCTCTGAGCCTCACAGTTTCAGCCCCACTTGTGCCCTGTGTAGCTGTGTGCTTTTTTGCCAGTGTCCTAAGCTCTCTGAGCCTCACTTTTCCATCTGGATTAGAATATCTGCCCTCCTAAAGGCAGGCAGGATGGCGGTCAGGATTTAGAACAGGCCCCGGATCTAGACTTTCTGAGTCCAGGTCCCAGCCCTGCCTCTTCCAGTTGTGGCCCTTCAAGATGCTGACTGCCCCTGGGCCTGAGTTTGCAACTGTAAAATGGGGTGAACTGTAACTAAAGCTCCTGTCTCATAGTGTAGGTGAAAGGGTGGGATGAGAAGGTTGATCCCATCTTGGGTCCTTGCGTGGCTTCTGGGAGGTGGTGGATAAACCTCTTCCTTCCCTTGGGGCTTTGAACTCCCTGAGTGAGTCAGATAGGTGAGATGCCAGGTGTGGAATCCCAGCACTGAATAGGTGCTCAGCAAACACCAACATCAATGATCGTGAGTCATAAAAGGCCTGCAAATTTCATTCAGACTCCAGACTCCCTGCTCCCTTCACCCTGGTGGGCTGGACCACAGCTGTGCCTGAATCCGTGCAGTGGCGGTGTGCTTACTGCCTCCCGGAAGAGCGTCTTCCGCAGCCCAGCAGCTCTGGCTCAACCACGCTGGTTAATGGGGAAGAAAATGAGGCACAGAGAGGGCCAGTGAGCCATCTAAGGTCACACAGCAGGTTTGAGACAGAGTCAGGGCAAGGACCCAGCCCCCCTGCCCTCGCTCTTCTCACCCAGTAAGGAGACGCACCCTGCATTGTCTGCTTAGGGCCGACCTGTCCTGCAAACACAAATCCCTGACCTTGGGGGAATTCACAGTCTGATGCAGGAGGCAGCCAGGTTACAGCTGTCACAAGCTCAGGTGACATGAATGCTCATGGAGGAAGCCCAGGGCATCGGATGGGCTCCTGAAGTCATCTGATGCACCCTGGGGGATCAGGGACAACAGAGGACCTGCCAGAACAGTCTTGTAGGAAAAGCCGTGTGGATTTCCCAGCACAGAGAGCAGCGCCAGCACCATTTCAGCCCCGACTCTCTGAGGCCTCAGTCATAGAACCAGCCAGTTCCCTCTGGAAGGAAGTGTGCTGGGAAGGTGGCCACTCAGACAGTGTGGGACCCCCTATGGAGCAGACTGGCTGGATCTATGGGCGAGGGAAAGTTTCTTCCACCCTAGGATGAGTGAAAGGTTGGTGGGGAATGGAGCACAAGTCATCAAGGTCAGGGACCACGTTTTCTGAAGGCCTCGGGCCTCAGAGGCTCTGGAAGGCCGTGGAGGCAGGATGGCCCAGGAGCTGGGGATGGCCAGAACACCTAGAGCCTCCAGGGCCTGCCCTGAGGACTATGGCGAGGAGTAGCATCAGCTCCGGGTGCTGAAGGAACCCCCTGGGCCTTGTGCAGGACACTCTTGACGGGATGGCTGGGCGACGGAGCAGGGTGGCATCATCCATCAAATTCAACACAAGCCCCACGTGGAATTCTAAATTTTCTAGACACCATGTTAAAAGAGTAAAAAAAGCAGATGAAATTCCTTTTTTTTTTTTTTTTTGCCCAGGCTGGCTTCGAACTCTTGGGCTCGGTGATCCGCCTGCCTCGGCCTCCCAAAGTGCTGGGGTTGCAGGCCTGAGCCACCACGCCCGGCTCGTTCGGCTTTATTGTACTCAGTCTTCAGAACCCAGTGCAGGTTTTATTGTTAGAGGCCTCTCTGCTAGGACTCTCTGCTAGGACTCCCTGCCTTTCCAGTACTCCCTGTTCACATGTGGCTGGCGGCTCCCACAGAGGCCAGGGCAGGGCCAAAGGGGAAGGAGTACAGTGACTTGGGGCAGGAGGAATGGGTTGGGGCAGAGGACGTCGCCAGGGTCTGGGCCTGCGAGGACTGGATGGTGAGAATCCTGGGGAGTAGCAGGTTTGGGGAGGACACACAGCACCGCTGGGACAAGGTGGGTGGAGGGTGGTGAGTGCCATCCAGGGGACGGGCGGGCACTCTGAGTGGGTGGCGATGATGTAGGCCGCCAAGCCTCAGCCCCCTCTGTCCTGCTCTGGCCCGCAGGGCGCGGATGGCGTCGGGGCGCCCCGAGGAGCTGTGGGAGGCCGTGGTGGGGGCCGCTGAGCGCTTCCGGGCCCGGACTGGCACGGAGCTGGTGCTGCTGACCGCGGCCCCGCCGCCACCACCCCGCCCGGGCCCCTGTGCCTATGCTGCCCATGGTCGAGGAGCCCTGGCGGAGGCAGCGCGCCGTTGCCTCCACGACATCGCACTGGCCCACAGGGCTGCCACTGCTGCTCGGCCTCCTGCGCCCCCACCAGCACCACAGCCACCCAGTCCCACACCCAGCCCACCCCGGCCTACCCTGGCCAGAGAGGACAACGAGGAGGACGAGGATGAGCCCACAGAGACAGAGACCTCCGGGGAGCAGCTGGGCATTAGTGATAATGGAGGTGAGAGGGTGGGGGCAGGGGCGGGTGCGGCCCAGCGCTTGAGGTGCCCGCAGGAGGCTTTGTCGGGGTGGGGGCCTGCTTAGCCCAGAGTACTTCTACAGAAGTGCAGTCTCAGGACCCCAGAGCCAGACAGGCTTGCCTGGGGCTTGCTGTGTGATCTAAAGCCAGTCCCTTCCCTGCTCTGAGCCTTACTGGTCCTGGGGCCAGCTCTGTGCTGGGAGTGGTGGGCACAAGGACACAGAGCAGGCTCGGGCTTTTTTCTCAAGGGGCTCCCGGTCTAGCCAAGGAACTGGAGTCCCGGTGGGGGTTGGGAGGCTCTGGGGCAGGTCATGGGTAGAACCAGAGTCGTTTCCACAACGCCTGGGAGGCCAAGCAGGAGTTAAAGAGTTGTCTGGGATGCAGCCAACATCTGAGGAAGCCAGGGAGGGAGCAGCCAGCTGTTTTGGGGGGAATTTGGGGGTCGGGCACTTCCCGGAGGCTGGACTGTAACGCTAGGGCTTTGCGGAGTTAGTAGGAGTTTGATCAGTCACTAGGAGGTCCTTGTTTGTTGTTATTACCAATGGCAGGCCTCCTCACCATTGCTGGAGAAAACCCGTGTAGGGTGAAGGGCAGGCATCCTGAGTTCAAATCCTGGTGGTGTCCCTTAGTAGCCATGGGACCTCGGGCAAGTGACTTAACTTCTCTGGGCCTCCAGGTCTCCATTTGTGAAACAGAGGTCATAGTCATTGCATGTTTCTCTAAGGCTGTGTTTTGAGTCACATTGTCCCGAACAGATCGTAGAGGTTTCATGTTAGCAGCCCGTTGTGTGCAGCTGAGAGGGTGGCAGATCCATAGAAACTGGGTTGGTTTTTGCCGATGACCAGGCAGGCTGCTAGAGGAAGTTGTTTTTGAGGTGAAGGAAATGGGTCTCAGAAGCTTCAGGGAGGTGGAGGTGGTGGCTGTGGCAGTGGCCGTGGCTGAGGAGGAGGACACATGGAGCATGGCTAGGTGCTGCCTGGCCTGGGCCTCTAACTCAGGTCATCCACAGGGCTCTTTGTGATGGATGAGGACGCCACCCTCCAGGACCTTCCCCCCTTCTGTGAGTCAGACCCCGAGAGTACAGATGGTGAGTGTCCCAGGCTGTTCCCCTCCCGACCTGAGGGCAGGCACACGGCCGACACAAAGGCAGGGACAGAAGCTGAAGTCCACCCTCTCTTTCAGATGGCAGCCTGAGCGAGGAGACCCCCGCCGGCCCCCCCACCTGCTCAGTGCCCCCAGCCTCAGCCCTACCCACACAGCAGTACGCCAAGTCCCTGCCTGTGTCTGTGCCCGTCTGGGGCTTCAAGGAGAAGAGGACAGAGGCGCGGTCATCAGATGAGGAGAATGGGCCGGTGAGGGGCAAATGTGGGGAGGTAGGGAGGGCAGCTGGAAGGGCTCTGAGCCGCCTCCTCCAGGAAGCCCTCCAGCATGGATGCTGCTTTCCACCCATAAGCTAACTGAATCCTCCCCTCAACCTCAAGAGGCGAGTTCTTGGACACGAGCCTTGCAGTTTTAACAATTGCAGCCTTACCATGTGTCCTAGTGCCTTATAGAGAAGGCCTCTCCTTTCCAGGAGCGTCTCTATTTATAGAACACCTGCTCTGGGCAAGGCACAGGTGTTTTGGCATGCCCTCCAGTGGAGAAACTGAGGCTTGGAGGGTTCAGATCACCTCCCATCCCCACCCTGCACATTCCTAGCCCTTTGCAGAATTTGTCCCACCCCCTGGTCCCCTGTTCACCCCTTGTAGCAACCCCTGTTTGAAGCTCCTGGGCTGGGCTCTGCTGGCCTAGGTGGGTCCTCCTCACCCTTCACTGAGCCTCCCTGAAGCAGAGGGGAAACTGAGGCACTGAGGGGACATGTGACTTCCCTGAGAGGCAGAGCTGGGACTGGAACCCAGGTGTGTTTCAGGAAGGAGCTGTGGGCTTTGAGGGAGGAGGCCTGGGTCCCCACAGTCCCCCCCTCAAGCCTCAGTGTCCTTATATGCAAACCAGCAGTCACAGTGGTGACCTTTTCTGTGCATCCTCCCTCAATGAAGCAGTGAGCACTGAAGACCAGGAACAGGGCCTGGTGCGGGCGGGGTCCACCTGCTGCTGCTCTCTGTGCTTGCGACTCATGGCAACACAGTTAATTGAATGCTCTGGCCTCTTGCGTGCTGTGCCCGGGGGCTGGTCTCCCACTGGGCTCAGGTCCAGTTCCTGATCTGGGTCTCCGGGTCCCATCCTGCGAGGGGACAGGCCCAGCTCCGGGTGACGGGGGCTGTAGTGGAGGCAGTACTAGGTGCCAGAACTGCAGGCTCCTTGGCGGGGGCTGACACAGCGAGGGATCTTTTCTGTAGCGCAGTGGCCACATGATAAGGCAGTAACAGCTGATTATCTCAGCCCTCACAGAGACCCTGTTATCCGCCCCATTTTTCAGAAGGGGAGACTGAGGCCTAGGGAAGCAAAACCTCTTGCTCATAGTTTGTCAGCGGCAGAGGTCTGATTGGAACATGACTGAAACCCCAGCCCAGATCCTCAGACATGAGACGGTGCACTCAGCCTTAATGGCTAGCAGGCAACAGCACTTCCACTGTGTAGGAAGCAATGTCCTAGGCCAAGAAGGGGAGAGGGAGAGGGGCAGGTAGGCTTCGTGGAGGAGGTGTCTGAACCGGGTAGAAGGGTTCCTACGTGGAGCAAGACGGGGAGGGGCACTGCTGGCAGTGGGCATCGCAGGGCACAGGTGGCAGGGCAGGGACGTGCTAGAAGTGGGCTTGGAGCCCGGGTGCACCCCTGGACCGCGTGTGGGTGCAGGGGGATTGCCCTGCCGGCGCTGACCTCGCCCCGTCGCCGTCCCCGCAGCCCTCTTCGCCCGACCTGGACCGCATCGCGGCGAGCATGCGCGCGCTGGTGCTGCGAGAGGCCGAGGACACCCAGGTCTTCGGGGACCTGCCACGGCCGCGGCTTAACACCAGCGACTTCCAGAAGCTGAAGCGGAAATATTGAAGTCCAGGGAGGGAGCGCCCCGGGCCGCGTCCGCCCCGTCCCACACTACGCCCCCGCCCCACTCCCGGGGCCTGCTAATCTGAGGCCGATCCGGGACCGGCCTCCTTGCGTCTCCCATTCCCAAGATTGTCCCGCCTCTGCCAATCCCCGCCGTCCTTCCAGCCCACGACCTGCCGCGCCGAGGAGCGGCATCTGTCCCGTTTCCCGATTGGGTCTGTCGTCTCTCTCCGCCTAGCGACAGATTCCTTCTATTAAGGGATTGGCTCGCTGAGTTCTAAGCTCTAAATGGGTCAACTCCTTTGTTTTCCGCCTAGCGACAAGGGATTTGCTCGCACGGCATTGGCTCCATCCCCTAGTCGCTGGACAGCTCTTTTTTTGATTGGCTCAAATCCTGTAAAGGGCTTGACCAGTCTCTACATAGTCACCGTCCGCTTTTCCTGAGTTCTCCCTCCCAATTGGCTCCAGCTTCCTGGGGGCGTGGCCAAGCCCTCCTCTTCCCAGAATTGGCCCGGGGCCTTCAATTTACGTTCTTTACACTACGGGGACTGGGGTCGTCTTTGCCCACGTCCCGACAACTTGTTCCCTGACCCCCTCAGGGATGGCCCCAAACTGTCCCTGCCTCTGGCACCCCCTTTCATTGGTTCCATCCATCCCCACAACAGCCTGCCAATCGAAGCCCGTCCCTGCATCCAGGATGGTACCAGCTCCCGCCCCTCGCCCCCCACCTCCACAGGTGCCTTAAAGGGCCCTCGTCCACCCAAGGTGGGGGGCAGGGGCCCTCACTCTCCGGCCCTGGTGTGGGGGAGAGAGTGAGGGGTTGGGGGATCGGCAGTTGGGAGGGGCGCTCTGAGATTAAAGAGTTTTACCTCTGAGATAAATGTGAAGTGTGTTGTGAGTGTTCATTCAACATTTTCTGAAACCGAATGGCAGCGTCTGATTATCAGTGAATAGCTGGGGGTTGGAATTACTGTGCCCATTTTATTTACTTTTTTGAGACAGGGTCCCACTCTCGCCCAGGTTCAAGCGATTCTCCTGCCTCAACCTCCCGAGTAGCTGGGATTACGCGCCACTGCCGCCCGGGTAATTTTTGTATTTTCAGTAGAAACAGGGTTTCATCATGTTGGTCAGGATGGTCTTGAACTCCTGACCTCAAATGATCCACCCGCCTTGGCCTCCCAAAGTGCTGGGATTACAGGCGTGAGCCACGGCGCCTGGCTTTGTGCCCATTTTATAGATATGAAGACACAGGTTCATGGGGTGGAGGAGAGCATCCCAGTCTTATGTGACCATGGAACCCAATCTTGAGGAGGTGAGTGTTGGAGACAGAGCCCACATATTCACCAGCAAAGCCAGGAACTCCAGCCGGGAGTCTTCTATTATAAAAGGACTGGAGCAACTGGGCTTGGTGCCTCACGCCTATAAGCCCAACACGCTGGGAGGCCAAGGCGGGAGGATCACATGACACCAGGAGGTCGAGATCAGCCTGGGCAGCACAGTGAGACCCCTTCTCCAAAGGGAAAAAAAAATGGCTGGAGGTTAGAAAGCAGGTGGAACCTCGTCCGAAATTAGGACTAGGTAAACGTAGTCCCACCAGACCACTACCGAAAGAATGCTAACACTAAATAAGACTTAAACGGATCTGAGCACTTTGGGAGGCCGAGGTGGGCGGATCACGAGATCAGGAGATCGAGACCGTCCTGGCTAACACGGTGAAACCCCGTCTCTACTCAAAATACAAAAAATTAGCTGGGCGTGGTGGCGGGCGCCTGTAGTCCCAGCTACTCGGGAGGCTGAGACAGGAGAATGGCGTCAACCCGGGAGGCGGAGCTTGCAGGTGAGCCGAGATCGCGCCACTGCACTCCAGCCTGGGCGACAGAGTGAGACTCCGTCTCAAAAAAAAAAAAAAAAAAAGACTTAAACAGGGCTCACTACCACCCATTTTTTAAAGCTTTTGTCACGTGTTAGCTCCTTTAATCGTCATGGTAACCCCACGAAGCGGAAACGATTATCCTTTTTATAGATGAGGAAACTAGAACATCGAGGGTGAAGCCAAAGAAGGACTTAGGGGCGCTGTCGGGGGCGGAGGTTTCCTCGACTGACAATGACCATCAGATGGGAAAAAAATCTTCCTCCCTGGGATGAAAATTAGAAGTCAAGGTGGAAAGAGGCAAATCTGCTAACGGAGGATCCAGTCCCCGCTACCGGCCTGAGCCTCGCGTTGCAGCAAGAGAGATGAAGGTCAGGGCTGCCGAGAGACCCTGGGGGCCGGGAGTCGGGGAAGGGGCGTGGCTGCTGTGGGAGGAGGCCAGGCCCCGCCCCCCACCCACGAGGGGACGAGTCATTTCCGTCCGCCGAGGAACCGACCGCCGCCGGCCGGGTTGCAGGCGGGGCACCTCGGGCAGGACCTCCCTGGTCGGAAGTGGCCGTGAGCCCAAGCCGCGGTCCCGGGTGAGTACGGGGCGGGGCGGAGGCATGTGCGAGGCTCTCTGCCTGTACGCTGGAAAGTGGGGATTGCAACTCGGGGAGGGATGGAGCACGCGTCGTCGCCTGGGAAACGGGTCGACCCGCGGAAGGCGAGCGGGTGGGACTTCCGGAGCAGTTAATGGTGGGGAAACTTTCTAGTGGATGTGGGAGGAGGCGGGACTTCCTGCAGCAAATTGGGGCTGTGCGCCGCTCAAGCCCGTTTACCTGCTCCCCAGGCCGGCACCCAGGATGGGCGAGGTGGAGGCCCCGGGCCGCTTGTGGCTCGAGAGCCCCCCTGGGGGAGCGCCCCCCATCTTCCTGCCCTCGGACGGGCAAGCCCTGGTCCTGGGCAGGGGACCCCTGACCCAGGTTACGGACCGGAAGTGCTCCAGAACTCAAGGTGAGCGGGGCCTGAGCTGGAGGGGGTGTGGCCTGCTGCAAAAGCGGGAACAATCCAGAGGGACGCTTGGCTGCTACGCGGGATTGCAGTGGTGCAGCCAGCCCCGAAGTCGGAAGGTGCTCTCTAGGGAGTACAGGAAGATAAAGTTTGTGCTTGATTTAGAATTAGCTAGATCCTTTGGGGGAGAGGGGATCGAGCCGATTTAGGGAGGATGTTCACTGCGCGGATGATGCTCAGGCCATCGGGAAATCCAGAAACAGGCGACGACCTTCGTCAAGAGAAAAATGATCCTGTGGAGAAAAGTAAATGTCGCTAGGTTGGGATGGATGGTAACAGGCCAAGCCCCGGACCTATATCTAGCCACATTTTTTGTCAAGGAGGAAACCAATTCTGTAGAGAAAAGTACCTCCCTGTCCCTTGCAAGGACCAGTGTCAGGCAATCCTAGTGCCACTATCTGGCTACTGCATGTCAAGGAGCCAATCCCATGTAGAAATAAACTGCCTCTTACTCCCTGGATGCTATAGCCTGAAGCAGGCCACACTCCCCAGAAATGAGGGACCCAATCACACAAGGATGCAAATCCTGACTCCACCCCTCCAATCCTCAGTGGAGCTGGTCGCAGATCCTGAGACCCGGACAGTGGCAGTGAAACAGGTATCAGTGCCTCTGCAAGGGCCAGCAAGGCCTGGGGATGGGATTTGGGGAGGAATTGCAAGCCGTCAGTGAAGGGGTACATTAGGAAAATCTGATTGGGGCCGGGCGTGGTGGCTCAAGCCTGTAATCCCAGCACTTTGGGAGGCCGAGGCGGGCGGATCGCTTGAACCCAGGAGTTCGAGACCAGCCTGAGCGACATGGTGAAACCTGTCTCTCTAAAAAATTAGCGGGAATGGTGGCGCGTCCTTGTAGTTCCTAATCGGGAGGCTGAAGCGGGAGGATCCCTTGAGCCCAGTAGGTCAAGGGTGTAGTGAGCAGTGATCACCACACTGTACTTCAGCCTGGGTGACAGAGCGAGAACCTGTCTCAAAAAAAGAAAAGAAAAAATATGGCTGGGAGAGAAGGGGATGTGTCCAGTAAAGAAAGAAGTGTTGCCTGTTTCAGTGGGGTGGGTACCTGTCCAAGACCTTAGAAATTGGACAAGGCGGCCAGGCGCGGTGGCTCACGCCTGTAATCCCAGCACTTTGGGAGGCTAGGCGGGCGGATCACCCGAGATCAGGAGTTTGTGACCAGCCTGGCCAACATGGCGAAACCCCATCTCTACTAAAAATACAAAAATTAGCGGGGCATGGTGGCGGGTGCCTGTAATCCCAGCTACTCGGGTAGCTGAGGCAGGAGAATCGTTTGAACCCAGGAGGCACAGGTTTCAATGAGCCAAGATTGCACCACTGCACTCCAGCCTGGGCGACAAAACAAGCCTATATCTCCAGGGGAAAAAAAAAAAAAAAAAAAAAAAAGATTCGGACAAGGCTGAAAACCTGTAACCGTTCCAAAGCCCGTTCCAAAGTGAAGAGGTGGGGCCTAAGGGTCTGATAGTGGTGGAGAAGGGCTGATTTTTCCGCTGGGTATTTGATTGGAGGAAGCTCCCGGTGGGGGCGGAGCCAGTCCCAGCTCCTCCCTCTCTTTCTGCAGCTGGGAGTTAACCCCTCAACTACCGGGACCCAGGAGTTGAAGCCGGGGTTGGAGGGCTCTCTGGGGGTGGGGGACACACTGTATTTGGTCAATGGCCTCCACCCACTGACCCTGCGCTGGGAAGAGACCCGCACACCAGAATCCCAGCCAGATACTCCGCCTGGCACCCCTCTGGTGTCCCAAGATGAGAAGAGAGATGCTGAGCTGCCGAAGAAGCGTATGCGGAAGTCAAACCCCGGCTGGGAGAACTTGGAGAAGTTGCTAGTGTTCACCGCAGCTGGGGTGAAACCCCAGGGCAAGGTGAGGGCCACGCCGAGGGCTGAGGGAGCCGCCACAGACTGGGACCCAATCCCACGTTTGTTGCGTGCTCTCAACTTTTTAGCCTCTACTTACTTTTCTGAGAAATGGGCCTAATGATAAATGCAGGGATCGTTGTAAGCAGTTAAGCAGTGGGGAGAATGATATATGTCAGCTCCTGCGTTACCCACAGTGACCACCCAGTAATCAGCAATGACCATGACTGTCTCAGTAGGAGCTATTACGATGAGGATTTTTTATGTCCAGAGAGACTTGAGTTCAAATGCTGTTACCACCACATTCTGAGTCCCATGTGTCTCATCTCTACGATGCTGAATCCATAAAAAAAGCACGTGGCATAGTTCCTGACATGCAGTTAGCACCCAAAGCTTTGCTCCTGCTTTTATTTTCACGGTTATTAGCCCACCGAGGTGGTGAAGGCCAGGGGAAGAAGGAGGCTGGGTAAGACATTAACCCCCATTTTAAAGACTGTAATCCTGGGGCTGGCGTCATAAGGAGTAACAGGAGACAGTAAGGTTAAGATGTCGGGCCCCACTCAGAGGCATCACGGATGCTTGAGATGGAGGTGCTCTGTGACTCGGTTTCCCCATCTGTGAGATGGCAGTGATAACACCCTGCCTGGCAGGGTTGGTGTGAGTCAGCCTGTGAGTGAGGAGGGTCAGAGGTATCACAGTGCTGCTGTTTGTCTTTCCTTGGTGACACCAGGTGGCTGGCTTTGATCTGGACGGGACGCTCATCACCACACGCTCTGGGAAGGTCTTTCCCACTGGCCCCAGTGACTGGAGGTGATAAGAGGCAAAACAAGGGAGTGAGTGAGGCCTGGAGTCCACCTCTGGCCCCGGGTCACCCCTGCCGCTTCATACCTGCCGTAGGATCTTGTACCCAGAGATTCCCCGTAAGCTCCGAGAGCTGGAAGCCGAGGGCTACAAGGTATGTGCAGCCGCCTGTCTGCATGGGCACGTGCACGTGGCGGTCCGACCGCAGTCAGACCAAGGCCCTGGTGAGCAGAGCGTCTGGTGACACCCTTTGCTCCCCAGCTGGTGATCTTCACCAACCAGATGAGCATCGGGCGCGGGAAGCTGCCAGCCGAGGAGTTCAAGGCCAAGGTGGAGGCTGTGGTGGAGAAGCTGGGGGTCCCCTTCCAGGTATGGCTGGAAGGGAGGCTGGGAGCTATGTGGGGGCACAGAGATCCAGAGCGAGGGCTTTAGACTCCAGGGTAAGCGGGGCGGAGGCCTCAGGCAGTGTGATGCTGATAGGAACCCATCATCAGCTACAAATTCTGGGCTGGGGTGGCATCCAGTAGGTGCTTGAGGGGGAGCTAAAGCTGGTGGCCCCCTCCCATCCACAGGTGCTGGTGGCCACGCACGCAGGCTTGTACCGGAAGCCGGTGACGGGCATGTGGGACCATCTGCAGGAGCAGGTGAGTCTTGCAGCCTGCCCGGCCCCCCTCCTTTTCCTCACTCCAGCCCCTCACTCCTGGGCTCCCCGGCCTCCGGTTGGGGCCTCCTTACTCCTCTGTCCTCTCTCGCTCCCTCCTTCTGTTTTTTGCTGTGACATCTTAGATGTTGGTTTACGAGACCAGTGCTTTCAGACTTTCTACATCAGAGTAGTAGGGAAGCTGTTCATTCCTTCGTTCATTCGTTTGTGTGTGCATTTGTTCTGAAGTTTAGCGCATTCTTGAGCTGAAGGTATCAGTGAGCGGGACGGCCTGCTCCAGCAGGGCCCTCACGGCGAGGGCGGTGACTCTAGGCGGATGGGCAGACTGGCGTGTAAAACAGCAGGAGGGAGGGAGCTGGAGAAAGCAGGCATCACCCGTGGTGGGCAGGGATGGCCTCTGAGGAGGTGACATCAGAGGAAAAGGCCTAAGGCAGGGAAAGGAGGGAGCCAGGTGGACACCTGGGGAAAGCGGTCCCCCCCCTTGTGGGAGTGACAGCAAGTGCAAAGGCCCTGAGGCAGTCCCTAGCCTGGGCTAGTTAGGGACAGCGAGGCCCATGCGGCTGGCTCTAAGCGAGGGAGGGGAGAGGGCAGGGCCACAGGGAGGGCCCCGCTTTTGCCCTGAGGGAGGGGGAACCTGGGAGGCGCCGGCACGCCGGAGGCTGGAGCTGTAGCAGGGTGGGTGCCCTCCGGTGGCCGCGTGGGGAACGGGAGGAGGTGAAGTCGGGAGACCTGGAGGGAGGGGGCTGTGTGGAGAGACCACGGAGGGGGGAGGGGGCCAGGAGCACGGTGCAAAGTGGCTGGAGAGTGAGGACATGAAAGGTCGGGGGATGATTCCTGATGTGGGGCACAGACCAGGCGAAGCAGCCCCAGGGACCCGCTACCGCTGCGGGGGGACATTTGTGGGAAGGGCCTCCTCACTACCGTCTCCCGTAGGCCAACGACGGCACGCCCATATCCATCGGGGACAGCATCTTTGTGGGAGGTAAGGGCCTGGAGGCTGCTGAGGGTGGGCTGGGACGCCTCCCTCCGAGCTGGTGGGAACGGGGTGTCCCGTGTGTTCCAGACGCAGCCGGACGCCCGGCCAACTGGGCCCCGGGGCGGAAGAAGAAAGACTTCTCCTGCGCCGATCGCCTGGTGAGGCCCCTGCCCCCTGCCCCGCGCCCGAGCCCGACCCTGGCCTGTGTCTGATGTTCGTCCTCAACCCCTAGTTTGCCCTCAACCTTGGCCTGCCCTTCGCCACGCCTGAGGAGTTCTTTCTCAAGTGGCCAGCAGCCGGCTTCGAGCTCCCAGCCTTTGATCCGGTGAGGCCCTGGGGCGGGGGTGGGGGTGGGGATGGGAGGGCTCCCGGGGATGGGGACGGCATCTCACGCGTGTCCCCCGCCCCTCGCAGAGGACTGTCTCCCGCTCAGGGCCTCTCTGCCTCCCCGAGTCCAGGGCCCTCCTGAGCGCCAGCCCGGAGGTGGTTGTCGCAGTGGGATTCCCTGGGGGTAAGTGTCCTGTTCCTGTGCGCGTGCCCTGAGCCCCGCCTGGGTCCTAGGCCACCCACCGACACTGCCCCCCACACAGCCGGGAAGTCCACCTTTCTCAAGAAGCACCTCGTGTCGGCCGGATATGTCCACGTGAACAGGGTATGACCAGGCTTTTGCCGCCCCAAATCTATTATAAAGTTCCCATCTCCACCTCTCAACTGGTTTGGGGCGGCTTTCCTCCATCATTGCCTCCCCGTCCCCGCTCGGGGTCTTCTCTCCCCCTGGGTCTGCCGATCTGTTTGTGACCTCTCGTGTCCCCAGGACACGCTAGGCTCCTGGCAGCGCTGTGTGACCACGTGTGAGACAGCCCTGAAGCAAGGGAAACGGGTCGCCATCGACAACACAAACCCAG
Source organism: Homo sapiens (assembly GCF_000001405.40). Taxonomy (NCBI): domain Eukaryota; kingdom Metazoa; phylum Chordata; class Mammalia; order Primates; family Hominidae; genus Homo; species Homo sapiens. The sequence goes on along the minus strand of NC_000019.10, from coordinate 49,861,790 downwards.
ACGCCGCGAGCCGCGCCAGGTAGCGTGACCGCGGGGCCGTAGGTGGCCTGCGGCGGGGTGGGCGGGGCCTGCACATCCAGCTCCTTCCCCCACAGGTACGTCCAGTGTGCCCGAGCCGCGGGCGTCCCCTGCCGCTGCTTCCTCTTCACCGCCACTCTGGAGCAGGCGCGCCACAACAACCGGGTGAGCCCGCTCAGCCCGGACACCCCCCGGGCTGCACCCCCTGACCCCCCTCCTCCCCTGACCCCTGGGCCTGCCGCCCCTCTGATGTTCCCCACAGTTTCGAGAGATGACGGACTCCTCTCATATCCCCGTGTCAGACATGGTCATGTATGGCTACAGGTACTGTTGGGGATAGCAGGGGGCAGGGGCACTGGCTGGGCCACATGATCCAGGCTGTCCCTCACTGTTCCCACCACTGCCAGGAAGCAGTTCGAGGCCCCAACGCTGGCTGAAGGCTTCTCTGCCATCCTGGAGATCCCGTTCCGGCTATGGGTGGAGCCGAGGCTGGGGCGGCTGTACTGCCAGTTCTCCGAGGGCTGAGCCCCGCCCAGCTCCCCTCCACAATAAACGCTGTTTCTCCTTGAGCTTGGCCGGCATTTTGCTGGAAGGAGGGTGGTCCCCACGGGGGAGGGGCTCCAGGCCTGCCAGTTTCTTACATGGAGGAGGCTTTAAGGACATTTTCAGGTAACAAAAGGTGGGGCCCTACCGAGGGGAGTCCAGCTGGGACCTGGCATGAGCACTTTAGACATTAGCCGGGGAACACACAGGGAGGGCGCTGTGTGGCCCCCCGAGAGCCAGCTGGTGAGCCCACGAGCCTCAACCGAGGGGCTGGCTCAAGGCCAGGTGTGACCCCTGAGGACAAAATCCAGCTCAGGTTCTGTGACACTGAACTTGAACCCAAGGCCTGCGGGTCTGGAGATTCGGGGGGGAAGAGGGTGTGGACAGCCGAGAGCCAGACCCAGTGAGTTCCCGGGCTGTCCAGCCTGCTGGGCCACCTTAGAGCTAGGGGGCTGCAAGGCATCGGGCAGTGAGCAGAGAAGGCAGGCAGGTTTTTAAAAGGCTTTATTGGGGAAACGTAGAGGGGTGGGGACCGTCCTTGGAGGCCTCAGGACACCATCCTCCATGTTGCTGGGCAGTTGAAGTCCCCAGGGGCCCCTGCTCAGAAGCGTGTCACCTGGGGGCAGGGGTGCAGTGGGGGCTGCTGGCCACAGGCTCCCAAGCACTGACCCCACATCCCTGTGAGCAGAGGCCTGGCCCCACCCAGGCCTGGATACCACCTCCCATGGCCCTGAGGCTGGGCTGCAGTTTCCCGACAGCCTAGGACCGCTGGGACTGCTGCCTCTCCCTCTGCTCTGCTCTCCCCAAGGCCAAGGTCGCCCTGCTTCTTTCCCAACCCCACCCCCCCCACATGCCCCAGGGTCCCTCCTGTACATGACAGGGTCACCACTCACCAGTCTCTGCGGGGGCCTCATCTGTGACTCCTGGAGGGGCCCAGCCCGGGGTAACCACTACCCCCCCATCTACGGCGAGAAATCAGAGGCCAGTGGTGAGCAGGCAGCGGGGGTGGAGGGAGACTGAGCAGCCCTGGAGGCCGGCCACCTCACCCCTCGTTGCTGTTGCTCCTGCTCCAGGTTCCGCTGCAGGACCTGCTGCTGGTTGGCAATGACACGCCGGATGCCGTTGACAAAGTTGCCCTGGTCATGGGGGATGAGGCCAATGAAGATTTTCTTCTCTGAAGAGTACAGGAGCATAAGCACGCGGATCTCACACGATGCTTTGTAGGAAAAGTGCACGCAGCCGGCCTGGCAGGCACAGGGCGTGGTGTCACCAGACAGCACCACAGGGACCAGCATCCCTCCAACCACGGCATCATGCCGTGGGCTCCATGAGCCAGGCACAGCCTAACTGCTCTGTCCTCACACCCCCCACCCACCCTGGAGGTGGGCCCCCTTATTGGGATGACACGGTGGCCAAGAGCAATGGGTGGGCCAAAGGCCAACAGGCTCTGTCGGGAAGGGCCCAAGAACCTGCATTTCAGAGCTCCTGGGCAGGCCAGGCTGTGTCTGGGGCCACCTCACCACAGCCACCTGAGCCAACCGGCCATGGCTTCAACTCAGGAGCCCGAGGGATCTGCAGCGGCCGGCCCAGCACAAGCAAGGGCTGAGGTACATGGAGCCTTTCTGGGTTTCCTTGAGGAAACTTTTTTTTTTTTTTTGAGACTGAGTTTCGCTCTTGTCGCCCAGGCTGGAGTACAATGGCATGATCTCAGCTCACTGCAACCTCTGCCTCCCGGGTTCAAGCCATTCTTGTGACTCAGCCTCCTGAGTGGCCATCATGCCTGGCTAATTTTTGTATTTTTAGTAGAGACGGGGTTTCACCATGTTGGCCAGGCTGGTCTCAAACTCCTGACCTCAGGTGATCCACCCGCCTCGGCCTCCCAAAGTGCTGGGATTGCAGGCGTGAGCCACCGCACCCGGCCCCTGAGGGAATGCTTGAAATTGCTTTCATGTAAAAGCACCTACACCCAGGCCCCCCCCACCCACGAACAGCTTCGTGGACAGTTTACTCAGACTGAGTCGAAGGTAATTTTAAGGTAGTTTCGGGATATTACCCAAGTATGGCCCAGCTGGAAGGTGGACATCGGGGGGAGGGCTCAGAAACACCAAAGTCCAACCTTCTCCACCTCACAGATGGAGAAACTGAGCCCGAGAGAGAGAAGAGGAGTCAGCTGAGCCTCCCCCAGATAAGACAATCGCCAAATATTCTGGGACCTTGCTGGGGGCAGACAGCCCTCCCTGCCCAGCAATGGGCCTTTGGGATGTGGCACAAGCTCCCGGGAAACCAGGAGTGACAAGGGCGCCTGTCCCTGAGGAGTGGAGAGCGCGGAGTTGGTGCTGAGTCAGCCCTGATGTGGCAGAGGAGGAGCAGGCCCCCGCAGAACCAGGGTCAGTGCCCCATCCAGTGCCGTGGGGACAGCACAGAGCCCCCAGAAGTCACGCCCACACTAGCCACCCTCTCTCCCCAGCTGGTCTGGGACATGGTGCTCTGTTCCTCTCCCATGTCCGCCCCCGTGAGCGGTCCGGGCTCGCTCTGCCCTGGCCGGCCCCTCCCCTGCGTCTGCTGGCACCACTCACGAAGCCATTGTCCATGATCCGGCACAGGCTCTTCAGTGTCTCCAGGTCCTTGGTGAAGTGGAACTGGACCAGGCGCGAGTTCCGGAACAGCGGCACTAGGGTGGTCTGCGGGGAAGCGAGGGGACCCCCAGCTCTGGCTTCTCCCACCACGGCCTCCCGGCTCCCAGCCCGCTGAGTCCCCCGGGCCCAGGACCAAACTGAGACTCCCCTGTCCTCCCTACCTCAGGAAACGTCATCTCCACCGCTCAACCAGCCCAACCCTGGAGTGCTGTGGAAGCCGCTCTCAGATCCCTTGGCAGCCCCCCAGGTGCAGGTCGTGGCTGCCCCTGCCCCGCTCAGTCCCTGCACAGCCACCAGCTGGCTGCCTGGGACCCCTTGAAGCCAAGCCTGAGGAGCTACCCACCACACCTGCTTCAGCACCCTCAGCTCCGCTCCCTCACAGCCAGCTCAGGCCACCTGGGGAGGCGCTCTTGCCCCCAGCCCCGCCCTCTGGAAGAGCTACTGCGTGCAGGCTCCAGCACCCGGCCCCAGCCCCTCACCAGCAGCTGCTGCGGGATGAGCTGCATGTACAGCTTCCTTGGCCACTGCTCGGTCCTCCTGTGGGGCACAAAGGGACGAGGGTCAGGAAGCCCCAGCTCCCCTGGATGCTGCCTCCACCCCCCAGCCCAGCACTCACAGGATCTCCCCCTGGTTCACGTAGACGTGGGATGGCAGCCACCTCTTGGACCGACTGTTGGGCTCAGGCCTGGGCTTTTGGGGGAGAGGCAAAGAGGAGCCCTCAGGGCTGGAGACCCCCAATGCCAGTGTCCCCTCCCAGCCACAGTCCGTGAGGATCTGGGGGTCCCAAGTCCCTGGGCTGCCGAGTGCTCACCTCCTGCCACTCCATGACACCACTCCATGCCAGAAACTTGTTGTTGACGATCTGGACTGGGCCTGAGTTGACACCACCAGGTCCCACTGCCTGTTGGAAGGGAACGGGGTGGGAAGAGGGGCCCAGGCTCCTGGGAAACCTGTCTGTCTGTCCTGGGGCCTGCCATCCCTCCCTCCGAGCCTTGGCCTGTTAGCCCCAGCTGGGTCCATTCTCTAGTCCCAGGGGAACAGGCCCTGCCCCTCATCTGCTCACAGCCCCCCATGGCTCCCCAGTGGCCTGAGACAGGTCCCGGCCCTCACCTGGTGCACAGGACCTGCAGAGTCTGCCTCAACTGGCAAGGCATGACCAGGACACGTGGTTACCAGGCAGGGCCTTCCAGCCGCAGGACGATCCCAACCCCTGCCCAGCTCCCCGCTCCGCTGGCTTCCCTGCCGCCGCGCCAAGACCCACCCTCCAGCCCTGCAGAGCCGCCCAGTGGCCGCTTTTCCATGGAGCCCTGGTGGGAACCCGCCCGGCATCCTCCGGGCTCCCCTGCAGCTCCTTGCTCCAGCCATCGCATCACACTCCGCCCACACCAAGTCTGGCTGCCCAACCAGGGCAGTGGGGTCTAATCCCCCTCTGTCCCCAGAGGGGCTGTGCTTGGCTGGCACACCTGCTTGCGGGTGGTGATGACCTGCCGGATGGCACTGACGAAGCCGCTCTGGTCGTAGGGGATGAGGCCCATGAAGATCTTCTTCTTGGACGAGTACAGGAGCATGAGCACGCGCACCTCACAGGGGGAGATGTGGGGGAACAGCATGCAGCCCGCCTGCGGGGGCCGCGGGTCAGGACCCTGTGGTCACTGCCCGGGGCCACTGTGCCCCCACCACCCTGGACCGCCCCACCTGTAGGGGATGAAGGGAGATCATCGGTGGACAGAGGCCCCCACAGTCAAGGCCATGGCCATAGGTGAGGGGCCTCTGAGAGCCCGTGCAGCGCCCATCGGCATCCCCCGACCCTGCCATGGCTGAGGTCAGAGTGGCACCCGGCACCCAGGCTGCGGTGAGAATGCCAAGAAGGCACTACCTCCCACCCACATCACCCCCTGCCGCCAGCCCTCCTGACTGCCTGATGGGGTGACTTGGCCTGGGGGTTAAGAGCACAGGCAGCGCCCCACCGTTCTGCTGCCTCCTAGCTGTGTGACCTAACACCAGCCACCTCCTGCTTCTGGGCCTCCATCATCTGTAAAACCGGGTAATAGTGCACACAGTTGGTGCCACATAAAGGCTCAACAGATAAAGTGCTGGTGCCTCTTGAGGATGGCGCATGGGAGAACTAAGCCTGACAGATGTGCCTGGCTGTGGTGTCTAGATGAAGTGGTGTGACCGTCCCAAAACCCCATGTCCCCTCCCCACACCGGGCCACCCCCACAGTGCTGTCCCCTCCACGCTGCCGGCCTAACTTCTCAACCTTGGTGTCCAGCCCAGGGATCACCCGCTCAGGGCCCTGTCCCTGGCCTCCCTGGAGCCATGCACAGTCAGCCTCCCAGGGCCATGCCTGGGGGGTGAGTATGGATGTCCACTTTCCCTACAGACTGGGTACTCGGGGCCCAGATATGGCAGGCCCTCAACAAACGGTGCTGGGTGAAGGGGGAACGGGTCACTTAAGAGACCTCATGCCAGGCACAAGCCCTGGTCTGCCCCTGGTCTCCTGAGGGAGAAGGGAGGCCCTAGCGGAACCCAGGGCGCTCAACGGCAGCTGGGACGGGTAGAGGCAGACTGTCCCAACAGGGAACAGGGACTGGGAATGTCCCAGAGCCAGGTCCTCTGGGCAGACAACTCGCTCCCACCCCACCCCTGCCTCCTCTCCAGCACCTGCCATCTTTCACAGCCCAAGCCCCCTTTCTGACCTGCCCTGCGCCAGAATCTCAGTCACCTGAACAGCCTCACCAGCTGGGTTCACCCAGCACTCACTAGGTACTAAAGTCACCATCTCAAGCGCTTTACACAAATTCCCTCCCTCCAGCCTCCCGGTGGCCCTAGGAAGCACGGCTCCCCTGTCCTCCCTACCTCAGAAAATGTCATCTCTACCCCTCAACCAGCCCAACCCTGGAGTGCTGCGGAAGCCGCTCTCAGATCCCTTGGCAGCCCCCCGGGTCCAGGTCATGGCCGCGCCTGCCCCACTCAGTCCCTGCACAGCCACTGGCTGGATACCTGGGTCCCCTTGGAGCCAGGCCTGAGGACCTACTCACCGCGCCTGCTTCAGCACCCTCAGCTCTGCTCCCTCACGGCCAGCTCAGGCCACTCGGGGAGGTTAGCCCATTTTACAGACCAGAATACCAAGCCCCAACGTGCCACTCCCTCCTGGCTGGCTCTTGTGCCTAGCACACCCATTTACCAGGTCCCTGCCATACGCTATGTGTCCCCGACAGGCTCCTGGGCCCCAACAGGGCTGGCCCCAGTCCCTCCCTGCACTCACGCCCCCAGGGCCACCTCGAAGCTGGGCACAGATGCAGAAACTGGAGGCCTCTCAGGCTGAGTTCCTTCACCCTGTGCTCTACGGAGGGTGCCTGGAGTCAGTCATTTCCAGATGGGGTCCGAGAGGCCACGAGGGCTACCCTCGGCCCCAGGGGAGACCCCCCGACCCCCGCCTGGACTGTGTGAGCAGAGCGCTGCCTCCAGCTGTACTTGTCACCACAGTGCTACAAGGGAGCCCGCCCCACTCACGAAGCCGTTGCCCATGATGCGGCAGAGCCCCTTGAGCGAGTCGCAGTCTCTGTTGGTGAAGTGGAACTGTGCCAACTGGGAGTTCCGGAACAGGGGGCCCAGGGTGGTCTGGGGGCGACAGGACAGACAGCTGGGTCAGCCAGGCATGGGGGTGCTCAGAGTGGATGGGGTGGGAGGGGCGGGTCTCACCAGCAGCTGCTGAGGGATCAGCTGCATGATCAGCTTCTGCGGCCACTGGTCGGTCTCCCTATGGGAAGGAGCTGGTCAGAAAGGGCTGCCCTGATCCCCACGGCCACAGCCACTGCCCCTGCCACCGCCCTGGCTGCCACGCCCCGGCACTCACAGGTTCTCGCCTTGGTTCACGTAGGCTTGGCAGGGCAGGGTCCGCTTCAGCTTTGCAGTGGAGTCAGAGTAGGGTCTGCGCTTCTGTGGGGGCAGGAGGGGCGTCACTGTGCACAGCCTAGATGCCCTGGCCTGTCCCCGCAGGGACAAGACAAGACCCTGGAGGCCAGCCGCAGCCCCACAGAGACTCACCTCCTGCCACTCGAGGACGCCGCTCCAAGCCAGCAGCTTGTTGCTGAGCCGGTGCTCGCTCACGGCCAGACCCCCGAGGGTGAGCCCAGGTGAGGAGGGACCGATGGGACCCAGTGCCCCGAAGACCCGAGCACCTTCCTGCAATGGAGTGGGGGATAGGTGGGAAAACTGAGGCCGGGGCCTGCAAGGACAGGCAGTCCCCACACACCCCAGAGGGGACGTCCCAATATTCAGCCCCAAATCCCCTGCTGGAAGCCCACGGGGCCATGTCCAAACCCTCTGCTCACCCCTCAGGACCCCCACACGCTGGTCCTCATGTCCTTTCCCGCTGCCCACCCTCAGGACCCTTCCTTCCCAGAGCCTGCTGTCACCTTGACACTGGCCCAGCAGAGTCCTGAAGCCTTCAGCCAGCCCCACCTCCAGCCTTTGCCCCAGCTGTGCGCCTGATCGATTCTTGAGACCCAAGTTAGAAGCCAGCTGTAGGGGGCTTTCCCCGTGCCCCAGGCTGGGCCCAGGGCTTCCTTGCAGCCTCCACAGGCACAAGCCGGCTTGCGCTGTGTCTGTCCCACACACCAGCTTGCCCTGTCTTTCCCAGGCTGAAACTCTCCTAAAGCTCCCTGTCATCCCAAAGTTCAATTCCTTCCTCTGGCTCAGGCCAGTGCCCACCTCTCTGGCCTTATAAGTCTGACCCCGGGGGGAGGCAGGAAGGAGATGACAAGAAACACAGAGGGGACTAAACCATCCAGGAGAAAGACAGCGAGGAAAAGGGGGAAACATTTGGAAGACAGCTGGGACACCACCCCCAGAGGGGTCTCACAGACCAAAACATGTAGAACACCAAGAGAAAGTTCTAGCAATAAAGCCAAGCAACGCCACAAATGCTACTCACAGGCACTCTCCCCACTATTTTTATTACTATTTTTTTTTTGAGACAGAGTTTCACTCATTTCCCAGACTGGAGTGCAGTGGTGCGATCTCAGCTCACTGCAACCTCGCTCACTGCAAGCCGCGCCATCATGCCCGGCTAATTTTTTTTTTTTTTTTTTTTTTAGTAGAGATGGGGTTTCACCATGTTGGCCAGACTGGTCTCGAACTCCTGACCTCAAGTGATCCGCCCGCCTCGGCCTCCCAAAGTGCTGGGATTACAGACGAGGGCCACCAAGCCTGACCTCACTTATTGTTTTTTAAAACCAAAAACATCTCAAAGCAAACAAGGGAAAGCTCCGCAAACAGCCTGGCAGCAGGAAACCCACGAGAGTTTCCCCGTAATAGGCGCCTCCAGGCGGGGGAAAACAAATTATAAGGGTGATTTATTTTTATCTTATTACAAACAGGTATTTTCCAAATTTTCTATGAAGCACAAGGAGATCTTTCCTTCCAGAATACTAGCAAACACAAAAAATTTTATTTTGTGAGTGCTTAAAAAGAGAAAAACCTGAACAAACTTGCTCTCCACCCACGCAGGTGATTCTCCACCCACGCAGGTGATTCTTCACCCACGCAGGTGATTCTGACTTTTGGGCAGTCGTCAGAAGATCAGATAGAAAACCTGAGTATCTTGGCGTTAGAATGAGTTGGACAGAGAGTGGATGTTGCCCCGGGGGCTTCAGGCACCATACCGGACATCCAGCATCTGAGATGAGTTAAAACGCACAGCTGGAGGTGACTTTCGAGATGAGGGTACACTTACAACATACAAGTTGTTTATGGCGCTGGGACCTGAGGTATCTAGTCCGCATATACAGTGACACGTATGCATTTACTGCCACAAAGATGGGTAAAAGTCAGGAGAACGCACTTAAGAGCCCAAGCGACATACTTAATGTCTGCTTGTCTAGGAGAGCAGGTTGACTCAGGACTTCAAATATGCTGGGATCTGGAGCCATAGTAAAGAACACATATGCTTGCCTAAAACCCAGGGATACCTTCCACAGCAGGAGCAGCACATCAAGATGGGACGATCATATTTAAAAACGACGGTTAAGGTGCAACCTAAAGTAAATCTCACATCTTGGCAATCGTGTGCAAAACTGCGCGCCTGACATCCCTATTGCACAGGGAAGCCCATCTAGTACTTGCACTGAGGTTTAAAACCTTGGGGTGCATGTCTGAGGACCCGGAAAGCACTTTTGAACAACTAGATGCGAATGCTGCAGGAAGGGGCGAAGGCAGTGGAGTGAAGGGGTACGTTTAAGTTGTGGGAGGTGATCTAAGTCTCGGTATCCATGTTTATGACCCCAGGAAGCCTGTTTAAGGTTTCAGTAGGGCTGCCACAGCTCTGTGCCATCCACACCGCTGAGGCAGTGTATTTAAGAAGCGGACCCGAGCGCGAACCCAGGGGAAATCTCACATCGGGGCAAGCGTGTGCACGGTGCAAAGTCGCGATGTGCGGTTTTACAGCCCCAGGTAAACCTTACGGTTTCTGAAAAGCATGTGCATCTTTTGGGTCCGGAGAAGCGTGTGCAGCCCAAAGTACCTGCGAAGCTGAATGTTTACGTTTAAGGTCTGGGCTCACGGCAGTCCATCAAAGCATCCCACATGTGGGCGCGGGCGCGTATTCTAGGTGCGCACTCCACGGGCACGGAGCGGCCGCCAGGGGAGAACGCCCACGGGTGCGACATCTGGGGGCGCTGGTACAAAGCGCGGGCCCCTCCCTCGCCGCTGTCCCCCAAAACCGCCCCCATTTCCAGGTTTCCTGCCCGGAGAGCGAGCAACTCTCCAATAGGAAAAACAAGCGAGCGTGCCGGCTGCCTGTCTGCCGCCCCCAGCCCGCGTTTAAATCGGGCCGCGGAGTCAGCAGTAATATGAGCCCGCCCCGCCCCCGTCCCCCAACCCCCCACCCCGGCCCGAACGCGCAACAAAGGGGAGAGCGCGGCGCGAACCACCGGGTGCTCCACGGGGGAACCCGGCCCCGGGCGGGACCACCCTTCGGGCCACAGGGGACACCCCGGAGCGGCGGGGGCTGCGGACAAAGGCGTGAGCCCGGGATAGGGGCTGGGGGGGCGGGGCCGTGGAAGGCTCTGGAAAAAGGGCGGGGGGCTCACCATGGGAGGGGCCGAGCGGGCCCGGATCCGCGGAGGCTGCGGGCCTCGGGGGCTGGCAGGCCAGGAGCGCGAGCGGACGGCGCGCACCACGAGGGGCCGCGGAGGGCGGCCGCGACCCCCGAGGGGGCCCCCGGCGCCGGAGCGGTACGGGGCACGGCGCGGACGGACCATGGCGGGCGCGGGCCGAGCGGGCGGGGAGCTGCCGCGGGCCACAAGGGGGGCTGCGGGCTCCACCGACTGAGGGGCGCGGGCGCGGGCGCGCGGCTTCGGGGGAGACGGGCTGAGCCGTACCAAGCTCGGGGGACGCGCCGCCGGAGTGGGGTCGCCGCGGCCGAACCACTGAGGCGAGCGGGGGAGCCCGGCGCGTACCAAGCGCGTCCGAGGGGGCGTGGCCGGAGCGTACCAAGGCGGCGCGGGGGAGCGGGGCCCGGGCGGGAGCGGAGTGTGGGCTCGGCGGTCCTGCGGGCCTCTCCGGCGCGGGGGAGTCCTGGGAAGACGCGCGAGCCACAACTTCAGGGGGCGTGGCGGGAACGGGAGCCCCTACCGAATGGGGTGGCAGAAGAACGAAGGCGACACCAAGCTGGCCCCTTGCGGGGGTCGGGACGGCGGGAGACCTCATCCGGAGCCCTGGGCCCGCAGAGCCAGGAGACCGCGCCAAAATACATCAGGGAAGAGGGGAGGACGGAATAATGGGCCTGGGGACAAAGGAACCCACTGAAAGGGAACCCACTGAGGGTACGGATTGCACCCGAGCCTGAGACAGCTGAAGGTTTGCAGTCGGTGACGTGGCGAGGTGGGCAAGGGACTCCAACTCCCAGCGGGCCCCGCGCGGCCTGGGCGGGGCCAGCTGTCCCTGGAGGCTCCGCCCATTAGCCCCGGCGCCCAGGCTCCGCCCGCCGTCCCTGGCGACTCCAAGCTTCTCGCCACTCACGTCGCTCCCCGGCCTTCCGTGGATTCGCTCATTCGCTCTGCTAAAATGGAATGACTACTTACTAGTAGTTGTATAAGATTTTTCCCTCGATTTTTGTTCCTTAAACGTGGGTAATACCTAACCCTAGAGTGGTTATGGGGATCGAGCCCGAGGGGCTGTGCTTGACTGCTTGGCGCAGTCACTACTCAAATGTTAGCTTTTCTTTAAAAACAACAACAAAAATCTGTTATGAGTACCCTGTCCAGTTCTGTGCTCGGCGACGACCGAATCAGACCACGTCCCTCACAGGCCCCACGGTCCACTGGGGAGAGACATAATCACAGGCTGTGCTAAGTGTTAACTAGCGCACATCCACAGGGCGATGGGATATGACCATAGCGAGGTAAAGTTAGCAAGCAAGGGAAGTCAAGAAAACGACCTGTGAGCAACCTGCCATTCCAGATGGCTGGAAAAGTGTGCAAAGAGGACAGAACAGCAAAGACAAATCCTGAAAGTAGAAGGAATAAAAGGGAGCCAGTGTGGGCGGAGTCGAGTGAAGGTAGAGAGGAGAAATAGACACAGCTGTAGGAGGTTAGAGACGGAGTCCCTACTTCTGTTTCGGATGTTGACTAAACAATGTAGATAGATATTGATGTCATAGCCTGGAGAGAGAAATTCGGGAGTCATCAGTGTTTGAATGGAGACTGGATGAGCTCACAAAGAGACTGGGACACTCATCCCTTTAGCAGTCACGACAATGAGAAGCAACCAGCAAAGGACACGGAGGAGTGGCCAGTGAAATGGCAGAAGAACCCGTAGGCCTGTCCATGTTTTCCTGCCCAGGGGCTCCCGAGGGCTGACTGGAGCCCAGCCTTAAACCCCAAATCCAACCTGCATTGTGGCCAAACGGAGTCAGTGCTCCCTGAACACAAACTGCAAGTTAGTTATCAACAGGTACCTCCAATGCCCTGTCAATCACCCATGTGAGGACAACCTGGCAGCAGGAAGGAGAAAAAACAGGAGCTGCTTTAATCTCCCGGAATCCTCACTTCTCCCCATTCTTGTTGGTCCAAACCATCAAGATCTCTTGCCTGGGTGACGTCTCCTAACTCTTGCTGCCTTCTCTGTCACTACAATAATCAAAACCATCCAATGGCTTCCCAGTGCCTTTAGAATTAAATCCAAACTTGGTACTGTGGCCCCTGCTGCCGCCCCCCAAAAAATCTCTCTCCCATCCTTCCTGTTCTCTACCTGTTAATGCCTTCCCATCCCTCAGAACCCATCAGGACACACGTGAGTTTGAATGCCCTGAATTGTATAAGCATGGAGAGCGGTATACCAGGGTGTACTCCAGAGTGAGCAAAATGGGAACTCATGTCAGAAAGTGAAATGAAAATGTAGGCTGAAATTCTATCAGTAATACTGCAACAAAACTCTCTGAAACCATCTCACTTAACTCGGTCCACCAACTTGAAAGACACTTTCCTTTTCATCTGTGAAGCCCACTGCTGGGGCTAGCAGGCTACTATTATGACTAAGCAATTCCACTTCCATCTCTCAAGCTGTTTACTTCCTGAAAGGTAGCTGTTTGATCCAAACCTGTTTATGCCAGAAGTTCTTGTTTAATTTACTATCAAACTAATGAAATTAATGCAAGACAGTTGTTTATACACAAACCAGATTGCTTGCTTTGGAAAGACTAAAAGGGAGTTGTTAAAAGAAAAACATGCCAGGCGTGGTGGCTCACACCTGTAATTCTGCACTTTGGGAAGCCGAGGTGGGCAGATCACTTCAGGTCAGGAGTTCAAGACCAGTCTGGCCAACATGGTGAAACACCGTCTCCACTAAAAATACAAAAGTTAACCGGGCATGGTGGTGTATGCCTGTAGTCCCAGCTACTCTGGAGGCTAAGGCAGGAGAATCGATTGAACCCAGGGGGTGGAGGTTGCAGTGAGCTGAGATCTCACCACTGCAACTCCAGCCTGAGCAACAAAGCAAGACTCCATCTCTTAAAAAAAAAAAAATGCTGCCAAGTTAGGTACAAGTAAAGCAACTGTAAATTATTTAATGAAAAAGCTTATAAAAACCTAGGAAGACTCAGCCCCCAGTTTGTTTCATAAATGTCTTTAGGTTCTCAAGCCACTTAAAAAAATGACTCATTGTGGTTTGTGGGTGGAGCTTATACAAGAATGTGATGTTCTACTGGGCGCAGTGGCTCATGCCCGTAATCCCAACACATTGGGAGGCTGAGGTGGGAAGATTGCTTGAGCCCAGGAGCTCGAGACCAGCCTGGGCAACACAGTGAGACTCCCACCTCTACAAAAACAACAATAATTTTCTAGGCATGGTGGCATGCACCTGTGGTCCCAGCTACTCAGGAGGCTGAGGTGGGAGGATCTCTTGAGTCCAGGAGATTGAGGCTGTAGTGAGCCGTGTTCACACCACTGCACTTCAGTCCAAGTGACAAAGTGAGACCCTGTCTCAAAAACAAGAATGTAATGTCGTGTGCTAACTAGGAGACCAATACTGAAAGAAAGGGTCTTGGTCCTACGTACAAGAGATGTCTGTTTAAATGTTCTTGGTTAAAATAAGATGTTTAAAGTGTTAAGATGGCCGTTAGTGCTATTTGCCATATATTTCTAGCTCCACACTTGGCCAGCATTTGACCCCATTTAGCTTGAGTGCGGCCATGTGATTAATTTTGGCCAGTAAGGTGTGAGGCCATGTGATTACATCTGGCCAATGAGATATGAGCAGAAGTGACACATGTGAATTCAGCAAGAGCACATAATTGCTAATGGAAGACCAGACCCCTCTGCCTTTACTATGTCCATTGGCAACCTTCATGATCTGTCCGCACGGGCTCCAAGCTGACACTCAATACAGCACGAGTGACAAAATCCACCTTGGCTGTTTCAAGCCACTGCAATCTGGGGGTAATCTGGCCTTTCCTGATATACACAATTTTTTTTTCCCAAATAATCCCAGTTTAACCAACATTTGTTAAACCAATCAACTACCAAGTCTGAGTTTCCTAGAAGAACAAACTGGCAGTACATATAGGTTGGATGACATAGGCTAGGACACAATGACAACATGGACAAAGTGTTTTATACTGGCCGGGCACGGTGGCTCATGCCTGTAATCCTAGCACTTTGGGAGGCTGAGGCAGGTGGATCACCTGTTGTCAGGAGACCAGCCTGGCCAACCTGGTGAAACCCCATCTCTACTAAAAATACAAAAATTAGCCAGACGTGGTGGCAGGCGCCTGCAATCCCAGCTACTCAGGAATACAAATACAGTCTCCTGATTGATCCTCCAATTCAAGCAGGAGAATTGCTTAAACCCGGGGAGGCGGAGGTTGCAGTGAGCTGCACTCCAATCTGGGCGACAGAGCGACATTCTGTCTCAAAAAATGCTAATAGGCTGGGTGCGGTGGCTCACACCTGTAATCCCAGCACTTTGGGAGGCTGAGGCGGGCAAATCATGAGGTCAGGAGTTCAAGACCAGCCTGGCCAACATGGTGAAACCATGTCTGTACTAAAAATACAAAAAATTAGCTGGGCATGGTAGTGGGTGCCTGTAATCCCAGCTACTTGGGAAGCTGAGGCAGGAGAATCACTTGAACCCAGGAGGCGGAGGTTGCATTGAGCTGAGATTGTGCCACTGCACTCCAGCCCAGGTAACAGTGTGAGACTCCGTCTCAAAACAAACAAATAAAAAAGATAATAAAATGCTTTATGCTAAGAAATGGGAGTAAGATCATCTCTGGCTTGGATTTTTCTTTTCTTTCTTTGCAATTACAAAATAGTTTATGGCTGATTTTTTTTTTAAAGGTCTGCCTGATACATGCTTTGCAAACTCTAGGTATTTCAACTTTGTCATCATCGTGTGTGTCCAGACGCAGAGGCTCACACCTGTAGTTTCAACACTTTGGGAGGCTGAGGTTGGAGCATTGCTTGAGCCCAGGAGTTTGAGACCAGCCTGGGCAACATAGCAAGACCCCATCTCTACAACTATAAAACTAGCCAGGCGTGGTGTTACATGTCTCTAGTCCCAGCTACTCTGGAGGCTGAGGTAGGAGAATTACTTGAGGCCAGGAGTTCGAGACCAGCCTGAGCAACAGAGTAAAACTCTGTCTCTACAAAAAATACAAAAATTAGCTGGGCATGGTGGTGCGTGTCTGTAGTCCCAGCTACTCGACAAGTGGAGGTGGGAAGACTGCTTGACCCCTCTAGGCAGAGGCTGCAGTGAACCAAGGTCATGCCACTGCACTCCAGGGTTGACAGAGTGAGACCCCTGGCAATAATAGTAGTTAATATTTCTCAAGAACTTCATGTCTGAACTCACTGAATTCTCACACAGCAGGCCATGAGTTCAACAATCTTTTAATCCCCACTCCACAGATGGGGAAACCAAGGATCTGGAAGCAAAAGCCTGACGTCACAGGCTGCGGAGACACGGGACAGGGACAGGGCCCAGGTTCTTAATCTCAGTAGGTGTTGGCCTCCACTTTGTGGAATAAACAAGGGGCCAAGCCCCTCGGGCTTGGGACCGTCTTACCCTCGTCACTGCCGCGCTTCTCAGCCTCTCTGCCACCATCTGCCCTCCAGCACAGACCATGCTGAGTGTTCCCAGATTGTAAAAGACATACATCTGCCCTATCCCCAAACCCAGCGTCCTGGGTTTGAGATTACAGGCAGGAGCCACTGTGCCCAGCCCCCTGGGCTATTTTTAAAAATAAATAAAATGAAGGCTTTTTGTCCAAACTTCAAGATATGTTGTTAGATTGAAAAACAAACAAAAAAATGATAGAATAAAGGAGATTGCCACTGGATAGAAAAGCCAGAAAATCAATCAGTTTCTCTATTTGCTTGTACCTGCTTATACGTCTCTCTGAAAAGACACTTAAGCAATTGGTAACTGATCTCTAGAGGGAGCTGAGAGAGACTGCATTGGTTGGTTTCTGGAGCCCCTCCAAGTGTGAACCATAGGAAGGTTTCTCGTATATGCGAAACATGAATACAACATTTTTTGGGTCATGTAAATAAAGTTGGCATACTTAGTTTTGAAATTCTGCTGCTGGGAATGCATCCCATAGGAATGCCTGCACAAGTGGGTTAAAAAAATACACATTCATCCTCTCCAGCATGTCTGATAATAGTGAAAAACTGGCCGGGCGTGGTGGCTCACGCCTGTAATCCCAGCACTTTGGGAGCCCGAGGTGGGTGGATCACTTGAGGTCAGGAGTTCGAGACCAACCTGGGCAACATGGCAAAATCCCATCTCTACTAAAAATACAAATATTAGCTGGGTGTGGTGGTATGTGCCTGTAATCCCAGCTACTCGGGAGGCGGAGGCTGCAGTGAGCTGAGATCACACCAGTGCACTCCAGCCTGGGCAATAGAGCGAGACTCCATCTCAAAAAAAAAAAGAAGAAATAAAAGAAAAACTGGACAGGCCCTCAACTGGCAGGGTGCAGTGTGGTGGGCACCCTGAAAGACAGCCCCCATGACCCTCACCTCCTGTCTGCACTGTCCTCTCAGCTTGAGTGTGGGCAGAACCTAGCAACTTGTTGTAATGTACAGAATATAGCAAGAGTGACAAGATATCACTTCCAAGATTGGGTTACAAAAGACTGCAGCTTCCACCTTGGGCGTCCTCTCTCATTTCTGTTTTTCTTTTTTTTTGAGACAGTTTCACTCTTGCAGCCCAGACTGGTGTGCAATGGTGTGTTCTTGGCTCACTGCAACCTCCACCTCCTGGGTTCAAGCGATTCTCCTGCCTCAGCATTCCGAGTAGCTGGGATTTCCCAGATGCCTGCCACCACGCCCAGCTAATATTTTGTATTTTTAGTAGAGACAGGGTTTCACCATGTTGGCCAGGCTGGTCTCAAACTCCTGACCTCAGGTGATCCACCCGCCTTGACCTCCCAAAAGTGCTGGGATTACAGGCATGAGCCACCGCACCCAGCCCTTCTCATATTTCTAGAGAAGCTGGATGCCACATTGCAACTGCAAGGTGCCCTGTGAAGAGGCCTGCAACGGCGAGAAAACAAGGGAGACCTCCAGCCAACAGCTAGGAACTGAGGCTCTCGGCCCCATCACCTGTGAGGAACTGAATCCTGCCAACAGGCATGTGAGTGGGCTGGAAGTGGGCCCTCCTCACGGAGCCTTCCGATGACTGCACAGCCCCAGCCACCAGCTCGACCGCAACCCCGAGAGCCTGGGAGCCAGCAGCTCAGCCAAGCCTGGATTCTTGACCCCCAGCAACGGTGAGGCAATAAATGCTTCTTGTTTTAAGCCACTCGGTGGTGGGGTTTGTTACACAACAGATAACTTATAGGCAGGATGGCTCGTGGAACTGAAATGCGTCCATTTAGTGCACTACCTGAGGCCACCATGAGAAGTGGGGACATAGAGGAACAGGTAATTAACAGTGCAGGCAGGCCAGGTCGGTGGCTCACACCTGTAATCCCAGCATTTTGGGAGGCTGAGGTGGGCAGATCACCTGAGGTCAGGAGTTTGAAACCAGCCTGGCCAACATGGTGAAACCCCATCTCTACTAAAAATACAAAAATCAGCTGGGCATGGTGGTGGGCGCCTGTAATCCCAGCTACTCGGAAGGGTGACGCAGGAGAATCGCTTGAACCTGGGAAGTGGAGGTTGCAGTGAGTCGAGACTGCGCCACTGCATTCCAGCCTGGGCAACAGAGTGAGACTCCGTCTCAAAAAAAAAAAAAAAAAAAAAACCCGAAAAATTAGCCAGGCATGGTGGCTCCTGCCTGTAATCCCAGCTACTTGGGAGGCTGAGAATAGCTTGAACCTGGGAGGCAGAGGTTGCAGCGAGCTGAGATCACGCCACTGCACTCCAGCCTGGGCAACGGAGTGAGACTCTGTCTATAAATAAATAAATAAATAATGGCCATTACTTTGGTTGGAAGAAAAAAAAAAGCAAGCTAAAGAACAAAGAAATTGACTCACTTATACAAAAAAATTAAACTATAAATATATCCACAACCGCATGCATGTAAACCCAAATGCAGAACTGGTACATCAGCCTCTAGGGAGGTAAGTGGTTTGCTCAGGGTGTGTGTTTGGGCAGGAGAGGCGAGAGTGAGGTGTGATAGGGTAGTTCCACTTTTTGTTGTTGTTTTTGAGACAGAGTCTTGGTCTGTCTCCCAGGCTGGAGTCAGTGGCACAATCTCTGCTCACTGCAGCCTCTGCCTCCTGGGTTCTAGTGATTCTCGTGCCTCAGCCTTCTGGGTAGCTGGGATCACAGGCACATGCCACCATGCTGGCTAATTTTTGTATTTTTAGTAGAGATGGGGTTTCACCCTGTTGGCCAGGCTGGTCTCGAACTCCTGACCTCAGGTGATCTGCCCGCCTTGGCCTTCCAAAGTGCTGGGATTACAGGCGTGAGCCACCATGCCTGGTGGTACTTCCACTTTTTATTCCACACATTTCAGCGCCCTTTCATTTTGGGAAACTGTTGTAGTGTGTGTAACTCAATATATTTTAAAAGTTAATTTTTTTTAAATGCCAAGATGGTAAGAAAATACATGTTAGTGTTTTGTGTACCTTGAAACAAATATATTCTTAACACCCCTTTTGAGAAGGTGTCCTTTTTCTCATAATCCTTTGGAGGTGGGTGGGCATTTTCTTTCACCCCGAACAGGTTTCCAACTATTAATATGTTGGTGTTTTAGCATTTTTGCCTCAACAATCACTTTTTTCCAATTACGTCCTACCACCTGCTCCTTTGCAAGAATTTTCATGAATCCCCAGTCTTGCCTCCAGTCATGATGCATGATTCAAAAGCAAACTGGTCAAAAAGAAAATGTTTCCAACAAGTCACTCACTCAATTATAACCTTTCTGGACACAAGTGATTTTTGTAAGTTAGGATGCTTTTTTTTTTTGAGACAGAGTCTTGCTCTGTCACCCAGACTAGAGTGCGGTGGCACGATCTTGGCTCACTGCAACTTCCACCTCCGGGGTTCAAGCGATTCTTATGCCTCAGCCTCCCAAGTAACTGGGATTACAGGTGTGCGTAACCACAACTAAGTTTTGTATTTTTACTAGAGACAGGCTTTCACCGTGTTGGCCAGGCTAATCTCAAACTCCCAGCCTCAAGTGATCTGCCCGCCTCGGCCTCGCAAAGTGCTGGGATTACAGGCGTGAGCCACCACGCCCAGTCAGGATGCATTTTTTAAATAGAGATGGGGTCTCACCTTATTGGCCAGGCTGGTCCTGAAACCCTGGCCTCAAAGCGATTCTCCTACCTCGGCTTCCCAAAGTGCTGGGATCACAGGCGTGAGGTCCAGCTTGGCATGCATTTCTAGAAGCAGTTTTGCCCACCTTTTACCTTCTTAGAGTGCATTTCAGCCAAAAGATGACAACAGTGGCTACCAGCAGCTCTCCTGTGTCCAGGACTGAGCTGGGCCAGATCTTGTATTCCTTATGAGAATCCTCTGGGGTAGTCACTATTTGACATATGGAGAAAGTGAGGCTCAGAGACATGCAGGGACCTGCCCGAGGTCACAGAGCTAATCAGCGCAGAATCTTGGGATTAAACCCTGCTGTTCTAGGGTTTTCACTATTTCTTGCCTTAGGAGAACCTTGTATTCAGGGAAAAACTTTCCCAAAAGATTTGCTCTGTTGGTGTTGGCTGGTTCTAAGGGGCATGTGAAGTTCTTAGGCCTTATCGTCACCTGACCTATGAAATGGGGAGGTGAGTCCCATGTGCCTAGATCTGGCCTCATTCCTTGGGCCTCCTTTTTGGTTTTTTTTTTGTGGGTTTTTTTTTTTTTGAGATGGAGGTTTGCTCTTATTGCCCAGGATGGAGTGTAATGGCGCAATCTCGGCTCACTGCAACCTTTGCCTCCCGAGTTCAAGTGATTCTCCTGCCTCAGCCTCCCAAGTAGCTGGGATTACAGGCATGTGCCACCATGGCCAGCTAATTTTGTATTTTTAGTAAAGACAGAGTTTCACCATATTGGTCAGGCTAGTCTCCAACTCCCAACCTCAGGTGATCCGCCCGCCTCAGCCTCCCAAAGTGCTGGGATTACAGGCGTGAGCCACCGCGCCCAGCCTGGGCCTCCTTTTTATTCCACACATTTCAGTGGCCTTTCATTTTAGGAAACTGTTCTAGTGTGTGTAACTTAATACATTTTAAAAGTTAATTTTTTTTTAAATGCCAAGATGGTGAGAAAATATGTTAGTGTTTTGCGTACCTTGAAACAAATACATTCTTAACACCCCTTTTGAGGTGTCCTTTTTCTCCTAATTCCTCTTTGGAGCTGGTGGGTGGGCATTTTCTTTCACCCCTAACAGGTCTGCTACTATTAATAAGCAAGCCCCGGTTCACTCCTGTAAACCGTGTGATTAGGCCACGACAGTCCCTCTGGTTCCTCTAATTTGAGTGTTAAGGTCAAGAGGGCGCCACTGGCATGAGATGGCCAAACTGGCGACTGGAAACCTTTCCTTTTAACCAATTTGTTTCTGATCCAAACCTGCGTTTCCCTTGCCGGGGGACATGGCCACCCTGGTGGAAACACTGAAGGCTGCTTCCTGCTCCTCTCAGCGGCTTCTGACAGAGTCGATTGCTCCCTCCTCAAACACTCAGCTTCCAGAACGCCACACTTGCCTGGTTCTCCTGTCTTCTGGCTCCCTGCCCAACCCTTACGCGTGGCTCTTTCTCAGGGTTCTGTCCTTGTTCTCGAGTCTTCTCCTTCTTCCAGTCGCAAAATGGCGGCCTGGCGGCCTCATTAGACCCACAGGCAGATTTTGTTTGGTCCTCACAGTGTTTTTGTTTTCAATTTGAATGCCATTAGGCGGGGCAAGCACTCTCCAAGTTCGCCACAGTCCCCATCATTCCCTGTTGTCTTACACCCGTCCGCTTCACACATTTTCATCACCTGCCTGGTCCCTGAAGCCATCTGAGTTTTCAAAAACCCCTGCTACACAGGCTGCCTGGGAAATCACCCACTTGCACTTCTTCGCTGTCACCAGTGCCTCCTGCTCCACACTCACATTCCTGAGGATCGCCTAGAGAGCTTGCTCACACGACTCCCAGACCCCCGCCCTCCCCCCACTGGATCCAACAGTTCCAGGGCAGGGATCGGAAACTCACATGCCTACAGGGGCCAGGCGGGTCACATAAATGAGTGAACTAGCCAGGTATAAGAAAAGTCGACGGCCAGAAATATCATCAAATCGGATCTTTACTCAACTATGGTGAATGCATGGAACATAATACAAACATGGATGTTACTGGAGTTTATATTTTTAAATTCAAAATTGAAAAAATACAAATTGAAAAATAGAAATATTTAATTATTAAAATTTTCTCTTTCATAATTCTTTTTGCGCCTTTGAGTTGAAGCCAAAAGGCTGGCGTCTTCCCTTCCACACCGAGATGTCAGTGTCAGGCCTCGGGTGGCACGGTGGGGACGGGCAGTTTAGAATTCAGCCTTGAATCCTTCAACTGGGAACGATGTTTAATTTGATTCAGGTTCGTAACGGAAAACAGCTGTTCACAAGCGTGGGTACTCCCAAACACAGATATTCAGGACAACTACTGGAGATAGTTGTAGAATCTCACCATCTTCACACAGACTTGTATTTAGGAACCAGCGCCGTATTGCACTGTAGTTCAATTACTATTTATGGTCTGCATTCACACAAGAAACATCTGCCAACAAAGGCAAACTGGACAATGTCTGTTCCTTCTCATGAGTCTGGATTCCGAGAGCCTTTGGGGGAATTTGGTCTTCAACCCCAGGACGTAGGTGAATACAGTCCGGGCCACCTCTTTCATTTCTGAAAGCCGACTGCAGCACAGGAAAGAGTAAAGGTTTTTTTTCCTTGCCGGTGGATTCCCCAGGACCAAGCATACACCATCATACATTCAAGTAGCTGTTTGTGGACATCCTTGCGGAGAAATATTCAGTGTTCAGAACGGTCATAACCTTGACCAGAAGTCTTTGACTAACCTTCTCAGGGGAACCCACTGTGGCTTTTGCCTGATTTAAAATGAACCAAGTTGGTTAACTTGAACAGTTCAGATTTCTTCCACAACCAAGTCACAGAGCTTCTGTGAAATCTCTCAGGTCAAGTCACCATCAACTCACTCGTGACTGAAGTCCAGGAGCGGAAGTGTCGAGAGCATCGCGGTGTGTTCTGTTCAGTTGCTCAGAACAAGTCAACTCCTGATGATGGATGCAACGACCCAACTTCCGTGTCCTTGCCAAATGCTGTCGCCTTGGATCAAGGTGTCCTGCCAAGTCCCCCTGTCATGACGCTGTCTGTAGTTGTGCTTCGGAACTCTGGCCAGTCTATGTGAAACTTTTCTCTCAATATACAAAAAAAATTAGTCCTTTCCCAGTGTTGGGCCTGCCTTGGCACCATGCCACAGACTTCTTCGGTCACATCAAGATTCTTAACACCACAAATAAATAAAGCTAACTGGGTGGTAATAGTTTATGAGCAGCGAAAGAAAAGGCCACAATCAATTTGACTCTTTCAAGCAACTGGACTTGTAAATCCCCCGAGTTATCTCCAACTCACTGTGCAACGCAAATGCCCGTTAGACTTAAATAACGGTCTCAACAGTCATGTGTTTCTGTGCAGGACACGTCACTCTGCTCCTTTATAAACTTGCCATCTGCTGTAGCTCTGAATGCCCAGGTCATTCTTCTCACGTGATTCCGGAACGGCGTACCACTGCCGCGCCACTTCTGTTAATTCGCTTTTCAAAACAAACCCTATTGACATTTGAGTCCCTTTTTCAGTTCGTTGAGGATGGCATCTCGAGTCTGTTCTGTGTACTGGTCGTAGCTCTTACTATGCTTTGATTCATAGTGGCGTTTCAGGTTGTATTCTTTCAACACAGACACGATTTGTTTGCATATTAAACACATAGGCATGCTCTTCACTTCCACAAAGAAATAGGCTCGCTCCCATTTTTCTCGAAACACACGGCCCTCTCCTTCTCTCTTTCGTTTTGCCGCTTGTGATAGAGACATGGGTACAAGAAAGATTTCACTTTCCTCTGAATGCTACCACAGAACAACCACAGTGCAAACCCCGTGACAAAGGCAGTGACTCTCTGCCTCACAGGGAAGCCAAGAGGGAGTGGTGGGGACTGTGGCGAACCAGAAAGCACACGCCCCATGGAGAGGGGCAGCTCCAGCCCATTGTTGCCAGGCAGAAGGGCGGGCCCAGGGGTGCCAATTCTTCTGACTTGTCAAAAGAAGCCAAGACTGCAGATTTTGTGTGTGTGCGTGTGTGTGTGTGAATTAACCTGATTTTTACAACTAACTCGTAAGAAAAAAATGCCACATATGCTAACACAGGGAAGGCCAAACAAAACTCATCCGCACGATGGCCCATAGGCCACCAGATTGCAATCTCTCTCCTGGGGTGGGGCCCGTGAATCTGTACGTTAACCAGCATGCAAAATGATGTGGATGCTGGTGGTCCAGGCATGGACCGCGCTCTCAGCAACACTGGTCCAGAGTCCAACAACAGACAACTCACTCACCACCTCCAGGAGAGACCACCCTGCGCTCCAAGCCTGTCTGGATCCCCCTGCCCTCGGGACGTCTCTGAGGACATCCTTCAGGTCCCTCACCTTGCCACGTCCCAAACCTGTTCCCTGCTGGGTATTCTATCCTGGGGACAGACCCACCGTCTTCCCCATCCACAGCCCTGGAAGGTCAGTCTCTGACATGGACCCAGGGACTGCCCTCTCTCCATGTGCGATCTTGTCTGCTTCTGTGGCTTGAACTGCCAAACATACACTGTCCCCTAAGGACACGTCCTGAGCTCCCAACATGGCACCTGTCACCTGGATGTCCCTTGGACCACCTGCACTTACTACCAGCTCCTTCTCCCAGGAGCCCCACCACCTACCATCACGTAGGCCTGGCCCCCGGGAGCGAACCTCTACCCCAGCCCCCGACACCGCCACCACCCAGCCTCACCTTTCCTGGCCTCCTGTCTGGCCTCATCACGCTCTACAGCTGAGAGGGGTCTTTCTGACATCCAGAGCTGGCCTAGGCCCGCCCCACTGCTCAAAGCCTCCTGGTTCTCCTGTGTCCCCAGGACAAACCATGGGCTGCTCAGTTTGGAATCCGAGCTCCTCAAACTCTGCACCTGCCCATCTCTCTAGCTCCCTACATGCTCATGCTCCAAAAGCATCCATCAACTTGCTCCTCTCAATGTCTCAGGCTTCCTCCTGCCTTTGAGTATTCAAAGTTTCTGTTGTCCTCTGCACCCAGATCACCCCTCACCTCCTTCCCTCCCAGCCTGACGGCTGATTCTCTTTCAAGACTCTGAGGAGCTGGGGCTGGGTCAGATGCCTCTTCCAGGCTCCCATGGTGCCCCTGCCACCTCCATGAGAGCTTGAGTCCTGAGCGCTGCCTGCCTGTCCCTGCATCTCCCACGAATCAGGTTGCACCAGACTGCCTGTGACTCACCACGGAGGCCCCAGCGTCATTCACCCAGGGCCCCAGGGATGTCTGCTGAAGTGAGAACAAGGACAGAGATGCCCCCTGGGGTTTCCTCCTGCCCAGTCCTGAGGGATGTCAGTGACGGGAGCCGGGGCGTGTGTTAAAAAGGAACTTTATTGGGTGTTGGGGATTCAGATGAGATCCATGAGGATGTCGTCCTCCATGACGCTGGGCTGCAGGCCCGGCTGGGGGACCGGGCCCCGGGGACCCCCGCTCAGCAGCATCTGACCTGAGGGGCAGTGGGGAAGGGACTGCATCTCCCAGTAGGCCCTTGGGCCCAGGAGGGCCCAGAGGCACTAAGTTTTCTAGGCAGCCCTTGGGGGACCCAACAGAAGCACCTTCTGGCCCCATCTAGTTACAAATATGCTGTTTCCCATGAGCCTTTGGGGGCCCTTCTCCAAAACTACTTCTCTGGCCCTAAGACCACATTTCCCAGCAATCCCAGGAGCACACACAGGAGGATCATGGGAAACGCTCTTAACCCACTAGGTCCTTGGACCCATGGGCTGTACTTTCCCGGAGCCCTCAGAGCTCCGCAAAGGCCATGGGGGAACCCTCATTCTTGGATCCTATGTCTTTACTTCCCAGGAGCACTCGGTCTTGGTGCTCTAGCCCAGGAGCTGCTGGGACACTCAGTCCAGACCTCTGCCCTCCCCCGGGTCCCCTTACCTGGCAGTGGAGCCCGAGGGGGAAGTTGTGCGGGCCAGGACTGGGCAGGTGGTGGATGCAGGAGTGGGGGCCCCAACTGGGGCTGCCCCAGGCCCTGGTGCGGCGGAGGCAGCAGCGCAGGAGCCCCTGGTGGCTGGAGGTGGTGGAGGGAGGCCTGGGGTGGGGGCACCCCAGTCTGCGGCTGGGAGAACACAGAGAGTGGCTCAGAGGCTCCTGGTAGAGACTCCCCACCTCTCAACACAGACACTGCTCAGAGATGGAATCAGCTAGTGGTGAGGGGAAGTTTTTCTTCAAAGGTGGGGGATGGACGGAGAGGAGGCGGTCTGCCTTCTGCCTAAAGCCCTGGGCGGGTCCCCATTCACACCCACTGACCACAGTCAACCTCCCTCCTCCCAGACAACAGGACCAGAACCACCAGGGCCAGGATCTGGAACTCTCGCTACCCCACCCCAACATCTCACCGGTGGTGGGTTGAGGAGGAGGCTTCGCAGCTGAGGGTTGGCCCCAGGGTTCTGGGGCCGAAGGATGGGTCCAGGAGGGGGTGGGCCAGAAGCTGCTCCAGGAGGGCCTTGAGGGGCACCTGGCGGGGGCTGGGCAGTACCTTGGGGCTGGGGCTGCCCCGTGGCCCCAGAGGCCCCTACGGTACCCTGAGGCTGGGGCTGCGGTGGGCGGAGCTGGAGCTGGTGGGAAGAGACACAGGGGTGAGGGAGATGGGCAGGGCCTCACGCCCCTTCTGCAGGCACAGAGCGCAGCCTTGGGGCCTCCCCAACCCAGCCCCGACCCCGCCAGCCCTGTCCTCACCAGATTCTGTGAGGGCCTGGCTTGGTCCTCCAGAATGGGCCCCAGCCCTGGGGGTGCCTGCTGTCCCCCCATCTGCACGGGGAGAGAGGGGCAGGTCAGTAACTGAGGGTGGTGGCATCCTGAATCTGAGGCGGGAGGGCCTGTGCCCTGAGGGGAACTAGTAAGGAGATGGGGACATTCTCTTTGGGGGTGAGTGGTCTGGGAGGGATGCCGTACACTCCAAGGTCTCCAGGAGGAAGCTGTGTCAGGGCTTTGATGTGGATGCTGAAAAAGGAGAGAGACTGCAAGAAAATCTGAGTGGGACTTAGCTTGGAGGCACCACATATTGGGAGAAGGGTGGGCATCTTGGTCCTGGAGACCCCAGGGGGCCATGTGGGGCCCGGGCAGGAGGGGGTCGGAGTGCTGGTTTGGGGACTGTCAACACTCACTCCTCGCTGCTGCTGCTCCAGCTTCTGCTGCTGGACCTGCTTGTGGTTGGTGATGACCTGCCGGATGCCGTTGACGAAGCCGCTCTGGTCGTAGGGGATGAGGCCCATGAAGATCTTCTTCTTGGACGAGTACAGGAGCATGAGCACGCGCACCTCACAGGGCGCCGTGTGGGGGAAGTGCACGCAGCCCGCCTGGGTGGACAACAGCTCTTCAGAACCATTCAGGCCCTGAAAGAGGCAGCCCTGACCCCCTCCCCATTCCAGAAGGCTCTAGAGGCCCCACAGGCAAGGTGAGGTGAGGTTTCTGCTATAGAAGGTTAAGGAGAACAGGTGTGCTATGGGTTGCTCTGGAGACAGAAACTGAGGCGCTCAGGGCAAGCTAGGGTTCCAGCTGCCCACTGAGAGGGAAAGCGGAGAGAAAGTGCTGGAGCCCAGCTCTTCAACCTTCAGCCACCACCTGCTCCTCATGGACCCAGTTTCTTGGGCATAAAATGCCACGGCGGCCTCCTCAGAGGGCGGCTGAGGGTCACGGCCGGGAGAGCGGCCTAGATGCACAGCGTGGTACCCACAGGCCTGTGATCAACGGTGGGTCGGACCCCGGGTATCCAAGAGATCCTCCAGCCCTCAGCACCGGCCAGTGTACACCACGGGGAGTGCTCCCACATCACAGGGTCGCTGTGACTATGCGATGTCTGATCCACAGCAAGAGCCCTGCCTGAGGCTCAGCCCACAGGAAGCACCCAGGAAACATCACTGGTCATCAGGGGGGTAACACATGGAGCATTCAGGGCAGGGGCTCCTGAGGGAGGCGAGGCTGACCTTGGCCAAGTGAATTGACTTCTCTGAGCCTCGGTTTCCTGCCTGAGACAGACCCTGCTAGCTGCCTATTCCATATCCAAGTGTCCTCCTCCCCTGCATTCCCAATGCTGTCTGGGGCTGTAACATGTCCCAGCCCCAGACAGTCACGGATACCTGCTCCCAGCAGCCTCCCATCAACTAGGGGCTGCCCAGTGGCCTAGGTCCGGGATAGGAGGTGAAAGGAATGCCTGCTCTGGAATCTGAGAAAGTTTCTGCTGTCTTGAAGAAAGGGAAACACACAGCCCCCTTCCCCTCCTTCATGAAAGCACACAGGATGCGTGGAGCCATGAGAGCTACCTTGTGACTATAAAGGAGAGGCCAAGAGAACCACAGGGCCCTGTCCCTGATGTCACAGACCTATGAAACCAATCCCAATAGCTGGCCCCCTCTAGATGTCCTGTCCTGTGCAAAATATAAATGCCTGCTCCTACAACGCCTGCCCTCTCAGAACCCAGCTGCCACAGTGTGGCCACGTGGACAGGCCATGTGCAGACACTGGGATGGCCGGTCCTAGCCAAGCCCCAGCCAACAGCCAGGGCTGTGTGAGGAGCTGTTTTGAACATCCAGCCCAGTAAAGGTTTCAGATGACCAGAGTCTCAGCTGCCATCTGATGGCAACCCCGTGAGAGTCGCCAAGCGAGATGGCCCACTGAGCCCAGGTGACCCACAGAATCATAAGAGAACATTTTTTCCGAGTGCCCCCAATTATCTATGTGTTTGGGAAACTACGTGATTTGCAGCCGGAAGTACTAACTCTCAGGAATGCCTTCTTCACAAGGTTCTGTGAGGGTCTCGTGAGGTGATCCCCCTAAGGTTCTCTTTCCTGCAGGAGTGCCTGGTGCACGGAAGTAACTGATCTGCTCCTTCCCCGAGTTACAAAGTGTGAACTGTGACTCCCAGAAAGCTATGCTGAGGCTGGGCGCGGTGGCTCACACCGGTAATCCTAGCACTTTGGGAGGCCGAGGCAGGCAGATCACTTGAGGTCAGAAGTTCGAGACCAACCTGGCCAACATGGTGAAACCCTGTCTCTACTAAAAAATACAGAAATTAGCTGGGCATAGTGGCACATGCCTGTAATCCCAGCTACTTGGGAGGCTGAGGCAGGAGAATCGCTTGAACCCAGGAGACGGAAGTTGCTGTGAGCCAAGATTGCACCACTGCACTCCAGCCTGGCTGACAACAGTGAAACTCTGTCTCAAAAAACAAAACCAGAAAGCTAAGCTGAGGTTCCAGTCCCCAGCACCTGTGAAGGTGACTCTATCTGGAAAGAGGGTCTTTGCAATTGTAGTAAGATGAGGTCAGGAAAATGGGGCCTAATCCAAAATTACTGATGTCCTTATAAGCACAGACACAAAGATACAGAGAGAATGCCATGTGGAGACACACACAGAGGGAAGACAGCTGCGGGATGGAGGAAGACCCTGGAGCGATGCCACCTGAAGCCTGGGGTTACCGGCCGGAAGAGGCAACGAAGAGGCCTTCCCTCCAGCCTCTAGAGAGAGCGTGGCCCTGCTGACACCCTGACCTTGGGCTTCTGGCCTCCAGAACTGGGATAGAACACGTTTCTGTTGTTTTAAGCCCCTCTGCTTGTGGTAATGTGTTACCACAGCCACAGGAAATGAACACATCCCATAAAGCCATGCCAGAATCAACAGCTTCCTCCTAACTGATCCTGTCACATCCAGCTCACATTTTTAATGTGGAATATCCCTCAAATCTGGTGCATACGATGATTATAATAAAAGTCACGGCTCTAGAAGAAAGGCGAGGAACCTAAGGGCATGAAGTGCACCCAACCATCAAAAACGGCTTCCGTGGGCCCAGGCACTCTGGGATTCCCGTCAAAGGTCAGCAGAAAGCAGGACAAGAGTCAACACCCCTCGGCCCCCCATGCCCTGGACTCACGAAGCCGTTGCCCATGATGCGGTAGAGGCCTTTGAGAGACTCCAGGTCCTTGTTGGTGAAATGGAACTGGACCATCCTTGAGTTCCGGAACAAAGGGCCCAGGGTGGTCTGCGGGAGACACAGAAGTCGGCTGGCATGCTGGTGTGGGCAAGTGAGGCGGGGACATGAGGCAGGGAGTGGGGGTGGGGCAGGGAACAGGAAAGAGACAGCAGGGTGAGGACTGCCCGGCAGCAGGGCTGGCCCTCCACCGCCACTCACCAGCAGCTGCTGGGGGATGAGCTGCATGATCAGCTTCTGGGGCCACTGCTCCGTCTTCCTGGGGGCGATGCCAGGAGAGGTGTGAGGAGGGGGCCAGCCCCAGCCCCACCACACCCCGCCCCTGACTGTCACCTACAGGTTCTCGCCATGATTCACGTAGACCTGGCAGGGCAGTGACCGCGTCAGCTTGGTGTTGGCATCCACTGAGGCAGGTTTGGGTTTCTGAGGGGGAAAAAAGAGCATGTCAGTAAAAAGGGCCATAAGCCTCAGTCCCCTTGAGCCCTCATGTCCTACCCTGGTAGCCCCAAAGCTCAGGATGTTCCCCAGTTTAAGTCCCATGAGCCCCAGGCCCCTCCTCCAGACCAGCAAGCCTTCAGTTCCTCAAATGTTACAGCTACGTGCCCGGCCCCTAAATCCCACCATCCACTGTGCCCCAGATGATACATCGCCTGGGCTCTTCTCTGGGCCCCAAATCCTGGGCTTTTCTGGGTTCTTTGCATGGGGACTCTCCTCTGTACCGCAAGTCCCACCACTCCATGGGGCTCCTGGCCTCGCCCCGCATCCCACAGGTCCAGCGCAACGAATGCCTCCAAACCCAGCACTGCAGACCCCACGCATCTGGCCCCATGAGTCCTACATGCCCAGCCCCACGGCCCCAGGAGTCCCAAGTGCCCAATGGACCCTCAGGCCCCTCACCTCTTGCCACTCCAGGACCCCGCTCCAGGCCAGAAGCTTATTGGAGACTGACTGCTGCCCACCGAGGGCTGGGGCTCCCAGCTGGGCTGGGGAAGGGCCGCTCACCCCTCCTGGGGCCACAGTGCCTGCCTGCCAGAGGGGAGGAAGGAGGGCCATGAGAATGGGGAAGGCCGGGAGCCTCCGGGGGCCATCCTGTGAGGGCAAACCAGGAAGGAGGAAAGATCCCTTCTTCTGCCCCTCCATCCCCAGAACAGCACTTGGCCAGCCGCAGGACCCCAAATGCTTGGACCTTGCAGGATTCGAGGACTCGTAAGCTGTGCGATGCCCTGGACTCCCAGACCCAGGGATTCCTTGGGTTTCTCGGAACAGCCCTGACCCTCCTGGAGCCATGAGCCTCCCCACTCTGTCCCCAGACCCTCATCTCAGGCATCTGCAGCACACACACCACGAGCCCCCAAAGCCCCAGAACCACGAGAGCCACATCCCCCTGGAAGGCAAATGACTCATCCTCTAACTGTCCTAGCTGTGGACAGCAGGAGGAAGGAGCAGGGGCAGGAGGCGTGCAGGCACCTACCATGGACGGTGCCCCGGGCTGTGCCGTGGGAGCCAGGCCGGAGCCAGGGGCCACAGTGGAGACCAGACTGGGCTGGGAAGCAGGTGGTGGCTTGGGGGCGCCAGGGGGTCCTGGGGGTAGTTGGGGAGCTGGGGCCTGGCTGAAGGGGGGACCCACTCCGGGAGCAGCTTGTTGGAGAGGGGTGATGGGCGAGACTGTGGGAGAGACCAAGGGAAGAAGTGGGGAACAAGTGTGTGGAGAGAGGCCTGCCTGGCCCCTGCCCGCCCTTCATCCTCACTCCAGGACTCACAGCGAGGGCCCAGCCCAGCCTTCTGGTTCTTGGCAGCCTCCACTGCATTCTGCGCGGCCACCTGAGCTGCACTCAGGTTCCCGGGAACCTGTGGGTAGAAGGGAAGAAGGGAAGGGACTGGTGAGGACCATGGCCCCCCAGTCCTGGTATCCCACGAGGTCACACCACCCATGGCCCCATGAGGCACCAGCTGGGATAGCTTAGCTCACAACACCCATCACACAGCACATGAGCTTCCATGGCCCCAAGAGTCCCACCTTCCCAATGTCCCATGGGACTCCCATCATCCCACAAGCTCCAACATGCAACTAGATTTCTCCCCAGGGGCCAGGGCTCCAGCAAGTCCCCAGAAGCATGTCCCTTCCCGGAAATATCCATACCTGGTACTGCGGGGGGACGGGGGGCAGAGGCTGCTGGGGGGCTGCTGAGAGAGTGGCACCTGAGGGTGCGGCGGGAGGCAGGGGGACTGGCTGCTTTGACTGGAGGGGGCCTGGGGCTGAGCCACCCCCAACTGAGAGCAGGAGGGATGGCCAACCCCAGAGAGAAGGGATTCAAGATGCAGAGAAAGGAGAGAAATCCAAAATCCAAGTCAGAGGGAGCTGGGGAAACACGTCGAGCCCCCATCCCCGCGCACGGTGCCCAGGCCTCACCAGGCAGCACGAGTCCCCGAACCAGCACCATGTGCCTCGGGTCCTGGCTCACATCTGTCGGAGGCTGCAGCGGCTCCAGCAAGGCCGGGGGGGCTGCCTTCTCAAACAGAAGCCGAAGCGCAGGCAGCTTCCGGGGAGACACAATGGAGAAGTGGATCCCCCGCTGTAGGAGAGGGGCCGAGCAGTCATGACGGGCCCCCTCCATAAGGGTGTTGGGGCCGGCCCCCAACCTACCACAACTGCTGTGTGGCTGGACGGCACCAGCCCTACAACCACAATTCCCATTGGGCTTTGAGGCAGGAGACCCTGAAACCAGGTATCACCTGCCCCGGGAGACTCTGGGTTCTAGTTTTGTCAGTAAGACTAAGTGGGCCAGGTGTGGAGGCTCACGTCTGTAATCCCAGGATTTTGTGAGACCGAGTCAGGCAGATCACATGAGGCCAGGAGTTTGAGAGCAGTCTGGCCAACATGGTGAAACCTCATCTCTACTAAAGATACAAAAATCAGCTGGGCGTGGTGGCGGGCGTCTATAATCCCAGCTACTCGGGAGGCTGAAACATGAGAATTGCTTGAACCCTGGAGGCAGAGGCTGCAGTGGGCCAAGATCACACCACTGCACTCCAGCCTGGGTAACAGAGCCAGACTGTTTCGAAAAGAGAGTAAGCAAAGCTGGTCACCAGTCTGTGACTATTCTGTGTCTGAGTCCAGGCCCCCAGTGCCTCCCCGCTTAGACCCAAGAGTCCAGGCCCCCAGTGCCTCCTCCCTCAGACCCAGGAGTCCAGGCCCTCAGTGCCTCCTGCCTCAGACCCAAGACTCCGGGCCCCCAGACCCTCGTCCCTCAGACCCTGGAGTCCTCACCTCCCCAATCTGCTGCACAAGATTCTCAGTTGTGCATCCAGAGTACGTGGTGCTCTCAACAGCAGGCAACAAGTATGGGGGTGAGTTGCAGATGAGGAGGCAGACCCGGTGCGTCTGGCCACTACCAGGAAAGAGAGAAGACATGGAGCCAGCAGCAACAGAGGCCCTGAGAAGGAACCCAGACCCAGCACCAGCGGAGATGCACATATTCCGCCTCACATGGAATCAGAAGCAACGCCCCTACTTTACAGCTGAGAACACTGAGGCTCCAAGAGGTTCTGGGATGTGCTCTACGTCACCCAGCAGGCAGGGCAGGCAGGAGTGACACCCAGAGTTGGCACTGCTTCCTGATGGGGATGCTGAGACCGGGCACTGGCCAGGCGTCCCCCAAGGACACACCTGCAGCCTCCTGGCTCAGCGTGCTTGGGGACACAGAGCCCATGCCCTACAGGGTGAGGCTGGAGGTAGAACCACTCGACAGGCAAAGTGGTTCCAGGCCAGGCAGAGAGAGACCGGCCCGGCCTGGGTGGAGGGGGCACTCACATCTGCTCGCGCATCTTCTTGAAGTCATCAAACAGCTGCAAGGCTGTGCTGAGTCCTTCCGCGATGAGGCTGCAGCTCTCACCACCCCCGCCCATGAACCTGCAGGGGCAGAGCGGTCAGCCCCCAGGGTTGCCATCATCCCCATCCCCAGGCTATGCTTGAAGAGCCTGCTCCCATGCTGTCCCCCACTCTATCCTGGGCTATGCACCTTGGGATGACGGGGACCCTGCTGAGTTCCCTACCCAATCCCTGGTGCTAGCACAGCACCAGTCCCAGACAGGACAGGGGACATTTGCTGTCTGTGTTTTTTTTTTTTTTTGAGATGGAGTCTCGCTCTGTCGCCCAGGCTGGAATGCAGTGGCATGATCTCAGTTCACTGCAAGCTCCGCTTCCTGGGTTCATGCCATTCTCCTGCCTCAGTCTCCCGAGTAGCTGGGACTACAGGTGCCTGCCACCACACCTGGCTAATTTTTTGTATTTTTAGTAGAGACGGGATTTCACCATGTTAGCCAGGATGGTCTCCATCTCCTGACCTCATGATCCACTTGCCTCAGCCTCCCAAAGTGCTGGGATTGCAGGAGTGAGCCACCACACCCGGCCGACATTTGTTGTCTTTAATCATGAGGACTGGGAGGGAATGGGAAAGGGCTGGGGACCCCAAGCCTAGGATCCTGTGCTGACTCCAACCCTGGAGTGACTGACTCCATGCCCAGCCTCCTGCTGTCCCCTCCCCTCTCTGGGCTGTCTGCTCCAAATCAGTCCTGGCCCCACTTCACCTTCCCAGCCAGAGACGGGGGCCTCCTCTGTCCTCCTAGTCTTATGGGTTCAAGTGTGCCCCCTTCAAAAAGACAGGTTGAGGTCCTAAGCCCCAGTACCTCAGAAGGTGACCTAATTTGGAAAGATCTTTACACAGGTAATCGAGTTAAATTGCGGGCCCTAATCCACTATGGCTGGTGTCTGTGAAAAGGAGAAACGTGGACACGGACACACACACAGAGGGAAGACACAAGGACACAGAGAGACACAGGGAGAGGCCATGTGAGGACGGGTGATGCAGCCTCAGCAGGCACCAGGAAAGGCAGAAGGGCCCTTCCCCTGTAAGATTTCAGAGACAGCCTGGCCCTACCACCTGGATTTTGGACTTCCAGCCTCCAGAACCCTGAGACATCAATTTCCATTCTTCTGGCCAGTTTCTCATACTTTGCTACGGCAGCCTGGGAAACTAACACACACAGACTCTCGTTTCTCCTCCGCCTGATCTGCAGTCGCGTCGCAGCATCCGTCCCACATGGGTTGTGGCCCGGGGATGGCCTCTCCTCAAGGGCAGCTGTGGTTGCCACCATTATTCCGGTCACGTGGTCGTGAGAGGCTGACCTTTGCTGCAGGGGACGTGTGTGGAGACCGAGCACCCCTCTGAGGGTCTTGAGGGCCCTGTCCCCCTGAAGTGTGGTCTCTGATCCTACCTCTCCCACAGGCGGGGATGGGGTCTGAGTCCTCTCTTACCCCCAGGCTTGCCCACCACAGCGGGGCACATGTGAGGCCTCAGGAAATGTAGGCTAAGTGAATGAACGTCTACAGGCCCAACCGTGTCCATCAAGACTGGAACCAACCCAGGCCCTCGGCCCGGCATCGGCCCAGCATCCGAGGCCTCCGAGTCCTGCACCCCGTCCATCTCTCCTGCTCCATGCCCGCACCTATAGGTCCTCTCAACTGACAAAGCCCAGACATCCAGGTCTCTGCATGTGCTGGAACACACCCATTCCGGCCCGGATGGAATCCAGCTAAACTACGACACCCATCCTGGTGTGCCCTCCTATAGGAAGCCTTCCCTACATGCCACCTAATTTTACGGCCTGCCCTTAGTCACATCATAGATCACCCGATACTGCAGCTGTCAAGCTTCTCTCCGCACCCTGTGCAGCCCTCCAAGAGAGACACCAAGGCGTCTGACCCTAGGTCACACAAGGCCTAGGAACCATCTGCTGAGTACTCAGTGCACTGGTGGCCTGGCAGGGCCATGCAGCGGGGCTCTCCGCTTCCTGCCTGAGTTCTCGCACTGATTTCCTTCCAGTCCCACTCGGCCCGGCCAGTGAGCACACTGAGCCCCTGAGCCTTCTTCCTGCTCTCAGGGCACTCGGGCGCTGCTCCCAACCCACCACACACTTCCCAGCCCTCCTCTTCCTAGCCATCAAAACAGCTTTTGTTTTTGAGACGGAGTCTCGCTCTGTCTCCCAGGCTGGAGGGCAGAGGCACATCTCCGCTCACTGCAAGCTCCGCCTCCCGGATTCACGCCATTCTCCTGCCTCAGCCTCCCTCGTAGCTGGGACCACAGGTGCCCGCCACCACGCCCGGCTAATTTTTTTAATTTTTAAGTAGAGACGGGGTTTCACGGTGTTATCCGGGATGGTCTCGAACTCCTGACCTTATGATCCACCCGCCTCGGCCTCCCAAAGTGCTGGGATTACAGGCGTGAGCCACTGTGCCCGGCATCAAGACAGCTTTGCACGCAGAAACTTCAACTGTGTGCAAAGAGTTGGGGTGAACCAACTCTGGACCCAGCTGTTCTGCTACAGGTGAAATTAAGCCAATATTTTCCTGGGCCTTTCTGGGACTCGAGCCAAAACCACCCTGGCTGGGGATGGGGGGATGGGGGAATGGGGAGCTAGTGCTTCATGCATATGGGGTGTCCTCTTTGGGGTGATAAATTTTTTTTTTTGAGATGGAGTTTCGCTCTTGTTGCCCAGGCTGGAGTGCAATGGCACGATCTCAGCTCACCACTACCTTCGACTTCTGGGTTCAAGTGATTCTCCTGCCTCAGCCTCCCGAGTAGCTGGGATTACAGGCATGCGGCACCACGCCCAGCTAATTTTGTATTTTTAGTAGAGACAGGGTTTCTCCATGTTGGTCGGGCTGGTCTCGAACTCCCGACCTCAGGTGATCCGCCTCCTCACCCTCCCAAAGTGCTGGAATTACAGGCATGACCCTGTAAAACAGTTGGAAGTGACTGGGTGCAATGGCTTATGCCTGTAATCCCAGCACTTTGGGAGGCCGAGGTGGGCGGATCACTTGAGGTCAGGAGTTCAAGACCAACCTGGCCAAAGTGAAACCCTATCTCTACTAAAAATACAAAAACCAGCCAGACATGGTGGTGGGTACGTGTAATCCCAGCTACTCGGGAGGCTGAGGCAGGAGAATCACTTGAACCTCGGGGGCAGAGGTTGTAGTGAGCTGAGATCATGCCACTGCACTCCAGCCTGGGAGAGAGAGAGAGACTCCATCTCAAACAAAACAAAACAAAACAAAACCCTTATGAGGAAAAGTGTGATAAACTAACCAGTTTGAGATGCTAAAACTTGCGTTTCTCTTATTGAACACTAAGTACAAGTCATGTGCTACAAGCTCAAAGGGCGACATGTAATAAACATTTTGTCAAAGAAATGTGGAAAACTTGAACAGAAGAAGCACTATGGCTGGCTGCAAAATATGGCTAAAATATCAAGTTTATGATAAATTCCAAATAAACCCCTTGATATGGCAGACACAAAATAAAAATAAAAGCCCCCTAGGTGACACAAGTGGGCTCTGACTTGGTGTTCCCAAGTCCTCTAACTTACTCCCATTTGTTCTACCCAGTATCATTCCCCGGGGTCTCTGCTGCCCGCTTTCATCGGCTAACAGGTGCCTGGAGCCCCAGGAGGTCAAAATGAGTGAATGTTAACAGCATCCGGCCATGACCAAGGGCTCCCTACACACGGCCTGTCACCCAGGCAAACTAGTTCCATGAGGGCCAGGACCTTGCCTATCTCATGCCCACTAACTCCTTGGTGCCCAGGACGATTTGTTCCACAAACATTTGTTGAATTAATGAGTGAACATATGAATGAACAACTGAGTTGTCATAATGTTATGGGAAACACACTGGGTCTATTTTCCTTCCACCTCTTTTTTTTTTTTTTTTTTCCCGAGACAGGGTCTCGCTCTTTCACCCAGGCTGGAGTGCGGTGGCACAATCTCGGCTCACTGCAACCTCTGCCTCCCAGTCTCAGTTGATCCTCCTACCTCAGCCTCCTGAGTAGCTGGGACTACAGGTGTGCACCACCATGCCTGGTTAATTTTTTCTATTTATTTGTTGTTTTTGTATTACATACTAATTCATTTATTCAGCCAGTCTCCTGAAGCCCCGTGGGTGCCAAGCCCCAGCTGGAAGCAAATGGCAGAAGCACCCAGGGACCTGGACATTCACAGTCCAGAGGTGTGGGGCTGTGACAGGTCATGGAGGCAGAGGAGGAAGCATCTGGCTGCAAGAATCGGGAAGGTTTCCCAGGGTATAAGACACCTGAGCTGGGTCTGGAAGGCTATGCAGTGTCTTCCAGGGTGGTTAGTATTAAATGCATTCTGGACATTCATTCTACAGAATTTACCCGAGGCCTCCTGTGTACCAGGCCCTGTGCTGGCTGCCAGGCACTTGAGGAGCATCAGACTTGGACCTGGGCCTCAAGAAGTCTCCATTTAACATCACTCAAGACTGTCTTACCGGTCTCTCCCAGTGGTCTCAAATGGAATACATTTTGCGCCCCCTTCCCAGAGGATATTTTATAATGCCTGGAGACATTTTTGGTTGTCACACCTTTGGGAGGGGGCTACCGGCATCTAGTGAGTAGAGGCCAAGGATGATGTTAAACATCCTACAATACCCAGGACGGCCCCCACTACAAGGAATGACTGTGTCCACAGTGTCACTAGGGCCAAGGATGAGAAACCCTGCTCTGTGTTACCTACGAATTCCAGCTACCGCGAAGGGGAAGCTTCTGTGTCACCTTTTCACTATATGTCCTGCACCCAGCACTTGCACGCACATACTGGAACAAAGCAGATACTCAACAAACACCTGCTGCAGAAGCATACAGAGGTAACGGCCGCTACGAACAGGTGTTGTTTAATGAACCTTGACTGCAGACCAGGCCCTAAGCGACACACAGCAAGCAACTTAGCTCCTGTGATCTTCTAACAACACGGAGATACACGCGACCATTATCCATTTGCAAACCAGGAGAGTGAGGCACAAAATCCTAGGAAACACTTACACGGCACTTAATACATGCCAGGCACTGTATTAAACATCATCAACTAACTTAATTCTCCAAACATCGCTGTGAGGTTGCGGTACCCAGCCCCCAATACAGCACCCAGCAATCCAGCCTCTTGCTATTTACACACTGGGTAGTCTCCTCCTACACTGAACGGGATAGGCTTATACTGCACACCAAATGCAGTATGGCAGAAGTGGACTTGGCACCGCAGCTCAGGCCTGTGATCTCAGCACTCCAGCACTTAGGGAGGTCAAGGCAGGAGGATCGCTTGAGGCCAGGAGTTCAAGACCAGTCTGAGCAACACAGCAAGACCTCATCTCTACAAGAATTAAAATAAAGAAATCAGCCATGCATGGTGGTGCCCACCTGCAGTCCTAGGTACTCAGGAGGCTGAGGTGGGAGGATCACTTGAGCCCGAGAGGTCGAGGCTGCAGCAAGCTATGATCCCACCACTGCACTCCAATCTGGGCAACAGAGCAAGACCCTGTCTCAGGTTAAAAAACAGAATGTAGGCCAGGCGCGGTGGCTCACGCCTGTAATCCCAGCACTTTGGGAGGCCGAGGCGGGTGGATCACAAGGTCAGGAGACCGAGACCATCCCGGCTAACACAGTGAAACCCTGTCTCTACTAAAAATACAAAAAATTAGCTGGGTGTGGTGGCGGGCACCTGTAGTCCCAGCTACTCAGGAGGCTGAGGCAGGAGAATGGCGTGAACTCGGGAGGCGGAGCTTGCAGTGAGCTGAGATCGCACCACTGCACTTCAGCCTGGACAACAGAGCGAGACTCTGTCTCAAAAAAAAAAAAAAAAAAAAAAAAAGAATGTAACAGAAATAATGACATGACGTGTAACTTCCAAGACTTGATTACAAAGAGCCTAGTGGGGCCTCTGGGTGCAGCATCTCATGCCTCTAATCCCAGCACTTAGGGACACTGAAGTGGAGGATCACTTGAGACCAGGAGTTCAAAACCAGCCTGGGCAACATTGCAGGACCTTGTCTCCACAAAAAAAACAATTTTTTTTTGAGACAGGGTCTCAGTCAGTCAGTCACCCAAGCTGGAGCGCAGTGGTGCGATCTCTCCACCTCCTGGCTTGAAGTGATTCTCCTGCCTCAGCCTCCTGAGTAGCTAGGATTACAAGGCACATGCCACCACACCTGATTAATTTTTGTATGGTTTTTTTTTTTTTTTTTTTTTTGAGACAGAGTCTTGCTCTGTTGCCCAGGCTGGAGTGCAGTGGTGCAATCTTGGCTCACTGCAAACTCCGCCTCCTGGGTTCACGCCATTCTCCTGCCTCAGCCTCCCGAGTAGCTGGGACTGCAGGTGCCTGCCACCGCGCCCGGTTAAATTTTTGTATTTTTAGTAGAGACGGGGTTTCACCGTGTTAGCCAGGATGGTCTCCATCTCCTGACCTCATCATCCACCCGCCTCAGCCTCCCAAAGTGCTGGGATTACAGGCGTGAGCCACCACGCCTGCCCAATTTTTGTATTTTTTGTAGAGACGGGGTTTCACCATGTTGGCCAGGCTGGTCTCGAACTCCTGACCTCAGGTGATTCGCCCGCCTTGGCCTCCCAAAGTGCTGGGATTACAGGGATGAGCCACCGTGCCCCGCCACTACAAAATTTTTTTTTTTTTTTTTTTTTGAGACAGAATTTCACTCTTGTTGCCCAGGCTGGAGTGCAATGGTGTGATCTCGGCTCACTGCAACCTCCACCTCCCAGGTTCAAGCAATTCTCCTGCCTCAGCCTCCCAAGAGCTGGGATTACAGGCATGCGCCACCATGCCCAGCTAAGGCCTGTAATTTCAGCACTCCAGCACTTAGGGAGGTCAAGGCAGGATGATTGCTTGTATTTTTAGTAGAGGCAGGGTTTCACCATGTTGGACAGGCTGGTCTCGAACTCCTGACCTCAGGTGATCCACCTGCCCCAGCCTCCCAAAGTGCTGGGATTACAGGCGTGAGCCACCACGCCCGACCTACAAAAATATTTTTAAGAAATCAGCCAGGTGTGCTGGCATTTGGCTACCGTCCCTGCTACTCCAGCTACTCGGGAAGCTGAGATGGGAGGATCGCTTGAGCTTGAGCCCAGGAGGTCGAGGCTGCAGTGAGCCGTGACTGAGCCACTGCACTCCAGCCTGCGTGACAGAGTGAGACCCTTCCTCAAAAACAAGAGAGGCCTGGGGCTTCCTCTTTGCTCTCTCTATTGGGTCC
Source organism: Homo sapiens (assembly GCF_000001405.40). Classification (NCBI taxonomy): domain Eukaryota; kingdom Metazoa; phylum Chordata; class Mammalia; order Primates; family Hominidae; genus Homo; species Homo sapiens. Next base: position 49,821,250 of record NC_000019.10, on the reverse strand, counting down.
CTCAATCTGAGGAATGCCAGTTGCCATGTTAGACAGTCAACCAGCCCTGTGGAGAGGTCTTGTGGCCAACAGCCACAGACTCGCCACCTTGGGAACGGATTCCCCACCACCAGTCAAACCCCTGGATGGCTGCAATCCTGCCGACCTCCTGACTATTGCCTTGTGAGACCCTCAGCCCAACCATCCAGCCAAGCCACTCTTGTGTCCTTGACTCACAGAAACTGCGTTAGATAATAAATGTTTGCAGTATGCAGCCATTATTTGGTGGTAATCTATTATACAGCTAAGAATAAGTAATACAATGAAATACTAATACAAGTACTATCCACATCCCCACTTCACAAGTGAGATACTAGGCACAGAGGGGACAGACTCCTGGGTCTGAGAGTTAGTTCTGTGCTGGAAGAGCCAGGATTTAACCCGTCTGCCTGACTCCAGACTCTACAATGTCAACTATCAAAATCCGATCCAGCGCCAGGCGTGGTGGTGAGGCAGGAAATTAAAGAAAAAAAATTAAAAAGAGAAATAAGTTCTATGTATTAGGCTGACTTGTCTGAGAGGCAGCAATGGGCACAGCCCAGACCCAGGAAAAGTCTTGATAATACTATCTAAAGTGCTCTTGGAGACTCTCCCAGCACTCCCTCAACATAGAGAGAAGAAAAAACAAATTTTCCTTTGTTTTATGGAATGAGTTTATAGATTCCTGTTCTCTGTAACTCATGACTTCAAGTATTCTGTTTTATCTAAGAAGTACAGCGAAGGTCATGAGAAGCCTGAGCTGCCTGGGCACCACAGTGAAGGTTATGGGATAAGCCCGTGCCTAGGCTAACCTAGATAAGGGACATCTGGGTTGCATAGCAACGGTTATGTGCAATCCTGAGTTATAAACCTGTTACAACAATTTGATTAACTGTTTTTGTTCTGCCTCTGTATCCCTGCTGTCACGCCACTGTAAGCTTGCTTCAAGCTAGCCCACCCCCTTTTGTGAAGTGTGTATAAAAGTCAAGTGCTACCTTTGTTCTGGGCCGTCTTTGGACGTGAGTCGGCTTGGGCCTGAGTGCACTCAATGAAAGATTCTCCTGCTTTAACCCGAGGGCTCTCTCCTGTCGTCCTGAATCCCGCAACAGTGGCTCACCCCTATAATCCCAGCACTTTGGGAGGCTGAGGCAGGCAGATCACATGAGGTCAGGAGTTTGAGACCAGCCTGGCCAACACAGTGAAACTGTCTCTACTAAAAATACAAAAAAAAAAAAAAAAATTAGCTGGGCATAGTGGCGTGTGCCTGTAATCCCAGCTACTTGGGAGGCTGAGGCAGAAGAATCGCTTCAACCCAGGAGGTACAGGTTGCAGTGAGCCACGACTGTGCCACTGCACTACAAGCCTGGGAGACAGAGCAAGACACTGTTTCAAAAAAAAAAAAAAAAATTCTGACCCAAGCCACAGAGGGATCTATCCTGGCTCTGACCCATCCCCCTGCACTGAGGCTACAATGTACCCATCTGGAAAAGGAGGACAGGGGTAGACGGAAAAAGAGAGGACAGAAAGGGGACAATCACACAGGGAGTACAAGGTGGCTGCTGGAGCTCAGCCAGGCCTCCCTGAATGGGAAGGTTTTTCCTACTTCTAAACTGATGGCAACATTGCTGAGCACACAGAAGCCACCACAAAAGTGACTTCTGACAAAAACACAATCACCCTCAAAGTCCTTTCAATCCCTTAATGTATGAGATGTTTCCTGCAGCTCAAACCCAAGCCATCGCTCATTCACGGCCCCTCGCAGGGACCCCAACCACCCCAAGCCATTACTTATTCACAGCCCCTCACGGGGACACCAACCACCCCAAGCCATCACTTATTCACAGCCTCTCACGGGGACACCAACCACCCCAAGCCATCACTCATTCACGGCCCCTCACAGGGACCAGCAACCCACCCCAAGTGGGGGAAAGCTCACTTAATGCCATCGAGCCAGGTGACAAACTCATAGGCGCTGCTGGTGGGAGCGTGACATTGTACGTAGGACTCGGGAGCGCAGTCCACTGTGTTGAACACCACGAGGCTGTACTGGGTCCCCCCATACTGGGAGGGGAGGACAGAAAACTTTTAATCTGGGACCTCAATTCCCTTTTCCCTTAGAGAAGGAATCAGGGCTCCCAGCTTCCCGTTCCTCCAGAACCAGGAACTCCTCAGCTTCCTCCTTCCTCAGACCCAGCAATCTCGGCCCCAGCCCCTTCTCCCTCAGACCCAGGAATCCAGGCCCCCGGCCCCTCCTCCCTCAGACCCAGGAGCCCAGGCCCCAGCACCTCCTCCCTCAGACCCAGGAATCCAGGCCTCAGCTCCTCCTTTCTCAGACCCAGCAGTCCAGACGCCCAGCCCTTCCTCCCTCAGACCCAGGGATCTGGGCCCCTAGCTCCCTCCTCCCTCGGACCCAGGAATCCGGGCCCCAGCGCCTCCACCCTCAGACCCAGGAGTCCAGGCCCCCAGGCCCTCCTCCCTCAGAACAAGGAGTCCAGACCCCCAGCCCCTCCTCCCTCAAACTCAGGAGTCCAGGCCCAGCCCTTTCTCCCTCCCTCAGACCCAGGAGTCCAGGCCCCCGGCCCCTCCTCCCTCAGGCCCAGGAGTCCCTAGACTCACGTCTCCCCCGAAGTCCGTCTCAGCAGGAGGACCACCATTAAAATACCTGTGAGGGTAGGAAGTGAAAGGTCGGAGTCAGGCAAGAAACTGTGCGAAACTGAAGTGGGAGGGCGGGGTTAGAGTCGCGGAAACAGCACTCACTCGATGGCCGGGAGCAGGTAGTGCTTGCGGAGCCCCTCGAAGTAGGGTCCCAGGTTGGCCGTACCCTCAATCACAAACACCACGTCGGCCACCACGCTCCCGGCGCGGGCCGGGCCCTCGGACCCGGGGACCATACCCCGTGCGGTACCCGCCACCACCACTGCAGCCGCAGCCGACGCCGCGGAATGAGCAGAAATGCGCCTGCGCCGCGCGCGCGCTCGCGTCGGGCGGTTTAGGGCTGCTGGGAATGCTGCCATGTTTGTGCGGGGCACGCGCTGAGGCTTCGTTCTAGCTCCATCCTCCTTCGCCCCCACCGCGTGGAAGACTCAGAAAGGGCATAGTTAGCCCTTCTAGGGGCCTGATGGGTTAGACGGAATTATTGTCAAAAGCTAAATAAATTGAAAGCGGCTCAGTCAGCCGCCATCTTTGAGCGGGGCGTCCAGGTCCGCCTCTTGTCTCAAAGGGAGGGGCAGGAGACCTGGTTGCTATGCAACGCGTACGCTGCCCTTGTTTTCGTTTTTGTGTTTTGTTTTTTGTTTGTTTGTTTTTTCGAAACGGGAGTCTCGCCCTGTCGCCCAGGCTGGAGTGCAGTGGCGCGATCTCGGCTCACTACAACCTCCGCTTCCCGGGTTCAAGCGATTCTCCTGCCTCAGCCTCCCGAGTAGCTGGGATTACAGGTGCCCGCAACCACGCCCCGCTAATTTTTGTATTTTTAGTAGAGAAAGAGTTTCACCCTGTGGGCCAGGCTGTTCTCGAACTCCTGACCTCAAGTGATTCGCCCGCCTTGGCTTCCCAAAGTGCTGAGATTACAGGCGTGAGCCACCGCGCCGGGCCCGCTGCCCTTGTTTTGTAACCGTTAGATTAAGTTTCTGGTTCTGTTCTTTCGGGCGTGGGGACTAGGGGAGGGACGCGAGAAGGATCCAATCACATCGGCGGAAACGAGGTTACTAGGCGACGCTTTAAGGTCGTCCTCAACTTGGAAGGGAGGGCAGTTGTTTTCCCCCCCGAAAAGAAGCCGAACACCAAACCAAGTGCGGGTTGCTAAGCAACACCTGAGCGTTGTTTTCTGGGAGAGGAGCCAGAAACTGGCTTAGAACGTAAATACATTCCAGGTGGATTAAAAATGTAAGTGCAACAAATGAAACCCGAAAACTATCTGAAGGGAAAAAATCTTAATGACTGCCATGGAGTTTCTTAGCACTACAGCAAAGTTAGAAAACGTAGTCTTCATTAATTTTTCCCAAAAGACTGTATAAACCAAGTTGAAAAATATACGGCCAACTGGGAAAATCTTTCTAGCGTGTTTGTTGACAGAAATGTACTACGCAAATAAATCTTACTGATGAATAACAATATAGAAAAATAGAAACACTTCATTACTATTATCTTTTAATTTTAATTTTTATTTTTTGAGGCAGGGTCTCTTTCTGTTGTGCAGGTTGAAGTGCAGTGGCCCAATCTTGGCTCACGGCAGCCTCTACTCGCACTGGAGCCACTCTTCAGCCTGTGGAGCAGCTGGGACCACAGCCGCGCACTACCACTTCCAGCTAATTTTTAAATTTTTTGTAGAGATGGGGTCTCACTGTGTTGCTCTGGCGTGTCTCAAACTCCTCGGCTAAAGCGATCCCAGGTGTTAGCCATCGTGCCCTGCCACTTTATATTTGTTTTAATAGAAAGAAACCTGACCAGGGCCGGACGCCGTGGCTCACGCTTGTAATCCCAGCACTTTGGGAGGCCAAGGCGGGCAGATCACCCGAGGTAAGGGGTTCAAGACCAGCCTGGCCAACATGGTGAAACTCCTTCTAACTACTAAAAATAAAAAAATTAGCCGTCCTGGTGGGCGTCTGTAATCCCAGCTACTTGGGAGGCTGAGTCAGGAGATTCTCCTGAACCCGGGAGGCGGAGGTTGCAGTCAACTGAGATTGTGCCACTGCATTCCAGCCTGGGCGGCAGAGTTAGACTCCGTCTCAAAAAAAATAAAAATAAATAAATAAAAAGAAACCTGACTAGTTTCACACAAACACACACACAAAATTTTGAATGGCCAGTAAATATTTTAAAACATAATCTTCGGCCGGGCGAGATGGCTCATGCCTGTAATTCCAGCACTTTGGGAGGTAGAGGCGGGCGCATCACGAGGTCAGTATCACTGGGCGTCGTGGTGCCCACCTGTAATCCCAGCAACTCGAGAGGCTGAGGCAAGGAGAATCGCTTGAACCCGGGAGGCAGAGGTTGCAGTGAGCCGAGATCACGCCACTGCACTCCAGCCTGGGCGACAGAGCGAGACTGTCTCAAAAAAAAAACAAAAAAAACAAAAAAAACAGGCCGGGCGCAGTGGCTCATGCTTGCAATCCCAGCACTTTGGGAGGCCAAGGCGGGCAGATCACGAGGTCAGGAGATCGAGACCATCCTTGCTAACACGGTGAAACCCCGTCTCTACTGAAAATCCAAAAAAAAAAAAAAAAAAATTAGCGGGGCGTGGTGGCGGGCGCCTGTAGTCCCAGCTACTCCGGAGGCTGAGGCAGGAGAATGGCGTGAACCCGGAAGGCGGAGCTTGCAGTGAACAGAGATCGCGCCACTGCACTCCAGCCTGGGGGACGGAGCGAGGCGCTGTCTCAAAAAAAAAAAAGTAATAATAATAATAATAATCACCAATTGAAAAGTACTTACAGAAAGCCTAATGATAAAGGTTTTTACCTTTATCATTTAAAATTATTTTTTATTGGGTTTCTATTTTTCTTTTATCTTTTATTTTTATTTTTATTTTTTTTTATTTTATTATTTTTTTTTTGACAAAATCTCGCTCTGTCGCCCAGACTGGAGTGCAGTGGCGCAGTGTCGGCTCGCTGCAGCCTCTGCCTCCCTGGTTCCACCGATTCTCCTGCCTCTGCCTCCCCAGTAGCTGGGACTACAGGTGTGTGCCACCTCGCAGGCAAATTTTTGTATTTTTGTTAGAGACAGGGTTTTACCATGTTGGCCAGGCTGGTCTCAAACTCCTGACCTCAGGTGATCCACCCGTTTTGGCCTCCTAGAGTGCCCGGATTATAGGCAGTGAGCCTGCGGAAGCCCTTTTTTTTTTGAGACAGTCTCATTTGCTGAAGCTTTTTTTTTTTTTTTTTTTTTGAGATGGAGTTTTGTTCTTGTTGCCCAGGCTGCAGTGCAATGGCACAGTCTCGGCTCACGGCAGCCTCCACCTCCTGGGTTCAAGCGATTATCCTGCCTCAGCCTCCCGAGTAGCTGAGTTTACAGGCATGCGCCACCACGCCCAGCTAATTTTGTATTTTTAGTAGAGCCGGGGTTTCTCCATGTTGGTCAGGCTGGTCTCGAACTCCAGACCTCAGGTGACCCGCCCACCTTGGCCTCCCAAAGTGCTGGGATTACAGGCGTAAGCCGCCGCGCCTGGCCTGCTGAAGCCTTCAAATCCATACAATCATATGATTTTACTCCTGTGTGCTTGGCAGGCATCTTTCCAATTTTATGAACACTTTCTTACATTACTAGTATGCCATTGTTACCTGTAACAAAATTAACTTCTTAGTATCATCCAACAGTAAGTGTGTAATCAAACGTTCCAATTGTCTCAAAATGTGTTTTTACAGTTGGTTTATTTGTATCAGGATCCAAACAAAGACCACACACATATTTAGACATTATGTCTCAAGTTTCTTTTCATCTAGAGCAGCCCCCTCTTTTATGCCTGTGTAACTAACATTTTAATAAAGTTGTAAGGAAGATAAAAGTAATCCAGAGAAAGGAAAAAAAATATCAATAGGCAAGAAGGAAGATTAAAATGGTACCTAGGCCAGGCATGGTGGCTCCTGCCTGTAGTCCCAGCACTTTGAGAGGCTGAGGTGGGTGGATCATTTGAGCCAAAGAGTTTGAGACCAGCTTGGGCAACATGGCGACACCCTGTCTCCACAAAAACTACAAAAATTAGCTGGACGTGGTGGGGGCACACCTGTAATCCCAGCTACTCAGGAGGCTGAGGCAGGAGAATCGCTTGAATCCTGGAGGCGGAGGTTGCAGTTAGCCGAGATGGTTCCACTGCACTCCACCTTGGGCGACAGAACGAGACCCTGTCCCCTCTCCCAAAAAAAAAAAAAAGAGAAAAAGATGTACTTTAGGAAGTAGGAAAATTAAAAATTATGCTAGAAAGATGGGCTGATCTGCAAGAAGGAAGAGGAAGGGAAAAATGAATCATAAATACTTTTGTCATTACAAGTAAATGCTGCCTGTGTAAAATAATAAAAATATTCATAAGGGCATTTTAAAAAGTCAGTAAAATGCTGTCCCAGCACTAGTTGGCTAGTCTGGAGGAGTTCAACAACCTAATGTACATCAATACAGAATTGGTCAAATCAATTTGTCACATCCATAAAATAGATTATAAAAATACATTATTAAGATGAAATAGACATACTTTTTCATGGCAAAAAAGAAAGTGTGGAAATGTTAGTATATTGATCATCTTTGTGAAAACGTATGAATAGTCTACGTTAAACTGTATTTTAGGAAAAAAATTGGGGAAGGGATTTTTCACATTTTACATGGTATGCTATCATGTATAAATTCATTACAGAAATGATATTATTTTTATTATTCTGGAAAATAAAGGATTTCCTTGTTTTCTTTTTTCTAATAACAAAAACAACCTTTTTTTTAGTGGTTACTAGGCAACGATCGCTGGACTCAACCACCCTCGAAGGTTGTAGGGGAGATGGTGTTTTTCTCGATTTCGCCCCAAGGAGGGTGCTCGGACTTCGACGTGCCGCCATCTTTGAGCAGGGCACAGCTGTTTACAGCCTTGGAATGGATATCAGGCTGAATGGTGGTTGCTTGGCAACGCCCCGCCACGGTCGCCATCTTTGAGTAGGGCACATTGTTTACTACTATATACTGGAAACCTACAGGGAATGTGGTTGCTAGGCAATGCTTTGGGACCATCGCAATCTTTGATCCGGGCACAGCTGTTTTTTCCGTTTAGAATGTAAATCATCAAAGCCTACAGGATGGTGGCTAGGCAACGCCTTGGCGCAGTCATCATCTTCAATCCGGCTTCTTGGTTCTCTTTACCTCCTCGGAGAAACTAGAAAGCTTTGCAAATTCAATTTGCCGCCATCTTTGTTAGGGGTACCGTGACTTCCGGCTAGGGCGGAAGAGAACCTAATGGGTTTGGGGGAGGTGCCTGAATAGGGTTTGAGGGTCTGTTTGAGTTGGGTGAAGAAGGCGGGAAGTTAATCCTCTTCCAATCAGCTCCCCATCTCGCCCTCTGGCGGCTCCGGACCACAGGCCGAGTTACTCTGATTACCGCCATGCTCCAAGACCCGCACTGACAGTCCCCACGTGAGGGACCGCGGTGGGAGTCCTAAATGGGGGAGGAGGGGACGGGCGGCACTGTGCATCTGCTGTGCCTCGCGGCCTCCAGCGGGGTCCCCCTATTCTGCAGGAGCAGTCGCGGCGGCGCCCCCGCCCGTCAGCAGGTGGGGCCTTGGACGCCTGTATCTAAACCGAAGGGGGTTCGGTGTTTTGACTCTGGGTCTTCAAGGCAGTAGGGGCTGGGGAAGTTTCAGTGTTGAATTTGTAGGACCGAGGAGGCAATGGACCAATAAGCCTGGTTCCCCAAAGAGGCACTGCCAGGTCATATGGAAAGAGGATGGGGCTGGGAGCTGGCACACTTGGGTCCTAAGGGGGAAGGGGATGGGGGGGTGCTCTTGTCTGATGTCCCTAACCCCTCCTTAGCTCCCGTTCTCTGTCATCGGTTCCCTCAATGGAGTCCACATGTTTGGGCAGAATCTGGAGGTGCAGCTGAGCTCTGCGAGGACCGAGAACACGACTGTGGTGTGGAAAAGCTTCCATGACAGGTCCCCAGGAGGGAACGTGGGACAGGGACAGGGCCTGGGTGATAGTCCCTGTTGAAGATGACCCCGGAGGCCTTCCAGCTCTCTAAAAGCAGCTGTTAATTTGGCTATGGGATCTTTAGCAAGCCAGTTACCCTCTTTGATCCCTGATGTTCTCTATAAGAAAGGCAGGTTGGTCTGAGAGAGGATGTATCTGGTGTTCTAGGATCAATGGGCGGACTCCAACATACCCCTTCCTGATTCCCCAGGCCTTGACTCATTCTTCTCACTTCCATTCCACAGCATCACCCTCATTGTTCTGTCATCTGAGGTGGGCATCTCTGAGCTGAGGCTGGAGAGACTACTCCAAATGGTGTTTGGAGCCATGGTGAGACTCACCAGTCCTCTTTTCTCCCCAGACCAGGAATCTGAGATCTCAGCATCCTTTTCCCTCAGACCTAGGAGTGCAGACCACCAACACTTCCTTCCTCAGAACCCAGGAATCTTTTGTTTGTTTGTTTGTTTTGTTTTGAGACGGAGTCTCGCTCTGTTGCCCAGGCTGGAGTGCAGTGGCTTGATCTCGGCTCACTGCAACCTCTGCCTCCCAGGTTCAAGCGATTCTCGTGCCTCAGCTTCCCAAGTAGCTGGGATTACAGGCACGTGCCACCATGCCCAGCTAATTTTTGTATTTTTTGTAGAGACGGGGTTTCACCATATTGGCCAGGCTGGTCTCAAACTCCTGACCTCAAGTGATCCACCCACCTTGGCCTCCCAAAGTGCTGGAATTACAGGCATGAGCCTCCGCGCCCGGCCAGAACCCAGGAATCTTGACTCCCCAGTCCCCAGACCCAGAAGTGGGAGTCCCAGCCCCCTCTTCCTTCAGACCCAGGAGTTCAAGTCCCAGCCCCTCGCCCATCCTCTCCTATATGATTCTTCTAGGTCCTTCTTGTGGGACTTGAAGAACTGACCAATATCCGCAACGTGGAGAGACTGAAGAAGGACTTGAGGGTGAGGTTGCAGGACATGAGGGTGGGAAGTTAGGATACCTGGGCACTGCCATTTGGGAACTACAGTTCCCAGCAGCCCCTGGGGCAGCCTGGTCCCACAGGTTCTTGGTTGTCTGACCCTGGGCCCACTTGAATCCTAGGCTGGTCCCTTCTTCCTCTCCTAGGCCAGTTATTGCCTCATCGACAGCTTCCTGGGGGACTCGGAGCTCATCGGGGACCTGACCCAGTGTGTGGACTGCGTGATTCCTCCAGAGGGGTCCCTCTTGCAGGTACTGGGGATGCTATGGAAACTCTTACACCTGTTCTGCTGGCCCTGGCTCAGTCCTCATCCTCTTTCTTCTGGACCATTGTCCCAACCTCCTCCTATCCTCTCAGCTTCCAGTCCTATCCCCACCTGGTCCCAGAAGAATCTTTTTTCTTTTTTTTTTTTCTTTTCTTTCTCTTTCTTTTCTTTTTTCTTTTCTTTCTCTCTTTTTATTTGAGACGTAGTTTCACTCTTGTTGCCCAGGCTGGAGTACAATGGCACCATCTCGGCTCACTGCAGCCTGCGCCTCCCGGGTTCAAGTAATTCTCCTGCCTCAGCTTCCCGAGCAGCTGGGATTACAGGCGCCCACCACTACGCCCGGCTAATTTTTTGTATTTTTAGTAGAGACAGGGTTTCACCATGTTGGCCAAGCTGGTCTCGAACTTCTTACCTCAGGTGATCCACCTGCCTTGGCCTCCCACAGTGCTGGGATGACAGGCGTGAGCCACTGCGCCTGGGCCATCTTTCTTTCTTTTCTGAGACAGGGTCTTGCTCTGTCATCCAGGCTAGAGCACAGTGGCTCAGTCATAGCTCACTGCAGCCTTGAACTCCTGGATTCAAGTGATCCTCTCATCTCAGCCTCCCCAGTAGCTGACACTATAGGCACTGTGCCACCACATTCAGCTATTTTTTTTTTTTTTTTTTTTTTGAGACAGAGTCTTACACTGTCACAGGGGCTGGAGTGCAATGGCGCAATCTTGGCTCACTGCAACCTCTGCCTCCTGGGTTCAAACGATTCCCCTGCCTCAACCTCCCGAGTAGCTAGGATTATAAGCGCTGGTCACCACGCCTGGCCCAGCTAATTTTTTGTATTTTTAGTAGAGACAGGGTTTCACTATGTTGGCCAGGCTGGTCTTGAACGCCTGACCTCGTGATCCACCCGCCTCAGCCTCCCAAAGTGCTGGGATTACAGGCATGAGCCACCGCGCCCGGCTGACATTCAGCTATTTTTTTTTTTAAGAGATGGACTAGGGTTGGGGATGGGTTTCCATTAAGTTGCCCGGGCTGGTCTCGAACTCCTGGGCTCAAGCAGTCCTCCCGCCTCAGCCTCCCATAGTGCTGGGATGACAGGTGTGAGCCATCACACCCGGCCACCAGAAGAACCCTACTATATCCAGAGCTGGCTCTGCCCCTTTCCTGCTCACAGCCCTCCGGCAGCCTCCACCTCCCCCAGGACAAGGTCCCAGCTCCTCAGCCTGGTGTTTGAAGGCCTGTGGCACCTGGCACCCCCTAACCTGTTGCTAAATCCACAGTCTACTTCCACCCAGCTACCTCACAGTCCTGAGATCCCAACAAGTTTCCAACCTCAGTGCATGTTCTTCCTCCTGCCTCTCAGATCTCTAGCTACCTCTACTTAAATACTGCTCTTGTGGACTTGCCTGGTGTGGCGGCCTCCCAGGCATGTGACTCTCAGCAGGTGACTTGGCTTCTCTACGTTGCTAATGGTGCCTACTCGGCATGTAACAGGCCTGGATGAACGGTAGCTGCTGCGGTTACATTATTAGCTTCAGTTTGCCCGCCCAGGCTAGATGTTTAATCAGATTTCACAGACTTCACAGTGTGAGTTGGGGATGTGACTTCGTATGAAAGTGAAGGAACTCAGGCTCAGAGAGGGTGAGACGTAGGAGCATGGCCACTGCGCGAGCTCGGGGCTGGCTGTGGGTTTCTCCCCATTCCCTGCCCATCTGGGAAGTCGCTGCCACCCCCTACGCTTGTCTGCTGACTCCCAGTCCTCCTGCCTCCCGTACCCAGGAAGCCCTCTCCGGGTTCGCTGAGGCCGCGGGCACGACCTTCGTCAGTCTGGTGGTGTCCGGCCGGGTGGTGGCAGCAACAGAGGGTTGGTGGCGGCTGGGGACGCCCGAGGCCGTGCTGCTCCCCTGGCTGGTGGGGTCCCTGCCGCCGCAGACCGCTCGCGACTACCCGGTGTACCTGCCGCACGGGAGCCCCACGGTGAGTGGGTGGCGGGCACCGACGGAGGGATGTGACCTGGGGGCCGAGTCGCGAGGAGGCGGGATCTGCGATGGAAAGGGGCCGGGCCGCGATGAGCCCCAGCCTGTGCCCTGCTTCAGGTCCCACACCGGCTCCTGACCCTGACTCTGCTGCCGAGCCTGGAGCTGTGTCTACTCTGCGGGCCGAGCCCACCCCTCAGCCAGTTGTATCCACAGGTGAACCCGCGCCACGTCCCGCTTTCGCTCTTAGGACACCCGCTACCAGGAGGGCCCTTCCCCACCACCCTGCCCTGCCAGCGGCATCTTTCCCCAGCCCCGCCTCTTCTGGACTGCGCTCCAGTCATTCACCTACCCGCCAAGATCGGCCGCTCCCGCCTCTGCCTCTATTCTTCCAGGCCTCGCCCCTTCCCCAGTCCCTTCTGCCCTCCGCCCTCCACTCTTCTTGCAGGCCCCGCCCCTCCCGATTGACCACGCCCCTATCCTTGTACACCCCCCGACCTCCCCCGCCGGCCCCGCCTTCCCATGACGACCTCACAATGACCACGCCCCCTGCAGCTTCTGGAGCGCTGGTGGCAGCCACTGCTGGACCCGTTGCGGGCCTGTCTGCCGTTGGGACCCCGGGCGCTGCCCAGTGGCTTCCCCCTTCACACAGACATCCTCGGGTAGGGCTCGGATGGAGGGAGTGGGTCGGGGGTCATGTCCTCTTCCCCAGCCATGACATTCCCTTCCCTTTCCCACAGGCTGCTGCTCCTCCACCTGGAACTGAAGCGCTGCCTCTTCACCGTGGAGCCCTTGGGGGATAAAGGTGACTGAGGACAGGGGCAGGGGCAGGGGTAGGAGGGGCGTGGGCCGGGGAGGCGCTCTGCATCACCGCCTTTTCCTCCCAGCAGAGCCTTCACCAGAACAGCGCCGGCGCCTCCTCCGAAACTTCTATACCCTGGTCACCTCCACGCACTTCCCACCAGGTCAGCGGAAGGCACAGTGCTCCCACTGCGCAGGCGGGGACACTGAGTCCCAGGTCGCACAAAATGGGAGTAGGAGGTGGGGTTGGAGGATCCGGAGGAACCCAGTATGCACTGGGCCATAGGGCAGTGGTTTTCCTTGAGATCTGAGCATTGATGCAGATGGGAAGGGAGGGGAAGGGAGGTCCCCGCCTGGCTTCAGAATCTCCTGGATCATAGTCAACAATAGTTAACACTGAGACCTCACCTCTTCCCAGTGCCTTTACACGTAATGAAAGAATGAAATCACTTCATCCTCACAGGTGAGGACTATCCCATTACCTCATCATTCCCATATTACAGATGAGGAAACTGAGGCTCAGCTCATGAGTGGCAGAGCCATATTTGAACACAGGGGATCTTGCTCCCATATCCACACAGTCCAGCGCTCTGCACAACTGCCAAAAGCACAGGCTTTGCTGATAGGCTGAGGGTATGGAGGAGGATTTCACAAGATTCTGGGTTAGAACGGAAAAATTGTCGTAGAACCCTTAAGGGCCCAGAAAGACAAAGAAAGGGACCTGGGATGGCGCTGTGACCCCAGTGAAGCCCGGATGAATGCAGCACAGTGGTCAAGAGCTCCAACTCGGGGGCTGCACCCCTTCTTAGCTGTGCGACTCCACCTCCCACTGGCCCCTGCCTGTTTCCCTCCACCCGCCTTGTACAGTGGGGCGGGTGGGCTCCTGGAAAAGGCTACAGGAGCTCCTGTGTTGCTGCCGTGTTCGCCATGTGTATTGCTAAGAGGATCACCTGCAGCTGCACAGTTTCTCCAGGAAAATGGGGGCCAAGGCTGAGAAAGAGGAAGAGGGTGAGCTGAGTGACATCATTGTGGTCTTCAAGTTGCTGACAGCCAGCTAGAGCCCCGAGGCCCTCCCCTGGCAGGAGGCTCCCAAAACCTGTGTTCAGAGACCCCACGCGTTCAGAACTTGGGATCAGGATGTGGTGTGGCTTGCAAAGGTTAGCATGCTACTTGTCATGTCAGTGCCCCCTGTTCTTTCTCCAGAGCCAGGGCCACCAGAGAAGACAGAAGATGAGGTCTACCAGGCCCAGCTGCCCAGAGCTTGCTACCTGGTGTTGGGGACTGAGGAACCAGGCACAGGAGTGCGTCTGGTGGCCTTGCAGCTGGGGCTTCGGCGGCTGCTGCTGCTGCTGTCTCCCCAGAGTCCCACCCATGGGCTGCGAAGCCTGGCCACCCACACTCTGCATGCCCTCACCCCACTTCTTTGACTACCTAGCAGTGGGTGATGGACACAGACATGGGGCTGTTAGCGTCTCTCTGTTTATTCGCTCACAATAATACACAGCCCCTGGATGGGGAGGGGGTAGGAGGGGCTACAACAGGGTGGGGTGGGAGGGGAGGAGACATCCACTTCCCTGGCCCCTCTCCCCTCTGTGCTTGGGGGGGAAAGGGAGGGAGGGGGACTCCCCCTAACCCCCCAGAATGTAAACAGCAGCAGATGAACAAAAATAAAAATACAAAAGGCCGGAGGAAAGTCCCAGGCATCCCCCAAACCCTGGTGTCTTCTCTGTCACCAGTGGAGGTCCCCCATCCACCAAAACTGCCTCAGTCCAAGGGGCTGCCCAGTGCCGGCCACATCCCCCGGGGCAGAGTCCAGGGCTCAGAACTGCTGTGCCAGCAGCTCACACAGGTGACGGGAGACGGGCTCCTTGCTGGTGCGCAGGGTCAGCCGGTACATCTGGGTGGGGGCATTGGGGGCAGAACTCAGAGGAGATGGGGAGCCCAGGGAAGTCGGGACCCAAGGGAGATAGAAGGAAGGAAGGATAAAGGGGCCAGAAAGGTGATACAAGACACAGGAGAGAAAAATGTAAGACTGAAATCAACAGAGGCGCCAGAGAGGAAGAAAATTATAAAAGATGAGAGAAAGGTGGAAAGGATATGGAAAGGTAGAAATCAGGGAGGGACAGGAAGAGGAGAGGAACACCAGAGGTTGGAGACAGGAGATTAAACTGATAGATAAAGAGGAGTAAAAGTGGACAAAGAAATGTGAGAGGAGGAGGGTCAAAGTGGGGACGTGAATTAAAGAACAGTGAGGCAGGAAGGGTGGACGCAGAGATGACAGGCGGCCTTCCTGCCGGCCTCAGGCCTCCCACAGCAGCACTCACCTGGGCCTGGGCATTGGGCTCCAGCCGAAGCAGACAGCCCACCTGCAGGGCTTTAGTCTGGATGATCCCCGCCCCCACGAAGTTCTCAGGGTTGGGGTCCACATTGTCCAGGAGAGCAGAGCCAAACCCCAGAAGCTGGGAGGAGGGGGGGCGCCGTCAGAGTGTGCCAGAGCTGTTAGTTACCACACAGTGGCATCCCAGATCCCAAAAAACCCTTGGGGATGGGAATTGGCCCCACTTTACAGATGGGAAAACAGAGGCTCAGAGAAGCAAAGCAGCCATAGGCCGGCAAACACGCCCGCGGTCTCTCACCTTGGCCTTAGTAACTTCTGCGTCCATGGGGTGGTTGGCTTTGAAGATTTTCTGCGCCTCCTGTTGAGGGCTGGGGACCGGGAAGGTTCAAGTCAGGGACCTGGACGGCCCGACCCGCCCACCCAGAGGCGCGGCTTTGGCTCCGCCCCCTCCCCACCCCTCACAGGCTCAGCTGCTTCCAGCGCTGGAAGAAATCCTGGGCCGCCATCTCGGTGGGCTGGAAGAACTTGTTGATGGTCACTGGGAGCTTCAGGGTGAGGGCCTGGGGGGCGCCACCGTACCTGATGAGGTGAAAGGGAGGCTCCATTAGGCCCCGCCCCTCACCCCGGAGGCTCCGCCCACCGGCCGCGCCGTACCTGACTCACCGGAAGCGCACGGACAGCAGCGGGGGCGTCAGGAAGTCCCGCAGGCACTCGATATTGAGCACCTGCTGCACCTGCGCGCCGCCGTCCACCTGCGCCGCCACGCGCTTGGTCTGCACAGCCAGCTGTGCCCGCCAGGAGTCAAGGAAGCCAGACAGAGGAGGTGGGCCCCCGGGAGGTCTGGGTCAGGAACCCCAGAGCTCCCGGCAGCTCCCGCCTGCAGGTCTTTGAGGGACCCCATGGTGCAATCCTGGACTCAATCCTACAAGGTTCAACTACAAAGTTCATACTATGGAAACCTCTGAGGCGCCCCCTAGGTGCCTCCTTTGGCCTTCCACAATGTCACACCGCACTGAGACATAATAGTATTAGCTCTGGAGGCTGACTTGGGTTTGAATCCCAGCTCTTAACCACCTGAGTGGCTGTGGGCAACCACTTAACCTCTCTTAGCCTCTGGACATGTGTAAGCCTGGGCAACATGGCAAGACCCCATCTCTACAAAAAAATTAGCCAGGCATGGTGATGTGCACCTGTAGTCCCAGCTACTTGGGAGGCTGAGGCAGGAGGATGCCTTGAGCCCAGAAGTTCGAGGCTGCAGTGAGCAGTGTTCATGCCACTGCATTCCAGCTTGGGTGAGTGAGGCCCTGTCTCAACACAAGGACATGTGTAAAATGTCCTCAGGAGTTGATGAAATAATCCAGCCGGGTGTGGCGGCTCACGCCTGTAATCCAGCACTTTGGGAGGCCAAGGTGGGGAGGATCACTGAGCCCAGGAGTTTGAGACCAGCCTGGGCAACATAGCGAGGCCTCAACTCTATTTAAAAAAAGAAAAGAAAAGAATCCATCACAAGTACTTGTCTGTGTGCCCGGCACATGGTAAGTACACAAAGATGGTAGCAATTAGTGTTATCATCATCTGCATCCGTGTCAGTAGCCCACTGGGAAGGCCTGGGTCTCATGTTCTTTTGTCACTGCCTCCACTGAGCTGCCTGCACGAGCCTCTGGAAATTATGAAAGAAGGAATTTTTTTTTTTTTTTTTCCTGAGACGGAGTCTCGCTGTCGCCCAGGCTGGAGTGCAGCGGCGCAATCTCGGCTTACTGCAACTTCGCCTCCTGGGTTCACGCCACTCTCCTGCCTCAGCCTCCCGAGTAGCTGGGACTACAGGCGCCCACCACCACGCCCGGCTAATTTTTTGTATTTTTAGTAGAGAAGGGGTTTCACCATGTTAGCCAGAATGGTCTCGATCTCCTGACCTCGTGATCCAACCACCTTGGCCACTCAAAGTGCTAGGATTACAGGCGTGAGCCACCGTGCCCGACCGAAGAAGGAATTTTTTCTTTTCTTTTTCTTTTTTTTGAGACTGTCGCCCAGACTGGAGTGTAGTGGTACAATCTCGGCTCACCACAACCACCACCTCCCAGGCTCAAGCGATTCTCCTGTCTCAGCCTCCTGAGTAGCTGGGATTACAGTCGCGTGCCACTACCACCCAGCTGATTTTTGTATTTTTAGTGGAGATGGGGTTTCACCATGTTGGCCAGGCTGGTCTTGAACTCCTGACCTCAAATGATCCACTGGCCTCAGCCTGCCAGTGCTGGGATTACAGGTGTGAGCCCCCATGCCCGGCCAGAAGGAGTTTTCAGGTCGAGCTTTTCTAATTTCATGAATGTGGCAATGGAGGCCCAGAGAACGGGCAGGGGGGACTGATACCTCCAGCCGCCCTTCCAGGGTTTTCCAGACACTCTGATCTTCACAATAACCCTATGAGGAAGAGGAGGGTCTACATACACTTCACAGCGGGGACAGGAGAGCCCAGAGAGGCAAAGTGACTCAGCCCAGATCAGGCCTGATCAGCGTCTGGACCCGCAGGCCTGGCTCCTGAGTGCAGGCGGTGCTGGCATCATGACATGGAGCCCAGTGGAGGACGATGGCAGGACACGGAAGGTGCCAGACAGGGACAAAATGAGGCCTGGAGCAGGTGGAGTTCTGGAAGTAAAGCCTCCCACACACCACTTCACTGTCATCCCCTGTCCTGGGGGAAGGAATCCCACCCCCATCTTAACAGATGCAGACACTCAATCTCAGAGAACTAATTGCGTGCCCAAGAGAGGCTGAAGAGAAGTGTGGACCTGGGTCAGCCGGCTTCCCCACGGTGAGGAAGGCCGACGTGGAGAGGCAGGAGGCTGGGCCGGGCCTGAGAGGATATGAGTCTGGAGGTCTCCCGGGTGAACCACAGTGGGTGAGAAATTCTGGAACTGCACCGAGGTCTTGTTGCCATAGAAGAGATACATGCGGCCTGCAGTAGGTGGGGGAGGCAGAGCTCCATCTGAGTCCCTCTGACCCCTTCCCCAAGGTCTCCCTCCGACCCATTCCCACAGTCCCCCGGGACACACCCAGGTTCTGTCGGAACTCTGACTTGACTCCGATCTGCAGCAGCTGGTTCTCGAACAGGACCCCGTTGTTCTTACACACAAACCTGAGGGGGCAGGGGGCGCAAGATGACGGGGGTGCCTGTCTGCACCTGGCCTGGGCTCCGCACCTGTCCCGTTCCCCTCCCCCACCACTCCCAGGACTCACTTATTCAGCAACTCATCGGCTTCCGGAATGGGAGGGCCGATGTCCTCAGGACCTGGGCTGGAGGCATGGAGCAGAGTGAGATGGGAAGGAACTTGGTGGGGAGGGGCAAAGGCCCAGAGCGATTGAGTGCGAGAACAAGCCCTAAGGACAGAACCCCAGAACCACATATCCAGACCCCTCACAGAGCCTCGAGGAACCTCGCATCCATCCAGCAGTGGCCTCCAATGGGAATAGAACCCTGGCCCGTGCCCCCGCATCGGCAGACACCAAGTTTCCCTTTCCTCCAAGTCCCTGCCTCTGCTGCTCATCAGGAACCCGTTGACGAGGGCTCCCAGTCCCCTAACTCTCCCTGGGGACACCCGAGTCCGCCCCCCCGACCGACCTCCCACCCCAGGCCACCCCTTACTCAGCAGCTGGAGCTGGGTCAGCCAGCAAAGCCATGGGGCTCTCGGGGGCAGGCGGCTCCAGCTCGCTGAGCCATCCAATCCCAGAGCAGACAAGAGAAGACAGGCGTGGCAGGCAGCCAATTCCACATAGGCAGCGAGAGGGCAGAAGAGAGACAGAGAGGGAGGGACGGAAGAGGGAAGGAGAGAAGGAGAAAAGGAAGAGCAGGCTGAGAAACGGTGACAGGAAAGGAGACAACGAAGGGTGGCCAGGGTCGGCGGAGTCCAGAGTGGCAGAGGGAGGGCGTGAGCAGGGAGGCTGGGGCAGGGGAGGCAGCAGCCAGGGCTGGCGAAGGCATCAGGATGGAGAGAGGAGCGAGTCGGGGGCGGGGGAGGGGCTCAGGGAAAACGGGGACAGAGGCCGAGAAGGGACAGCCCTGGGGGTGGCCGCGAGAAGGGGCCCGGGCCCAGGGGGTGCTACCTGAGGAAGGCCTCCTCGGGGGTGGGCCCCAGGCTGGGCTGGGCGGCCGGGCCATCGAAGACGTCCACCAGAAGGTTCCCTGCTCCTGCAGAAGCCGGGGGTGCTGCCGGGGGAGGGGCTGCCCGCAGCCCCAGGAGGTCGGCGGAGGGCGAGGGCGTCGACTGTAGGAAGCGCAGGTCACGGTGAGGACAGGCGGCGCCCGGCAGGACCCAGCCCCAGGCACCCTGGCAGGGCCCACCCCAGGGGACTCACCACAGTGCTGGGGGTGGGCTCCATGCCCCCGTTGATGTCGTTGCTGCTGGGGTCCCTCCGGCCATCGTCCAGGGCGCTGCCGGCCCCTGGCCCCTTCTTGCGTTTCAGCTTGGCCAGGATGGACGACTCGCGCTCGGGGAAGGGCGGCATCTCCTCCAGCACCGTGGCCTGGCGCGGTCGGGGTGGGGAAGGTCAGTTCGGGTCAGGAGGAGGGGAGGGCGGGAAGGGGGTGTGCAAGAGGGGTGGGGTGGGGGGACAGGGCTCTGACCAGGACGTCGGTGCTGGCCACTGAGCTGAGGGTGAGGTACTCCACGGCTCGCTGCTGCAGCTCCACGTCAGCATTGCGCAGCTGGGAGCCGGCCCGCAGGACGCCCTGGATGGTGGCCTTGGTCTCGGGGAAGAGGTTGATGAACTTGATGTAGGTGGACAGCAGCAGCGCCCGCGTGGCCACGCTGCACAGATGGAACTTGGAGTGGAGCAGGGAGAACTGCACTGGGGGGCTGTGTGCAGGAGTGGGTGTCAGCGGGGCCAGGTTCCACTGCCCTCTCCCAGAAACCCCCTCGAGAGGTGCCCCTCCCTAGGATGGACCCGTCCCAGGACCCCAAGCTGCTGGAGGGGAGTGGCCCTCCCCAGGCACCAGACAGGGGCCGCAGTCACACTCTGTCCACGATCCTGGGACTAAGCTCCTTTCTTACCCTGCTAGGTGGATTGGGGTGGAGGCCGAGAGGATGGGAGCCCATCACTGCCTGCCCTGAGACCCCTGGGGATCCCCCAAGCCCTGGACCCCTCAGAAGCATGTGTGTTCTCCCCTGCAGGCTGAGGCTCCCTCACCTGGAGCGGGGGTCCCCAGCAATCAGGTTCCCAAACTCCCCAAGGATGTAGCCGCCAACCTTCACCATGTTCTCGTGACAGGCAGGGGCCTGGAGCGCCTGAGTGGGGTGGGGAAGGGCGTGGAGAGGACAACAATGAGCGCCCTCTCCGGGATCGGTGGGTGCAGCCACCTACTGACTGGTGGAACACTGAAAGCTCTGCTGCAGGTGGGGTTATAGGTGGGAAACTGAGTCACAGAAAGGTTGAGTGACGGGCCCAAGCTCACACAGGAAGTAAAACAGGGCTGTGGGCCGGAAGCAGTGGCTCATGCCTGTAATCCTGGTACTTTGGGAGGCCGAGGCGGGCAGATTGCCTGAGCTCAGGAGTTTCAAACCAGCCTGGGTAACATGGTGAAACCCCGTCTCTACTAAAAATACAAACAAATTAGCTGGGTGTGGTGGCGCGTGCCTGTAGTACCAGCTACTGGGGAGGCTGAGGCAGGAGAATGGCTTGACGCTGGGAGGCCGAGGTTGCAGTGAGCCGAGATCGCACCACGGCACTCACTCCCCACTCCAGCCTGGGCAACAGAGTGAGACTCCGTCTCCAGAAACAAACAAACAAACAAACAAAAAACAGGACTGTGTGGGGCCCCTTTCCTGGGGCAGAGGGAAACTACCGAGATCCGGGGGCCAGGACTGCACACTGGGTGCCCCATGCCCATGCCCTGGGGACTCCTCACATCAGGCCCATGAGACCATAGCCCTGGGTCCCCTGGGTTGGCCCAGAGAGGCAGAGGCCCCATTTTGAGGTCACGGCAGTGCAGGAGAAGGAGGGTGGCTGCGGGCTGGCAGGCGCCACGGCCCCGGCCATCCTTGCTCTGCCTCTAGGTCCTGTCGTGGGGTCATAGGGTCAGGGTCAGGGATGCTGACCTCAAAGACGGTCTTGGCGGCATAGCCCTGGACGTCATCACGGTTGGTGACGATCTGTAGCACACGGTACCACACCTCCTCACTCACGTAGTCGCCCGCAATGCGGATGAGGTTGAGGATGGTGTCCACGTACCAGCTGTAGTCCACGGCGTACTTCTCGGCCAGGATGGCCACCTTCAGGACCTGCCGCCGGGGCGTGTGAGAGAGAGTGTGCCGCAGGCCATGTCGGGCTTTCACTCACCTGGATCTGGGCTCACCACTGCCCCCATCTGGAGACCCAGGAGTCCAGGCCCCAGCCCCTCCTCCCTTAGACTTAGGAATCCAGGCCCCCAGCCACCTCCTGCCTCAGACCCAAGAGTCCAGCCCGCACCCCACAGCACTCACGATCTCCTCGCGGATGGCGTAGTCTGCCGTCTCCAGGTACCGCAGCATCTCCGACACGATCTGCTTGGCATTGCTCCGGTCACACATGGCGTAGAGGAGGTCAGCCGCCCGCTGCCGCACGCTGACGTCCCGCTCCGTCTGAGGGCGGAGAGCAGAGCCCAGGTGTGTTTTAGACTCCCTGTTGGCACAGGGTTGGCCACCCAAGGGCCTCTGAGCCTCTGGTCTTTCTGAGGGGGGTGGCAGGCCCGGGGTGGGCTCCAAGGGCTCACACCTTGAGGGCATTGATGACGGTGTCAATGTGCGTCTTGACGGCTTCATGGGAGAACTCGGAGCTGGCCAGCGTGCACATGCTCTCCAGGGCCAGGTAGCGCAGGTTGGTCTCCCGGTGCTGCAGGAACTGGCCCAGCTGGTTGCAGGCCCGAACCAGGAGGTTGGGCTCACTGCCAGCAGGGGCCACAAGAGAGGGATGGTGAGAGAAACTGACAGGAGAAGGTGGAGGACTCGGGCCCCAGCTGACCCATCTCACAGCCCCCAAGGATCCAGGTCTTAACCTTGCCGGCCTTGCATCGCAGTACTGCACCTCCAGTGACCCAGACAACTGGGCCTTTGAGCCCAGAGAAAGATACCTAGCAATTCTGCCCCCAGGAAGGGCCCCAGCACCAACCTCACAGGTGACACTTCACAGCCCCATCCTCCTCCTACCCTACCTAAAAGTCAAGATTCCCTGCCCTCTGCCTAGGACTCAGGAGTCCGGGCCTCCATGCCCCTCTTTCCTGGCCCCAGGCATCAGGCCCTGATAGGCCCAGGCGGGCACCTGTCATAGTGGATGATGAGGCTGATGGTCTCGAAGAGGATGGCGTTCTTGGCGTTGGAATGCTGCACCTTCTTGGATTTGGGGGGCTCCTGGGCCTTGTTGAGCACAGTCTCCAGACATTCCACCAGCCGCCCCTTCACAGCCGCATCCTCTGGGGAAACGAAGGGGACGCCCCCGGCTGAGTGTCCTGCCCACCTGGCACACCTGCTGGGGTGGTGGCCATGCCCCAGCTCCTGTCTTCCAAAGGAGGAGCTCGGGGTGCCTCTGACACTCGAGAATTCTGCAGCTCAGGGCCAGGGTCTCTGCTCCCTCAACCTCTTCCCAGCCCAGCAGAGATGGTGAGACAAGGCACCTCTGGAGACACAAGATCTATCCCCAGACCTGGGCTCTCCTCCTGCTCTGACCCTCTCGGGCAAGAGGTGGCACCATGTGAGCCTCAGTTTCCTCATCTGCAGCTCTGAGGCTCCTTAGGTTTCTCACAGAGCAAAGGAAGCTCCAGGAACCTTCCCCAGAGGTGCCCCCAAACCCAGGCCTTCCCAAGGACTGGTGTGAGTGCTGAGCAGCCCCTGACAAAAATGCACAAGCCACCCACCCAAGTGTCCATTCAGCAAGAGGCCACTGCAGGCACACTCGGTGCCATCCTCCTGGCCTAGAGGCTGGGAGGCCAAAGGAGACAAGGCTCAACCAGGTGCCCCCTCACCCCCCAGAGCTCTCCACCACTGACAGATGCCAGCCAGCAGCTCACAGGAGCACCAATCACCACGTTTCCTAGAATGTGACGTGTTTTCAAGTGTATGCAAGAGCTGTCAAGCGTTCCAGCAAAAAATGGTTCCGCAGATTTTTCTGCAGAATTTTCCGCAGGAAAATTCACCAGATAGAGGAACAAGCTAAAATACACCACAAGGCAGCAATGAGCCCAGTCGCCACCATGGGACACACAGCAATGGCATCTCCTGGTTTCTCCATAAACAGGTGTAGGGGGGCTAGTCCAGACTACGAGAAATAACAAAGACAGAATCCAATTTAAATCCTATTTTTTGGAAACAGGGCAACTATGTTGTCCAGTCTGATCTCAAACTCCTGGGCTCAAGCGATCCTTCTGCCTCAGCCTCCCAAAGTGCTGGGATGACAGTGTTAGCCACTGAGCCTGGCAGAATCCGATTGAATATGTGATCCTAGATTGTACTGTGATATATATTCTGTTTTTTTATTTTTTTATTTTTTTTTGAGACAGAGTCTCACTCTGTCACCCAAGCTGGAGTGCAGTGGCACAATCTTGGCTCACTGCAACCTCCACCTCCCGGGTTCAAGCGATCTTCCCATCTCAGCCTCCTGAGTAGCTGGGACTACAGGCATGCACCACCACACCTGGCTAATTTTTTGTATTTTTTGTAGAGATGGGGTTTTGCCATGTTGGCCAGACTGGTCTCGAATTCCTGAGCTCAAGTGATCCTTCTACCTCGGCCTCCCAGATTGCTGGGATTACAGGCGTGAGCCACTGTGCCTGGCCCAGAACAACATATTTAAAGGCAAAACATCATGATGTCTGTAATTTACTTTTAAATATTTCAGAAGAAAATAAACAAGAGCATGCATACATGGCAAAATGTGAAGTCCAAGTAATGAAATCTCTGTACTTATCTGGATGCTGGGAAACTTTTCATAATGCATATGACAAAAAAATGACTTGCAAACAAATTGGCAATAGCCCACCACCATTTGCTGAAAAGGAGGTGACACAGGGTTGGTGTGTCCTCAGGCCCAGCCTCAGGACAAGGCTGTGTCTCCAGTTCCTACACCACCGAGGGTTGGAGTGGGTGAGGTGCCTGCAATGGGTGTACCCCAGAATTACCAGCTGGGCCTTCTGGGGTGGTCATGGGCTTAGAGCATGACTTAAGCCCTTCTTGACAGGACGAAAAAGAGGCCCAGAGAAGGAAGACATGTCCCCAGGGCCACACAACAGAATTCATCACTGGCTTCACACACGATGGGCCTCTGGTGTCACCTCCATATCGTATACTCAGAGTGTGTACACACACACCATGTGCAGAGGGACATGCATGGACACACGTAGATGCTGGCAAGCATTGAGACACGCACACACAGGCATGCACACAGGTATCTACACTCATGTACACATCCACTTGCATGCACAGGTACACATGTAGATGCACACACTGATATATACACATGTACACACATAGAGGGACACAGAGATACCATGAACACTGCCACATATAGACACAGACACGCATACATACAGATGCACACACAATGACACATCCACACACAGGGGATGCACGCAGACATGCATGCACACGGGCAGGTATCGACACACACAGGCGAACGCATGCACGCATGCAGGCATGCACACAGACAGGCATGCACACCCAGAGATTTGGTGGTGTACATCAGCCCTGGCCCCTGGCAGGTGCTGGACATGCTGGCTGAATGGAGGGAACTGGTGCATTAGCACCTACTGTGTGCCAAGCCCCTCAGCACAGGGTCCGAAGAAACTGCTCCATGAGGTCAGTCAGCCAAGGCGACAGAAGCTCGGGGGAGCTCAGTGGCAGAGGGAGGGGTTTAGAGCAGAGAGTCTGGGGGCCAACTGCCACTTACTGCCTAGAATGGTGATGTCTCACCTCCAAGCCTCAGTTTCCCTGTGTGCATATCACACTGGCTGTTCCTCCTTGCCAGCTCTGTTCGGCAGGTGCAGGTGCCCCCTGCCCAGTGCCTGGCTCACTACAGGAGTTTCATACACACTGGCTATTGTGACTGTGAGCAGTAGGGGAAGGTTCCCAACAGATGTGAAAACCCCTGACAGGGCTATGGTAATTCAGGTAGCACGGCCTGGAATCACCCACTGACCGGGTGAGTGACGCTGGGCCAGGAGCTCCCTCTCCAAGCCTCAGATTCCTCATCTATAAAACAGGCACAGTTAACAGTCCCTCGCAACAGGGCTGGAGTGAGAGCCCGGGTAGCAGGGACCTCAGCTATGAGGCTGATCCACGATGCTGCACAGGGTAGGCGCTGGGCCTCGGGCTGCCTGCTTGCCTCCCCGAGTGCAGCCACGTAAGGGGACAGAGGAACCGCCCCAGCTTCAGAGAAATCCTGACCCAGACCCTCCAGTCCCACCTGGTGCGCCGTGGAGCAGGAGGCCCCCAGATGCCAGCAGCAGGCCACCCCGGGTTGGGGAGTGCACGGCGTTCATTACCTGGAGGCGGGTAGCACTGCAGCAGCCGCAGGAGCTTCACCGAGAGCCAGGGTGCTGGGACGAAGTAGTAGGTGTAGTCCTGGAGGTCGGTGGAGGCAGAGGAGACGATCTGGCGGGGAAGAGCAAGAAATAAGTTGGGGGCTGGGGTGGGAGGGGCACGTGGGTCCACATGCCAGGGTGGAGCAAATGGTGCCTTCCAAGGGCAGTGCTGTCAGTGTTAATGGTTTTGTTAGTGGGTTTTTTTTGTAGAGACAGGGTCTCACTATGTTGCCCAGGCTGGTCTCGAACTCATGGCCTCAAGCAATTCTCCCACCTCAGTCCCGCAATGTCCTGGGGTTACAGGCATGAGCCACCATGCCCGACCAATGCAATGGTTTTATGAAGCAGGAATCTGAGGCTCTGGGAAGGGAGCGAGGAAGCGTCAGGCACACTGAATGGGGGCAAAACTAGGACTAAGCCCGGCTGGTTGATCTTTCCAAGTAATGCTGGTGTGTGGTGGGCAGGAAAGGTCTCTGCTGGTTCCCTTCTGTGTGACAGTTTCCCAGGGCCCCCTCCTCACTCGGCTCTGAGCCTCCCATGCCCCAGGCTTCCTCCGTCAGAGCACACAGCGCACCGGCTCCTGGAGGCTGTTTCCTGTAGTCCCCCTACAAGGCTTGAAGCCACTCAGGGGCAGGGATTGGGTCTGACCCTTTTTTGGGTCCCTAGGCCTAATACAAGGTCAGATAGGAAGAGGTTCGGGGAAGAGGCAGGGAATTAGTGAAAGATTGAAAGATCATGGCCAGGTGCAGTGGCTCACGCCTGTAATCCCAGCACTTTGGGAGGCCAAGGTGGGTGGATCACCTGAGATCAGGAGTTCAAGACAAGCCTGACCAACATGGTGAAACCCCATCTCTACTAAAAATACAAAAATTAGCTGGGCGTGGTGGCACATGCCTGTGATCCATGCTACTTGGGAGGCTGAGGCAGGAGAATTGCTTGAACCCGGGAGGCAGAGGTTGCAGTGAGCCAAGATCACGCCATTGCACTCCAGCCTGGGCAATAAGAGCGAAACTCCATCTCAAAAAAAAAGAAAGATCATGTGACTTTTTTTCCTCATTGCAAACTCCTATTCAACCTTGAAAAGCCCTTCTCCAGGAAGCTCTGTCCCACCTCCGTGCTGGTCTGTGTTCCTACCTCACTGTCATCCTGGCACACTGCAGTACTCAGATGTGTGATGAATGAATGAAACAATGACTGAGGCTGAGTGCAGTGGCTCACACCTGTAATCCCAGCACTTTCGGAGGCTGAGGCGGGAGGATCACTTGAAGCCAGGAGTTTGAGACCAGTGTGGGCGACAAAGCAAGACCGATCTCTACAAAAAATACAAAAATTAGCCAGGCACCTGCAGTCCCAGCTACTCGGGAGGCTGAGGCGAGAGATCGCTTGAGCCTAGGAGCCAGAGGCTGCAGTGAACCATGGCTGCACTACTGCACTCCAGCCTGGGCGACAGCAAGACCCTGTCTCAAAAAAAAAAAAAACCTGAGAAAGAAACAATGAGTGGGCCAGGCGCAGTGGCTCACGCCGGTAATCCCAGCACTTTAGGAGGCCGAGGCGGGTGGATCACGAGGTCAGGAGATCGAGATCATCCTGGCTAACACGGTGAAACCCTGTCTCTACTAAAAATACAAAAAATTAGCCGGGCATAGTGGCAGGCGCCTGTAGTCCCAGCTACTCGGGAGGCTAAGGCTGGAGAATGGCGTGAACCTGGGAGCTTGCAGTGAGCCGAGATCGCGCCACTGCACTCCAGCCTGGGGACAGAACGAGACTCCGTCTCAAAAAAAAAAAAAAAAAAAAAAAAAAAGAAACAATGAGTGGATGCACGAGCTGGTGTGTTCTTCTCTTTGCCTGCGAATCCAGGCCTCTTCCTGACTGCCCAGGAGATGCGCATGTGTATTCTAAGTCTCAATTCTGGGATCGCCGCCCCCAGGAAGCCTTCGTGGACTCACAGGCTGTGTTAAGTGCCTCCTATGGGTGACCTATCCTACCTCCATTATAGCACGAGTCACCCCTTTTCTGACAATCTGTGACTGAGTCACCTCCCTGCCAGAAGGACAGGGAGCTCCTTAAGAGCAGAGCTTGGTTCTGACTCATCTGTGTCCCTGGTGTCACCCGACATGGAGCCTGGCATGCACAAGGCCTCAGGGGATGTTCCTGGGCAGGACAGGAGCAAAGGTGGGAGAGGGACGCCAGGCAGGAGTGAGAGGCTGCACAGGAAAGAGAGAGGCGGGAGGCAAAGCCAGAAGAGGGAAAGTGGGAGACAGAGAGAGAAGTGGGAGAGGGAGGAGGTCATGAGGGCGGCTGGCTCCCGGGGTGCTCGGCCCGCGAGGCCCTGTTCTGAGCACTCTATCCACAGCGCTCTGTGCCTCCAGGTGGGCACCGGTATTATCCCCACTGAACACAGGGGGCAGCTGAGGCCAGGGAGGTGAAGCCACTTGTCCAGGGCCACCCAGCCAGGAAGAGGCCGAGCCAGGATGAATCCAGCTCAGAGCCTGAGTTTGTAAACCTTGGGCTGGGCTGCCTCTCAGGGAGAGTGGGGGCCTGAGGGGTGTCAGAGGGCATAGGGATGCCAGGGCCACCTCCAGCAGCCAATATCTAGGCCACACCCACCCGGCTCAGGCGCGACACAGCCAGAGAGACGCACGTCTTGAAGTCATCTGGGTTCTTCTTGCAGAGACAGGTGATGAGGCTGACGGCGGCCGTGACCACACCCTGCAGGGGCAGAGGAGAGACAAGTCAGGCCCCTGGGGGAGGTGGTACCTGAGAGCAGAGGCTCAGGAGCGGGACAGGGTCGGGATGTGTGTGCAGTCGGGAAGATGGGGTTTAGGGGTGTGCACATGTGTCACTGTGCGTGCTTTAGGGGTGGGGTGAGGAGGCCACGGGGCCTCGGGCGCCATGGCCAGCACTGACCTGGGTGTGTGGGGTGTCCCTGGCAGGACCCCAGGCAGCTGGG
This sequence comes from Homo sapiens, assembly GCF_000001405.40. Lineage (NCBI taxonomy): Eukaryota > Metazoa > Chordata > Mammalia > Primates > Hominidae > Homo > Homo sapiens. The sequence goes on along the minus strand of NC_000019.10, from coordinate 49,792,749 downwards.
TAAGGAGCAGTGAAGGGGCGAGACTCTAGAGGGTTGGGACTGTGGGGGTGGGACAGTCAAGGTTTCTGCGCTGGTGCGCAGGTGATGGGCGCTGTTGGGGGAATCTCCAGGTATTAGAAACAGAGTGGGATTTTCTAAGGGACTGGGTGGTTGGTGAGGGGTGTGGGGGTCACTGGACAGGATCCCTGGCCAGCCAGGGGAGTGTCAGAGATGGGGATGGGAGGGTTTCTGGACACTTGGGCAGGTAATGAGTACCGGGGACACTGGATCATGGTTTCTGGTGTCTGGTGAACGTCAGCGCCGAGGGGGAAGCTCCAGGAATCCAGGGGGATCAGGGCTGAGGTGGGAGCCCCAGGCATCCAGGGGGCGTGAGGGCTGAGGTGGGAGCCCTGGGTATCCGGGGGCGTGAGGGCTGAGGTGGGAGCCCTGGGTATCCGGGGGCGTGAGGGCTGAGGTGGGAGCCCTGGGCATCCAGGGGGCGTGAGGGCTGAGGTGGGAGCCCTGGGTATCCGGGGGCGTGAGGGCTGAGGTGGGAGCCCCGGGCATCCAGGGGGTGCGTGGGCTGAGGTGGGAGCCCTGGGTATCCGGGGGTGTGAGGGCTGAGGTGGGAGCCCCGGGCATCCAGGGGGGTCAGGGCTGAGGTGGGAGCCCTGGGTATCCGGGGGTGTGAGGGCTGGGGGCTCACCATGTGCTGGTCATTGAGCAGGTGTACCACACGCGCCGTCCACTCGCCCATGGGCACCAGGTCAGGCGAGGCCTTGTACAGTCGAAGGAGGCACAGGGCCGCACTCTGCTTGACACTGTCCATGCTGTCCCTGTGGGGACACCATGCAGGGCAGGGGAAGCAGAGTCAGTGACCCCAGCCCTGCACACCTCCCCTCCTCTCCTGTTCCTCCCAGGAAGGGTGTGCGAGGCCAGCGAGAGGGACAGACAGCCAGGCGGCCGCAGGATCCAGTCTGGCGCTGACCTCACGGCCCACCAGGACTCAGTGTCTTCATCTGCAAAATGATTGCATCTCAGTAACCTCACAGGGCTCAGGAACATGTCAAGCCTGGCTCTGCACCTTCATTCATTCACCAAGCACCTACTGGGTGCCCATGGGGTACCAGGCACTGCTGTTCACTCCATGGATAGAGTGGTGAATAAAGTGGTCCAAACACTTGTCCTCACAGGGCTTACATTTCAGACAGCACCACGAAAACACATACATCAAATACTGTCAGGGCTGGGCATGGTGGCTCACGCCTATAATCCCAGCACTTTGGGAGGTCGAGGTGGGAGGATCACTTGAGGCCATGAATTCAAGACCAGCCTGGGCGACAGTGAGACCCAGTCTCTTCAAAAATACAAAAATTAGCTGGGTGTGGTGGCGCAGGCTTGTAATCCCAGCTACTCGGGAGGGTGAGGTGGGAGGATTGCTCGAGACTGGGAGGTCGAGGCGGCAGTGCACCATGACTGTGCCACTGCACTCCCTCTAGCTTGGGCAACAGAGTTAGAGCTGTCTCTAAATAAATAAAAAAATTTAAAAATAAACAAAACAGAGTAACTTAAGGAGGAAAGACTGAAAATCCTCTGCAACAGAACATCCCAGGCAGAGGGAACAGCCTGTGCCAAGGCCATCAGGAAGGCGGAGCCCGTGTGTAGGAGGAGCAGCAAGGAGGCCTGCAGGCTGCGGCCTGAGCCATGGGGCAGGAGGGCTGCAGATAGGACAGGGAGGGAACAGAGAGCCAGACCCTGCAGGGCCTTGTTGGCTGAAGTGAGGACTTGGCTTTTTACCGATTGGGAGATGAAAGCCGCTGTGGGTGGTGAGCAGAGAATCAGCGTGATGTTAACACGACAGCAGGAACAGCTGCCCCCGGACCCCTTCGGCCTGTCCAGCACTCCCACAGGTCTCTGGGTGGATTCACACGTTTATCTTCTCTCCACAACAAACTGAGAAAATGGGTGTATTTTTGATCTGGCTTAGGTTTTTAAAGGGTCCCTCTGCCTGTTGTGAGGGAACAGACTTTGCAAGGCTCTTTTGAATCCAAGGGAATATATTCACAGGTTCTGGGGGTTAGGGTGGCTCACGCCTGTAATCCCAGCACTTTAGGAGGCTGAGGTGGGAGAATCACTTGAGCCCAAGAGTTGGAGACCAGCCTGGGCAACATGGTGAGACCCCCATCTCTACTAGAAATATGAGAATTAGCCAAGCGTGGTGGCGCATGCCTGTAGACCCACCTACTTGGCAGGCTGAGGTGGGAGGATCGCTTTAGCCTGGGAGGTGAAGGCTGCAGCCTGGGTGGCAGAGCAAGACCCTGTCTCCAAACAAAAAAAAGGGTGGGGGTACTTTGCAGATATGATAAAGTTAAGGATCATGAGATGGAGAGAGGATCCTGGGTGATCCAGGTGGACCCAATGTCATCACAGGGTCCTTATAAGGGAAAGATACAGTTCAGAGTCAGAGATGATGTGAGGATGGAACAGAGGTCAGGCAGGAGAGAAGATGCCACACTGCTGCCTTTGGGGATGGGGGAAGGGGCCACGAGCCAAGGAAAGCAGGTGGCCTCTAGGAGCTGGAGAAGGCAAGGACGCGGCCTCTCCTCTAGGGCCCCCGGAAGGGACGAGCCCTGCCCACGCCTTGATTTTAGCCCCGTGAGATGGATGTTGGACTTCCGACATCCAGAACCGGTGTTTGACACCGCTGTGCTGGTGGTAATTCATCACAGCAGTCACAGGAAACCAGGGTCAGCACTTGCCTGGCACAGAACCTGGCAGCCAGCGGGCAGCCCATCTCAGAGGGCTGACTCCAGGCCCCAACCATAACCCAGCTCCTAGCACAGCAAAGAGCATGGAGCATGATGTTGTTCTAGAAGAGGATCCCAGGGGAGCACCTTCTGGGGTCAGACACGCCTGCATGAGGTTGTGACTGTGGGGCACAGATGGGGGTAAGCCACTGACCCTCTCTGATGGGCTGTTTCCCCTTCAGGAAAATGAGGAGCCTTGTCGGCTTTGGGGAGAAAGAAATAAGATGGTGGGCCAGGCATGGTGGCTTACACCTGTAATCCCAACACTTTGGGAGGCTGAGGCAGGCGGATCACTTGAGGCCAGGTGTTTGAGACCGGCCTGGCCAGGCCAACGTGGTAAAACCCTGTCTCTACAAAAAAAAAAAAAAAAAAAGGCCAGGCGCAGTGGCTCACACCTATAATCCCAGCACTTTGGGATGCTGAGGCAGGTGGATCACCTGAGGTCAGGAGTTTGAGACCAGCCTGGCCAACATGGTGAAACCCCATCTCTACTAAAAATACAAAAATTAGCTGGGCATGGTGGCACGTGCCTGAAATCCTAGCTACTCGGGAGGCTGGGGCAGGAGAATCGCTTGAACCTGGGAGGCAGAGGTTGCAGTGAGCTGAGATCTCACCATTGCACTTCAACCTGGGAGACAGAGTGAGACTCCGTCTCAAAAAAAAACAGAAATGAGATTGTGTGGTGCATGGCCATAGCCTTGAGTAAGAGGAGGTGCTGGGAGCTGTCAAGACTGGCCCAGCCATGGCCTATCAGTAAAGGGTTTCCCAGAAAGCACCCAACAGACAGCAAAAGACACAGGGGAGAAGTCCTCAGAGGGGAGACCTGCACGAGTCAAAGGCCTGTGGCAGCATGTCTCACTGGATGTGCAGCCACCCAGCAGGTGGCTCCTGCCGTCATCCAGGCAGATACTCGCCCGACTGACGCCTGTTGCTACGGCCTCCTAAAGTGCTGGGAACCCTCGTGTGCTGCAGCTGGAGGCGGACACAGGGACAGGCCCTCTGGAGAGGCTCTGGGCTTCCTCTGTCTAGAAAGGCCACTGCTGTGTGTGCAGCAGACCAAGACCAGCAGTGCTGCCCCCAGACGCTCACCCTACAGAAACGTTCACTGCCCAGTGGTCATCAAGTTAGAACCAGAAACCAGCAAGAAGCCTGGCCACAGACGATGCTCCATTTGTGACGGCACTTTCCCACCTCCGTCACAGCGCACATCTCCCGAGCCCTGACTCCAGGCCACTTTCCCATCTCCGTCACGGCGCGCATCTCCCGAGCCCTGACTCTGGGCCACCTTCCCATCTCTGTCATGGCGCTCATCTCCCGAGCCACAGTGCATCTCCCGAGCCCTGACTCTGGGCCACTTTCCCATCGCTGCCACGGCGCACATCTCCTGAGCCACAGCGCATCTCCCGAGCCCTGACTCTGGGCCACTTTCCCATCGCTGCCACGGCACACATCTCCTGAGCCACAGCGCATCTCCCGAGTCCTGACTCTGGGCCAAACTCTGCTCTAAGTGTTCCCGCACAGCTCGCTCGCTCCCCACCACAGCCCTCTAAGGACGCGGATTCTATCATCTCCATTTACAGATAAGGATACCACACAAAGGAATAAGAGCTATTTATCAACTTGGTTAAGTGGAATAAGGGCTATGGCGCTACTTAGGAAAATGTTAAACTACACAATATCAAGCTGCATATTCAAGTATAAAAAATAAAACCACAAGTCAGGCGCGGTGGCTCACGCCTGTAATCTCAGCACTTTGGGAAGCTGAGGCCACGGAGGATCACTTGAGCTCAGGAGTTCAAGACTAGCCTGGGTAATATAGTGAGACCCTGTCTCTATAAAAAATTCAAATATTAGCCAGGCCTGGTGGCTTGTGCCTGTAGTCCCGGCTGCTGGAGTGGCTGACGTGGGAGGATCACCTGAGCCTGGGAGGTCAGGGCTGCAGTTAGCTATGATCATGCCACTGCACTCCAGCCTGGGCAGCAGAGTGAGACTCTATCTCGAGCAAATCACGGATATGCACCACAATGTGGATGAACCTGAAAAACATCTTGTTGAGTGGAAGAAGCCAGACACAGAAGGCCACCTACTGTGCGGTTCCATTTCTATGAAATGTCCACATTAGGCAAATCTGTGACAGAAAGCAGATTGGTGGCAGCCAGGGGCTGGGGGGAAGAGGGAATGGGGAGGGACTGCTAATGGGTACAGAGTCTTTTTTTGGAGCAATGAGTGTTCTGCAATTAGGTGGTAGTGGTTGTTGCACAGCATCATCAATATACTAGAAACCACTGAACTGAACACCTTCAAATGGTTAAAATGACCGGGCGCAGAGGCTCACGCCTGTAATCCTAGCACTTTGGGAGGCTGAGGCAGATGGATCAATAGAGGTCAAGAGTTTGAGACCAGTCTGGCCAACATGGCAAACCTCGTCTCTACTAAAAAAAAAAAAAAAATAGCCAGGTGTGGTGGCACACACCTGTAATCCCAGCTACTCAGGAGGCTGAGACAAGAGAATTGCTTGAACTTGGGAGGCAGAGGTTGCAGTGAGCCAAGATTGCACCACTGCACTCCAGCCTGGGTGACAGAGAGAGACTGCCTCAAAAAAAAAAAAACAAAAAACAAAAAAAACAAACAAAAAAAGCCTAGATGGGAGTGGTGGCTCACACCTGTAATCCCAACACTTTGGGAGGCTGAGGCAGGAGGATTGCTTGAGCTCTGGAGTTCAAGACCAGCCTGGAGCCTGGGCAACATAGCAAAACCCCATCTCTACAAAAAAAAAAAGAAATACAAAAATTAGCCAGGCATGGTGGTGCACGCCTATAATCACAGCTACTCAGGGGGCTGAGGTGGGAAGATCGCTTCAGCCCAGGAGTCGGAGGTTGCAGTGAGCCAAGACTGTGCCACTGCACTCCAGCCTGGGCAACAGGGCAAGACCCTGTCTCCAAAAAATAAAAAGTTAAATAAAAGTCTACCTACAAAATAAAGTTCCTTCGTGCCCCAGTCACTGCTGAGGCCAAGTTTCCAGTGTGGAGGGGGCAGCCTAGAGCCAGACAGCCCCACCCTGGCCCCTTGACCCTGGCAGAGCACCACCCCTCGGCATCCACTCCAGGGACAATGTCATCTGCACCCACACATGTTGGCCACGGTGGCCTCCCTCTCAGTCCTCAAAGTGCCCGGTTCTTCCCTCTTCAGGGTGGCTTGTAACCTCTGTCTCCCCCAAGCTGATGCTGACTGCCTGTCCTTGTCCTAAAGAAACTGCTGGCAGCATTTGCGACTGGCCACTCCCTCCTCCATCAAAGTTCTTAGCATTCTGAGTCATGGCCTGATCCTGATTTTCCTCCCACACCCCTGATCATGACTCCCACCCCCCCTGCCAGAGCGTAACACGCTGGGCTGCACCAGGGCCACTCAAGGGCCCAGCTTTTGGGAATTCCCAGTTAACACCTGCCCTCAGGGGCTTCACCAGGCCCGAGCTTAACTGCCATCAATCCCCATGCTGTCAGATACAACAGCCCCCAGAGCACTGGAACTGCAGCGAGTCCAAACTGAGAGACACCCGCAACGCCGCATTCCAAAGACTTAGCACCAAACACAGATGTCAAATAAAATAGCTCGTGAATAATTTTTACGCTGATTCAGTGTCAAAGTGATAATATTTTGTGTGGATCAGGTTAAACTGAAATATTAAATACTAGAAAACAGAAAAACACCTATGTGGCTTGCATTATATTTTTTTTAGACAGGGTGTCACTGTCACCTAGGCATGATCACAGCTCACTGCAGCCTGGGCCTCTTGAGCTCAAGCAATCCTCCCATCTCAGTCACTCGAGTAGCTGGGATTACAGGCACACATTTGTATTTTGCTTTTTGTTTGTTTGTTTTTTGTTAAGATGGAGTCTCACTCTGTCACTCGGGCTGGAGTGCAGTGGTGCAATCTCGGCTCACTGCAACCTCTGCCCCCCGGGTTTATGCGATTCTCCTGCCTCAGCCTCCTGAGTAGCTGGGACTACAGGTGTGCACCACTGCACCCCACTAATGTTTTTTTTTTTTGAGATGGAGTCTCGCTCTGTCACCCAGGCTGGAGTGCAGTGGCACAATCTCCACTCACTGCAACCTCCACCTCCTGGGTTCAAGCAATTCTCCTGCCTAAGCCTCCCAAGTAGCTGGGATTACAGGTGCCCGCCACCACACCTGACTAATTTTTGTATTTTTAGTAGAGACGGGGCTTCACCACGTTGGCCAAGCTGTTCTTGAACTCCTGACCTCAAGTGATCTGCCCACCTTGGCCTCCCAAGGTGCTGGGATTACGGGTGTGAGCTGCTGTGCCTGGCCTGTATTTTGCATTATATTTTTATTGGACGGTGCCGATCTCTCTCAGATCTCTCTCCCTCCCGCCCTGACTCCCTGCAATCCAACTTCCTCCCCAGAGTCCTACTCAGATGTCTAATACACATCTCAAATTCAGCATGACCAAACCACACTCAGGTTCTGCCCTCTCTGACCCATTTTCCTATGGCCTTTGTCACATTGCTGAAAGGTCTGCCATCATTCACTCACCTGTTCAATGTCCCCACCTCATCCTAGCACAGCACATATAATCCATCGACTCTACTCCCGAAACATGCCCTTCTCATAACCACATGACCGCCACAGCCCTGGTCCAAGCCACCGCGAGCTCTGACCTGGACCTGGTGACAGATGCCTGGCTGGTCTTGCTGCCCCACAGTCACCCCCTACAGTCTGTACTTTTGCTTATGATTTCCTGGCCTATTTGAATCTGGGGATCAGCCTCTTTCATCCATTCTGGAATATTTTCAACCATTATCTCTCTTCGAACACTGCCTATGTCACGATCTCTCCCTACAACTCTAAATGGCAATTCTGTTAGATGTTCTCTGTCTTCCATGAGTCTTTGTCTCTTTCCTAAAATCCCCATCGCTTTGTCTTCTTTGGGCTGCATTTTGATGTCTTTCTTCAGTTCTACTGCCAGGCCACTAATTCTGGCTTTGGCTGTGCCTACTCTGCTAACTAAATTCAGACACCTAATTTTTAATGTTTTAAACATTTATTTGTTTTTTGGTTTTTTTTGTTTGTTTGTTTAGACAGGGTCTTACTCTGTCACCCAGGTTAGAGTGCAGTGATGAGATCATAGCTCACTGCAGCCTCATCCTCCCAGGCTCAAGCAATCCTCCTGCCTCAGCCTCCTGGATGGACTACCCAGGCACACAGCACCCCACCCGGCTAATATTTTAGTTTTTGTGGCAATAGGGTCTCACTATGTTGCTGATCTTGAACTTCCGGCCTCAAGTGATCCTCCCACCTCAGCCTCCCAAAGTGCCTGGATTATAGGTGTAAGCCACTACTGTGCCTGGCAATTTTTGACTATTTCAATTATATTTTCAAATCTGCTTAAACTTTACTCATATTTTAAAATGCTTCTCTTATTTATTGAAACATATGAAATATACTTCTTTTACATTCTGTATAATTCCAATTCCAAAGTTATTTTCTGTTTTCTTTTTCTTTTTTTTTTTTGAGACAGAGTCTTGCTCTGTCACCCAGGCTAGAGTGCAGTGGCATGATCTCGGCTCACTGCAACCTCTGCCTCCCGGGTTCAAGTGATTCTCCTGTCCTGCCTCAGCCTCCAGAGGAGCTGGGATTACAGGCATGTGCCACCACACCTGGCTAATTTTTGTATTTTTAGTAGACATATGGTTTCGCCATGTTGGCCAGGCTGGTCTCGAACTCCTGACCTCAGGTGATCTGCCTGCCTCAGCCTCCCAAAGTGCTGGGATTACAGGCGTGAGCACCACGCCCGGCCTTCTGTTTTATTTCTGCTGGTTCTCCCTCATGGTGTCTTGTGTCATGTGTTTAGAGATTTTTGGCTGTGAGCTACTCATATCATTTGGAGCTTTATCTGTGGATATCACTGAAGCTTGTGGTGAAAATGGGCTTCCTCAGAAAAGGCTCGTGTTTGCTTCTGTGAAGCACTAGGGAACCTCCAGTTTCCATCACTTTAAACTAAAGGTTGACTTAGGGGCTTTTGGACTACCCAGATAGGGTAAAGTCAGGCTGAAAACCAGTCTGAGGGCTGCTCCGTGCCAACGTTTCAGACAGGTAATTTTCCTCATAGTCCCCAAGGGGGTTTATTTCTAGGTCACTCTCACTTTGAAGTACAGCCTTCGAGAACTTCTCGGACAAGCTTTGTCTTCTGTTCCCAGAGGCTGCAGGGCCCCAAAACCGATACTCGGGTTCACCCAGTTCAGCAAATGCCTTCTAAGCAAATGCTGGCTCCAGCACGCGGCTCATCTGCTTGGGTGCCCGGCTTCTCTTAGCTTGTGGCCTGTGTGCTCCTCATTTTCTGGCTACCTCATGAATCCATTAAATAATATTGTCTTTCCTCTTTTATCCAATATTGACAGTTAGGTTTCAGGGAGAACATGAGTCGGGTATCTAGCTGACCACACTGCCAGAAATAGAAGTCTCACCTGTGTGCACACCAAGCTGGAGTACACTGGCGCAACCACAACTCATTGCAGCCTAGGCCTCCCCAGCTCAGGAGATCCTCCCACCTCAGCTTCCCGAGTAGCTGGGACTATAGGTGCACGCCACCATGCCCTGGCAATTTTTGGTATTTTTAGTAGAGATTGGGATTTTGCCATGTTGCCCAGGCTGGTCTCAAACTCCTAGACTCAAGCAATCTACCTGCCTCAGCCTCCCCAAATGCAGCGATTACATGAGCCATCGCACCTGGCAAATTCTACACTTCATCCTGCAATTCTTCCATCACCATTTGTCTCCTGCTCCAGACCATGAACACAGGAGGGCAATGACCGTGTCCATCTCTGGACAATACAACATCCCCAGCAATCAGCACAGTGCCTGGCACATAGTATGTGCTCAGTAAATGTTTGGTGAATGAATGGAGAAGATGAGGAAGTTCTGGAGGGCCGTCACCCACATAGCACAGTTACGCCTCTTATCGTAGGTGTTAGAATTCTGCAGTTCAGAAACACCCCACTGGCTTTGCCGGGAGCAGCCTCACACCATCAAGTCAGCTTCGTATCACGGGAAGAGACAAGTATGGGGCTGCCACCGGAACCACTGGGTCCCCAGCCCAGCGTTAGCCCACATCTCGGCTGGGAGACCTTGGGCAGGCAACAGAGCCTCTCTGAGCCTCACACTTGGCTGGGACTCATCACCCCCAGGCCCCCCACTGCCAACGGGTCCCCAGTGCCTTACCCGGCCACCAGGATGCGGGGGATGTCAGCGGCAAAGGCCTCGCCCATCTCCCGGCTGCCCACGTTGGCGATGCAGTGCAGGGCCAGGCACATGAAGGTGGGGTTGCGGCTGGCCAGGTCATTCTTGATGGCGTTGTTGATGAGGCGGATCAGCTCCGAGTTCGAGTTCACCAGCACAGAAATGAACAGGTAACCCTGTGGGGAGGGAGGTCGTGGATGGCTAGGAGCCTTGTGACTGAGTGGCCCCAGATCCAACCCTCAGACCCAGGAGTCCAGGCCCCAGATTCAACCTCAGACCCAGGAGTCCAGGCCCCCAGGCCCCTCCTCCCTCAGACCCACAAGTCCAGGCCCCCAGGCCCCTCCTCCCTCAGACCCACGAGTCCAGGCCCCAGATTCAACCCTCAGACCCAGGAGTCTGGGCTTCCAGCCCTCCTCCCTCAGAATGGGGAGTCCAGACCCCCAGCCCCCTCCTCCCTCAGACCCAGCAGTCCAGAGCCCCAGACCCCCTCCTCCCTCATACCCAGGAGTCCAGACCCCTAGACCCCCTCCTCCCCCAGATCCAGGAGTCCAGACCTCCAGCCCCCTCCCCCGCAGACCCAGGAGTCCAGGCCCTGGCACCCCCCTCTCCAGACTCACTATTTGCTTCTCTGTGTATTTATTGGAACTCAACAGATTCACAGCCTCCATGTGCCCAAAGTCAATGTCATGGCCAAGCAGGAAGATGAAAAGCAGTTTACACACATATTTTTTCTTACTGTAGCCATCCAAGGCTTTGTCTCCTAGGGCAGAGGAAGGAGGAAAGGGGAGCCAGAAATAAGGAAGGGTCACAGGATAGGTCACAGGAGCCCCAGCTCCCAGCCCCCTCCTCCCTCAGAACCAGAAGTTGGGCCCCCAGCCTACCTTTGAACTTGGAGCGGATGTTGGCCAGTTCCTTGTTGATTCTCTTAATTTCCGCCTCTTTGCTCTTACCTGGGAGAGGAGGAGGAGGGTAGGCAGTGAGGGGTCTGGGGAGTCAGCCACCTGCCCTCTCTTTCCTAGGCGCGGCCCCACCCAGCAGGAAGGGCAGATCTTCTCCGCCCCCAAGCCCTGGGGCTCAGGACAGGCCAGGACCCCTTCTCTGGCTGGGAGTTTCAAAGAGGGAAGAACCACCGCTGGCTGAGCCCCACAGCACAGAGCACACACCCTTGGGCTGTCCCTGACTTCCTCTCTCCTTCCTCCTACCACTGTGGCCCCTGATTTGTGGGGCTCCTCAGGGCCCCAGACACGCTCCCTGAGAGCTCCTGTCCCCACTCCCCACATGCGATGAACATGTGATGAATGAATGAATGAATAAAGAGCTTGGCTGGCCGCAGGGTGCTCACCCCTACCACTGAGCTCACTGCCTCTTCCAGTTCTCAATCCCATGAAGGTCCCACTGTCCACCCAGTCACCAGGTCAGACCCTTGGGTGCTGTCCTCACCCCCTTTGTCCCCACAGCCATGGCTTTGTCCTCTCCCGCGTGGCCTGTCCCCACTGCCTCCTGTTCTCTGGCTGCCAACCTCTCCCCAATTTGTCTGGGACATTCCTACACCTCTGACAGGACCTGCTTGTGGAATAAGCACAGAAAGCCTCCCCTGATCCTGCAGGCCAGGTCTCTGCTTCCTCCATGCTCCTCAATGCCCTACAGCACCCCCTTCAGAGCACAATCCGACTGGATGCTCTCGGCTGCCCTCTCTGCTTCTCCTGTCCCTGTTCCACTCACCCCAGACTTCATCCCTCCCTTGACAGGTTCTACCGTTCCCTCTTCTCCTCCAAACAGAACCTGGACATCCTCACGCCAATCGGGCTACTGCCTCGTCCTTTTAATTTTTGAGACAGGGTCTTAGACTGTCGCCCAGGCTGCAGTGCAGTGGTGCAATCATAGCTCACTGTGACCTTAAACTCCTGGGATCCAGCGATCCTCCCACCTCAGCCTCCCAAAATGCTGGGATTACAGGTATGAGCCACTGTGCCCAGCCACCTCCTCCTAACTTGACCTTCAGAACATGTCTTGAGCACCTCCACGATGACCACTTCATCCAGATCCCATGCTCGCTCGCTCAGGTCAGTGAAGCAGCCTCCCCTCCAGCCTTCTTGCCTCCCTCGTGTTTCCATATCCTGGGCTCTGTGATGCCAGCTGGGGGTGCTCCACTCCACGGCCCATCAAGTCCTCTGCCCCTGTCACAGCAACCCTGCCGGTGTCACCCCTCAGACCCCTACTGTCCATCCAGGCCCCCTGGCCTCCATTTTGCTCCGGGAACACGCACATCCTCTTGCCTCAAGGGCCTTCACACAAGCTGTGCCCTCTTCCTGGGGCCACCCCTCCCCTGTCATCTTCCCATCATTTGGGTCTCGGCTCCTGCCACCCCTGAAAGGCCGTTCCGTTTCACTTCCTTAAAGTCAATTCTTTATTATTCTGCTTAAAGAGTTATTTTTCAAGAAGTCCTCTCTGGTACATTTCACCATGTCACAATTTTATTTCTCTCCACTGTCGAACTTCCTCCCACTTCAGACTGTAAGCATCAGGAGGGAGCTCCTAGAGCAGTGCCCTGCATACAGCAGGTGCTCTATAAATGTCTAGTTATGGAAGGGGCAGAGATCTGCTCTGACCCACATCCTTCAGGGCGTAGTCCCCAGCAGGGTGGGGTGTGCATTCAACAAATGAGTCAATGACTGAGAAAGCAAGTATATGTGCCATCCTTCTCTCTAGAAATCCTGTCTTGTCCCTGCTCCCAACTTCTATGGAAGCTCCCATAAGCCTCACTTCAGGTATCACCTCCTCCAGGAAGCCCCTCTGATTAGCACCTCCTGATCAGTGCTAAGAGGACCCTAGCGCTGCACCATCCAATATAGCAGTTGCCAGCCAGTGGCTCCTGAGATCCTGAAATGTGGCCATTCCAAACTGAGAGGGGCTGTCAACAGCAAACATACACGGGATTTAGAAGACAGTGTGGAGAAAAAATGTAAAATATTTCAGTAAAAATTATAGGGGCTAGGCGTGGTGGCTCACGCATGTGAGGCAGGAGGATGGCTTGAGCCCAGGAGTTGGAGACCAGCCTGGACAACACAGTGAGAACTTGTGTGTCAACTAAATAAAACAATACAAATTATAAAGTATTGATCACATGCTGAAATAATAATTTGGGTGTACTGGGTTATAGAGACATATTATTAAAATTAATTTTGCCTGTTTCTGTTTTTTTTTTTTTTTTTTTTTTTTGTAGCCCAGGCTGGAGTGCAGTGGTGCAATCTCGGCTCACTGCAACCTCTGCCTCCTGGGTTCAGTGATTCTTGTGCCTCAGCCTCCAAAGTCGCTGGGACTACAGGTGCATAACACCACATTCAACTAATTTTTTTTTTTTTTTTTTTTTGAGACGGAGTCTCACTGTGTCACCCAGGCTGGAGTGCAGTGGCGCAATTTCAGCTCACTGCAACCTCTGCCTCCCAGGTTCAAGCAATTGTCCTGCCTCAGCCTCCCAAGTAGCTGGGACTACAGGCGCCTGCCACCCACCCCTAGCTAATTTTTTGTATTTTTAGTAGAGATGGGGTTTCAGCATGTTAGCCAGCATGGTCTCAATCTCCTGACCTCGTGATCTGCCCACATTGGCCTCTCAAAGTGTTGGGATTACAGGAGTGAGCCACTTCGCCCAGCCCTAATTTTTTTTTTTTTTTTTGGTAGCAATGAGGTCTTACTATGTTGCCCAGGCTGATCTCGAACTCCTGACTTCAAGTGATCCACCTGCCTCAGCCACCCAAAGTGCTGGGATTACAGGTATGAGCCACCATGCCTGGCCTATATATATATGGTTTTGTCATAAATACGTATATATACATATGCATACCATAAATATAGTATATATAAAGAGTATACACATATTTAAAGAATATGTGTTATTTAAATATATGTATTACTTAATTTAAATAATATGTATTATTTCAATACAGTCCTGCCCCGCATATCAACATTTCAGTCAGCAACAAACCGCACACACTGCAGTGGTTCCATACGATTCTAATGCCTTATTTCGACTGCTCCTTTTCTATGTTTAGATGCACAAATACTTACTGAGTCACGGTTGCCTACAGGACAGTCCCATGCTGTGCAGGTTTTTTTGTTTTATCTTGAGACGCAGTTTCACTCTTGTCGCCCAGGCTGGAGAGCAATGGCGTGATCTCAGCTCACTGCAACCTCCGCCTCCTGGGTTCAAGTGATTCTCCTACCTCAGCCTCCTGAGTAGCTGGGATGACAGGCATGCGTCACCACACCCAGCTAATTAGTGTATTTTTAGTAGAGACGAGGTTTCACCACGTTGGCCAGGCTGGTCTCAAACTCCTGACCTCAAGTGATCTGCCTGCCTCAGCCTCCCAAAGTGCTGGGATTACAGGTGTAAGCCACCACGCCTGGCCACTGTGCAGGTTTACAGCCCAGCAGCAACAAGCTGCGCCACAGAGCCTCAGTGAGTGGTGGGCTATACCATCTCAATTTGTGTAAGCACACTCCAGGATGTTCACACCACAACAAAACCACCTAACGATGCATTTCTCAGAACATATCCCCATCGTTAATACACGAGTGTATTCACTCAATTGTACTTGAAATGATTTAAATATATACACAAATATGTGCATGTATATGTATTCTTTAAATATTCTTTAAATTTAAAGAAATATATATCATATGTACTTATATATTTATATTTACGTATTTCTTTAACTAGTATTCATTTAAAGAAATACATATTATTATATCTATAATATATAGATTTCCTCTCTTTTTCTTGAGACGGGGTCTCACTCTTTCACTGAGGTTGGAATGCAATGGTTTGATCTCAGCTCACTGCAGTCTTGGCCCCTTGGGCTCAAATGACCCTCCCATCTCAGCCTCCCAGGTAGCTGGGACTGTGAGGTGCGCCACCACACTCAGCTAATTTTTTTTCTATTTTTTGTAGAGATAGGGTTTTGCCATGTTGCCCAGGGTGGTCTCAACTCCTCCGCCCACCTCAGCCTCCCGAAGTGCTGGGATTATAGGCATGGGCCACCGCTTACTGCCAGGAAATCTTTTTTTTTTTTTTTGTGATGGAGTCTCGCTTTGTCGCCCAGGATGGAGTGCAGTGGCACCATCTCTGCTCACTTCAAGCTCTGCCTCCCAGGTTCACGCCATTCTCCTGCCTCAGCCTCCCAAGTAGCTGGGGCTACAGGCGCCCGCCACCATGCCTGGCTAATTTTTTGTATATTTAGTAGAGATGGGGTTTCACCATGTTAGCTAGGATGGTCTCAATCTCCTGACCTGGTGATCCGCCCGCCTCAGCCTCCCAAAGTGCTATGATTACAGGCATGAGCCACCGCGCCCGGCTGGAAATCTCTTTTTAAAGTATTACTTAAATTGTATTTAAAATGTATTTACATATATATACAAATATGCATATATATGTATATTTTTCTTTAAATAGGCTTTATTTTTACTTTTTTTCTTGAGACAGAGTCTCGCTCTGTCACCCAGGCTACAGTGCAATGGCACCATCTTGGCTCACTGCAACCTCCACCTCCCAGGTTCAAGCGATTCTCCTACCTCAGCCTCCCGAGCAGTTGGGATTACAGGCACCCACCACCACACCTGGCTTTTTTTTTTTTCCGCATTTTTAGTAGAGACAGGGTTTCACCATGTTGACCAGACTGGTTTTGAACTTCTGACCTCAAGTGATCCACCCGCCTCAGCCTCCCAAAGTAAAGTGCTAGGATTACAGGCATGAGCCACTGCACCTGGCCTTTAAATAGGCTTTAAATGGTCCACATCTATTTGATGCTATCTTCTGCATAACTGGTATAATTTGCTATAAAAAAAGGAATTCAGAGAGAGAAGAAAAGCTCTCGGTCTTCAAAACAGGAGCAGTTGTGGCCCCAAAGGGAGGGCTCTGGCAGAGGCCCAGCTCTGCAAAGATCTAAAGGCCCGTGATGGCCAGGGAGCCCAGGGATACTGTATGGGTGCTACTGGGGTGGTGCCTGGGGAAAGGGCTGAGGCAGCTCTGACAGACCAGGATCATGGGAAGAATGACCCGGCATTCAGGGCCAGCAACAGGGGGAATGAGCTCACTGTCACAGGAGGCAAGCAAGCCTGTGAGAGAGTTTTAAAGGGATTCTCTCATTCACAATGGGATTTCTGGGGCCAGGCTTAAGGATGAGTCACATCTACCCTGCTCTCGAGGCATCCCTGGATTGGAGTGGTGGCAGACAGGGACAGTGGCAAGTATTCTGAAAGAGGTATACACATTTCGGGGCTGAGAGGCTAAAATGAGAATGGCGCAGGGGACGGGGAAGGCTTCTCTGCACACAGCTGCTGGGATCTGAGGATCAAAAGATGAGGCTGAAATGGACCAGGCAGAAACAAGGGGAGGCGCGCTCCAGGCAGGAGGACCAGCAGGTGCAATGGCCTGGAGGTAGGACAGCATGAGGCAAGGCAGGCGGACGGTGATGAAAGAGGCACAGAGTCTGAGGATGCGGGCGGCGGCGGGGGCGGGTGGAGAAGAGCACAGCAGGTGGGGCCAGACCACGCAGCCTCTCCAGAGTTTTCTGAGGTGCTGGGGGGGGCCATGGGAGGGGCAGGCCGTGCTCCGTCCAGTGGCTGTTGCCGTGAGGGGTGTTCGGGTGCGAAGGCGGCCAACATCTTGCTCCAGGCAGAGTAAGGCAGAGTCAAGGGAAGTGCTGACGGGGCCAGGGAGCTGCCTTACCTTGGAGCTTCTGGTTAGGGGAGATAACGCCTTCCCTAAACATGTAAGCCCCAGATCAGGGTGGGTCTGTTACTACCAGCAAAGGCATCCTGTCAAACCTGGGCCCTGCCCTGGAGGGACTAATGTGCATTTATGAAGGTAACACAGGCATCACCCAGCATCTCACCGCAAAGGCCTTCAGAGCCTTCTAGACCAAGGACATTTCCTCTACAGAGACCGAGACCTGATGTGCTTCCTGTACAAGCCCCAGCAGCCCTGAATCCTCAGAAAGCCTTCTGAAGGCTGGGTGCAATGCCTCCCGCCTCTAATCCCAGCACTTTGGGAGGCTGAGACAGGCAGATCACTTGAGCCCAGGAATCTGAGACCAGCCTGGGTAACACAGGCTCATACCTGTAATCCCAGCACTTTGGGAGGCCGAGGCAGGTGGATCACTTGAGGTCAGGAGTTTGGGACCAGCCTGGCCAACATGGCAAAATCCCATATCTACTAAAAATACAAAAATTAGCCGGGCATGGTGGTGCACACCTGTAGTCCCAGCTACTAGGGAGGCTGAGGCAGGAGAATCGCTTGAACCTGGGAGGTAGAGGTTGCAGTGAGCTGAGATCCTGACACTGCACTCAGCCTGGGCCATACAGCAAGACTCCATCTCAAAAAACACTGGTTACACACTGAAATAATAGTTTGGATATACTAGGGTAAAGAAAATATATTAAAATGAATTTCACTGATTATTTTGCTTTTTTAAAAAATATATGGAGACAGGGTCTTGCTGTATTGTCCAGGCTGGAGTGTGGTGGTGCGATCTTGACTCATTGCAACCTCGACCTCCTGGGCTCAAGCGATCGTCCCATCTCAGCCTCCGAAGAAGCTAGGACTACAGGTGCATGCCACCATGCGTGGCTAATTTTAAAAGTTTTTTTGTGGTGGGGAGAGACAGGATCTTGTTGCCTAGGCTGTTCTCAAACTCCTGGGCTCAACCAAACTGCCCGCCTCGGCCCCACAAAGTGCTGGGATTACAGGCGTGAGCTGCCATGCTCAGCCTGTTTTGCTTTTTTTTTTTTTTTGAGACAAAGTCTCTCTCTGTCACCCAGGCTGGAGCGCAGTGGCACAATCTCGGCTCACTGCAACCTCCACCTCCTGGGTTCAAGCGATTCTCCTGCCTCAGCCTCCCGAGTGGCTAGGACTACAGGTGTGCCACGAGGCCCAGCTAATTTGTGTATTTTTAGTAGAGACGGAGTTTCACTATGTTGGCCAGGTTGGTCTCAAACTCCTGACCTCGTGATCCGCCTGCCTCGGCCTCCCAAAGTGCTGGGATTACAGGCGTGAGCCACCATACCTGGCCCCTGTTTTGCTTTTGCAATGTGGCAAGAAAATTTCAACATATGCCGGGCGTGGACAGAGCAAGACTCCGTCTCAAAAAAAGAAAAAAAAAAGAAAATTTCAACATATATATGGCTTGCATTTTGGTGCTGGGTTACACCACTCATATTCTCAAGGTCATCACTATTCCTGGGTGATGAAAATATATTCTTCGTAAATAACAAAATCAAACCCTCTCATTCTCCTGGTCAGCCCCCCTGCTCAGCAGGGCGAACTATTTGGGCCACCAAGACCCTGCCTGAGTTGCCTCCTTACATATTAAGGGTTTGCATGTTCATTTCCTCCTGGATCGGAACACCAGTGCCATGAGGCCAGGGATGTACGGCTGCTTCAGTCCCCACAGTGTTCCCAGGGCCCAGGGCAGCCTGGCACAGGGGAGGTGTTGAATGCGGATTTGTGGACCAAAGCCATCACACAATAACCAGCTGGAAACGGGTGGGGCTGGGGCTCAGGCCTGCATCTGTCCCGTTCTTAAGGGATACCAAATTGAAATCTGTTTGACTTCCTGTGCTCTTCACAGAGGCCAGAGGGATCATGTGAAAACTTGAGTCAGACCCCAGCACTCCTCCAAACCCCTTCCATGGCTCCCAGCAAGTTCGAAGTAAAAGTAAAGTTCTCACTGCAGCCCACAAGGGCCTGCACCATCTACCCTGTTCCCTCTCTGGCCGGTTCTCCTGTCCTCTCTCTCCAAGGCAGGAGCTGCCCTCTCCTCCTCCTAAGTCCCTGCTCCACTACAAGCACAATCCTGCCTCAGGGCCTTTGCACAGGCAGCTCCCTCTTCCAGAGTCATGCATGCACCATTCCCCCACTTAGTTAGATTCTCTGCTCCAATGCCACCTTTTCAGCGACACTCTCTGACCAGCCTATATAAGAGCATCATCCTTAACTCCATCCCCAAGCCCTTTCCTTGCCTCATTTTCCATCAACACCTACTCCCACCTGTCCGGCCCCCAAAATATTCACCTGTGTAGTGGACCATCTCCTCTCTAGAACGTGAGCACCCTAGGGCAGGAACTTCTGCTCACTGCTGTAGCCCCATCACCTAGAACAGTGCCTGGCACCCAGCTGGAACTCAAGAAAGACTGGTTCCATCATTCATTCATTCATTCAACTGGCAATCATCTCCTGAGGCCTCCCATGGGCTAGAACCTACAGAGGACAAAGCTGGAGTGAGACCCAGGGCCTGGGCTCGATGTCACCACTGCAGTGGATCACCATTTGGAGTGGGATGTGCTCTGATGGAAGAGCTCAGGGCAGTGTGCAGCCAGCACCCCGCTCCCATTGGCTCACTCGTCCAACTCTCCTAAGGCCCACTCCAGCCAGACTCTGCCTAGATAGGAGGCAGCCCCAGCCCTTGCTCCCTGTGAGATAATACTTCTGCTGTATTCCTGCTGCAGACAGGACAGAACACGCCCTCGGGCTGGGCCCAGCCTCAACCTCTCCCCCTCCTTATCTGCAGAATTTGCCCTCCCTGCCCTCCTTAGAGCCTGCCTTTCACCTTCTAGACCCTTCC
This sequence comes from Homo sapiens, assembly GCF_000001405.40. Taxonomy (NCBI): domain Eukaryota; kingdom Metazoa; phylum Chordata; class Mammalia; order Primates; family Hominidae; genus Homo; species Homo sapiens. Next base: position 49,773,089 of record NC_000019.10, on the reverse strand, counting down.
CCATAGCCCCACTGTGCCCTTCAGATCCTCCTGCTGGCTGGCTCCACACTCTTCCCTCTGCTGCTCTCTGAGCCCTGCCTCTCCCCACCTCCTCCTCCGCATCCCTCCGCCCTTCTCTTCCCTCGCTCCTGCTTGAAACCTTCTCCAGAGCTCTCAGGACAAACACGGACCTAGCCTCTGCCCACTCCCCAGCGTCAGATCCCATCCCTCTCTGCACCAGCCACACAGCCCTTTTCTCAGGGTCTCACTGGGGCATCAGGGCCTTTTTTTGTTTCCAGAAAGAATTCTTGGGCCGGGCGCGGTGGCTCACGCCTGTAATCCCAGCACTTTGGGAGGCCGAGACGGGCGGATCACGAGGTCAGGAGATTGAGGCCATCCTGGCTAACACAGTGAAACCCCATCTCTACTAAAAAAAAAATACAAAAAATTAGCCGGGCGTGTTGGCGGGCGCCTGTAGTCCCAGCTACTCGGGAGGCTGAGGCAGGAGAATGGCATGAACCCGGGAGGCAGAACTTGCAGTGAGCCGAGATCGCACCACCGCACTCCAGCCTGGGGGACAGAGCGAGACTCCGTTTCCAAAAAAAAAAAAGAATTCTTGAAAATAGAGAAGGGGGCCAGGCACTGAGCCTCACTCCTGTAATCCCAGCACTTCGGGAGGCCGAGGTAGGCAGATCACTTGAGCCCAGGAATTTGAGACCAGCCCGGGCAACATAATAAAAACCCATCTCCGTGAACCCGGGAGGTGGAGCTTGCAGTGAGCGGAGATCGCGCCACTGCACTCCAGCCTGGGCGACAGAGCAAGACTCCATCTCAAAAAAAAAAAAAAAAAAAAAAAAAAAAAAACTCTATGAAAAATACAAAAAAATTTGCTGGGCATGATGGCATGTGCCTATAGTCCCAGCTACTTAGGAGGCTGAGGCGGGAGGATAGCTTGATCCCAGGAGGAGGAGGTTGCAGCGAGCTGAGATCGCACCACTGTACTCCAGCCGGGATGACAGAGCCAGACTCTGTCAAAAAAAAGAAAGAGAGACAGGGTCTTGCTATGTTGCCAAGGCTGGTCTCAAATTCCTGGCCTCAAGCAATCCTTCTGCCTCCACCTCCTGAGTAGCTGGGACTAGATAGAGATGCCCGCCATGGCGTCCGGAAGTCAGGACCTTTGCACTTGCCCCGCCTCTGCCTTCACAGCTCTTCTCACTGCCCTCAGCCTAGGTAACTCCCCTACTTCCTGCCCACACAGCTCCAAAGGTCTCTTGTGAAGCAAAGCCAGGCCGCAGCTCGCTGACCACACAGAATCCCCATTCTCTCAACACCATGGCCCTCTTCCTCACTGGGCTTAGGACAGCTGCAAATTCTTTCCCCATTTAAAAAAAAATCGAGATACGGCCAGGCGCGGTGGCTCACACCTGTAATCTCAGCATTTTGTGAGGCTGAAGCAGGCAGATCACTCGAGATCAGGAGTTCGAGACCAGCCTGGCCAACATGGTGAAACCCTGTCTCTACTAAAAATACAAAAATCAGCGGGGCATAGTGGCGGGCGCCTATAATCCCAGCTACTCGGGAGGCTGAGGCAGGAGAATCGCTTGAACCTGGGAAATGGAGGGTGCAGTGAGCCAAGATCGCGCCATTTTTGTGACTGTCACAAAAAAAAAGAGATACAATTCACATACCATAAAATTGACCCTTTTACAGTGAACAATTCAGCGTTCTTTAGTACATTCATGATGTTGTGCAACCATTACTACTATCGAATTCCAGGACCTTTCTTTTTTTTTTTTTTTTTTTTTTTAAGAGATGAGGTTTCACTATGTGGCCCGGGCTGGATTCGAACTCCTGGGTTCAAATGATCCTCCTACCTCAGTCTCCCAAGTAGCTGGGACTACAAGCATGTGCCGTGTCCAGCTGTAGGCTTTTTCATGAACCCAAAAGAAGCTCTGAATGCTGCCGGGCATGGTAGCTCACACCTGTAATCCTAGCACTTTGGAAGGCTGGGGTAGTGGATCACCTGAGGCCAGGAGTTCGAGACCATCCTGACCAACATGTAAAAACCCCGTCTCTACTAAAAGTACAAAAATTAGCCAGGTGTGGTGGCACACGCCTGTAATCCCAGCTACTCAGGAAGCTGAGGCAGGAGAATCGCCTGAACTTGGGAGGCAGAGGTTGCAGTAAGCCGAGATCACCCCATTGCACTCCAGCCTGGGCGACAGAGTGAGACTCCATCTCAAAAAATAAAAAAAGAACCTATGCATTCATGAGCAGTCACTCCCCATCCCACCAGCCCCTACTCTAGGCAACCACTAATCTTTCTGTCTCCATGGATCTGCCTATTCAAGATACTCTATCAACATGGAATCATACAACACGTGGCCTCCTGTGTCTGGCTTCTTTCACTTGGTGTCATGTTTTCAAGGTCCATCCCTGTGGCAGCATGTAGCAGGACGTCATTATTTTTTAAGGCCCGGTAATATTCCACTACATAGACCACACTTTATTTCTCAGTTGATGGGCATTTGGCCCGTTTCTGTTTTCCGGCTATCATGAATAATGTTGCAGTGAACATCCGTGTCCAGGTATTAGTGTGAAGGACTACTGCAATTTGTATGTTGCACCTTCTCCCCCACAGGGCTGGGAGCTTCATGGAGGGGGTGGACAAGTCTGTCCTGTTCACCAGTGTCCCCAGCATTCAGCACAATTCTTGAGACATACCAGCCGTTCAACATACGCTTGCTAAGAAAAGGCTCCTGATTCTCCAGCCCTAATTCCTGTGGCTAAATTACTACCAGTGCCCCAAGCCTGCATCTCCCCTCTGTCCTCTGGCTCGTCTCTGGGGTCCTGCAGTGACGGGACGATCTCTTTCCTTCCCCAACCCCCATCATCAAATCCCTTTGCAAATCCTGACAGTTTTTCCTTCAAGTTGTATCCCAGGCTGGGTGCAGTGGCTCACGCTTATAATGCCAGCACTTTGGGAGGCCAAGGCGGGCAGATCACTTGAGGTTGGGAGTTCGAGACCAGCCTGGCCAACATGGGGAAACCCTGCGTCTACTAAAAATACAAAAATTAGCCAAGCGTGGTGGCGGGTGCCTGTAATCCCAGCTACCGGGGAGGCTGAGGCACGAGAATTGCTTGAACCTGGGAGGCGGAGGTTGCAGTGAGGTATGATCGTGCCACTGCACTCCAACCTGGGCAACAGAGACTGTCTCGGAAAAAAAAATGTATCACCAACCCATTTCTCACCAGTCCCTTCTCACCCTGTTAAGCCAGCACCATCTCTCACCCAGAGGCCTGCAACACCCTCCTAATTTGGTTCCCTGCTTCCATGGCTACCTCTAGAATCTGTTCTCACAGCAGCCAGAGGAATTATCTTAAAACATCAATCGGTCACATCCCTCCCCTGCTCAAAATATTCTCATGCAGACAAAGGCCAAAGTGCTCACCATGGCCCAGAAAGCCTTTCCCGATCCTGTTCCCACTCCCCTCCACACCCGCCCTCTCTCCCCTTCACTCCCACAGCTTCAGCCACACTGACCTTCTCCCTCTCGCTCGAACACATGTCAAGCATGCCGCAACCTCAGGACCTCTGAATGCACCTCCCTGTGCCAGGACCCCTTTCCTCCAAAATCCACAGGGCTTGCTCCACTCAGATATGACTTCCTCCACGAGGCCTACTGAGTACCCTCTCCATCCTAGTCCCTCTCCCGACCATTTCCTCCTTATTTTTCTTCACAGAACCAGTCAGGTCCTGAGGTTGTATATCAGGGTGTTCCCTGTGCATATGTTCTGTCTTCCTCGGGGAAGGGAGCTCCCAAGGACAGGAGTTTCTTTTTCTTTTTTTTTATTTTTGGAGACGGAGTTTCACTCTTGTTGCCCAGCCTGGAGTGCAATGGTGTGAATCTCGGCTCATTGCAACCTCTGCCTCCCGGGTTCAAGCGATTCTCCTGCCTCAGCCTCCTGAGTAGCTGGGATTACAGGCACCCACCACCACACCTGGCTAATTTTTGTATTTTTAGTAGAGATGGAGTTTCACCATGTTGGCCAGGTTGGTCTTGAACTCCTGACCTCAGGTGATCCGCCTACCTCGGCCCCCCAAAGTGCTGGGATGACAGGCATGAGCCACCATGACCAGCAAGAACAGGAATTTCTGTTCACTATTGTCACCCCAGTACCTAGAACAGGGCCTGGACAACACTAGAGCAATCAAAAAGTATTTGTCAAGTGAATGAATGAATAAATGAGCCTTCAGAGGCAAGACACTGTTATGAATGAAGTTTGCAGACAAGAAAACGTCCTGAAAGAGGTTAAACAACTCGTGGAGGGTCACATCCCTGGTGGGTAACAGAGGCAGCCCCCGTCTGCTAACAGTGGCTCCCAGCTCCTCCACAACCCCCATAGCCCCGCCCCTTATCATAACAAGTGATCATTTCTCCTCCAACTGATACTCAACTGTTTCCACCCTCCTGTTCCCTGAGCACCTATTACATGCCAGATCCTTCCATAACAGTTAAATTCTAAAACAACAACCATCACTGGGTACTTTACAGGGCTGCTGTTCAGAGCCAACGGAGTAAAAACAATAGCCAAGTTCCATCTGGGGCCTGGAACGAGTGAAAGGCCTGAGGGGCATTGTCACAAGCCCCTCAGGAAGATACTATCAGCAGTCTCTCTTGACAGATGAGGAAACCGAGAGGTGAAGTCCCTCATTCAAGGTCACACAGCCAGGGAGTGGCAGTGCTCAAACGCAAACCCAAGTCTGGCTGACCCCAGAGCCCATGCGGATGCAGCCTCTGAAGACTCCTGGCAGCTCCAATCACCCACAGCCATTCCCAGGAGTTGAGAGCTGACTTGCCGCCAGGATTCCCATCGTCACGACAACTCTTCCTGGCAGGGACCACCGTCCCCATATTACTGTGGTCAAATAGAAAAGGGCTCAGATCCCTGCCTGTCCTGCTGCCTGACCCCTGACCTCTCTCTGGGATTAGACTTCCCCTATTCCCAGCTTTCCAGATATCTACCCCTCAAGCACTTCAGAACCCAACGCCTTCCTTGAGGTCTGGGCGCTCCTTCTTCTACCCTTTCCCCAATCCCCTACTCTAATGTCCTCTTCTTTCCTGGCCCCCCGTTCCCTGTCACAGGTTCTCCCAAGACCTTACACCGACAGCTCTTTTCCTCTGTGTTCCTTGGGTCCCTCCTTTCCCCTCAGCTGCCCCTCTAGCCCCCTCCACACTGCCTTCCATGTCTTCTAGGCAATCTCCCACCCTGAAGCCCCTCTATCCTTCACCAGGGTGTCCTTATAGTCTCCCCGTCCCATCATCTCCCTGCCCCAAACTCATGGACTTTCAACCACTCTCAGGCCTCCTCTATACCACTGGCCAGGAGCCTCGGTGACCTATCTAACCCCTTTCCCCTGTATGACACCCCCTATCCCAGGTCCTCAAGCCCTGCTTCATTAGGCTTCCGGCATTCCACTTCCTCCAGGTCCCCTCTGGCCTCTTCCCATTCCATCGCTCCACAGGGCACCCCCGCCATACACTTCTTTCACTTCTTCTCTACATTGGGAATCCCTCTAACCCCATCGTTTGTAAGATCCCCCAGCTTTTCAGTCTTTCCCAGGGGACACCTCTATGCTCCCATCCCCGGGACCTCACTGGCTTCCTCCCCTTTCAAGCCCTCCCGGACCCCTCTAGCTACTCCGTGTCGTCACCTCAAGAGGCACTCTATGACACCCCAAGCCCCTACGTGCCCCCCACTCTAAAGTTCTTCCTGGGGCCCATCTATGCTGTCCCTATACGGCCGCAGAGGCTTTTGATCCCCCGGGTCCCTCTGTGATCCCCAAACCCCTCAATTTCACGCTCCCCCCTCCCCCGCGTCTCCAGTGTCCCCCGGCCGCGCGCTCACAGTTCCGGATGTCGGAGATGAACACCGCGAGCCCCCGCATCCCATCGCCCTTGGACACGGCCGGCATGATGGCGGTGGTGTCGGCTCCAGGCCTGGCCGGACAGGGCACAGAGCAGCGGGGGCTGGCAAGCGGGGACCGGGCGGAAAGGACCCCAGGCAGCGCCAAGGAGCCGAGCCGGCCGCGGGGAGGGCTGGCTGGCGGGCGGGCGGGCGGGCTGGCAGGCCGTGGCACCGCCCCCTGCCCCTCCCCTCCGCCCGCGGTCCGGAGCTCTGAGCCGCCCACTGGCTTGAGCTCCTGCCGCTCACAGGCGGGTTTCTCCCCCACTTCCTCTCTCATTGGCCGCCAAGCAAAGGCACGACGCTACGATTGGCCCAGTGTTCCGCTATTTCCGTTTGGGAGCTGGGGAGGGGGGGGAGGAGGCGTTGCCCGAGAGACGGGCGGGGTTCGATTGCGTATCATGGGCCCGCCCCCTCCGCGCGGCCAGGTCAAACACTGATTGGATCTAGCGGCTCTCCAAGGAGGAAGGGAGGGACGTGAAGGAAGGCGGGGAACGGTCCTAGGAGGCGGGACTTAGGTTGACTGGGACCAATGAACGGGTAGACCTGCCCCGCAGGCGTCGCGGATTGGCGAGATCTGTCCTACTTCAGCCCTCCATTGGGCGGCTGTGGGGCGGGCGGAAGGCGAAGATCAGTAGAGAAGGAAAGAGGGGAGGGTGTCACTCCGCTCGGCTGGGATAGGTGGAGCGACGCCTGCAATTCCCTGCTGCAGAGAAGGGGTTGGGCGAGGCAAGAGAGCGTGCGGTGTTTACTGCGCAAGCGTCTCCGTGTTCCCTTTCTCCCTCCACTGTCACCCCCGACTGCTGAAATCCTCTTCTAGGAAGCCTTCCTCCCCTCCCCCCTTCTCTGCAGCCAACGTGTCGGGACTTGAGTTGTCAGGAGACCTAGAATCTCAGAGTGAAAAACAGTAATTCAAGGCTAGTCCCATTAAGCAGAAGTTAAAACTTAGGTCGAGAGGGCGAATGACTTGCCCAGGGCCACACAGCTTGGAAGTGAAAAAGCAGAAATAAACGTAAACCGTATCTTGGCTTACTTTTCAATATATGTTGCCTTTTTTTTTTTGTCCAACCGCAGTGTCTCTCGGGCAGCCTCCATTGTAGCAGATATCAAACCAAAATTGATTGTCTCCTCCAGACTGGGAACTCCTTCTGGGCAAGAATGGGACCTGGCCTTGAACAGTTTCAACAACATTTGTTAAAAGAAGAAATAGGTGAATCTGCTTTGGCCCAGCCCCAGCCTCCATCCCCAACCCCCAGCTCCCCAGAGACTCTTTGGTAAACTGGCTTTGGGGAAGGCAAAACGGCCAGAACTCCCAACGCCCCAGGAGATTGAGAAATTTGGGACAAAGGGAACTGGAAGAGTCCATTTCTGTCACCTGTAGGAACAAAACTCCACCCCATCAGCCTTTTCTAATCTCAGAAGCCAAGAATTCCTGGAATGAGCCTTGGGGGTGTGTTCTGGACCTTTGGAATGGCCATTCTGAATCCTGGGAGATGGAAAGGAGGTTGAGAAGAGCCCACCTTCCAGGCTCAATGGATGCGTCCATTTGGGTTTCCAGGAATGGGGCCTGGGAAAGTCCATTTTGGATTCCAGGAGGACAGAAATTGCTCAGCTGTTTTAGTCACAGGGAGAGTCCATTTCTAATATGGGAGGGGGGTGCTGTTTGCCCCTGAAGAACATAAAGCAGCCCCATTAAACACAAGAAAAATTATTAATCCCAGGACTTGAAGTTCTTTTTTTTTTTTTTTGAGATGGAGTCTCGCTCTGTCGCCCAGGCTGGGGTGCAGTGGCGCGATCTCAGCTCACTGCAACCTCCGCCTCCCGGGTTCACGCCATTCTCCTGCCTCAGCCTCCCAAGTAGCTGGGACTACAGGCGCACGCCACCATGCCTGGCTAATTTTTTGTGTTTTTAGTAGAGACGGGGTTTCACCGTGTTAGCCAGGATGGTCTCGATCTCCTGACCTTGTGATCCGCCCACCTCGGCCTCCCAAAGTGCTGGAATTACAGGCGTGAGCCACTGCGCCCGGCCTTTTTTTTTTTTCTTTTTTTTGAGACAGAGTCTCTCTCTGTCCCCCAGGCTGGAGTTCAGTGACTCAATCTCGGCTCACTGTAACCTCTTCCTCCCGAGTTAAAGCGATTTTCCTGCCTCAGCCTCCTAAGTAGCTGGGATTACAGGCACCCGTCATCATGCTCGCCTAATTTTTGTATTTTTGTAGAGACAGTGTTTCACTATGTTGGCCAGGCTGGTCTTGAACTCCTAACCTCAGGTGATCCGCCCGCCTCGGCCTCCCAAAGTGCTGGGATTACAGGTGTGAGACACCGCGCCCAGCCAGGAGTTCTTTATTATAGAAAGATTAAGTGTTCCAAGAACTGGAGTCCATTCATGACCAGGAAGAAGTACTTTCTCCCTGGGGATAACAGCATTTAAAATGTCTATTAGCAGTGATGTTTGAACTAGTCTTTTTGAGAAGTGTGAAGAGAACAGGAAAAGTCTGTCCCTAAATAGCAGGGCAGTGCTCGCTTCGACAGCACATGTATTAACATTGGAACGATACAGAGAAGATTAGCATGGGCCCTGCGCAAAGACCACATGCAAATTTGTGACATGTTCCATATATTTTTTAAATACTTTGGGCGGGCGGGGCGCAGTGGCTCACACCTGTAATTCCAATGCTTTGGGAGGCTGAAGTGGGCAGATCACGAGGTCAGGAGTTGGAGACTAGCCTAGCCAACACAGTGAAACCCTGTCTCTACTAAAAATACAAAAAAAAAATTAGATGGGTGTGGTGGCAGGTACCTGTAGTCCCAGCTACTCAGGAGGCTGAGGCAGGAGAATCGCTTGAAACTGGGAGGTAGAGGTTGCAATGAGCCAAGATCACGCCACTGCACTCCAGCCTGGGTGTCAGAGCGAGACTCCATCTAAAAAAAAAAAAAAAAAATTATAGCGGAGCATGGTGGCTCATGTCTGTAATCCCACACTTTGGGAGGCTAAGGCGGGTGGACCATTTGAGGTCGGGAGTTTGAGACCAACTTGGCCAACATGGTGAAACCCGTCTCTACTAAAAATACAAAAATTAGCCGGACATTGTGGCCAGCGCCTGTAGTCCCAGCTACTGGGGAGGCTGAGGCAGGAGAATCGGTTGAACCCCGGGAGGTGGAGGTTGCAATGAGCTGAGATCGCGCCACTGAACTCCAGCCTCCATGACAGAGAGAGACTCTGTCTCAAAAAAAATAAAAAGTATTAAAGAAAATAATAAATAAATAAACGGGGGAGGGGGATACCACCCTCTGTCCTGCCCCAACTCTCTACCTTCCTCTCCTCCCTCACCTTCTACCCTGACCCCGAGGCCCACCGCACCTAGCTTTCTTTTGTTGATCTACCTGTATATTGCCTTTCCCCCGACCCCGACGCCCCATAGAATATGAGACCCTCCAGGTCAGGGTCTGGATCTCAGCCCTCTTCGACCACAGTCTCTCAAACCCCAGCCAATTGTCAAATCCAGGAAGCTACATGAAGAATCAAGAACAAGTGCACAGGGCTGTGTGACCCCACGCTTAGTCTCAGGGAGAGGGAAGTTGGACCTCTCCCAAGAATCCGTGGGCCGACCCATTGTTAAGTTACAGGCTAGCATGAATCCATCCACTGGAGCTCTGAAGACGGGGGGCACATTGGGCATGTAACTAGAATCCTGAACAGGAGGAGTCCACTGAGAACCCTAGGGGAATGACCTGGGCCAGCATCTCTCCCTACCCTGTGCCCCCCACTCACTGGGGCCCAGTGGTTGGGTCCTTTGTGAGGCAGGCTGAGGGGACAGTGGATCCTGAGGGTCTGTGGTCACAGTAGGTAGGAAGTCTCAGAGGAAGGAGCCCCTCCCTGGGAGCCAGACCCCCACACCATGGCGAGCGTGGTGGTGAAGACGATCTGGCAGTCCAAAGAGATCCATGAGGCCGGGGACACCCCCACGGGGGTGGAGAGCTGCTCCCAGCTAGTCCCAGAGGCTCCCCGGAGGGTGACCAGCCGGGCCAAGGGGATCCCGAAGAAAAAGAAGGCCGTGTCGTTCCACGGGTGGGTTTGTTGCACACTGTCAGGGATGGTTCTAATGCCCAGCACTACCTCCAACAGAGCAGGAGTCCGACTGTGGGTGCTAGAGGAAGGGGAGGGGGAAAAGCCAGCAGGTCGGGGGCAGGAAAGAGGGCAGCAGTGAAGAGACATCAAGTCACAGGGAGGTAGAGAGGAAGAAGGTAATGGGGATGGATGGAGGGAGGAAGAAGGTAATGGGGATGGATGGAGAGAGGAAAAAGCCAGTGGGGAGGGAAGAAGGAGAAGGGAGGCTAGTGAATGAAGAAGAAAGTAGGTGGCAGAGAAGGGAGGAGAAAGTAGGCAGCGGGGAAGGAGAAGAAGAAAGTAGACAGTGGTGGTCGGGCACGGTGGCTCACGCCTGTAATCCCAGCACTTTGGGAGGCCGAGGCAGGTGGATCATGAGGTCAGGAGTTCAAAACCAGCTTGGCCAACATGGTGAAAAGCCATCTCTACTAAAAATACTAAAATTAGCTGGGCGTGATGGCACATGCCTATAACCCCAGCTACTCAGGAGGCTGAGGCAGGAGAATTGCTTGAACTGGGACCCGCAGTCGGAGGTTGCAGTGAGCTGAGATCGCGCCACTGCACTCCAGCCTGGGCAACAGAGTGAGACTCTGTCTCAAAAAAAAAAAAAAAAGAAAGAAAGAAAAAAGAAAGAAAGTAGGCAGCACAGGGAAGGAGAATAAAGTAGGCAGCGGGGACAGAGAAGGGAGAAACTTATATACAGTGAGGGTGGAGTCACAGGGGGTGAGGTATGGAGAAAGGAAGGCAGGAGGGCCCAGACACCCTGGGGCTGCTTCTCCACTTTTCTGCCTGTTTCTTCTCTGCAGGGTGGAGCCCCAGATGTCCCATCAGCCCATGCACTGGTGCCTGAACCTCAAACGGTCCTCGGCCTGCACCAACGTGTCACTGCTCAACCTGGCCGCCATGGAGCCCACTGACTCCACGGGGACAGACTCCACAGTGGAAGACCTCAGCGGCCAACTCACACTGGCTGGGCCCCCTGCCTCCCCTACCCTACCCTGGGATCCGGATGACGCAGACATCACGGAAATCCTGGTGAGGGCCCTCCACACCACCCGCTGGGGAGGACCGAGGTCCTCCACAAGGTGGTAGCAAATACTTAGGACGGGGGTGGGGTGTTTTTGACTTGGAGTTAGAATGTTCTGGTCATTCGAGACCCAGAGGAACTAACTGGGAACTGCCTCCTCCTTCTCTGACAGCCAGCCATGAATCTGGGAGTTGGTCTTTTTTTTTTCTTCCTTTAGAGACAGTCTCACTGTGTTGCCCAAGATGGTCTCAAACTCCTGGGCTCAAGTGATCCTCCCACCTCGGCCTCCCACAGTGCTGGGATTACAGGCGAGAGCCCCCGTGCCTGGCCTGGGTGGTCTTCAGTTCACACAGTCACTCCCAAATGTCCCCAGTGAGGCTGGGCTCAGGAAACAGGCCAGATCCCTGTGCTTGGGGAGCTCCCAGTCTGGTGGGGGCAAAAGACACAGACTAGGGTGAGAAATTCCCTAACGGAGGAGATCCCAGAGAAAGGCCCCTCAAGCCAGGCTGGGGGGTACCAGGGAAAGCTTCCTGGAGGAGGATGTCTTGCAACTGGACCTTAGTGAGTGAGTAGGAGTTCTCTGAGGGGAGTCAGCTAAGAATCTGGGGCAAAACTGAGAGATGAGCAAGATTTAGGGGGACTTAGGGAATTTCTGGCAAAAGTATAGAGGGTTACAAATGGGTCCTTTAACTCACTGCACCTCTGATCCTCACCCCCCACCTGGCTTCCCCTGGGCCAGGCCTAAAACAGGCTCTACCAGATACTGAGAACCACATTAACAATAGCCATGATCTTAATGATGCTGATAAGATTCACTAGCACTTTCTATGTTCAGGGAGCCCTGGTTTCCTCATCTGTAAAACGGAGATGCATACATTCGTTCCTTTATTTTTAAATTTTATTTATTTATTTATTTATTGAGACAGAGTTTCGCTCTTGTTGCCCAGGCTGGAGTGCAATGGCGTGATCTTGGCTCACAGCAACCTCTGCTTCCCGGCCGGGTTCAAGCCATTCTCCTGCCTCAGCCTCCCGAGTAGCTGGGACTACAGGCATGTGCCACCACACCCAGCTAATTTTGTATTTTTAGTAGAAACAGGGTTTCTCCATGTTGGTCAGGCTGGTCTCGAACTCCGGACCTCAGGTGATCTGCCCACCTCGGCCTCCCAAAGTGCTGAGATTACAGGCGTGAGCCACCACGCCCAGCTTTTGTTTATTTATTTTTAAGGCAGGGTCTTGCTCTGTCTCCCAGGCTGGAGTGCAGTGGCACAATCACAACTCACTGCAGCCTCGAACTCCTGGGTTCAAAGGATCCTCCCATCTCAGCCTTCTGAGTAGCTGGGACCACAGGCACACACCTGGCTGATTAAAAAAAAATTTTTTGTAGGCCAGGCGCAGTGACCTATAATCTCAGCACTTTGGGAGGCCGAGGCGGGTGGATCATGAGGTCAGGAGTTCGAGACCAGTCTGGCCAATATGGTGAAACCCCGTCTCTACTAAAAATACAAAAATTAGCTGGGCCTGATGGTGTGTGCCTGTGGTGGTGGGCGCCTGTAGTCCCAGCTACTGTGGAGGCTGAGGCAGGAGAATTGCTTGAACCCGGGAGGCGGAGGTTGCAGTGAGCCGAGATCACGCCACTGCACTCCAGCCTGGGCGACACAGCGAGAGTCTGTCAAAAAAAAAATAATAACAATAATAATAATTTTTGTAGAGACAGGGTCTCACAATGTTGTGCAATCTGGTCTTAAACTCAAGCAATTTTTGGGCCTCAGCCTCCCAAAGTGCTGGGATTACAGGAGTGCAACACCATGCCCAGCCACATTTATTCTTTTTAACAAATATCTCTTTTCCTTTCTTTATTTTTTGAGATGGAGTCTCACTCTGTAGCCAGGCTGGAGTACAGTGGTGCGATCTTGGCTCACTGCAAACTCCACCTCTTGGGTTCAAGTGATTCTCCCACCTCAGCCTTCCAAGTAGCTGGGATTACAAGAGCGCCACCACACCTGACTAATTTTTGTATTTTTAGTAGAGATGGGGTTTCACCATGTTGGCCAGGCTGGTCTCGAACTCCTGACCTCAGATGACCGCCCACCTCAGCCTCCCAAAGTGCTAGGATTACGGGCATGAACCACCGCACCTGGCCTCTCTTTTTCTTTCTTTTTATTTTATTTTATTTTTTTGAGACAGGGTCTCACTCTATTGCCCAGGCTGGAGTGCACTGGCATGATAATAGCTCACTGCAACCTCAAACCCTTGGGCTTAAGCGATCTTTCCACCTTGACCTCCCAAGTAGCTGGGACTGCAGGTGTACACCACCGTGCCCAGCTAAACAAATTTTTTTCTTTCTTTCGGTTTTTTTTTTTTTTTGAGACTGGGTCTTGTTCTGTTGCCCAGGCTGGAGTGACAGCATGACAGTCCAGGCACAATCTTGGCTCACTGTAGCCTTGGCCTCCCCAGGCCCAGGTGATCCTCCCACCTCAGCCTCCCGAGTAGCTGTAACTACAGGCACATGCCACACACCCAGGTAATTTTTTTTTTTTTTTTTTGGAAATGGAGTCTCGCTCTGTTGCCAGGCTGCAGTGCAGTGGTGTGATCTCAGCTCACTGCAACCTCCACCTCCCAGGTTCAAGCCATTCTTCTGCCTCAGCCTCCCGAGTAGCTGGGACTACAGGTGTGTGCCACCACGCCCGGCTAATTTTTGTATTTTTAGTAGAGACGGGGTTTCACCATGTTGGCCAGGATGGTCTTGATCTCTTGACCTTGTCATCTGCCTGCCTCAGCCTCCCAAACTGCTGGGATTACAGGCATGAGCCACCGCTCCCGGCTTCACCCAGCTAATTTTTTAAAAAAATATTTGAGGCCGGGCTTCGTGGCTCATGCCTGTAATCCCAGCACTTTGGGAGGCTGAGGCAGGCAGATCACCTGAGGTCGGTAATTCCAGACCAGGCTGATCAACATGGAGAAACCCCATCTCTACTAAAAATATACAATTAGCCGGACGTGGTGGCACATGCCTGTAATCCCAGCTATGTGGGAGGCTGAGGCAGAAGAATCGCTTGAACCTGGGAGGCAGAGGTTGCAGTGAACCGAAATCGTGCCATTGCACTCCAGCCTGGGCAACAAGAGCAAAACTCCGTCTCAAAAAAAAAAAAGAAACAACTAAGGTAGACAGTGGTGTAGTAACCTCCACAAGGTCAAGGTTGGAGGGGTTGTAAGAAGCAGGACCAAGACAAGAAGGCTGCTGCTTTTGTCACTAATGCAAAAGGGCTTTCTCTCCCCAAGACTCCCTTGGGCTGAGTGGGGGATGTTTGGAGGGGAGAGACTGAGGCAGGGAGGCCAGAGGGGAGCCTGGGCGAGGGTCCAGGGAAGGAGGAGGAGCTGCAGAGAACAGGGCAAAGAGTCTGGGCTGGGAAGGATGTCTGGGAGACATCTCCTCCCTCAGACAGAAGAGCTCTCCGCCCTGTCTTGGGGAGTGTCCCTCAGGCAGCACTTGCAGCCGTTTGCCTCCCACCAGAGCTATTTCTGAGTCACATCCCCCACTGGATCGTGAAGCCTGAGAAAGTACCCCAGGCAGCCAGGATCAAGGTCTGACACAGCTGCCAGCTCGCTGTGGGGCTGCAGGGGAGTGTCGGCCTCTAACGGGCTTCAAGTTCCTTCTCTGTGAAATGGAAAAAGTAATGACCTTGGGGTGCCTGCTGGAGAGGTGAGGGGGGCAGCAGGAGCTGGAACCAGCACCCAGCACCTGAGCTGCATCCAGAGAGAAGGCGGGGACAGGCAGAGAGAAGGACACAGAGACCCAGAGAGAGAGGGAGACAGAGACCCAGAGAGAGAGAGGGGAACAGAGACCCAGAGAGAGGGGAAGGGAGACCAGGGAGAGGGGGACAGAGACCCAGAGAGTGGGGGACAGAGACCAAGAGAGAGGAGGACAGAGACCCAGAGAGAGAGGAGGACAGAGACCCAGAGACAGAGGGGGGCACATGCCTGTAATCCCAGCTACTCGGGAGGCTGAGGCAGGAGAATCGCTTGAACTCGGGAGGTGGAGGTTGCAGAGAGCCGAGATCGTGCCACTGCACTCCAGCCTGGTGACAGAGTGAGACTCTATCTCAAAAAAAAAAAAAAAAAAAGAAGACAGAGACCTAAAGAGTAGAAAGGCAGAGACTCAGGAAAAATAAGTCAGAGACTCTGAGATTTGGGGGACAGAGCTGAATCAGGGTGAGACAGAAGACCAGAAATAGAGGAGGGGGATAGAGACCCAGAGAGAGAAGGAACAGACACAGGGGCTGGGTGGGGACAGAGAACTGGAAAGAGGGGGACAGAGAACCAGGCGGTGATGGAGACCCTGGTTGAGAGAGTGTCAGTTTCCAGGTAGGAGGAAGGACAATGGGAACCCTGTGAAGGTAGTTGTTAGTTATATCTCCATTTCACAGGTAGGGAAGCAGAGGCACAGAGAGGTGAAGTCCTCTCCATGAGGTCATACGGCTAGTAACTGGGAGAAATTAGTTGGCCCTAGGTCCTGTTGCCTTGGTTTCCAGAACAATTACCCACAGGAAACCCAAGACCTTCTGAGTCTTCAGGTTAGAAAGACACTTTGTGTAATGCTTTCTATTGCTGTGAAACCAATTACACCAAAACTTCAAACAACAAACTTGGAGGGGCTCAGCTGGGTGGGCCTGGCTCAGGGCGTCTCACGAGGTTGCAAACAAGATTTTGGCTGGGGCTGCAGTCACCTGAAGGTTGGACTGGGGCCAGAGGTTGTGCTACCAAAATGGGGCACTCACCTGCCCTTGGCTGGAGGCCTCAATTCCTTGCTACATGGGCCTCTTCATAGGTGGCTGCTTATGACATTGAGGCTATCGTTCCCTAGATGAAGAGAGAGCAAATAAGAAACAGTTCCTCTTATGAAGTAGTCTCTTACCTCACATATCATCAATTCTACTTTATTCTATTTTTTTATTTTTTGAGACAGAGTCTCTGTCACCTAGGCTGGAGTGCAGTGGCGCAATCTCGGCTTACTGCAGCCTGTGCCTCTCAGGTTCAAGCAATTGTCTTGCCTTAGCCTCCTGAGTAGCTGGCATTACAGGTGTGCACCACCATGCCCAGCTAATTTTTGTATTTTTTGTAGAAACAGGGTTTCACCATGTTGGCCAGGCTGGTCCTGAACTCCTGACCTCAGGTGATCCACCTGCCTCGGCCTCCCAAAGTGCTGGGATTACAAGCATGAGCCACCACAACTAGCCTGCCTTATTCTATTTCCTGGGTGTGAGTCACCAAGTCCAGCTCATACTCAAGTGAGGCAAATAAGGCTCCACGTTTTAAAGGAATGTGAAAGAATTTATGGACATATTTTAAACTATCACATTTTGTGGGATTTTTGTAGCTGCCCTTTATTGGGATGAGGAAGTTCCTTTCTTCCTTTCTATTTCTAGTTTGTGGAGTGTTTTTTTTTTTTTAATCATGAGTGGTATTTTGTCAAAAGCTTTTTCTCAACTGACATGATCATGTGTTTTTTTTCCCTTTTATTCTATTAATATGGTATGTAACATTTATTTGTTTTTAGAGACAGAGTCTTGCTCCATTGCCCAGGTTGGAGTGCAATGGTGCCATCATAGCTCACTGCAGCCTCAACCTCCTGGGCTCAAACAGTCCTCCCACCTCAGCATCCCAAGGAGCTGAGACCACAAGCACATGCCACTGTACCCAGATAATTTTTAAATTTTTTGGTAGAGATGGAGTCTCACTATGTTGACCTGGCTGGTCTAGAATTTCTGGCCTCAGGTGATCCTCCTGTCTCAGCTTCTCAAATTGCTGGGATGAGCCACCATGCCCAGTCATTGGTTGATTTTAGTATGTTGAACCAACCTTGCATTCCTGGGATAATTCCCAGTTGGTCACCATGTATAATCCTTTTTACATGCTGTTGGATTTGGTTTGCTAGTATTTCGTTGATGATTTTTGTGACCATATTCATAAAGGATATTGGTCTGTGGTTTTCTTTCTTTCTTTTCTTTTTTTTTGAGATGGAGTCTCGCTCTGTCGCCCACACTAGAATGCAATGGCACGATCTCGGCTCACTGCAACCTCCGCCTCCCAGGTTCAAGCGATTCTCCTGCCTCAGCCTCCCAAGTAGCTGGGACTACAGGTGCCTACCACCGCGCCAGGCTAATTTTTGCATTTTTAGTAGAGACAGGGTTTCACCATCTTGGCCAGGCTGGTTTCAAACTCCTAACCTCATAATCCACCCACTTTGGCCTCCCAAAGTGCTGGGATTACAGGCATCAGCCACCAAGCCCAGCCACCTGGCCCATTTTATCCTATTTTAAAAGTGTTTTTATTTTCATTTTTATTTTTAGAGACGCAGGTGTTACTTTGTTGCCCAGGCTGGTCTCAAACTCCTGGGCTCAAGCGATCCTCCCATCTTGGCCTCCCAAAGTGCTGGAAATACAGGTGTGAGCCACCATGTCCAGCCTTCTTATTGTTGTTTTTTATGAGACAGGGTTTTGCTATGTTGGCCAGGCTGGTCTTGAGCTCTTGGTCTCAAGTAATACACCCTCCTCAGCCTCCCAAAGTCCTGGGATGACAGCAGTGAGTCACTTGGCCCGGCCCCTGGAGCCTATTTGGAGTTCATTTGGCTTCTTGGATGTGTGGATTTATGTTCAAATCATCAAGTTTTGGAAGTTTTCAACCATTATTTCTTCAAATATTCTTTCTGCCCCTTTCTTTCCTTCTGGGACTCCCAGATCCATAGGTCTCTGAGGCTGTATTCATTCTTCTTCATTCTTTTTGTTTTCATGTTTCTCAGGCTGGATAATCAAAGTTGAGCTATGTTCAAGTTCACTGAATCATTATTCTGCTACAGAGCCCCCTCTAGTACATTTTTCACTTTGGTTATTGTACTTTTCAACCCTAGAATTTCTTTTTTGAGACGGAGTCTCTCTCTGTTGCCAGGCTGGAGTGCAGTAGTGTGATCTCAGCTCATTGCAACCTCTGCCTCCTGGGTTCAAGCGATTCTGCTGCCTCAGCCTCCCGAGTAGCTGGCTCTACAGGTGCACACCCCATCCCCGGCTAATTTTTGTATTTTTAGTAGAGACGGGGTTTCACCTTGTTGGCCAGGATGTTCTTGATCTCTTGACCTCGTGATCCGCCTGCCTTGGCCTCCCAAAGTGCTGGGATTACAGGTGTGAGCCATTGCGCCTGGCCCTTCAACCCTATAATTTCTATTTGGTTTCTTTTAATAATGTTTGTCTCTTTAGTGATATGCCCTATTTGGTGAGACATTATTCTCTCAATTTCCTTTAGTTATTTAGGAATGGTTTCCTTTAGCACTTCGAACATATTTAAAGTAGCTGATTTAAAGTGTTTGCCTAGTAAGTCCAAATCTGCCCCCGCCATCCTACCCCTGAACAGTTTCTCTTGACTGCTTGTTTGTCCTCCATTGTATAGGCCATAGTTTTTTTTCTTTGCATGCCTTATAACTTTTTTGTTGAAAACTGGCCATTTTTTATTTTTTATTTTTTTTGAGATGGAGTCTCACTCTATCACCCGGGCTTGAGTGCAGCGGCATGATCTTGGCTCACTGCAACCTCTGACTCCCAGGTTCAAGCGATTTTCCTGACTCAGCCTCCCCAGTAGCTGGGATTACAGGTGTGCACCACCATGCCTGTCTAATTTTTGGATTTTTAGCAGAGACGGGGTTTAACCATGTTGGCTGGGCTGGTCTCAAACTCCTGACCTCAGGTGATCCACCTGCCTTGGCCTCCCAAAGTGCTGAGATTACAGGTGTGAGCCACCGTGCCTGGCCTGAAAACTGGCCATTTAAAGTATCATAATGTAGCAGGGAACGGTGGCTCACGCCTGTAATCTCAGCACTTTGGGAGGCCAAGTCAGGCAGATCACCTGAGGTCAGGAGTTCGAGACCAGCCTGACCAATATGGTGAAACCCCCATCTCTACTAAAAATACAAAAATTAGCCAGGCGTGGTGGCGGGTGCCTGTAGTCCCAGCTACTGGGGAGGCTGAGGCAGGGGAATCGCTTGAACCCAGGAGGCAGAGGTTGCAGTGAGCCGAGATCATGCCACTGCACTCCAGCCTGGGGGACAGAGGGAGACTCTGTCTCAAAAAAAAAAAATACAATAAAAAATAAAGTATCATAATGTAGCAACCCTAGAAACAGATTCTCCCCACTCATAAGGATTTGTTGTTATTATTGCTTGTTATAGTTGCTTTTTATTTTATTATTTTTATTTATTTATTTTTATTATTATTTGAGACATGATCTTGCTCTGTTGCCCAGGCCACTGTACAGTGGCATGATTGTGGCCCACTGCAGCCTCTAACTCCCAGGCTTAAGGGATCCTCCTGCCTCAGCCTTCTGAGTAGCTGGGACTACAGGTGTGCACTACCAAGCTCAGCTAATTTTATTTTATTATTATTATTATTATTATTATTATTATTATTGAGATGGAGTCTTGCTTTGTTGCCCAGGCTGGAGTGCAATGGCGCGATCTCGGCTCACTGCAAGCTCCGCCTCCCGGGTTCACACCATTCTCCTGCCTCAGCTTCCCGAGTAGCTGGGACTACAGGCGCCCGCCACCACGTCCAGCTAATTTTTTGTATTTTTTAGTAGAGACGGGGTTCACCATGTTAGCCAGGATGGTCTCGATCTCCTGACCTCGTGATCCACCCGCCTCGGCCTCCCAAAGTGCTGGGATTACAGGCATGAGCCAACACGCCCGGCCTATTTTATTACTATTTTTTAAGGGATTAGGTTTTACTATGTTGCTCAGGCTGGTCTTGAACTTCTGGGCTCAAGCAGTCCTCCCACCTCATCCTCCCAAATTGTTGGAATTACAGGTGTGAGCTACTGCACCTGGCCTGTAGTTGCTTTTTAAAAAACAGACTTTTCTGAACTATTTCTGTAATATCTGTGTTCTTTGTCATGTTTGGCCACTGAAGTCTCTGTTCTCTAATTTTAGTGGTTAGCTAATGATTGGAGAGACATTTCCTTAAACTGGAACAACAACAAAATCTTCTAGTCTTTGCCAAATGGCACTCTGTGTGCCTGATGAGGCACACCTTTAACACTCAGACAATTTACAACTCTACCTTAGCCTTCCCTTCCTGCTTGTGCAGCGTTTCAAGGTTTCAAGGTCAGCCAGAGGTGAAAAGCTTGGGGCCTTCTCAGAACTTTCCCAAGCATGTACACAACCCTACACAGGCCAATGGCTTTCTACATTCCCAGGAATTTGTTGGAACATTTCAAGGCTTCTACAGATATGTCCATCAGATTTTCCTTTTAAGATTTTTTGCTTTTTATTGTTTACCCCAACTGTTATCCATTGCCTTCGGCAGTAGCAACATTAAAACAAGCGTAAAATTTTTTTTTCTTTACAAATGTTCCCTCTCCCACTCCATGTTAGTCCATTCTTGCATTGCTATAAAGGAATACTCAAGGCTGGGTATAAATAAAAGAGGTTTAACTGGCTTATGGTTCACAGGCTATCTGATAAACATGGTGCCAACATCTGCTCAGCTTTTGGTGAGGGCCTCATAGCAAAAGGTGATGGAGCCAGCATATCACCTGGCAAGAGCAGGAGCAAGGAGATGCCACACAAGTTTTTTTTTTTTTTTTTTTTGAGATGGAGTTTTGCTCTGTTGCCCAGGCTGGAGAGCAGTGGCATGATCTCGGTTCACTGCGACCTCCACCTCCCGGGTTCAAGCGATTCTCCTGCCTCAGCCTCCCAAGTAGCTGGGACTACAGGCATGCATCACTATTCCTGGCGAATTTTTGTATTTTCAGTAGAGTCGGGCTTTCGCCATGTTGGCCAGGCTAGTCTTGAATTCCTGACCTCAGGTGATCTGCCCACCTTGGCCTCCCAGAGTGCTGGGATTACAGGTGTGAACCACCACGCTCAGCCTGGGAGTTACATTTTTTTGTTGTTGTTTTTGAGACAGGATCTCAGTGTCATCCAGACTGGAGTGCAGTGGCGCAATCTCGGCTCACTGCAACATCCACCTCCCAGGTTCAAGCGATTCTTCAACCTCAGCCTCCTGAGGAGCTGGGACTACAGGTGCACACCACCACACCTGGCTACTTTTTTTTTTTTTTTTTTTTTTTTTGTAGAGTTGGGGTCTCACCATGTTGTCCAGGCTGCTCTCAAACTCCTGAGCTCAAGTGAACCTCCTGCCTCAGCCTCCCAAAGTGCTGGGATTACAGGTGTGAGCCACTGTGCCTGGCAAGGGATGACATTTTAACATGAGATTTGGAGAGGACAAACATCCAAATCTTTCCTTCAACTATCAGAGATGCTTTCACGGCTTTGCCAGTTCTGAAAAGGAAAGACAAATATTCTGTGTGGGGTCTTCCCAGGCATCACTTAACAATCATAGAATGACTCTTCTTTGGGTTATGAGGCTTTGAATGAGTTCTAGCTTCATTCTGCTTCCTCCCTGTGGGAAATGTGGGCTGTTATTTTCCAGGGTTCCTGCTGAGCTAGGGAGTGGGAGATAGGACTAGGATAAGTTAAAATTCCTCAAGTCTTGCCGTTTTTTATCGAGAGTCACTTTTCTTGAATAAATGCTCTTTGAGTTGCTGCAAGCCTTTGGTTAATTTCCAGAATTGTGAACAAACTGCTTCTTATGGTTTTTGTTAGTTTTTTCATTGTTTTTATGGAGGGGTGGAATTTTTGAATTCCTTTTTTTTTTTTTTTTTTTTTTTGAGATGGAATCTCGTTGTCGCCCAGGCTGGAGTGCAATGGCGCCATCTAGGCTCTCTGCAACCTCCGCCTCCTGGATTCAAGCGATTCTCCTGTGTCAGCCTCCCAAGTAGCTGGGATTACAACTGCCTGCCACCACGCCTGGCTAATTTTTGTATTTTTAGTAGAGACGGGGCTCCACCACGTTGGTCAGGCTGGTCTCGAACTCCTGACCTCAAGTGATCCACCCACCTCGGCCTCCCAAAGTGCTGGGATTACAGGTGTGAGCCACTGTGCCCGGCCTGAATTATTTAATCCACCATTTTGCTGTTGTTAACTGGATACAATATTTCTTATTCCACTTCTTCCCCAGAGCAATCATGCAAGAAATGTGTTGCTGCCTCCATCTCACAAGGGAGGAAACTTATTCTGTCTATCTTTTGTGTATTAGTTCAGCAACCATGAGAGAAACCAAGAGAACTGCTTTTTTGCACATAAAATGCTTGATAAGCTTAGTAGCTCTGCTCTTCAAATGCAGCAGGTTACAGGTGTCTACGTTCTGGTTGCTCAGCCATTTCTAGACAGTTGCTCTCGCCACTGCCTTCCAGCCATTAAGCAGGGGGAACAGGGGAAGAGATCATGCCTGTCTTTTCCACACATCGACCAGTGCCCACTTCCCTTCCATCGGCTGGAACTGGTCATAAACAGCTGGCAGAGGGCTCTCTGGGTCTCTTTTCCTTCAGGTGTGAAATAAGAATGTCAATGATAGGCCGGGCACGGTGGCTTACGCCTGTAATCCCAGCACTTTGGGAGGCCGAGGTGGGTGAATCACGAGGTCAGGAGATCAAGACCATCCTGGCCAACATGGTGAAACCCTGTCTCTACTAAAATACAAAAAATTAGCCTGGTGTGGTGGTGCACGCCCGTAGTCCCAGCTATTCGGGAGGCTGAAGCAGGAGAATGGCTTGAACCTGGGAGTGAGAGGTTGCAGTGAGCCGAGATCATGCCACTGCACTCCAGCCTGACAAAAGAGCAAGACTCTGTCAAAAAAAAAAAAAAAAAGAATGTCAATGATATTGAAGTTATACATTTGACTACTGTAACAAAAAAACACAAAATAACACAGCTTGAATAACACAGAAGATGTAATGTCTCACCCTGAAAGTCTTCACAGGTGGTTGGAATGGAGTATGGTGGCTCCATGTCAAGGATTCAGGCTTCTTCTGTTTCATTGTGTCCTCTATCTGCTGGTCCAAGACAGCCCTCAATTGTGCATTCCAGTGAAATGAGAGAAAAAGGGAAAGTTCTCACTCTTTTCCTATAAGGGATGACTCAGAAATTGACTATAATTCTGCACAGTCTAAGTAATGATGTAGGCTAAAAAAAAAAATAAATAAAAGAGAGAGAAAAAAGGAGGCTGGGCACAGTGGCTCATGCTTGTAAGACCAACACTTACAGGCAGACACAAAAGGATCACTTGAGCCCAGGAGTTTGAGGCCAGCTTGGGTAACGTAGTGAGAACCCATCTATACCAAACATCTTAAAATTTTGCTGGGCATGGTAGCAAGCACCTATACTCTTAGCAACTTGGGAGGCTGAGGCAAGAGGATCATTTCAGCCCAGGAGCTGGTGAGCTATGATAGTACCGCTCCACACCAGCCAGGGTAATAATGAGAGACCCCCCACACACACACACCTCCCCCAAAAATAAATTGACTACATTATTTCCACTCACATTCCATTGGCCAGAACTTAGTCACATGGCCACACCTAGCTGCAAGGAAACCTGGGAAATGTAGTCTCTGGTTGGGCAGTCATGTGCCAGGCTAAGGCTTCTGTAACTGTCCAAGCTGGGAGAATGGATCCTACCACATGCATCCCTCCTGAACCACGGATTGGCAGGAGTCGCACAACACTTTATGTGATATAAAGTAATGATGACCAGAGGCCACATGGTGTCATGGTTTAAAACAAGCGTTCTGAATCTAGATTCTGATGAGATCACCTAATGTGCTGAGTGCTTGGGAAGACAAGGGATATCCCATTTCTGAGACCCATTTGTCTCACTTGTAAAATAGGCCAAATAACCTCAAGAGGCGGAGTTGTGAAGAATAAAAGACAAGACAAGTGCTTGGTGCATAGCAAGTGTTCATATCTGAAAAGTGGCTTCCTTTGTAATTCACCAGTTCCTGGAGAGAAAGGGCATGTGTTTTCAAAGTTTCTCTTTTTAAGCTGTGGACCCCAAGGACTTTTTTTTTTCTTTAGACGGAGACTCGCTCTGTCGCCCAGATTGGAGTACGGTGGTGCAATCTCAGCTCACTGCAGCCCCTGCTTCCCAGGTTCAAGCAATTCTCCTGCCTCAGCCTCCCAAGTAGCTGGGATTAAAGGCACCACCACGCCTAGCTAATTTTTGTATTTTTAGTAGAGTTGGGGTTTCACCATGTTGGCCAAGTTGGTCTTGAACTCCTGACCTCAAGTGATCCACCCACCTCGGCCTCCCAAAGTGCTGGGATTACCAGAGTGAGCCACGGCACCTGGCCCCCAAGGACATTTAGCTCAGTGTTTGGTTGAGTCCATCCTTCTTCCTCCACATGTCTGAGCACCCCACCTCCATCCCCCTTTCCCTCCTGGATCCTATTTTTCTCCCAGCCCACCATGAAGAAAGGTCGTTTATGCCCTGGGTTTGCCGCGCAGGAATGCTAAGAATCAGAGGTATAGCCCTTGGCTCCAAGTCACATAGCCATTCCAGGGCAAAATCAAGGTGTAAACACAGCCTCCCAGTTCTGGAATTCTTCCTGGGCTTGGGGCTTGCCCCCACATACCCACTAACTCACCTGTCTCCCATTCTTCCCCAGAGTGGGGTCAACAGTGGATTGGTCCGCGCCAAAGACTCCATCACCAGCTTGAAGGAAAAGACCAACCGGGTTAACCAGCACGTGCAGTCTCTGCAGGTGTGAGGACCCCCTATATCCAACACCTGCCCTTCCTCCAGGGCCAAGTTCCCTTCTTGGAGCCTGCCTCCAGCAGAATGCACCCATAGCTCAGTTGGGGAGCTTGAGGCTCAGAAAGAAAAGGAACCTTCCCAGGCCCAGATCTTCTTTTCCACAGGCTGTCCCCTCGTGTCCTTGGCTAACCTCTCCTCCTTCCATGCTCCAGAGCGAGTGTTCTGTGCTGAGCGAGAATCTGGAGAGAAGGCGGCAAGAGGCAGAAGAGTTGGAGGGGTACTGCATTCAACTCAAGGTGAGCCAGTGGGACGCAGGAATGGATGGGGAGAGGGGAATGGGAGTAAGAAGAGGGTGGGAGAAAGAGGGGAGGAGGCTGGGTGCAGTGGCTCACATCTGTAATCCCAGCACTTTGGGAGGCCGAGGCAGGCAGATCACCTGAGGTCAGGAGTTTGAGACCAGCCTGGCCAACATGGTGAAACCCCATCTCTACTAAAAATACAAAAATTAGCCAGGTGTGGTGGCGGGCGCCTGTAATCTCAGCTACTTGGGAGGCTGAGGCAGAAGAATTGCTTGAATCCACGAGGTGGAAGTTGCAGTGAGCCAAGATTGCGCCACTGCACTCCAGCCTGGCCGACAGAGCGAGACTCAGTCTCAAAAGAAAAAAAGAAAAGAAAGAGGAGAAATGGAATGGGTGGACCGAAGAGAGGTGGGAGGAAGTGGAGGGGTGCCACTCTGGCACATCTGGCTAAGGAGGAAGCCATCCCCTTAGCCAAGGAAATGAGCTGGTGAGTGTGTCTTGTACTGGGGGGCTAGGAGGCCTGGAGCCTGGATGGAAACAGACAGGCTAAGGGTTGGGAGGCAGAACTGGAATGGGAAGGCAGGGCCCTCGCCCTGGTGTCTGACCCAGGAGAACTGCTGGAAGGTGACCCGGTCTGTGGAAGATGCTGAAATCAAAACCAACGTCTTGAAGCAGAATTCTGCCCTGCTGGAGGTAAGGGCTAGGGGGCAGTCCCAGGATTTGTGGGAGGAGGTCAGATGCACGAGGGACTCAAGATACACTTTTAGGTGGAACTCCCTGCCCCGACACCACCACCACACTGCACCTTCGTGCACATAGTCATCCTTAGAACTCGCTGATAAGAGGGATTCAAATGAGGCTCCAACACCCAGATGGGGGACTCTTGCCCTGCAGTCACATTCAGGTCCCAGAAAGAGAATCGAGCTGGACTTCAGGTGAGAAGGCCCGTCCTGTCCACATGCCCACTCATTTTCCAACAAAATGCTGAGAAAGCTTCAGTTGTTCTTGCCAAGTGGCCGGGACTGGTATTTGACGCCTGGAGGGCTTGGAGGGCCGGGTGGATACCTGGAGGCAGGCTGTGGGAGGTTAGCGGGAATTGGAGTCCAACTGGGCCTCAAATGGTGCCTCCCCTCCCTAATGACAGCCAGTGAGACTTCCAACATACTGTCCCCACAGGCGTTCTACTTCCAATCTCGGGGAGTACTGGAGCGGATTTTGGGGTGGAGGTGGTTGCGGGAGGAAAGCGGCTGGACGCTGTGACCCCGTCCTCCCTTACCACCCAGGAGAAGCTGCGCTACCTCCAGCAGCAGCTGCAGGATGAGACGCCGCGACGGCAGGAGGCCGAGCTGCAGGAGCCGGAGGAGAAGCAGGAGCCGGAGGAGAAGCAGGAGCCGGAGGAGAAGCAGAAGCCGGAGGCTGGCCTCTCCTGGAACAGCCTGGGCCCCGCCGCCACGTCCCAGGGCTGCCCCGGCCCGCCAGGGAGTCCCGACAAACCCTCGCGGCCACACGGCCTGGTCCCCGCAGGCTGGGGAATGGGGCCTCGGGCTGGCGAGGGCCCCTACGTGAGCGAGCAGGAATTGCAGAAGCTGTTCACCGGCATCGAAGAGCTGAGGTGGGCGGGACCTAGGGGCGGAGCCTCGAAAACGAGATCGGCGGGGACTCAGGGGTGGAGCCTCGAGGAGATGCGGTGGGCGGGACCCAAGGGACGGGGGTTCTCAAGTAGCTGAGGTGGGCGGTGACATGGGTGGAGCCTCGGGGACCTGAGGTGGGCGGGAACATGGGAGGAGCCTCGAGGAACGAAGGTGGGTAGAGACACGGGAGGAGTCTCCAGGAGCTGCGGTGGGCGGGGACACAGGGGAGGTTCCTCAAAGATCGTTTTTTGTTTTGTTTTGTTTTTTTTGAGGCGGAGTCTCGCTTGTCGCCCAGGCTGGAGTGCAGTGGCGCCGTCTTGGCTCACTGCAAGCTCCGCCTCCCGGGTTCACGCCATTCTCCTGCTTCAGCCTCCCCAATAGCTGGGACTACAGGCGCCCGCCACCACGCCTGGCTATTTTTTTGTATTTTTAGTAGAGACGGGGTTTCACCGTGTTAGCCAGGATGGCCTCGATCTCCTGGCCTCGTGATCCGCCCGCCTCGGCCTCCCAAAGTGCTAGGATTACAGGCGTGAGCCACCGCGCCCGGCCTAGATCTTAACCGGAAGGCGACAAGGCTGGGGTCTCCAAGAGCAGAGGAGGGAGTGCCCCGAAGGCAGTGACCTGAGCAAGGGAGGGACAGAATAAGGAACTTTTTAGTTCTGGGCTGCTGGGAGGCAGGTCCAGGCCTGGTGAAACTGAGGTGGGCGGGGCTTAGGAGAGGAGTGGTCCTGGAGGCACCACGTGGGGCAGAGTAGGGTGGGCAGTGCCTTGGGGGGCCAGTGTCTGGAGGAGCCCAGGTAGAGGTTGGGGACCTGACCAGGAAAGGGCCAAGATAGCCAATAAAGGAAGGGGATAAAGGCGGGGCTCTGGAGGACACGACCAAATTTCACCAAATGGAGGGTGCAATAAAATTTGGTGACCTGGGTGGGTCTGGAGCCACGGGCATGGTCTCAGTGGGGCGAGATAGGTGAGTCCTGTCCCACCTATCTCGTGGGGGTAGGTGGGGACCTGTTGAAGCCTAGCCCCTACCCATTCCCCTCCTCTGCCCCTCCAGGAGAGAGGTGTCCTCACTGACCGCCCGGTGGCATCAGGAGGAGGGGGCGGTGCAGGAAGCCCTGCGGCTGCTCGGGGGCCTGGGCGGCAGGGTCGACGGCTTCCTAGGCCAGTGGGAGCGGGCACAGCGCGAACAGGCACAGACGGCGCGGGACTTGCAGGAGCTGCGAGGTCGGGCGGATGAGCTGTGCACCATGTGAGGATTGGGGCCAGTGCATGGGAAGACCGGAAGGGGCAGGGCAATCCCAACCTGAGGGCGGGGTCTTGAGGGAAATGGGTAGGCCAATCAGCTATGGCCAGGCATTCCGGAACATATACCGACATCGGGAAACACCAATTAGAGAGCAGGAAGGGTTGCATCAGCCCTAATAAGGCCTGAGGGGTGGAATCAATTAGAGAAGGGGTGTGGTCTATACCTTAAAAGGGCAAAGGGTGGGGTCAAGTGGGATCCGAGAAAATCAATTAAGAGAACTAGGAGGGGCATTCCAAACAGTAATCTACAAAAGGTGGCCCAGTGAGGTGGCTCACATCTATAATCCCAGCACATTGGGAGGCCGACGTGGGCGGATTACTTGAGGCCAGGAGTGCAAGACAAGCCTGGGCCACATAGCGGAGACCCCATCTCTACAAACAATTTAAAAATTAGCTGGGAGTGGTGTGGTGTCGCACCCTGGTAGTCCTAGCCACTCGGGAGGCTGAGGCAGGAGTGATCGCTTGAGCCCAGGAGTTCAAAGCTTCAGAGAGCTATGATGGTGCTGCTGCACTCCAGCCTGGGCCACAGAGCCAGACCCTGGCTCAAAATAGTCAACAGATAAATAACATAACATAAAGTAAAATACAAAAAGTGAGGCCAGTCAGAGCAGAGAGGGGAGGGCAGGGTGGAGAATTGCTGACCAGATGGAGACGCAAGTGGTGGGCTAATAATGGGTGGAGTCTTGCCAGGGTTATACCGCTGAAGAGACGACCCAGCAGCACTGGTTACTCATGCCTCAGGGTGGAGCGGTCAGCAGTGTCTGTGGCTTCACTGAGGAGCGAACTGGAGGGGCTGGGCCCACTGAAACCCATTCTGGAGGAGTTCGGGCGGCAATTTCAGAACTCTCGAAGAGGGCCTGACCTCTCCATGAACCTGGATCGGTCCCACCAAGGCAACTGTGCCCGCTGTGCCAGGTAACGGGGCTGGGCTTGCCTCTGGGAGCCTTGTGGATAGGACATTAAAGGAGATGCGGAAGGAGATGGGACATTAGTGAAGGGTGGGGCGCTGTTCATTTTGGGAGACAAGGTATCCCAGTGCATTGTAGAAACAGCCGGTCCTGCTGCACTAGAAGCCTCATTTGTTCCCACTCTACAAGGTAGAATCAGTGTCTTGTGGAACTCAAGAGAAACTTGGTACAGGCCGGGCGCGGTGGCTCTCGCCTGTAATCCCAGCACTTCGGGAGACCAAGGTGGGCGGATCACTTGGTGTCAGGAGTTCGAGACTAGCCTGGCCAACGTGGTGAAACCCCGTATCTACTAAAAATACAAAAATTAGCTGGGCGTGGTGGCGCGTGCCTGTAATCCCAGCTACTCAGGAAGTTGGGGCATGAAATTCACTTGGACCAGGCTGGGCGCGGTGGCTCATGCCTGTAATCCCAGCACTTTGGGAGGCCAAGGCAGGCAGATCACAAGGTCAGGAGATCAAGAGCATCCTGGCTAACATGGTGAAACACCGTCTCTACTAAAAATACAAAAAAAAATTAGCTGGGCGTGGTGGCGGGTGCCTGTAGTCCCAGCTACTAGGAAGGCTGAGGCAGGAGAATGGCGTAAATCCGGGAGGTGGAGCTTGCAGTGAGCTGAGATCATGCCACTGCACTCCAGCCTGGGAGACAGAGTGAGACTCCATCTCAAAAAAAAAAAAAAAAAAAAAAGAAATTCACTTGGACCCGGGAGGCGGAGGTTGCAGTGAGCCGAGATCACGCTACTGCACTCCAGCCTAGTAGGTAGAGTGAAACTGTGTCTCAATAAAATAAAAATAAAATAAAAAGGGTGGACGCAGTGGCTCACACCTGTTATCCCAGCACTTTGGGAGGCCAAGACGGGCAGATCACTGAGGTCGGGAGTTTGAGACCAGCCTGGCCAACATGGTGAGACCCCATCTCTACTAAAAATACAAAAATTAGCTGGGTGTGGTGGTGAGCACCTGTAATCCCAGCTACTTGGGAGGCTGAGGCCAAAGAATCTCTTGAACCTGGGAAGTGGAGGGTGCAGTGAGCCAAGATCGTGCCATTTCACTCCAGCCTGGGCGACAGCAAGACTCCATCTCAAAAAAAAAAAAACACTTAGTACATTTTAAGCATCATATTTCCAGTGCATTGTGGGAAGGCTGGGATGTGAACATGAGGAGAGGCAGGGTTTCAGTGCACTGAGGGGGAAGTGAGACCTTGGTGTATTGTGAGAGCCGAGGGATACACCATTTTTGGCCCATTGTGGGAAGGTCCATTGTAGGAAAGGGGGACTCACAGTACAACATGAAATCGAGTTTCACTAGTGTATTATGGGAAATGTTAGTTCTTGACGGCCTTTGCAAACTGAGGGCTGTCTGGTGCCCTTAGGAATAGTGACTCTGGCTGGGCGTGGTGGCTTACGCCTGTAATCCCAGCACTTTGGGAGGCCAAGTGGGAGGATCACCGGAGGTCAGGAGTTTAAGACCGGCCTGGCCAACATGGTGAAACCCCATATCTACTAAAAACACAAAAATTAGCTAGGCGTGCTGGCGGGTGCCTGTAATACCTGCTACTCAGGAGGCTGAGGCAGGAGAATCGCTGAACTCAGGAGGCAGAGGTTGCAGTGAGCCAAGATGGTGCCACTGCACTCCAGCCTGGGTGACAGAGCGAGACTCCATCTCAAAAAAAAAAAAAAAAAAAAGGGCCGGGCCCGGTGGCTCATGCCTGTAATCCCAGCACTTTGGGAGGCCGAGGTGGGCAGATCACGAGGTCAGGAGATCAAGACCATCCTGGCCAACATGGTGAAACCCCGTCTCTACTAAAAATACAAAAATTAGCCGGATGTGGCGGCACATGCCTGTAGTCCCAACTACTTGGGAGGCTGACGCAGGAGAATTGTTTGAACCCGGTAGGTGAAGGTTGCAGTGAGCCAAGATTGCGCCACTGCACTCCAGCCTGGGTAACAGAGCCAGACTCCGTCTCAAAAAAAAAAGGAGTAGTGATCCCCAGAGCACCATGGAAACCAAGGGACAGCTGGTGCACAGTGCATGCTGGGAAGGTTGCATAGGGTGCATACTGGAAACGAGGCCAAATGGAGGCTCCACAGGTGAGCATGGGGCATGGGGCGTCCTGGAGTTGGTACTGGGCCTCTTTATCTGGTGACCGCCCCTCCCCCAGCCAGGGGTCGCAGTTGTCTACGGAGTCCCTGCAGCAGCTGCTGGACCGAGCACTGACCTCACTAGTGGACGAGGTGAAGCAGAGGGGCCTGACTCCTGCCTGTCCCAGCTGTCAGAGGCTACACAAGAAGATTCTGGTACCAGGGAATATGGGCCACCATGTCCCACTTTACTTTTCTGTTGGGGCAAGGGGAGGGGAACCCCGGACTCAAGGGTACTGCTGGTGTGTGGCAGAAGGGGAAGGGCTGAGCTGGGAGCAGCAGGCACTGGGGGAGGACTTGGCCCTAATGCATGGGGAGATGGACAAGCAGTTTGGTGGTGAGTGAGTCACAGGCCAATCATTACGCTACCTCGGAAGATGGACTTGGGCCTAAAGCATGATAGGACGTTGGATCTAGTGCATTGTGGGACACGAGACAGACACCAGTCTAAAGCTTCATGGAACATAGGCCTGATTTTCTCTAAACTTTTAGAGAGGCGGTGCATTGTACAAGATCATTGGGGTCAGCTATATTGAGGTAAAATAGGAGACCCAGTGACTGTAGGCCCCAGTTAGCTGATGCGTTATGGGAAATGGAACCACAGCTCTTCCTGGGGCATTGCACAACACACTCAGCCCAATAGTTGGTGGAACTTGAGCCCTAGTGCACTGTATTATGGGATATTGACCTAATGTACTATAGGATTATGTTGTAGTGGGTGAGACAGACAAGTGAGGCACTGTGGGACATTGATGTGGCCGAGCTATAGGACTAATACATGAGAGGAAATGGGGCTTGGTGCAGTTGTACGTAGAGAACCAGGGCACTAAGGACTGTTTTTTGTTTGTTTGTTTGTTTGTTTTGAGATGGAGTCTCGCTCTGTCGCCCAGGCTGGAGTGCAGTGGCGCAATCTCGGCTCACTGCAAGCTCTGCCTCCTGGGTTCACGCTATTCTCCTGCCTCAGCCTCCCAAGTAGCTGGGACTACAGGCGCCTGCCACCATACCTGGCTAATTTTTTGTGTTTTCAGTGGAGACAGGGTTTCACCGTGTTAGTCAGGATGATCTCGATCTCCTGATCTCGTGATCCGCCTGCCTCAGCCTCCCAAAGTACTGGGATTACAGGCGTGAGCCACTGCGCCCGGCCTTTTTTTTTTTGGAGACAGAGT